>NC_000005.10:108234807-108859807 GCF_000001405.40 Homo sapiens
TTATAAAACCATAAAAGTAGTAACTGGAATCCAAGGAAGCAGTTTTATCTAGAAAGGATTAAAATTAACAAAGAAAAAAAAGTAAGGACAGGGAAAGCTCTTCTATAAATTTCAAGATTCTAAATAAAGAGATGCAATGTAGTCTTATTTTAAGACTTGAAGTTTTCTTGGACTATAGGAAGACAGATCTATCTTTATCAGAATAAGATTGATTCAATGAAATAATTTTGTAATCTGTGCTGAAAGATATTTTGGGAATAATTGCTAGCATATCTGGGATGAAAAGGAATTTGGTGTACTAATTCTAAAAAGGTGGAATGAATCTTTGGACATTTTAATACTGCCGGATTATAGAGTTAATCTGTGTAATTCTACATGCATGTACCAAACAATATAACAGTATTTCTTGATCTTAATTAGAAACTAAAAAATTTTCCTAGACTTCACCCCAGACTACTAATTCAGAGCCTGAAAACATATACTTCTAATCCTTCTCTTAATGATTCTTATGGAATCGATCCAGAAAGTCTCATGACTAAATCTCGTAACAATGGCTAACTGGACCCATCGTTATACTAGCACTGTAAAGATGGCCTAGAATATACATTGTGGTTATCTCTTTGCCCATTTCTACTGCCCCCACCATGGCCAAAGATATGTCATTCTTTTCCGGGATATTTGGAATAACCTACACAATGGACCTCCTTCTGCCATTCTTGATGCCACCAATCTATTTTCCACTCATCAAGTCAGAGTGATCTTTCAAGAAGCACAAATCATCAGATCATGTCAGTCTGCTATTCAAAATCCTCCAGTGGTACTCTTAAAATAAAATCCAAACTCCTTTTATAACCTATAAGGCCCCGCATGATCTGATCCCATCTCATCTAATTCATTTCATCCCACTATCCCCTCTCCTTGATCACTTTGTGATGATCTTTCCATTTATCCTGTTCACTACTCTAGCCCTAGAGTTTGATACAGTGTCCCACGTACAACAGAAGCTCCAGAAATTAAAATGAATGAATGAAGTATCTTTTTGATGCATGCCAATGGCTTGCTGGTTCAATACTGAAGAAATACATTTTTTGATGCAAAGAAAAACAGAACTATTGATTTTATTGGTTCCATGTGGCACACACAAGTAGTGGCTAAGAATTAGATAAATGGCTTCACAAAGCTAAGGAGAGAATTTCCAAAAAAATCAATAGCAATACTTTGATTCTTCAATATGTCTGAAGTGAACTGAAAAACCAATGTGGGATTAGTGGCACATGCCTGTAGTCCCAGCTACTTGGGATGCTGAGGCAGTAGAATCACTTGAGCCCAGAGGTCGAGGCTGCAGTGAGCTTGGACCATACTGCTGCACTCCAGCCTGGGTGACAGAGTGAGACCCTGTCTCTTAAAAAAAACAAGCAAACAGGCCAGGCAGGGTGGCTCATGCCTGTAATCCCAGCACTTTGGAAGGCCAAGGCAGGAGGATCATTTGAGGTCAGGAGTTCAAAACCAACCTGGCCAACATGATGAAACCCTGTCTCTACTAAAAGTACAAAAAATTAGCCGGGCGTGGTGGCAGGCGCCTGTAATCCCAGCTACTCAGGAGGCTGAGGCAGGAGAATCACTTGAGCCTGGGAAGTGGAGGTTGCAGTGAGCAGAGATCACGCTATTGCCCTCCAGCCTGGGTGACAGAGCAAGACTCTGTCTAAAAAAAAAAAACCAACAACAACAACCAAAAAAACACAAAACAAAAACAAACAAACAAAAACAAAAAGCAAACAAACAAATATCAATGACAATGTGGAAGAATTACCAGGGGTGAACAACTAATCTCACTTGAGACCTCAAGACCAATTCAAGACCTTCTTTCCACCCTCAATGAAAAAGAGCAAAACAGAGACCCACAGCATAGCAAGGCTAATTTCTGGGTCATTTTCCGGGAGAAATACCAATCGTTGATTAATTTTTTCATCTCTTGCAGGCCAAGTAGTCAGTGGGCCCATAGGGTACCCTCATCTTCTGAATGCAAAAGAAAGCCAGCATAAAGTAATCTCCTTAGACTAGGCTCTGCCCTGACTAAGCTTATACAGGAAAGGGAAATTATTTCCATCTGTTCCAATGAGATTTACCAGTCTAAAACAGTCATATAGATTCGGGTTAGGAGTCTGTGGAATAGTTTGGTTGTCTGACTATCCTCTCTGCCATGTAGTAGGTGGTAAAAAAAGACAGCAACGGTGGGCATTGGGACAGGTTACTGGTTTAGGGAACCATAAGAGAATATACTCCAATCCTGAACAGCTACCCTAGTCCACTGAGTCAACATTATCTTTGAAATAATAAAGACACATTTATAGTGTGTCTAATGAAGGGTTTATTTCACTTAGGTATACTCAGACTCCTAAATCCCTTTAATTCAACAAATATACAAGCACCTACTACATGCACAACACTTCATGTTAAGTGCTGATGCTGTATGAAGATGAGGTACAGTCTCTGCCTCCAAGAGCAGAGGTAATAGGTTGGGATGTGAAGAGTCCTAGCTCCCACAACTACCAGTGAGATCTCTGGGAATATTTTAATCTGCAGCTTGCATCCCAGTTCGGTTCAGTTCAGTTTCCCAAGGACTTCTGACTAGAACCAAAAGCAAGTTTGAAGAGAGAACAAGATTATGGGAGACCGAAAGCCAGCAGAATGGTTGTGACTTTATACTGAAGGAGTCTATTTTATTAGCAATATAGAGACATATGAGCTTAATGGACTTTAATATCCCCTTGAGTTCCAACAGATTGCAGGTCCATGACTGATGGAGTCATTCATTAAGGGCTTTAAGTGCAGGGTAATAAAGAGAAAGTTGTACTTCAAAGTCCAGCAGGTATACACAAGACCAACTAAAGGAATATTTCGGCCTCAAGGAGGCTGGCCAGGAGGCTATGGATGCAACAAGCCCCATGTACCCAGAAGATGATAACATATCACACCCCAGGGCACCTTAGTTAGGCCTAGCCACATGCCAAAGTCAGTAAACATCCATATCTGATGCTCTACAGAGTACATAAAGTACTGTGATGACAGAAATACCAAATGAAAGAAATTTATTTAAATTCACAAAAAATATAAATTATACTTATTAGAAGCCTTAAAAATGGAACGCAAGAAAATTTTTCCATTTGTTTACTCAACTCTTCAAAATCCATGTGAAAATTATCTTTTATCTTTACCTTCCTTTGCTTTTATGTATTTACATCTTTTACAGGGTACAGTATGTATACCTACTATTAATGCACCAGGAAGCCTTCTTATTTGAAACAGTAATACAAAAACAGAGAACACATTGGCACTTGTCACATAACAGCTAAAAATGGTGACAGAATACTTCGTATGGATTCACTTTATAAATCATTTCAGTAAGACTCATCACTGTGCTCTTCATTTAATGAAAACTTCATATCTAGTAAATTTTTAAAAGAAATCTAAAAGCAGATTATTTAAAGTACTTTTCTTTTAAACCACAGTCAAGACAACAATATTTACTGAGTTCGTGTTATGCGCTAAGTACCTTGCTATATACAATGATTAAGAAAGACAGGCTACCCTCTTGGAGCTTACAATTTAGTAAGAAGGGCACATGTTAAACATCTATTTCAAGTGTGATCACTGTATTAAAATGGTCATTTGCATTAGTCAATGAATTGTGACTTTTTAATTTTTATTTACTTATTTTGGGGGAACAGGGTCTCATTCTGTCACCCAGGCTGAAGTGCAGTGGTGCAATCACAGCTCACTGCAGCCTTCACTTCCCAGGCTCCGGTAATCCTCCCACCTCACCCTTTCCGGTAGCTTGGACCACAGGCATGCACCACCTTGCCAGGCTAATATTCTTTTTTTTGCATTTTTTGTAGAGACAGGGTTTCACCACGTTGCCCAGGCTGGTTTTGAACTTAAGCAATCCAGCTGCCTCAGCCTCCCAAAGTTTTCAGATTACAGGTGTGAGCTACTGCACCCAGCTGAACTGTTACTTTTTATATATGCCATAATTCCATGTGTGGTTAACGTGGAAAGCAGCCAAACACATGACTAAAAATTACAGTAAATTAGTACAAAATATTTTTCTCAAATATTTTAAGTTGTAATTATATGACTGATATCATTTCAGTAGAGAGCTATAACAAATATTACTTTTTAAATAAATAAATGTTGCTTTTAGAAATCATGAGAAAACAAAATTTAAGAACTTATATGTACTAATATAACTTTGACATTTTTTTTTTAGAGACAGTGTCACACACTGTCACCCAGGCTGCAGTACAGTAGCGCGATCATACCTCACTGTAGGAGGCAGAGCAAGATGGCTGAGTAGAACCTGCCTGCAATTATCCTCCCTGCGGGAACACCAAACTGAACAACTATCCACATAAAAAAGCACCTTTTTAAGAACCAAAACTCAGGTGAGTGATCACAGTATCTGGTTTTAACTTCATATCATCGAAAGAGGCACTAAAGACAGCTGAAAAGACATACTTGAATTGCCAACACCACCCCTCTGCATCCCCTGGCAGCAGCCACAAGGCACAGGGAGTGAATCTGTGTGCTTTGGGAAGAGACAGTGCCATGACTCTGTGACCTTGCATTGGAACTCAGTGCTTCCCTGTCATAGCGGAAAGCAACACCAGGCAGAACTACGCTGGCGCCTATGGAGGAAGCATTTATACCTGCCCTAGCCAGAGGGGAATTCTCATCCCAGCAGTCAAAACCTGAGTTTTGGCAAGCCTCCTACTGTGGGCTGAAGTGCTCTGGGGTTCTAAATAAACTTGAAAGGCAGTCTATGCCACAAAGACTGCAATTCCTAAGCAAGTCTTGTGCTGGGCTCACAGCCAGCGAAACTGAAGGGCACATGACTCAGGCAGACACCACCTGGCGGGAGCTGGGGGACCAAGGGAGTGCTTGTACCACCCCTTCCTCACCCCTAGGCAGCACAGCTTGCAGCTCCAGGAGAGACTCCTTCCTTCCGCTTGAAGAGAGGGAAGAGTAAAGAGGACTTTGTCTTGCAATTTGAGTACCAGCTCAGCCCCAGTGAGGTAGAGCAGCAGGCAGAGTCCTGAGGCCCGTATTCCAGGACCTAGATCCTGGATGACATGTCTAGATACACCCTCAGCGAGAAAAGAACCTGCCATCTTGAAGGGAAGGACCTTGGCCTGGAAGGATTCATCATCTGCTGACTAAAAAGAGCCCTTGGGGCCTGAATAATCAGAAGCAGTACCCAGGCACTACTTGCCATGGGCCTTAAGTGAGACTTAAGTGCTGGCTTCACGTGTGTCTCAGAGCATTCCTAGCTGTTGTGGCTATAGGGAAAAAAACTCCTTCTACTTGAGAAAAGAAGACATTAAAGAGGACTTTATCTTGCAGCTTAGGTACCAGTTAGGCCACAGTTGGGTAGAGCAACAAGTGGTCTATTGGCATCCCTGATTCCAGGCATTAGCTCTTGGATGGCATTTCTATAACTACCCTGAGCCAGAGAGAAGCCAACTGCCCTGAAGGTGAGTCCTAGGCCTGGCAGCACTCATCATAAGCTGACTAAAGAGCCTTTGGTCCTTGAATGAATATCATTGGTAGCCAGGCAGTACTCCCTGTGGGCCTGTGGTAGTGGTGGCCATGAGAAGAGACTCCTCTTCTTATGGAAAGGGGTAGGAAGAGTGGGAAAAACTATCTTGTGGCTTGGGTACCAGCTCAACCACAGTAGAATAGAACACCAAGTAGGTTCCTAAGGTTTCTGATTCCAGTCCCTAGACACCAGATGTCATCTCTGGATGTGCCCAGGACCATGGGGAACTTGCCACCCTGAAGGGAAGGATACAAGCCTGGATGGCTTGACCATCTACTGATTGTAGAGTACTAGGGCCTTGACTGAACACAGGCAGTAGCCAGACAGTGATTATACTGCAGCCCCTGGGCAAGACCCAGTGCTATTCTGGTTCAGGTCTCACCCAGCACAGTCCCAATGGTGGTGGTCACAGGGTGCTTGTGTCACCCCTCCCCCAGCTCCACGTAGCTCAGTGCAGGGAGAGAGACAGAGAGAGAGAGAGAGATTGATTCCATTTGTTTGGGAGAAAGTTAAGAGTCTCTGCCTGATAATTCACAGAATTCTTCCAGATCTTATCCAAGACCACCAAGCCGGTACACCTCTATGCAAGAGCCACGGCATTGCTGGAAAGCCTTCCCAAGAAGGATGGGTATGAACAAGCCCAAACTGCAAAGACTATAACAAATACCTCTTTAATGCCCAGACACCAATGAACATTCACAAGCATCCAAAAGCCCATCCTGGAAAATATGACATTACCAAACAAACTAAATAAGGCACCAGTGATCAATCCTTGTGAGACAGAGATACGTGACCTTTCAAAGAGAATTCAAAATAGCTGTTCTGAGGAAACTCAATGAAATTCAAGATAACGCAGAGAAGGAATTCAGAATTTTATCAGACAAGTTTAACAAAGAGACTAAAATATATTTTTTTAAATTGAGCAGAAATTCTGGAGCTGAAAAATGCAATTGGCATACTGAAGAATGCATCTGAGTCTCTTAACAGAATTGATCAAGCAGAGAATCAGTGAGCTTGAAGACAGGCTATTTGAAAATACATAGGGGAAACAAAGGAACAAAGAAAAAAAAAGAATAAAGAATGCCTACAAGATCTAGAAAATAGCCTCAAAAGGGCAAATCTAAGAGCTATTGCCTTTAAAAGGAAGTAGAGAGAGAGAGCAGTAGAAAGTTTATTCAAAGGGATAACAGA
This sequence comes from Homo sapiens, assembly GCF_000001405.40. NCBI lineage: Eukaryota > Metazoa > Chordata > Mammalia > Primates > Hominidae > Homo > Homo sapiens. The sequence goes on from NC_000005.10 coordinate 108,241,595, forward strand.
ATTTCTCAAACCTAGAGAAAGATAACAATATTCAAGCACAAAAAGATTATAGAACACCAAGCAGATTTAACCCAAAGAAGAAAGACTACCTTAATGAACAAGGCATTTAATAATCAAATTCACAATGGTCAAAGATAAAGAAAGGCTCCGAAAAGCCACAAGAGAAGAAAAAACAAAAAACAAAAAACAAATAACACACAATGGAGCTCCAATACGTCCGTAACAGACTTTTCAGTGGAAACTTTATGGGCCAGGAGAGAGTGGCATGACATATTTAAAGTACTGAAGGAAAAAACTTTTATCCTAGAATAGTATATCTAACCAAAAATATCCTTTGAACATGAAGGAGGAATAAAGACTTTCCCAGACCGACAAAAGCTGAGGGATTTCATCAACACTAGATCTGTCCCACAAGAAATGCTAAAGGGAGTTTATAAATCTGAAAAAGAAGGATGTTAATGAGCAAGAATACATCATCTGAAGGTACAAAACTCACTTGTAATGGTAAGTACATACAAAAACACAGAATATTATAATACTGTAATTGTGGTGTGTAAACTACTAGTATCTTAAGTAGAAAGACTAAAAGATGAACTGATCAAAAATAATAACTACAACAACTTTTCAAGATATAGATAGTACAATAAGAGAGAAATAGCTCATTGTAACCTGGAACTCCTAGACTCCAGCAATCCTCCTGCCTCAGCCTCCCAAGCAGCTAGGACTAAAGGCAGGTGCCACCATGCCTGGCTAGTTTGTTGTTGTTGTTGTTGTTGTTGTTGTTGTTGTTGTTGTTGTTGTTGTCATTGTAGGGATGAGTTTTTGATATGTTGCCCAGGTTGGTGTCAAAGTCCTAATCTCAAGCAACCCTCCCACCTCAGCCTCCAAAAGTGCTCGGATTATAGGTGTAAGCCACTGTGTCTGGCCTATAACTCTGACTTTAAATTAGTCCTATGTAATTATTTCATCAAGCAAACTAGAAGCACAAAGCAGTGAAATATTTTAGCTTTTAATTATAAGAAATTTCAAAAACAAAAAATGAAAGTTGACAAAAATAGTGAAATAAACCTCCATTTAACAGTCTTTTAGCTTCAACAGTTACGAATTCATGGCTCACTTTGTTTCATGGTCAGCTTCATCTACTTCCAAAACACATTTAAGTATTTTAATATATCTATAAAAGATAAGTCTCTTTAAAAATCATAACCATAATACCATTATTATATCTAAAAAAATTCAGCAAAAATGTTCATGTGAAACTTATGAAAAAGGAACTAAGAATAGTTTTATGTAGCTAATAATACACTGAATGATTTTTAAATCTCATTAAAATTTTACCACAGCTTTATAAAAACTGACCCTTTGTCAACAAGGGCTTTGGAATTCATAGCTAATCATTTTCTAACTATTTAAAACTCTATTAGCATCCAACGAGAATCTGATAATTCGATTGTTTATTTGAACTTCCCTGATTTTTGTTCATTCTATCTTGCTTAGTGCTAGGCTGGATTTGGAAAAGTCAGATTGGCTGATAAAAAGAGATTGATAAGTTATGTGTTAAAGTATTGTGAAAGAGAAAGACATTGGTCTACAACTAATGACACAGAGATCTGTCCCTATTAAAAAGACCTATGATAAGTTAAATACGACCTAACCACTTTCCTTCAATTTGCTGACCAAATTTCTTTGACTAATATTGCTTTTATTTATTGCAATTTAATATTGAGATAATCCAAATGAAACAGCTTATTCTCTGACTGTTCCATCTTTAATTAATGAAAAAGGTAATTCAAAAAGTAATCTACTAATGTAACAGCCATAGGTGTGTATAGCAGTAATGTTTAGAAAGCACTTTTTGTCACACACATACACATTTGTACAGTAGCTCACTGAGATCAACAGGCAGGTGCAATTTCTGTTTTACAAATGAAGAAAGAGAGAAGTTAAAGTAATCTTCCCAAGATTATACGTGAGCCTAGTAGGTATTTCATCAAAAAACAATTAATCATTTGGTTAAGTGTTTTAACTCTCTGAAAGTAAAGAAACCTTCTTCCGTTTTGTCAAACTGTATTTCATTTCTAAATAAGATATTTAAATTAACAGATACGGTTAAAGACTAAAAAAGAAATGTACAAGAGTATTACTGAAGGCTAAATTAAATCTACCATACAGATCACTTACCAAAAGTTGATTGTGTGGCTATATCATGTGTTATATACAAAAATAGAAAAACCAGAAATAGTATATACAATTTGAATTCTGAATCCTCTAATCATAAAGGATGAGATGAACTTAAGTCTCAGAAGGGTAACATATAAAGAACAGTGGAAGAGCTCTGAGCAGTGGCAGAGCTAGTTAGTATTTCAAAAGGCATGCTAAAATTCACAAAACCAGGGAAAAGCCAGCTATGATAAAGGCAATGTATTTAGACTTTCGAACTGTCTATGGTTCTTTTCCTACCTATGTAACTTTGCTTTCTGTGTTTTTATTCTTCAGCCTCTTCCTGAATACCTTTTCTTCTCCATGCCATTTGTTGTCCTCACACCTTTTCTCCATTTCCATCTGTCACTCTACCTCCATTTACTAGTTCTCTTTTCCTCATATTTCTTCTGAATCCTTTTGCCCATTCTCATATCCTTTCTTAACTGGCTGGTCATAATATGGAAGCATTTTAAGTATAATTCTTATATTAATTTAAAATCAGTAATATTAAACTTTTATTTATCTCAAAAGGAAATTTAAGTTTATATAACCCTATGAAATTACTGGAATGTGTGTCTAGGTTGCAATCCAGCTCCACTTCTTACTAGCTACGTGACCTTAAGGAAGTTATTATCTGAAAAGTGTGAAAATGAGATACCAACCTAAGGGGGTTCTTGTGACAATTCCTTCAGAAGACCTGCATGCCATGCGTATACTATACAATGCGCTTAACAAGGGCTACCCACTATTCAATGTACAAACACTTCCTTTCTCTATCTACATGGAGCTGACATTTTGAACACTACTGGGCACTAACTTATTTATATCATTGTACTTGATAAAATAGAAATCACTTAATGAAAATCTCCATTATGACATGTTGCACCTACTCTCCAAACCATTAGAAACAGAAATGACAACAATACATAAACTGTCCTATTCTATATTTATTCATGAGGCTGAAGTTATACATCAGGGGGAAAAAGTGCAAGTTAAACAAAACTTCCAGTTAGTAAAATATCAGTAACAAGTTTAACTGTATATAACAGGTTTACCTGTATTTTGCAATATATTTAAAATTATAGGTAATTTTTGAAAGTATCCAAATAACTGTTTGATACTTGAATATGGCAGCATATTCTACTGTTGTTAAAGTCTCTGGAAAGCAGAACAATGTGTATATACTCAAAATTAGGCTTTGTAATGGTCTTAAAGATATAAAATCTTGAGTAATAAGCAAAATAGTGAAGTTTCTTATTTGTAAAGGAAATATATCAGGAAGGTTTCCACTAAGGTATTTAACTCATATAGATATGAATAGACTTGATTTAAATGTATAATATTCCATAACAACAAAGAACATACCCATCCCTGGAAGTCTGATGTATAATATGCAAAAAGAAAATGCACAGAAGCAAGAGCACGACCTTCAAAAAGTCACCTGTGTTTGTGAAAATATTTCAGACTAGACTTTAATATTTTAACAGGAGAAAATGCTTCCCAAGATGAATAAAATCTAACCAAGGTATAAAGCCCTAATAATCTGTATTTTAATCATAAATGGAAGACAATAATTACTTGTTAAAAAAAAACAAACACCCTGATGTATGAATATAGAACATTTCTTACATATTCATGTTAACATTCCTTAAACAAGAAAACCGATCATCAAAAAACAAAATCTAAAATTAGGTTATACATTTTTCATCATGTCAGACAAATAAATTCACAGCTCACTAAATGTTCTTTCTTACACTTCAAACAGCTTATAAAATCCCACCTCCTTTAAATAAGGTTCTCCAATAATGGGAAGTAAGATGGAGAATCCACCATCCATCGTAACTCAGTCCCCTTGGCATAAACACTTAAACTCTACAAAGAAAACCATGCTAGTAACAGGAAAGCACAGAAGACATTTTCTTTGTCACTTTTGGCAGAGAGGAAAAAAAGAAGTCTTTTATACAAATCTGTTTAACTTTTTTAAATTAGAAGGTCAGAAAGGGCAGAGCTCACATTGTACAACATCAAGACATATACTCATCTCTCCAACTGGAGGGGTCAAAGGAAGTTTTGGGGTATTTTCATGATAACTCTTCTACCCAAGTCCAAGTTAACATATGTAAGTAGCACAGGGCCTGACTGACAGTAAGTACTCAATAAATATTTATTGAATACATGAATGAGTTAAATCAATCCAGTGCTTTGATTTGGACCTCAGTGCCTCACAATGTCTGTCTCTCCCACACAGTTTCTTCAGTTTCTGGCCCTTTTCCTCTAACTACAGGAATTAAAATCAAGTACAAGAGGTTGGACAAGGAAGAGGTGCCATATACCTAGAGTCCTTCTTTACTCTCCCAGCACAAATCTCTCCCCCCTCCTCATAATTTCAAAAGATACACATTAGAAACTGTCAAGCACTAGAGGCTGGGCATGGTGACTCACACCTGTTATCCCAACACTTTGGGAGGCCAAGGTGGGAGGATCACTTGAGCCTTGGAGTTCAAGACCAGCCTGGGCAAAATAGTGAAACCCTGTCTCAAAAGTAAATAAGTAAATAAGCAGGCAAGCAAGCAAGCTGGGCACGGTTGTGCACACCTGTAGTTCCAGGTGCTTGGGAGTCTGAGGTGGAAGGATCACTTGAGCCCAGGAGGTTGAGGTTGCAGTAAGCCATGATCATGCCACTGCACTCCACCCTAGCTGACCCTGTCTCAAAAAAATAAAAAAAGGGCAGACAACAGTTTCTACAACTTCAGATGGTTAAGACTTGCATCCAGAGTCAAAAGGACTGGATTTGAATCAATCATTTCACAACCCAACAGTCACATACTTAACCTCTGCTAACTCTAATAATCTCGTAAACAGAATTGCCATAGGGCATCTCCCATTGAGTTGTAAGGATTAACAAGGATAATGCAAGTAAAGAATTCACATAATATAAACTTGGTAAAATTGCTTTAAATCAGTTAATTTGGCAAAAGATAGAAAAGATTATATGTTAATCTGGAGGAAATACCTAAATTTTCAGAATTTCATTTAAGAAACAAAATCATCAAGAAAAGCATATATTTGCTCAATGATGTATTTGGATTAGTTTTGTTGAGGAGACTCAGTCTCTTGAAATATTAGGTAATTTGTACTTACCTAATATTGTGGAATTCACTATATTCAGAGTATACATGAGTGAAATGAGGGCCTGACTGGGAGTAAATATTAAATGTAATTCAATTCACAAATGTTCACCACCAACTACATAGTAATGCACACTTTCAAAAAAATAAAGGCCCTGTCTAGTATATCTGTGTTTGCAATGGTAGTGATGGTGGGATAATGTGCACAAGTATCCACAATAACATGAGATAAATGCTAAAACGATTATGTAAAAATTGCCCTGGCTTCGAAGAAGAGAAAGCAATTGGTTTTATGTATTTGGATTCCCATTTGGTTCTACATAAAACGAAGATAGAGGATACAAAAGGAGAGCCTTTCCAAAGATAATTCCAGAGATGGAAATGAGGTAGGGACCATTGTAAAGAAAAAAAAAATAGGGACAAGGGCCCAGAGATGTGAATGTACAAAGTATATGAGAGAATAAAAAAGTGCAGGTATCAAATTCTGGCTTTGCCCTAGACAGCACTATTAACAGTTGGTCACATTATTTAACCTTCTGTATCTCAGTTTTATTATCTGTAAAATGGAAATTAGATTATTAGGCTAAGGCTTTCTCATAAATAAGGTCATTCTCCTAAAAATGTAAGGTATCATTGTTAAGACATAACTTTTTTCAGATTCCTTTTAACCTCAGGTTTTAATATTTTAAATATAAATAAGTCTTTAAAATTAAGAAATCTAAACTTGTGATATTTAAAGTTTATTTTTTAAAGTTTTGAGGATATTTTAATTTTTACTCATAGCATTTAAATTCTGCTGCCTTTTAAACTTATTTCAGAGTACCCAGGGCTTTTAGTGGTTTACATCATTCATCTACATGATACTTGTGAGTGACATGATCCATAACAGCCAAATACCAGGGATTAACATTCAAGTCAACGCTTCCAGTTCCAGGGCAAGATGGTGTATTCTATTCCTCCTGCTAAGAACAGCTAAAAACTCTGGACATTATTTATAAAACAAACACATGAAGACTCTGACTCTTTGGCTAGAAAGAGCAGTATTTCCTTGGGGCTTTTTTATCTGCATGCATTGGTGTTTCCAGGTTATCTGCTAATGTAGCACCTAGTCTGCAATATAGGAAGCAAAAAGAAAATCCAGAGAATTCATTGCTCTGTTGCTCCTCTGGTTCCTAGGAAAATCTCAACTTAAATAAGAAAAGACAATCAAGAGATAACACAGATTTTAGAATTATTTGACAAAAACTGTAAATCAACCATCATAAAAATGCTTTAACAATTATAGACATACTTGAAGCAAACAAACAAACACTCTCAGTAAATAAGTAGATGATATAAAGAAGAACCACATGGAAGTTTTTGAACTAAAAAATACAATACATAACCAAAACGAAAAAGTCATTGGATGATCTCAACAGCAGAATGAAGGCAAGACAGAGGAGTCAGTGAACCTGAAGATAGAATAAAAAGTACCCAATCTGAAAAACAGAGAAAATGAACTGAAATAAAAGAACATAACCTTAGACACCTACGTGACTATGACAGAAAATTTAATGTTCATGTTATCAGAATTCCAGAAAGACAGGAGAAAGAATATAGGACTAAAACGGTATTTAAAGAAAAAATGGAAGAAATGTCCCCAAATTTGGTAAAAGACATAAACCTACAAATTCAAGATGAGCGAATGTTAAACATGAAAAACCCAAAGAAATACATGTCAGGAAATAACATAACCAAATTCCTAAAAACGAAAGGCGAAAATAATCCTGAAAGCAGTAAGATCTCTCTACAACTCAAATTTAAGACACAATTTGAATGACATCAGATTTCTCATCAGAAACCATGTAAGCCAGATGGAAGTAGGGCAATATTTTTCAAGTGCTAAAAGAAAAGAACTGTCAGCCAGAGTTCTATATCCAGAAAAAAAATATCCTTCAGGAATGAATAGGAATTAGATAAGAAAAACTTACAGAATTTTTTCCAAGCAGACCTACCCTAAAAGTATAAGAGAAAGCTCGTGAAATGAAATCCAAATGATTAAAGAAGGAATCTTGAAACATCAGGAAGAAAGAGCAACAGGAGAAGTAAAAATATGGATTAATACAATAGACTTTCCCTCTTCTCTTCAGTTTTCTAAATTATGTTTGACATCAAGACAGTCAAGTCAGTCCAGGATGAGAAAAGTTCAAAGCCAGATTCAACCCAGAGTTAATGCTCCTTTTCCCATTTTTTTCCCTTTTCACCAGAAAATGGGTACACTAATCATTCCTTGGCCTAGAGACCTGTCTAACCCTCTGACCCTGCAACCACCATGACTAGACATGCCTTGCCCTGTTACAGCTTTAAGAAAGGGAGATTTCAGTCTTTGCTCCTGCTAGGGAGTGTATGAGACAAGCCAGGAATATATCTGACTGATATAAGAGCTCCGCACATTATTTTTAAACATGAGAGGAACAAAATATTAAAAGTGAAGGCTCGTTTTATTTACTATCTGGTCAAACAAATATACTGCCTCATTCTGTACCAACATATTAATTTATAGAAACATATCTAATCAGTATTACAAACAGCATCACGCACATTGATGATAAATTAAGACAATTCTACATTTAACTTATTCAAATAGTGAAGCTTGTTGCTCTGCAACCTTTGAAAGGCCATACACTTGTATAAGAGTACAGCCTACACTGTAAGAAAAAGAAAAAGGAGTTTTGCACCCCGGCCTTCGGGAATGTTATCTTCTGGGTTTGGCCTCAGTTCATATTCCACTGCCCCAAACAAGATGCTCTAAGAAGCAGTACAGAGCTGAGAACTACAAAATATAAGCGACGTATATTTTCTGGAACATGCTAGTAGAGGTTACCTGACCACAATTAGATATATTCTTGTACTAACAAAATATGCACACTAGGAAAGTCCTGCTGAGGGCTACCACATTAGGACAGAGAAAGAACTCCTCTTCCCTTTATCCAAAAGTAAACAGCAACGAATGAAGAGATTGTAAAAATAGTAAGAAGGAGCTGACAGCTCTCCTACATCCAGGCAACACATTTTTGGCATGCAAGAAAAAAGTGACCTTATTATTTTTTAAGAACTGTTTCATATCCAAGAGCCCATATAAATCTCTTCAAAGGTTTTTAAGATGTTTAAAAGCCAGGAAATTTAGATGTTTCAGTACCATTAATGCTAACCTTGGCACTGCAACTGCTACCAATCAATTTTTTCCTTTTAGAAAGAATGCATAATTTTGATGAATGCTACAGCAAATTACACACTAAAAACGTAATTTTTCATGTGAATGGGGCCAACGTCTCTTGGCATGCTTGTCATCACAATATAGCTGCTAATCTTCAAATACAGTTATTAACAACTTCAGAAAATCATTCAGAAGACCAATTCTCCTTTTTAAGGTCAATGATTACCACAGTTAATGACCAATTGGCTTTAGCCATTAATGTTCTGACCTTTACATCATTTTTTAAACTAACAAGGCAATAAATAATTATTAATAATGGCCCATTTTGAAGGATGTTTTTTAGTGACCATCTATGCTCACTGAAAACATAATTGTGTTGTGTTTTATATAATCACTTGCTGGTTTTTACTTGTTTTCTTACTGCAGCTGGTAGTGTTTTATAATTAATATAGGAATAAGAGTAGAGGATGAAGAGATAGAAATTCTGACAAACTCTAGTGGCATTTAAAAAATAAACACAGTAAAACATGTATTGGGTTAGAATATATAAAAAGTACTGAAAGATACAAAATGAAAAGTTAAAGCCATCTTTCTCTTACATTCTCCAAAGGCAAACACTGTTATGTTTCTTGTACTTGCTTATAAATTGTTTAATGCAAATGCTCATGTATGGTATATGTACTTGTTTATTTTTCCTTTTGATTTTACATAACAGTTTCATACTTGATACATTCTTTGCAGCTTTTTTTACTTAAAATATCTTGGGGAACCTTCCACATCAGCATGCATAGATCTCATTTATTTAATAGCTACACAGTATTCTATCACATGAAAATACAAAATTATATAATCAATTCCATATTGATAGATATCTAAGTTATTGCCTATTTTTGTTATTTGTTTTGTTATTGCAAAAAATACTTCAACAAATATCCTTGTAGATATATTTTGAAAAACTAGCACCAATTATCTGCAATAATTTCTTGCAGTCCAACTCTCAGATTAAAAAATATGGGCCATTTTAATTATGAGAGATTTATTTATACTGTCTTTGAGAAAAACTGCACTGATTGATACCAGCCATTGAAAAGAGTGTCCCTTGCTTCATGCTCCTGCCATCACCAGAAATTATCAAACTTATTTTTGCCAACCTGCAGGGTAAAAAATACCTCAATGAGGTTTTTGCTTGGAGTTCTTTCATTATTAATAAGGGTGTAAACCTTCTCATATGTTTATTCCAAGATGGTATTTTCAGTTATTATTATTTTCTTATGTAGACAGAGTAGGAAAATTAAGTCTGTTCCCTTTCATTTTGGGCCTTAAAAGATTACAGACACTTAAATGCTTGTCCTCTTATCAGATGAATCAAGTAACAGTTTAATAGAAATCTTCCTACAGCCAGACTTCATTATTCTGACACAATCTAATGTCTGGTTTTCAAAATTCATAAGATTTCCTGAAACTGAGCCAAGAGAAGTTGGCAACAGGACAAGCAGGTTACAAACAGAAGAATGTAGACTGCAAACACAACATGCAGTAGCTTTCCTTTAGCTATAATCATAGACAATTTGCTACCCTGTTATACATAACACACATTTCTCCACATTATATAAACTCTTCGTAAAGCTCAATAATATTCCATCAATCCTATATAAATTGTTTTATAAGTTTTTATTCTTTATATAAATAACATATTGTATAGTTCTACAATTTGCTTTTATCTTTTCATTCAATATTATGTGGCTGAGATATAGACATATTCATTGATACATGTAGATCTATTCCATTAATTTTAACCACTTCCCATTATTTAATATACAGTGATTTATCAATTCTCTTATGTATTTTTATTACAAACAATGATATAATGAACATTCTTGACATGTCTCTTTGAACACATGGACAATAACCATGATAAGATCTGTATATGCAGATATGTGTGTACTTAGAAGTGGAATTGCTGAGTCTTAACGAAGCTTTTGCACGGGTGTTGGAGACAATATAAAGAAAAGAGAACTTTTCCAATATTGGTGAGAATATAAATTTTCATAAGCACTTTGGAGAACAATTTGCCAATATCTTGTAAAGTGTCTTCATCTGTAACTATAAACTAGTTTATCACTAAGATTCCTTCTAGTCTTGTAATTTTATAACTGGGGGGTTTCTTGTTATCAGGTGTAAAACTGGCTTAAGTGTATTCAGAGCAATTAAGCTGCAATGGAAAACATACCAATGCATGATTGAAGAAAAGTGCTTTACAAGGTTAAAAAACATCATTCGTACAAAATTAAATCAGCAGCCTCTTTGTTAAGACAAAATGCTATGTTGTTTAAAAAAAAAAGAAACTAATTCTGAAAAACCAGAATTCTCTAAGAGTATTATTTTCAAATTGCTTCTAAAATTTCTGGAACAAACAAAATGACTAAAATCAGGTAAAAACATAGTAAGATAGTTGGTGTGAATTCCAGTAGTCATTGGTTATCTGTAAGTTGGCAATGCACATATGCCTAGGAACCTAATACCATTTAAATATGTTCTACTACACATAGAAAGATACATGAACACATATAAGACCATCCTTGGCTTCAGTTTGAGGGCAAAATGTCACAGAAATAACTATAGCCCACAAGAGCTGTATACATACCAAATTTCTCTGACAGCAGAGAGGCAAACATTATTTCACCCCAAAGCTGGGTAAAAGGTACTGCTGCCATTCCTTATGCTCTAATTGAAAAATTCTCAAATTCTCATTATGCACAGCATATCTGGACCATCATCCACATGAATCAGTTACACCTATACTCTTAGAAAAGGCTGATGTGAAGATGTTCTGAGGCCCCCAAGTAGAATCTGTGGATCCTCTAAAGGATTTACGATTCTGTATCAATGATCTGAGAGATTCCAAAGAACTGCAATAATAAAGCACCCTCAGCAAGTTAAAGCAGATTACCATATCAATAAAGCATTCTCAAAACAAACATTCAAAATTGTAACCGCATGATCAAAGTAACTGTTAAAGTTAATGAAGAGAAGAAAAGCTTTCCCAACCTGTACTATATGAAAATTTCCTTGTAAGACAGGTTCCATGAATCACAGAAAAGGTACTTTATTCTAGGGAAAAAAGGTGATTTTTTTAAAAATTTTTATTTCTGTCCTGAGCAGGTTTTCTGCAATGGTAATTCTGGTATTTATGCATGTAGAATGGTTCTTTGAATACTGTCTCCAAATGATTCATACCTGCTAAATGTATTATTTTTAAATCTTTTCTCATGTTTGTTAAAGCATGAAATACCACCTCTCCACTCAAAGTTCTTCAGATTACAGGAATACTATTCATCATTTAATGGTTCTTTCAATGTCATATGTCTTACCAATATATCTCATAAAATTATATTCCTCTCTCTTCTTTGTTCTCTTTACAAGAGGAAAATGAATAAATTAGCTTACATCCTGCCACCAGCTGACTCCCCTACTCAGCCCATTCTCCTTGGTTCTAACATTCCGCATTAACCATCAGGGATAATTAGAACTAACAATAATTTAAGAAGTAAGTACGCAAATATAGCAAATAATTAAAAATGTTTAAAGTGGGCTGGGTGCAGTAGCCTATACCTATAATCATAGCACTTTGGGAGGCCAAGGTGGATGGATGGCTTAAGCCCAGGAGTTCAAGACCAGCCTGGGCAACAAGGTGAAACCCCATCTCTACTAAAAATATAAAAATTAGCCAGGCATGGTGGTGGGTGCCTGCAAACCCAGCTATTTGAGAGACTGGGCTGAGAGGATCACTTGAGCCTGGGAGGCTGAGGTTGCAGTGAGTGGAGTGGGAGGCCACAGAGCAAGACCCTGTCTCAAAAAAAGAAAAGAAAAGAAACTGTAAAGAGGTATCCACATACAAGTTATACCTTAATAGATGTGCAATCACCTTTTCACACAGTATAGGTATTCTTATGTAAGCTCGTATTTTGAATCATAGAAACAATTAAGACATGAATAAGTTTTACAAAATCTTAAACTTCAAATTTAAAGAATTTTCAAGTTGCATTATATACTAAAGAAACTTACTGGTAAATGAGATAATTATGCCTTTTGACAAATGTAAACTGTGCTTCTAGAAAAGAAAGAATGAACAAGATTTTCCCCAAAATCACAACATATTCAAGGCAATTTCCCTATTTAAGCTTGAACTGTATAAATCATATATTCTCTGGTATTTTAGAGGAGACAAGAAAGCAACTGCAAATTTCTAAAATTCTCTGCCTATGGTCTCTTCCCTGTCAATTCCCAACTATACAGAAAACTGTCCCGAATGCTTTCCTTTTCTCCACTGTTTAAGTCATTGCTGGGACTAAGTTTGCTGATCTGCTAAGGATCAGAAATCATCATCAGGATATTCTGTAGGCATCATTTATTCCCAAGAGATGAAATGAACAGTGGGAGAAAATGAAAATCATAAATGCCTCTAATTTCCCAAGATGCTCATTTAACTCTGTAATATTAAAGAGTAATAGATTTCTATTTAATTGTATTGCAAGGATGCTACAATATGCTAATTTGTAGAATATTTAATAATTTAAGTCATAATTTCACACAAATATATATTTTCCCCCACAAAGGTGAGCTAAATAATCATGGTAAAACAAAGGACAGCCCTACCCTCTGCTTTCTTTAATAGGGCTCTTAGAAGCACTGCATTAAGACCTTCAGAAAAATCATTGAGTGTCAATGTTTAAGTTAATCCCAATGTCTTAAACTGCCTATCTACATACACACCACTCAATCACAATTTACTGTAATATGACACTATGCAATCTGCACAATAAAGTTATTGCTTTACATACGTATCTACGATGCTGGAAATAATTTAGTATGGCTTTAGTGAGTGTACAAAGGGCTCATACAACTTGATGGAAAAGAGCATTAAGTAAGTATTATCTCCATCAAAGAAATTAATCAATCTGGAGGAAAAGTACACAAACACAGACCTACATACACATACATACATACACACATAATTTGTCGTTTATTTTTCAACATAATAAAATACATTTTTTGCAAATCCTGAAAAACATTAAGATAGACCATAATCATAGCAGAATATAATTATTCTAAAAATAGAAGTATGTTACTGTGTACTGAAAGCTCAGCATGCAGCATATTTTAATATATACATACACCGTAACATGGATTTTCACTTTTTCATTTGGTTGTTCCTATCTTATCTTTGTAGTATTTTACAAAATCATAAATCTAAAAACTGACATGATTTTTTATGTTTGTTCAATGATCCCTACATTTTGACCAATTCAAAGCTAAATTCATAAAAGAGGAAGAACAGATAGCAGGCTTTCTTTTCACTTTTTTAATAAAGTAATCTAATAACTGATTTTTAATTCATCATCAATAGGCTTTCCTGGTTTATGGAAATTTAACAGAATTCTTTTGGGTTCATAATTAGGCTTAATCTCAGGAGTCCTCTGGGCTTGCGTCCAAGGAAAAACTGACCAGATCCATGACATGATCTAGTTTCACTGCCTGCAAGCAACAAAGGCAGATGTCATTTCTAACAGGTGATCTGGTTCCTATTTCACATAAATATTATATATAGCCTTTCAGTAGTTTCACCTCTGCCCCATCACAGGTACTCAAAAAAACATTTGTTGAGGAAATTAGGGGAGGAAATTAGAGGAAAATTAGAACTAAAAATATAATGTCGATGAAAAGGTTTTGTTCCTGCCAATTGAATTTCTCTACCTGGGATTCGACTTAGGTGAAATCCACCAAAGAAAATGCTGAACAAAGCAAGGCGTAAGGCAAGGGCAAAGATCACCAAGAGTAGAAACAGATAAAGGTCTAGAATAAAGCCAATTCTGCAAATCATAAGCAAGACCAAGATCAGTGGAAATATGAGCTGTACTATTAACCCAAGGCTTGAGGCAAAGCTCAGAGTCAAGAAGACTAAGAAAAGCCTGCTCTCCTGGCAGGTATTACATAGAATCTTCCATTTCGGTTATTTGCATATATCTCATCTCCTGACAAGATCACAACTTCCTTGGAAGGATTATTGTCTAATTTACATTTACATCCCCTGCTATGCCTAGCACATTGCAGACATTCAATTAATATTAGGCAAATTAAGTACTATGCCTTCTAAAGAAAATCAATGCTTATCTTGACATTCAAACAAAACATCAGCTAAAGTCAAGTCAAAATATTTATCATTGGGCAAAAGTTTATTTTTTTATTTATTTCATTTTATTAAAATTATATAGGCACCTGGCTTGAATTATCAAGTAACTCCAAAACGTTTGTTTAAAAAATAGCAGACTTGTCTTTCCACACCACCTCTACCCTATTTCCCCCTTCCCAGAGGTAAACATTTTCAGTTCTTTCATGATCATTTTGGAATTTACTTCCATATCTCCAAATACCATATCTCCAAATGTTTGTATTGCTACTTCTTGATTTCAAGTTTTAGGCATTTGACTTTTCAAATATGAAAATAAGGATGAAGCTGTATTTTCTCCACCCAGACCCAACATATACACAATCTTTCCTATGTAGTTGTATAATTTTAGTTAGATTCACATTTAGTCTTTACTTAGTTATGACTATATAAAAATATATTTTTATATTTATCATTCCTATTATTCCTATTATACTATTCCTATTATTCCTTCTCCTTCCCTGCACAAGTTTTTGTTTACCTGAGGTAAATAAGTGTATTTTTTTTTGTTTCTGTTCTGTGTTTTCCTTACTTAGTTTTTTAAGCGTGTAACAAGAATTCAACACAAAATTCTTCACTAAAGGATATTTTTAAAGTTGTGTTGTGCATTATGACAGTGGTGTCACTTTAGCATTTTCAGGAGCAACATAAATATTTAAATTGTTTTTAACTGTGTTTCAGTTACCAGCCTCTGGCTGAATAGGAGTCCATTAGGCTTGGATCACAAACTACCTGGGCTTTATATTGGTTACAGATATTTCGGATGTTACAGAACTTAACACTGATTAGCTATCACTTAAAAGTATTAAATTATTTTAATGTGACGTAATGAAAACAGCACAACAAACAAAGACAGACAGATCCAATAGAGAATTCTGGCTTCACCCTAGCTGAACAGTTATTAATTTCTTTGACCCTCAGTTTCCTTATCTATAAAACAGGGATTACTGGGAATATCATAAGTTGATTTCTGATTACTCATTGAATAATTTAATGATAACAAAGGACTTGGATAAAATATTCCATAAGCATACATCCACCATGATGAAACACAGAATTGATTAAATCTTACCAAGGCCGTAAATGACAAAGGGAGGATCTTTAGGGTAAATACTGAGAACAAATGAGCGAGAGTCATTTGAGCTCCAAAGTTCAGGAAGAGTAGCAAAGGAAGATAATAATTATCATTATTATTAACTGAATAATTTCTATTTATCAGGTGCTATCTCATGTAATCCTCATTGTCAGCAGCTGTGATGTAATCTTGTCCACTTTACAGATGAGAAACAGAGGCAGTGACTAAATCCTTTCCAGGTTCACAGATACTAAAGTGGCAGAACCAAGAAACCAGGAATTCTCATGCCAAAATATGTGCCCAGGTGGACTCAGTCACGACCTGATAATGTCTTCCATAAGGATTTAAATGGGCAAAATGATCTTAAATTGTTCACATACATATTGTATTATAATTTTTTTGAAAGAAAGACCTGTTGGTACCTGGACCGAGGAACTAAGAGTAATCCTATGACGTTGTGTATGCTTTGTTAAAGGTAGCAGAAAAATTATGTTTGCATCAACCTGCATCTCCCCAGACCAGTCATACCTTGATCTCAAAGACTGATCACATTAAGGATGCTGAGGCAGGCGTGCCAGCAACTGTGGGGATGCAAATTACATCACAAGGTTATGATACATAGAGCATACTATAAACTGAATTGTGCCGCTCCAAAATTCTTACATTAAAGCCCTAACTCCCTAACTCCAGACTGTATCTGGAGATAGGGTCTTTGGAATGTAATTAAGATTAAGTAAGGTCATAATGGTGGGGCCATGATTCAACAGGGCCGTGGCTTTAGAAGCTCTCTCTGCTATGTGATGACATAGCAAGAAAGCAGTCATCTGAAAGCCAGAAGAGTGCCCTCACCAGAAATCAAACCCTGCCAGACCTTGATCTTGGACTTTTTATCCTCCAGAGTTCTGAGAAAATAAATTTCTGTTGTTTAGGCCACCCAGTCTATGGTATTTCATTATGGCAGCCTTAGCAGACGAATATGAAACATGAACTTAAAAGGAACAAAGTTAGTTTTCTTCTTCTTTCTACCCTTTCATATGTTGGGGTAAAAAAACAGGTACGAAAGAAGCACTCAGTTGTTGAAAAGAAAAATAATGTGAGATTCCTAGAAGTAGAATAGGTTCAAAGAAAAAAATACAAAATTTCTGTTTGTTATTCATTAAGGAGATTAAGTTGCATATGAAGACCAGAGTTGGGTCAAAAAACCTGGGCTCTAAGGAGGCTCAGTCTCTTATTAGGTAGATGCCCACTGGCCAAGTCATTTAACCTTTCCATTTCCTCAGTTTAATTAAGGAAGTCAGGATAAATGGCCTTTAACATTTTTTTTTTTTTTTTTTTTGCTAAAACACTCTAGGATCTTACAATCTAGCTGGTGGAAAGCTAGTCAACAGAAGAGTATACCCAGGATATATTGCTGAAGTGATAACACACAGAGAATTTAAAAGAAATTCCAAATTAGATCTGAGAAACCAATAGAAAAACTAAACATAATAAACATAATAGATAAAGCTAGACATAATAAAAGCTGTAATATGCTTTATCCAGGGCCCTCATATTTCCAAGGCAGTCTATAGATCATAGTGAAAGCAATTATACAATTTCCATTTAAATAACAAGTGTCTGTGCGTTAAAAGTGGCAGGTTTTTTCTCCCTTGAACAATAAGTCTTCGGCGACTATCAGCTATTTTCAAAGCACAATTAGAATTGAAGAAAAGACAGCACAAACAATACTGTTTTTCAAGCTATGAGAATCAGGAATTGAAGAGATCTGATATAAGAGGAAATCAGGTACAAAGAAACTATGTTGGTTAAAAATATATATACCACAATCCATAAAAAATGTCTATCGATATGGGATATGATGGTTTTGTGGAAATCTTTGACTTAAAAGTTCTAAAAAGCTAAAACTATGAAGCTCATTTTATTATGAAAACTGAAATTGAGAATTGATTTCAAAGCATTCAGAGGATTCCAATGTTTTAAAAACATAATGTATCCTCAATGTAGCTGTAGTGAGGCAGACAGAGAGCCCTGGAAGTAAAGTTGTTTACATTCCTGACCTGCCAGCTGCTGGCTGTACTATCAGGTCTAACACACTTAACCTCTCTTAGCCTTTTAGTTTCACCCACACAGCCTCAGTTAGAAATGAATATGACTAATGGGGCTTTGTGAAAGGGCTTTGTAAAAATGTTGCTTGAAAAAAATTCGAGAACTTCTAAAGAAGTCCAAGACATTTTCTCAGTGTCAAAGATGTGACAATATGAGATGTAAGACACATAAAGCAAAACGAAAAGCAAAAGGAAGTCCCAAGGCAAAAGAATCACATAAGGATAGAGAGGGTATCTAAAAGGAATTTTTTTCAATAGCTGTCAAAATAAAAATTTAAATACGTGAAAGCAAGCAATAGATTATTATTTTTAAATTTACCTACTTGGCACTAACGGTTTTTAAAACCTAGGCTAAGTTGAAATGTGCAGTTATCTATAAGGTAATATATTTTATTGTTCCTATCAGGATGGTAAACTCTGTCCACTACTGGCTTCCTCTACAAAAATCAATACTGGAGAAACTAGCTTAGTGAGAGAAATAGTTATAAGAAACTTAAAAAAAAAAAACAAAAAAAAAACCTATGTACGTTGAAGTCAGGATGCTGCAGCCTAATTTGGGAGGAAACCGGTTGTTGGAAAACTTTTCCATGCTACTCTTGCCTCTCTTATAAAGATAGGTAAAGCATACATCTTCACCACGGCATGGGCATTGGACAGGAGAGGACTAGTTGTTAATGTCAGCATTAACAATTAGTAATATGGGGCAGCTTAAGGACTCTTGTGAAGTGAAGGTGAAAACCATAGGTAGTGAAGAGGCAAGGGGTGATCAGAGTGATTGGGAGATTGGGTGGTTCCTATAGTTCTCTGCCAAATAACAATGACCAGAGGCTGGTCATCCGCCCTTCCCAATTCACATTACCACACAGGGTAGCTATATCCAGGAAATAAGAATTGATCTAAAAATCAACTAATAAAAACATCTACCTATTAAAGAAATACAACTATCTAAACATGTAACATAATGGGCTTCCCCTTTCAGTAGGCATAGGAAAGGGAGGAAACGGCAAAACCATGCCAGGCAACATCGTATTACAAGGAGGGAAGAAGAGAACGGGTTCCTATACCCCTACATTTCTCCCAGACCGATCATTCCAATCAGGCCCACAAAATGAGAGACAACTAATCAAGAGATTCTTGGAATTGCTGCCACTGTCTTGGAGCTCACAAAAGGAAACTGTATTGTGCCTGTGGAACTTTAAGCCAGAGGAGCAGAGGAGGCAATGGCCACTAGATGGCACCAAACTACAGCCAGGACCAAGAAAGATTCCGCTCTGTGCCCAACTCCCAGGACTTTTGCACAAGTTTGCTATAGTCATTTCACCAATATCGGTATCACACAGTCTCGCATTTTACATAACTGAAAAATCTGCGATCCCCTGATTGTCTTGTGTAGAGGTTGTATGTGCTGAAGCAGAATTATTGAAATACATGCCAATAATTCAAAATAAACATGATATAGCTAAGGCACTAAGGAAAGATAGCAATGTGAAGTATGAATAAGAAATCATTAAAAATAATGTTAAGTATTAGTAAAAAAAAATATTAAAATACAATAGAGATAAACAGTAGGATAAATACAGTTATAGGATAAATTGTTGATTTAGAAAATCAAACTGTGGTCCTTCCTAAAAGACAATAGAAAATAATAATATAAAACAACATGAAAGAAAAGGCAAGGAACAGAAGCAGTTATGTGAACATCCAGATAACAGGAGGCTCAGAAAAAAATGGTGAGAAGAGGGAGGTTGACAGACCAAAAAAAGCTTGAAAGGATAATTAAAATAAATGTTACAGAACTAAAAAAGAAAGATCAAAGATCTCAGAATGGAAAAATTAATAGGACAAATAAACCCATACCATGGCATATTATGGGTATGGTTAAATTTTAGAACAAAAAGATAAAATTTCTAAATCTTCCAGAAAGAAAGAAGATAAACTTTGGAAAATGAGTAAAAGAATATAATATATTTTTTAAGTATTGAAGAAAACAATTTTGACTCTAGAATTTTACATCAAGCCACACTGTCACACAAAGATGAGTACACAATAGAAATGCTTTAGGCATACAAGGCCACAGAAGGTTTGCCCATAAAGACCCAAACTAAACACATTCTAGAGAAAGTATTCAAATAAAAAACAAAATCAGGAAGATGATGCAAATATACAGGATAGAAGGGTTACCCAACATTTTACCTGTTATTGTCTTAAAAACTAACATAAACTAAACACAAGCTTAAAAAAAAGAAAAAAACAAAGAGCACCCACAACTGAGAACTAAAATGCTAAACAATATTAAGAAGAACAAGCAGCACAGAAATAATAAAGTGAATAAATCAACAAAATTCCAAACAAAAATGTAATAGGGAAGATTTTTAAAACGTTACTTTCCTGAAGACCAAACATATTAATAAATATTTATAAACCTTTCTCAAGATTCACCAAACTTAGGGATGAGATGGGGAGATGGGGGGGATGGGACAAAGCAGCAAAATACAGAATGAAAAGGGAGAATACAAAGTGATACATATTTTATTTATTTATTTATTTATTTATTTATTTATTTTTTTTGAGACAGAGTCTCGCTCTGTCGCCCAGGCTGGAGTGCAGTGGCACGGTCTTGGCTCACTGCAAGCTCCGCCTCCCGGGTTCACGCCATTCTCCTGCCTCGGCCTCCCAAATAGCTAGGACTACAGGTGCCCACCACCACGCCCAGCTAATTTTTTTGTATTTTTAGTAGAGGCGGGGTTTCACCATGTTAGCCAGGATGGTCTCGATCTCCTGACCTCATGATCCACCCACCTTGGCCTCCCAAAGATAAATATATATTTTTAAAGTGTTGTAAGTATAGGCTAATAATTTGGAAATCTACATAAAATGGAAGAAAGTCCCAGAAAATATATACATCAAAATTGTCAAAAGAAATAGAGACCTTGAATATGCCAAAAATTATGAAATAATTTGGAAGGTACTCAAAGCATCCCTCTCAAAAAGCCAATGGTCTACGTGATTTTTTACAAGTGGGATTTAAGAAACATTAATGACTTCCTAATGCAAGCTGTTATAGCAAATAGGAAGAGTGTAAAACTATACAGCTCATTATAGGAGGCTACTGGAATCTTGATTCCAAAATGAGACAATATACGAGAAGAAAATATGGGCCCACTTCACTTAGGAATTAGATGGGAAAAAACAAGCAACAACAACAAAAACCACCATCAAAAAAAAGAGCTAAATAAATCCAATACTTTATTAAAATACAATTGTCATGAAGTGTTCTGGAATGTAAACTTAGTTCAGCAGTATCTATGACTAGCTCAATTAATAGAGGGAAAGCATGTGATAACCATTACTACCTATTTATAATTTTTAAAAGTGTTAAATTATACAGTGAAGGGAACTTCCTTAAGTTGGTAAAGGTTATACAAGGATACTGTTCAATCTGAACTTAGCTGAAAACCTGCTAGTGGAACTCAGTGACAAAATTAATTCAAATAAATTTTCAGTTTTTAATTTTCCTCACCATCTCAGTTCTCATTACTCACTACCCAAAACTCGTGAACCATATATAACCAATTAATTGAGAATCTTGCTACACCAACTCCCCATCTGATTTCAGGCCCCAAGTAATCTTAGCAAAGAATACCTGCATGAACACTACACTTAATGGAGGGTCTGCATCTCCTTTAAAATCAGGAACAAAAGAGACTACTATCAACACGACTCAAACACAGTTGTAGAGGTCTTGGACAAAATTAAATTGAAAATAAAATAAAATTTGTAACGACTGGATAGAAAGAAAAAAACTATCATTATTTTTAGATGATATAAATATCCACCTAGGAAAAAAACAATAAAATGTTTAAAACTGCAGTACAAGGGAATTCAGTGAAGTTGCCAAATAAAAGAGTTCTTATCCTGGAGTCTATAAACCCTAATGGGTCCATAAATTTGGATGGAAAAATAATTACATGTTTACATTCAATGAAATACTTCTATTTACTTTCCCTAAACTTTATTACATTTTTACTTTCACTAATCTCTATTCAGCATTTCTATTATAAATACAGTCAAGAAACCACAGTTGTCAGCAATAAAAATCAAAGGTGTTTCCACATCACATTATATTTGTTGCAGACATCTTAAAAAAGCATTAATGTTCATTATTTCAAAATTATAATTAGTCAATATTATTTAATACATAAAAAACACATCTATGTATTTTCACATTATCCTGAAAAAGTTCCCATAGAATTGCTGCATTTCAAAGTGTCCAGGAAACTTCACTCCAAAAACCCATGATATGGGAGAAAGAGAAAATTATCCTTATTAGAACAAACTACCCAATATGATCAGCAAATTTCATTCTTAATGTGAAGTATTTGCTTCTTTTAAAGAATCTCTACTTTATGCCGGGTGCAGTGGCTCACGCCTGTAATCCCAGCACTTTGGGAGGCCGAGGCGGGTAGATCACGAGGTCAGGAGTTCGAGACCAACCTGGCCAATGCTGGTGAAACCCCATCTCTACTAAAAATACAAAAATTATCTGGGCATCATGACACACAACTGTAGTCCTAGCTACTCAGGAAGCTGGGGGAGGAGAACTGCTGGAACCCAGGAGGTGGAGGTGGCAGTGAGCTTAGATCACGCCACAGCACTCCAGCCTGGGCGACAGAGTGAGACTCTTTCTCAAAAAAAAAAAAAAAAAAAAAAAAAAATCTCTACTTTAAACGTCTCTTTTGAATGAAATCATTTGGTCCTAACTGATTCAGAAAGACAACAGGTACTGTTGTACCAGTGTAGCATCTATAAGTTAAGAGCACCCAAAACACTGAAAGAGTTAGGTGCTCTGTCCCAAGTGGTCAAAAGATAAAGAGAACCAACAAAGGAACTAAATTATTTAAACTGGCCAAAAAAGAGAGAGTAGGTAAAAATAGTCAACTTTATAAATCATTATATAAAGTAGGATAACAGGATGGTTCCTGTCTCTATACTAGCTCTTTTATACTATTTCAATTTTTTAAATGTACAGGTATAAGTAGGCTTAAAATGAAAATAGATTTCAATTAAAAATAAATTAAAATTTTCTGACCTTGAAATAAATGAATTAGGAAGTATTCAGAATTTTCATCTAGAAACCTTTCTAAATACATCTCCAGTTGTTGAAAAAGATCAGAGTGCAAAGATGAGATCAGCTCTCTTAAGCCTTGCCAGCTTTATTGGCCCATGACAATAACTTCAGTTGAATAAATCTTAGTATGAAAGTGCCAATTATAACTCTTCTAATTTCAGTGAAAGAATAAACCGGTCAATTACTTTCGACTTCCTTAGTTTATATTTCCTAATGCTATCTAGTATCAGTAAACATGAAAAAAATCATGTTTTTTAAATTATATCATTATAGTGACAGTTGATAGTTTTTAAATTTTTATTGGCATTGTCATAGGTCAAAAGCCCTATTTCTTTTATCTGTGATCCATCCTCTATATTAAAAGATTATATGAATTAATATTGTCAAGAATACAAAAATCTTTAAAAGAAGCAACAGAATAATTTATAAGTTTTGCTTTAATCAATGATTTATCTACATTTAAAAGTTTTCTCTTGTTTTCATAGACACTGATTATTTCATTGTCCTTTTAGTTGCTTTGATTATATGACTAACCTGAGGCAGCTGTTACTTCATTTTCTGAAATACTTTATCAGTCATTCTACCTAATCGGATAGAACTATCTGCACTGATCTTCTGCACTAATCTTCAGGAAAAAAAAATTCAATTTGACATTTAAAGATATTAATACAATTCTTAAATCTAGACAACTGACCCAATTAATCATATACATTTTCAAATGACAAGAAACCAAAAGCCACCATTGCAAATACTACTTACTGTTCTCAACAATTCCCATAATATTAGATCTAGACTATATTAAACCCAGTATCACTCCATAATGATATAATAAAATCAACATACACTAAAAACATCCTATCTGTGATTTCCAATGTTCAACTGTATTTTGTTAATCTCTATATCATTCATTAAGAGATAATGAAACCAACCATTGTTCTTAGGGCTCACATACACAGTAACATCCTTACTTTCACCAAGACTTATGGAATTTGCACTATTATTAAATATCTTAAAAATCTCTGGAAAACAATATTTAATCATCTTCACATCAGGATCTGTTTTCTTTTTTGTTTGAGAAATTTATTCTAAACCAGAGCATCTCAAATATTAATGTGCAAGCAAACTATAGCTTGTTAAAATGCAGATCCTATTTCAGTTGGTGGGTCTGGGGTAGAACCTGAGTTCCTGCATTTCTAACAAACTTTTAAGTAATGCCGGTATACTGCCCATCCTCAGATCACACTTTGAATAGTAAGGTTCGACACTACAATTAAGTTTAACTTTTACAGAAATGCAATATGGTTCTTCATATACAGAAATACTTAGTTGCCCTTCAGTTTTTTCTTACTGAGGGGAACTAATTCCAAATCTTCCATATTTCTGAACTTTAAAATGTCTATAATATACGAGTAAGTGTGGTGGAGCTGGGGCACATACTAAAAATATACGATTTTTTTTTCAAGTTTTAAAAATAGCCAGAATTTGCTGGAAATCTCATAATGCAACTGTAAGTAAGGAGTAATTATTAGCAGAAACTATAATTCTAACTTTAAAGTTTGAATACAGTAGTCTCCCTTATCCATAGTTTCACATTCCACAGTTTCAGTTACTTGTGATCAACCACAGTTGAAAAATATTAAACAGAAATTTCCAGAAATAAAAAATACATAAATTTTTCACTTTCATATCACTCTGAATACCAAGTATCATGATTAAATCTTGTGCCATCCTGCTCTATTCCACCCAGGTCATAAATCATTCCTTTGTCCAGCATATCCACAAATGTCGACACTACACACCCTTAGTCACTCAGTGGCTGGCTCAGTTATCAAATCAACTGTCAGGGTATTGCAGTGCTTATGTTGAAGTAACTCTTTCTTCAGTTAATAACATCCCCAATGTGCAAGAGTACTGATGCTGGTAATTCACATATGCCACAAATAAGCCATAACGTGCTTCCTTTAAGTAAAAAGGTAGCAGTTTTGGACTTAAGAAAAAAATGGTATACTGAGGTTGCTAAAATCAATGGTAAGAACGAATCTTCTATCTGTGTAATTGTGAAGAAGGAAAAAGAAATTTATGCTAGTTTTGCCATCACACCTCAAAACAGCAAAATTTGTGGCTACAGTGCATAATAAAGTGCTTAGATAAGATGGAAAAGGCATTGTATTTGTAGATGGAAGACAACAGAAATGTGTTCTGATTGAGGGCAGTTGGGTTTAGCACTATCTGTGGTTTCAGACATCTACTGGGATCCCTCATGGATAAGGGGAACTATTAGAATGAAAAATAATTTTTAATTAGTTAGATTTAGATTTTAGATTTATTCTATGGCATAATTTTATATTTATTCTATAGCATAAGTTGCATTTAATTTTACAAAAAAATTATTCAAAAAACATGCTTTTTACTATTAAAGGTATTTAACATTCAGATATTGTCAAATTTTGAAGGGATTAGCATAATATATTCAGGATTTTCCAATAATGGATATCACTAAAAATTATTTAGGACATCATTAAAAAATCTAGTTGGCAATAAAGAACCAGTTTCCCTAAATAATAACGAAAAATCAAATTAAGAAAAACTAATGCTATTATCAAATCTTTGTATATTTGAAATTGTTATATAATCTAAATTTAGAAAACTCACCAAATTTTTACTACTGAACTAGAAATCCAAGAACTACAATAAGAAATTTCACATAACCACAAAATACTCAACTTCTAGTTTATATAAGACATTAACAAATTTAGGTGGTCTGAAATTCTTAATTATGTAAATCATCAATGTTCAAAATATTCAGTATAAGATGCAGGGTGCTACTTAATCTTACTCCTACTAGTCATAAGTAGTGTAACATTGGTAAAGTTATCATCATTAAGTATTAATTTCCCATTTCTATAAAAACAAAGCAAATTACTTCCCTCATCTATGGTTTATTAAACAAATATTTTGTGCCTATTCTGGGGCAGGCACTATGCTGAAGTAAAGAATACCAAAGTACTCACCACAGCACTTACAATCTAAACCAGAAGAAAGACAATATACAGGTGGCTGAACAAGCAGATGAATAAATAAAATAAGTGCTATGAAGTCAGATAAAGTCAGATACGAGGGTTAAAAATGACTAGAACTGCTGTATTTGGTAGGGACAGATTAAAGAAGGCCTCCTTGGGGAAGTGACATTTGAGCTGAGATCTGTCTCTAAGACATTATGAAAAACCAATGTTCACGCCTATTTTGTTTTAAATGTATTTTCTAAATTTTATTATTAATAAGCTCTGTTTATTTATAATGATAAACAGGGATGATGTAAAATGCAAAAGGTAATTTCCAAGTAATTTTAGTTTTTTGTTGATTGCTAACAAAGTACAAAGTTGGATAATTTAAAGTGTGTGTCCTGGACATGTCCCATCCTCTAGTATAGTAATAAGAAAGAAAAAATTAGAAAACATTAGGCAGCTGATGGGGAGAAACTGGGGAGAGGGGAAGAATAAAGGGAAATTAAAGAGCTACATGATCCATAAAGTGGATATTCAACTCATGAATAAATCATAAGTAAGTGACACTTCTATTTTCATTTTATTCCTAAGAGGCAACAAGAGGTAGGTAGGGATGTGGGTGTGTGTGTGTCTGCAGGCACAAATGCATGCATATGTGCTGTGGCTTTTATACTTAACTTCACCTAACACTCCTCTTTTTACTTTCGAAGCATTTTATCTCAAAGTATAAGATTTAAAGGCAAATCTGTAACTATGAAACGGCTC
This sequence comes from Homo sapiens, assembly GCF_000001405.40. Lineage (NCBI taxonomy): Eukaryota > Metazoa > Chordata > Mammalia > Primates > Hominidae > Homo > Homo sapiens. The sequence continues at coordinate 108,268,425 of NC_000005.10, forward strand.
TGGTTCAACGTTATCAGAAAAGGACCAGAACTTTAGGTTATATAAATTCTCATGTTTTTCTTCTGAGATGCATCAGTCACTTGGCACAATACTTCAGTCATTGCAGAACACCTGATTCCTCACTCCTTCCCTGATAAACTGTTCAATCAGAACTATGTTGAATGTATTTTTAAGTATCAAACTAAAAAGGTAGAATTCAAACTGAAAAAAAAATGGCAAGGAAAGAAACGCATTTTCTTTAAAGATATTTACATACTACTCAAAAGAGGTTGATATCAGTTACTACATATCCTCTTTTTATAGGTTTTTAATTAAGGGACTTTAAAATGGACTATATGAATTACCTTGGAATGTATTCTTCAGGGGAGGTAGAATTGTACCACTACCATCTTAGAGTTTTTAAGCTGGTCCTGAGAATTAAATTGAAGTGAGATCCACAGGAGAAAAGCTTACACATCTATTTAATACAAGTTTTATGTGCCACAAGAGCCTTCATAAAGAAATGAAGACCCAAAGACTCAATTAGAGTTGAATATTCATATAATGAGGTAGACAAAGAGTAGTAAATTATGAAAATATAACAAAGCAAAGGGACTTCAGTTAGGGTGGTTATTTTAGGCAGAGAAGTGACCAGGAAGATAAAGGTTGGTTTCATAAGGTTGTTTGTACAAATTCCCCTCAGCTTCAATTTCCCATCCTTGCTAAGAATGTTACTTTCCTTCATATCGGGAGGACCTCTTTCACATAGGAATTCCATCTTGTGCTTTTAAGGAGTAGGAGGAAGGTAAGAGTGATCTTCTTGAACCTACTGTTTTTCAAGTGACTTCACCTCAAAATAATCAATATGCCACTCAAAGTGGCGTATTTTGAGGTGGCATGCTCTTAAGTTCTTTAATTATTTCCTTACACTGTTATGCAAGCGTTCAATCTTTAGTTTTAGATGACATCCATGATCACAGCAACAGTACTGACACCATTATCTCTAAGGGTAACCCAAGAAAGGTATAACCTCAAGAACTTAGTGGGAAGAATATACACAATAACTAATGCCATCAAATTTGGTTATATTGGATACAGATGAAAAAATCTGTAAATTCCTCAATTTTTATTTATTTTTTCCACATGATCATAAAACTGGTGCACAAAAGAACAATCTTCATTCTCTAGACCTGGAGAAATCTGAAGGCAAGAAGATTAAAATATGGGTACTGGATCTCCTCCCTCACCCTCTATGCCCCTCTTCCACCACCTTCCTTCCAACAATATATCACCTAGACAGATTGTAAGGTCTTCCAAAGAAGAGAACCATGTATTATTTGTCTTGGAATCCATAGTACCTAAGACAGTGCCACCACAAAAAAGCTATTCAATAATAAAGAAAATTTGCTGAAATCTTTTAGACGAGGGTTTGTTTTCTCTTTTTTAATCAAGTTACTTTACTACTTGAAACACTGAATAAAACCTAGGTACTGCCCTAAAATACATTTCCCTCTACTACTGTTGCTACAAATATCAAGGTACAGGAATGTGGCTATATCCCCTCAATGGAGATTAGGTAGGTCCCAGCAGAACCAGAAAACAAAACAAAACAAAAAGCAGCCAAACCAAGTATCAAAGCTAAAAGGTCTTCTCAACAATTTTGAAACTAAGATTTCAAATATGTAGATTAAAGATACTAAAGAAGTAAACAATCTCCAGCATCTAAAAGCACCCAGGAGAGGTAAAAAGTACACATGCCAGGTATGTTGCCATATAAAAAATTAGATTATAAGAAAACCGTAGAAACTCTTAATGGAAAAGGAGTCTTAAATACTGAGAAACTCTCAGTGTCTGTGGATACCCTACAAAAAAGTGAAGGCGATCTCCCCTACAATCCATTCCACTCATAGGTTGAGAAAGGCTGTTTCCTCCATACATGTATCTAAATGAAATGCACCTAAATCATATATTTATGATGCAGTTAAATCACATATTTATTTATAACTATATGAATCATATTTTAATTATATTTATAATTAAATATAATTTATACATCATATATTTATTTATAAATACATAAATCACATATTTAGCAACAATTGTAATGAAAAGGAGGTGACTCTTAGGTTAATAAAAAAAAAAAACATGTTCTCAAGGAAATTTGTCTAGTAAAACCAAAGAAACAGAGCATCCATTAGCCATAAACTTTGAGGATAAGTGACATTTAAGATTTTCTTTCTCAGTATGATGTTTGTTTCAAGTACGTTAACAGTTATGTTAACAGTTTTAAATTATTATGTTGAAATAATTGAACAGCTGACAGTTTTAAATTATTTCTCCTTTTTACTATTATGAGAAGGGGGACAGTTATGTTAACAGTTTTAAATTATTATGTTGAAATAATTGAAGAGTTGACAGTTTTAAATTATTTCTCCTGAACCCTTTTTACTATTATGAGGAGGGGGGAAAACCACATACACATAAAGACTAACAGACTGCTGAAATTCTCCTCCAAAAGTCCATTTATTCATGGTAAACATTCATCTCTCCCCCTTTCCCCCTCTCCTTCTCCACATTCCCTACCTCCCTGTGTAAGCATGCAATTCACCTCCTTTCCCAATAATTACATCCAATAGAGCAGTGGAAATGATGAAGACAAATGATTTAGTAAATAAAGACAATGCAAAAAAAAAAAAGAAATAGCAACAGAAGAGAATATGATTAATGAAAATTAGGTACCTATACCTAATCAAATCACAGTAGAAATCATAATACATGATGGTCTCAATTCCTCCAGTGAAATAAACCATGAAAACTGGAGCTCCCTTCCTCTTCCAGTCTATTAAAGAAGGCCTATCTTCTCTATTAATCCAACAAATGTCCAAATCATATTTATGTGTGGCAGCTTCTTATCCTCCCCCAACTCTCAGCCCAACATCTGTTTGATTGTGATAAGAATGCTACAAGCTAGAGGAGGCACCAGAATATACACACACAGAACAAACCAGGTTAAGATAGCTGGTGAATTCCTGACACCCGGCAAAACCATAAGCAATCTCTTTATTCATTACAATACAGACTCAAACTCTGGAGAAAACAGTAGGAAGGTCCTACAAACACACATTATCAAGGATGGGCAGCTACCATGAAGAAAACTACCAATACAGTCAACTTCTTGAGAACATACTGGTGGATTAATACATGTTTATGAGTTGGGAAATACCTGCCAACAGATAATAAACTATAAAACAACACCTGAAGCAACATGCTCAGAAAGATATAAATGCAAGATTTCTCTATGTATCTATTTGTAACATCTTAATGTTCATTCATTGCTTTCATCTAGTTGGAAAAATCCTTCCAAGTATTTAGTGATAGAACTAGGGAGGAAGCGTTAAGAATTCTTGAAAGATCTCCAAAACAGGAATTTCTGGCTCCCTTATGTGACCTTCAGCAAATTAACCTCTCTGTGCTTCAGTTTCTTCATCTATAAAATGAGGCTATTACCAGGGCAACAGGCCCTAAAATGGGCCTTATAGGGTGGTAATGAAGACTAAATGAGCTAATACACTGGTACAATGTGTGGCACATAAAAAGCAACCAACGGCCGGGTGCAGTGGCTCACGCCTGTAATCCCAGCACTTTGGGAGGCCGAGATGGGAGGATCACGAGGTCATGAGATCGAGACCATCCTGGCTAACACGGTGAAACCCCATCTCTACTAAAAATACAAACAAATTAGCCGCGTGTTGTGGTGGGCACTTGTAGTCCCAGCTACTCAGGAGGCTGAGGCAGGAGAATGGCATGAACCCAGGAGGCGGAGCTTGCAGTGACCCGAGATCGCGCCACCGCACTCCAACCTGGGCGACAGCAAGACTCCATCTCCAAAAAAAATAAATAAATAAATAAAAATTAAAAAATAAAGAAAAGCAACCAACAAACGTTAGCTATAATTTTTTTTTTTTTTTGAGACAGGGTCTCACTCTGTTGCCCAGGCTGGATTGCAGTGGCACAATCTCGGCTCACTGTAGCCACCACCTTCCAGGTTCAAGTGATTCTTGTGCCTCAGCCTCCCAAGTAGCTGGGACTACAGGCATGTGCTACCATGCCTGGCTAAAATTTTATGTTTTTAGTAGAGACAGGTTTCACCATGTTGGCCAAGCTTATCTCAAACTCCTGGCCTCAAGTGATCAATCCACCTCGGTCTCCCAAAGTGCTGGGATTACAGGCATAAGCTACCACACCCGGCCATTAGCTACAATTTCTATAATAAATGATCCCGCATTTTCCCAATAAAACGGTTTCTCATTTAACTTAGGATAAAATCAATATTATTGTCATCAGAAACCTATTATATATATGACTAGTGTCCTAATTGTAAAGGTCACATCATGAATACAGCTACAGCAAAATGAATTATTTATGTGTGTATGTATATAAAAATACTCTATGCAGAGTATGGTATGAAAAACATAACCATAGTTAATAACTATCAGCGAACCTGCCCCGATATTCACGTAGGTTCTTTTCTATTTTCCCTAAGTGTCGGCCAGCTTGAGAAATAAAGGGACAGAGTACAAAAGAGATAAATTTTAAAGCTGGGCATCCGGGGGAGACATCACATGTCGGTAGGTTCCGTGATGCCCACAAGCCACAAAAACCGGCAAGTTTTTATTAGGGAGTTTCAAAAGGGGAGGGAGTGCGCAAATAGGTGTGGGTCACAGACATCAAGTACTTTACAAGGTAAAAGAATATCACAAGGCAAGTGGAGGCAGGGCGAGATCACAGGACCATAGGACCGAGGCGGGATAGCATTAGGAGATATACCTAATGCTAAACGACGAGTTAATGGGTGCAGCACACCAGCATGGCACATGTATACATATGTAACTAACCTGCACATTGTGCACATGTACCCTAAAACTTAAAGTATAATAATAATAAAAATAATAATAATAATAAAAGGAAAATGAACAAAAAAGTCTCTCTGGCCTCAATGCCACTGAGGCCTATTACTGGAAAGTATACATAAAAGTTTAAAGAACAAAACAAATGCAGAAAAAAAATGCAATATTTATTATGAATAACTCTTGGATAAATGAGGGAGAAACTATTCAGTTACTATGCAGCTACCATAAAAATTCTTTTTATCAAAATTTGTACAATATTTCCAAAGCTATGCTCAGAGGCAAATGTACAGCCCTAAATGCTTTTATTATTCATTAACAAAAATAAATGTCACTAATCTAAGATTTTCACTTCTATGAAATAACACAAGCCTAAGAGCATCAGAGAAAGAAAAAATACCAAAATTAGTTGATTTGATATATGCAGAAAGGACATTTGAAAAATAAGTTGAAGAGATGATTCTGTGGAATAATAAAGAGTATAATGAATTAAATAGACACATAGCTTGCTGTTTTCATTAAGAACAATGTAGCAAACCCATGGATATATAGCATTAGAATGAAAAGCTATATTTCAACAGATACAGTGATCATTAAAAAGTAGTAAAAACTATTATGTAAAAATCTAGGCTAATGAATACAAGAACCTTGATGAAAATGTTACTTTTACAGGAATTTCTTAAATGATAAAAAAGTGATTCAGGAAATGTGAGAAAACAAAAATGTCTAATATCTATAAGAAAGAATGAAAAATAATTAAAGACTTATAAAAAAAGAAATTAAAATTGCTAATGAAGTTTCGGGCATCATTGTCATTGATAACATCTTATCAGGAGACAGGGTTTTTGAGATCAACTGGTCTGACCAAAATTTATTAGGTGTGAATTTCCTCTTCCTAATAAGCCTGGGCGTGCTACGGGAGACTGGAGTCTATCTCACCTCTGCAGTCTCGACCATAAGAGACGACCACGCCCGGGGGGGCCAGTTTAGAGACCTACCCCCAGGTGCGCATTCTCTTTCTCAGGGATGTTCCATGCTGAGAAAAAGAATTCAGTGATATTTCTCCCATTTGCTTTTGAAAGAAGAGAAATATGGCTCTGTTCCACCCAGCTCACCAGCGGTGAGAGTTTAAGGTTATCTCTCTTGTTTCCTGAACGTTGCTGTTATCCTGTTCTTTTTTCAAGGTGCCCAAATTTCATATTACTCAAACACACATGCTGTACAATTTGTGCAGTTAATGCAATTATTACAGGGTCCTGAGGTGATATACATCCTCCTCAGCTGAAAGGATTAAGAGATTAAAGACAGGCATAGGAAATCACAAGGGTATTGACTGGGGAAGTGATAAGTGTCCATGAAATCTTTACAATTTATGTTTAGAGATTGTAGTAAAGACAGGCATAAGTATAAAAGTATTAATTTGGGGAACTAATAAATGTCCATGAAATCTTCACAATCCACGTTCTTCTGCCATGGCTTCAGCTGGTCCCTCCATTTGGGGTCCCTGACTTCCCGCAACAAATAACATTAAGGATTTTGTATGTTACAACTTTTACATTTATTACAATATTTAAAAACAGAACCCCAAGTGTAAGTACAATTATTACTATTATTATCCTAATTATACATATAAGGAAACTGGAGAGCAGAGAGGTTAACTACTCAGGTCCACAAAAAGGAAGTGACCAAGACAGAATTAAACCCCAAGTCTTTGTAATCCTCCAAAACAGAGTTCCTTACCAGAATGAATGCTCATCCACAAATAACTAACTCAGAATTCAATTTATACACACATATTTAATCTCACTTAATGACCTATAAGATTACTTATAATGAATGCTGAATAAAATGCAAATGTGCAACTTATAAAGTAGAGGATAAGGACACTTCTTTCACCCTAAGACTGCAATGAGAGTCTGGTTGACTAAGGCACTGCCTACGACACAAGACTCCAACAGAAAAGTTGGTCAAAGAGCTAGTTAAGATTTTTTGTTTTGTTTATTGTTTTGGAGGGGTTTTTAACAAAATATTTAAAGTCAAACCAGTGTATGAAATTACTAAAGCAATTTAAAAAAATGCCACAATTGTCACCTTCTAAGTGGCCTGGTCTATGCTAAGCATGCTATGACTTACCCTGAATATGTTTCCATAGAATGTAAAATAGTAACCATGACTCCCTTCTGCCTACTTCTATTGCCACTAAATAGGTCAAATGTTTTACTATCTTTGCTATCAGACAGAAGTGATGGTGAACAGGAACTAATATCAATGAAGTGCTACCTGTGTCAAGAACTATATAAATAGTTCTTGAATAGTTGGGATATAGAAATATATCTTCCCAACATCACATGAGCAACATATTATTCAAATTTTGCAGATAGGGAAATGCAGACAAAGAGAGACTTAAGTCTCTTGACTAAATCTTCCACTAAGCAATGGACAGAGCCTGAATTTGAACTCTAACTCTAGAGCTTGCTCAAGCATGGATTCCAGAAGCAGCCTCAGCTGTGCTTAATGAACAACACATAACCTAACTTTCTTTGCTGGCTCTAATCTCCTAATTCCAACCCATTTACTATCACAGAATCAATGTGGATGAGGAATGTTGGCAGGAGAGAATTTGTACATTGCATATAGATTTACCCTTCAACATAACCAGGAGAAAACAATTTGAAGAGACATTATGCATAAAATTTTTAACACTGCATTAAAAGTTGAAAACAATAAAAAGAAAGAAAGTAAATGTAATCCAATATTAAATTATAACTGGAGGAAAAATAACATGTCTAACTCCAAGTACGAAACAAAATGCTTAATTAATTAGCTGGATTTATTTTAATGTTTCTTAACTTTTTAATCCTTCATATTTCACTCCTTCACTGTACTACAGAACTTTAAGAAATTGACATAGCAGTTTATTTTAAATCCTTTAATTGCTTTGTTAGAATATGAAAACATTACTTTCAGAGAAACTATCAAATGACCTTGATGATCTACACAACATTCATTATAGACTGGTAAACATTTGTGAAAATCCTTGCTGTGATGATTGATTGCATTTTTCCTTGCTTCAGTTACTGCAAACTAAATTGCCTGTCAATAAAGTGATGACTTCTGTCAACATAGTTTCTTAATCCTTATTCAGTCCTTTTAGCAATGACAACCTTAGAATAATATATTGTAAGTCTTTATGGATCAATAATGCTGCTCAGTATAAAACACTGCAATCTACCACCAGGATTTTTATCCTTCTATTTATAATGATCTCTGACAAGCTACCTAGCAGTAAAATTTCTTACTAAGGAGAAAAAAAGACGTCTAACAAACAAGTCAAATACAACACTATAAACAGCATATGCCAATCCAAACAAGTTAAGAATTTTGAGTGAAGCTCAATATTAGCAAAATGCTTTTATCCTAAAGTAGTTAATGACTGAGATGTCATTTGAAGACCACTCAAGAAAAAAAATTATTATTCAAGCCCTTAGACATTTTGAAATGATGTATGGGTGGTTATTTATGTAAAAAGCCTTCTCTACAATGTCAGAAACAGAAAATTTCCATTTAAAAACCATAAAACATAAGCCAATGCATACCCTGGCTAATTTTTTCTCTAGGCAATTAGAGGACTTTTTTTTTTCATTTAATCTATATTTAGATTGTACTTCAGACATCTTTATGTGAGAAGTAGATTATAATTGCCTTTAAACACTACAATTTAGATGTTTCCATTTAAACCAAAAATTACTTAAAATAAATGCCATTCTATCAATGAAAACAGAATCATGACACTGCTTTACAACTGACATTGCCTCTTTTATATAGAGTTATGTTAACTATGTCTTCTCTAAATCTGCATTTTTATCATTTGTTAAACTCAACTAACCTGATATATTTGATAGCACTGAACTGGAGGGGAAATTTTTCAACAAGCTAGCAGTTCACCATATTTCTCCTCCCAAACTCGTGAACCAAGAGAAAATAATCTGATTTTATTGTTATTATTTTTTAAAATGAGAGTGTATTGGATTTATGAAAGAATTAACTTCTTATCAACTTATTAAACTTTCTGGGGGAAAAAATGTAACCTCCATGCATTCCTTTTCAAGAAACTACTGAAAAAATTAAAATTGAAGAGTAAAACAAGTAAAAGGAAAATATAGAACCAAGAAAACCAGAAATCTAATACACAAAAGAGACAAAAGAAACATAAATTGAAGCAGGAGGGTTGAAGGTTTCAGGAGGAATGTCTGTAAAAACAAACAAACAAAAAGCCAAACACTAATTTATTTGGTCATTCTGAAAAGAGCTTAGAGTTCTCTCAGTCTGAAGCAAGAAGCAGTAATTGGTACAAAGAAAATTAAGCAAATGGGGGTTTAAGTCATTAACTTCCCCTAAAAAACAAAGGAATACCTCAGAGATATTGCAGGTTCAGTTCCAGACCACCACAATAAAGTGAATAAAAGCAAGTCACATGAATTTTTGGTTTCCAGTGCATATAAAAGGTGTGTTTATACTACACTGTATTCTATTAAGTGTGAAATACTATCATGTCTTAAAAAATGTATATACCTTAACTAAAAATACTTTTCTTTCAAGATAGTTGACTAGAAGCATTTCAAGCATGCCTCATTTGCTTAGAAGACCCAAATCATGTGTAGACAATCACACTGTGAATACATGCCTAAGAGGGAACACGAGTTCAACAGAAAAGCAAAAGGAAACACTGCAAACTAGGAAGGAAAAGGAGAAAAGGCAGCCTGCTTGGCTGGGACCAGCCAGGAATTGGGAGTTATCCCCAGTATGGGAGAGGGTAAGTGAGGGTCCTATTGAGGTCCACTTTCCCACAAGGGAATTATACAATCCGGGCCACCAGAGAACGCCCTGACCCTCCAACCCCCAAATCTAACTTACAGAGTGGCTAGAAGACTGTGAAAAGGAACTACTTCAGGGAAAGAACACATCCTGGGTTCCACACCCTTTCTGAAACCTAAGAAACAGTAAGATGCTATTCTCAATCTTAGCTCTTAAAAGGCTGTGTGCAGTCCTAGGAACCCGCTGCACCAGTCCTAGGTGTTAGAGAAACTCGGGCTGCTGCATGCAGAACAGAGGCACAAGTCAGGGGTGGACTCCTGCAAACAGGACTGAGAAGAAAAGTGTAACATGGGCTGCAGCCCCCAGTGCTAGAAGCAGGCACTGTCTCTGGGACTTAGGCAGGAGGAGAGTTGCCACAGAGGCTTGATCTTGAGCTTGGCAGGGGCTCCAATGGCCCAGGACTGAGTTGCAGGCCAGGCACAAACTGCCAGGTCTGATAGAACAGCCAGGTCAGCTGCAACAGCAGGGAAAATGGAATGAGCCCCACCAGAACTGGGGTATAAGTGGGACTCAAGGCCTTGGCCACTAGGTTTGACCCCACCCTCCCTGTGGCTGGACCTCAATGCTGCAGTAGCCACCACTCACCCAAGCATTCTGCCAGGGGCCTGAGAACTGCATGGCCTCCCCATCACAGCTGGTGCATGCACTTGCCACTGGGGGTCCTGAGTGCAAGCTTGACCAGTCCAGATGTGCCTGGCTTTGCCCAACCTCCTTTGACAAGACAGGGTAAGAGATCCAGGGTCCTAAAGGTTACAAACCCAATCCACCACCTGGTACATTGAAGCACTCCTCTTGAGAGACTAAGGTTGGACATAAACACCCTGCTGCTTCTGGCTCTTACCTGTAAGCACCACCTGCTGGCCTGGAAGCCAGCCTGCACATTTCAACCACTGCCAACACAAGCACACAGCATTTGGAACCCAGAAAAGCATCTCAACACTGTTACTGCCATCAACAATGCCATGTCAGCCAACTCAGAGACTCGTGAGCTGCTTCACCTGGCCAGTAAACTGCTATTACAACCAACATTCAAGAAAGACACCTAGAGGCCCAAGAATCAGCATGCCTGGAATCACTAACACAGTTGCCAGTGTTCAAAGCCCTGGGAACAAAAGGCATGCTTAGTCCACCACCATCACCACTAAAACTTGAAGACCAGGCCACCCAGCATCCCAGACCCCAGCACAACTTCATCACAGCCTCCAAAAAACAACAGCACCCTAACAAACTGAGGAAACCACGGATACCAGTAATGCTATTTAGCTAAAATAATAATATTCACAATCACACACAGACTTCAGTGCTGCATGCACCCAGAAACAAAACCAAAGGGCCCTACTCAACCAACATCATAGTCACATCTTCAGGAAAAAAAAAAAAAGTAATATGACACCCCTAAAGAAGCACAATAATTCTCTACCAATAGATCTTAACCAAAAAGAAATTCTCAAAACCCAGATAAAGAATGTTAAGTATTTATTTTAAAGAACCTCAACAAGATGCAAGAGGAATCTGAAAACAAATACAAAGAACACAGAAAAATAATTAAGAATATTAATGAAAAATTTACCAACGAGATAAATATCTTTGGGGGAAAAAAGCAAATTCTGGACTAAGGAATTCAATGAAGGAAATACAAAATATATTCAAAAAATTTTAAAAAAAGACTAGTCCAAACAGAAGAAAGAATTTTAGAACTTGAAGACAACTCTTTTGAAATAATCCAGTCAAATAAAAACAAAGAAAAAAATTAAAAAAGAATAATCTAAGCCTTCAAGACATTTGGGACAATGTGAAGCAACTGAACTTATGAATTATTGGAATACCTAAGGAAAAAGAGAGATCAAAAAGTTTAGAAAACCTATTTAATGAAGTAATAATTGAAAACTTCCCAAGTTTAGCATGAGATTTAGACAACCAGATACAGGAGGCTCAGAGATCCCCAGGCAAATACTATGCAAAAATGACTTTGCCATAGAACATTATATCAGGCTATCTAAAGTCAAAGTAAAAACAGCAAATTCTGAAAACAGAAAGAAAAAAAGCACCTATTCACCTATAAAGGAAATTACATCAGATTAACAGCTGACTTCTCAGCAGAAACCTTACAGACCAGAAGAAAATGAGATGATATATTGAATGTGCTAAAGAAAAACATTGCCAGCAAGATTAATCTTCATAAAGGAAGACAAAATAAAGTCTTTCCCAAACAAGCAAATATTGAGGGGAGTCATTGCTATTAGACTGGTTTTACAAGAAATGCTCAAGGGAGTCCTAAACTTGGAAGCAAAAGGACAACATTAACCATCATAAAAACACATGACAGTATAAAACTCATTGGCAAAGTAATCACACAAAGGAGAAAGGGAAAGAAATGTCACCAAAACAGAATACTACCAAACTACAATAACAAATACAGAAAAAAAAACAAAGAATTTAGAAAACAATTACAACATGACAGGACTAAAACCTCACATATTAGTGTTTACCTTGAATGTAAATAGATTAAATGCTCCAATTAAAAGCTATACATTGGCAGAATGAATTAAAAAAAAAACATGATCCAACTATATGCTGATCACAAGAAACTGACCTTACCTATAAAGACACATAAAAACTAAAAATAAAGGGGTAAAAAGAGATATTCCACACAAACGTAAATCAAAAGCAAGCAGTAGTAGCTATACTCATATTAGATAAAACAGACATTAAGTTAAAAACAGTAAAAAGAGAAAGAGAGAGGGGGGATATAATAATAAAGGAATCAATTCAGTGCAAGGATATAACAATTCTAAATATATATATGCTCCCAACAGTGGAGCACCCAGAGTCATAAAACAAATATTACTAGACCTAAAGAGAGAGACAGATAGCAATACAATAATAGTGGAGGAATTCAACACCCTACTCACAGTATTAAAACAGATAATCAGTACAAAAAAATGATAAAGGCTGGACTTAAACTGGACTTTAGACCAAATGGACCTAACAGAATTTACATAACATTCTGCCCAACTGCAGAATATACATTCTTTTCATCAACACACTGAACATTCTCCTAGATAGACCATATGTTAAGCCACAAAACAAGTCTTGGCACATTTTTAAAAATCAAAATAATATCAAGTATCTTCTCAGGCCACAGTAGAATAAAACTAGAAAATCAATACCAAAGGTCAAATCAATACCAAGAGGGACTCTGGAAATTTTACAAATACATGGAAATTACACAACATACTCCTGAATGAACACTGGGTCAATGAAGAAATTAAGATGGAAATTAAAATTTTTTGAAATAAATGAAAACAGAAATACAATATAACAAAACCTGTGGGATACAGGAAAAGTAGTACTGAGAGGGAGGTTTATTGCATTAAATGCCTAGATCAAAAAAGAAGAAAGATTACAAATTGCCAGTATAACAATACATCTCCAGAAACCATAAAAGCAAGAATAAAATAAACCCCAAATTAGCAGAAGAAACAAAATAACAACGATCAGAGCAGAACTAAATGTAACAGAGACTTTAAAAAATACAAAGGATCAACAAAACAAAAAGTTGGTTTTTCAAAAAGACAAACAAAATTGATAAATAGCTACACAGACTATTCAAAGAAGAAAGAAGACACAACATCAGAAATGAAAAAGGAGAAATTACAACTTATAACCATAGAAATACAAAAGATCATCATACACTTATATGCTCACAAACTAGAAAACCCAGAGGAAATGGATAAATGCTTGGAAACATATAGCCTCCCAAGGTTGCATCAGGAAAAAATAGAAAACCTGAACAAACTAATAATGAGTCAGTAATAAAAAGACTGAGTCAGTAATATTAATAATAAAAAACTCCCCAAAAAAGAAAGACTCAGGACCAGATGGATTCACAGCCAAATTATCCCAAAGGTACAAAGAACTAACTACAATCCTCCTAAAACTGTTTCAAAAAATTGAGGAGGATGGAATTCTCCCAAACTCACTATATGAATCCAGTATCATCCTGATACCAAAAATGAAAGACACAACATAACAAGAAAACTACTGACTAATATCTTTGTTTAACACAGACACAAAAATCCTCAACATACTAGCAAACCAAATCCAACTGAACATCCAAAAAATATACCATGATCAAGTGGGTTGAATGTATCAGGTATGCAAGGATGGTTCAACATTTGCAAATCAATAAATGTGATGTATCATATAAACAGGATCAAGGACAAAAACCATATGATCATCTCATTAGATGCAGAAAAAGCATTTGATAAAATTAAGCATCCCTTCATGATAAAAACCCTAACAAAACAGACAGAGAAGAAACACACCTCAAAGTAATAAAGGCTATATACGACAAAACCACAGCTAACATAATACTAAATGATGAGTATTTAAAGCATTTCCTCTAATAACTGGAACAAAGCAAGGATACCCACTTTACTATTCCTATTTAACACAGTACTGAAAGTCTTAGCTAGAGCAATCTGGCAAAAGAAATAAGTAAAAGGATCCAAACTGGAAAAGAAGTCAAATTATCCCTGTTTGCTAAGATATAATCTTATATCTAAAAAAATTTAAAGACTCTATTAAAAAAAACTCTTACATAACTAAATTAACTGAAGTTGCAGGATACAAAATCAACATACAAAAACCAGTAGTGCTTCTATATATCAACAATGATCTAACTGAAAAAGAAATCAAGTTGGCAATCCCTTTTATAATAGCAACAAAAAAAAAAAACCTAGGAACATTTAACTTAGGAAGTGAAAAATCTCTGCAAGGAAAATTACAAAACTCTAATGAAAGAAACTGTATTATAGATGACAAAAATGAGAAAACAGCCCATGCTCACAGATCAAATGAATTAATATCATTAAATGGCCCACACTGCCTAAAACAATCTATAGTTTCAATGCAATCCCTATCAAATTACCAATGTCATTTTTTACACAAGTACAAAAAAAATCCTAAAAATTGTATGGAACCAAAAAAGAACTCAAATAGCCAAAGCAATCTTGAACAAAAAGCACAAAGCTAGAGTCATCACATTAGCTGATATCAAATTATATTATAATTTTGTTATAAAAGAACAAAGCTCACATCACGTAAGCTGATAACAAATTACAGTAACCAAAACAGCATGGTACTGGTATAAAAACAGACACATAGATCAATGGAACAGAATACAGAACCCAGAAATAAAGCCACATATTTATATTCAACTGATCTTTGACACAGTTGACAAGAACAAACACTGGCAAAAAGACAAATAGTGCTGGAAAAACTGGACTGCCATATGAAGGATAAAACTGGACCCCAATCTCTCACCATATACAAAAATACACTCAAGATGGATTAAAGACTTAAATATAGGAACCAAAGTTATAAAAATACTAGAAGAAAACCTAGGGAAAACTCTTCTGGACATTGATCTAGGCAAAGAGTTTAGATTAAGACCTCAAAAGCAGAGGCAACAAAAACAAAAAGAGATGAATGTGACTTAATTAAACTAAAAGGGTTCTGCATGGCAAAAGGGGTAATAAACACATTGAAGAAACAACCTGCAGAATGGGAGAAAATATTTGCAAACTATTCATCCAACAGGGGACTAATATACAGAATATACAAAGAACTCAAACAGCTCACCAACAACCAAAGACTACAAATAACCCCATTTAAAAGATAGCAAAAGAAATGAATATATATTTTTCAAAAGAAGAAATAAAAATGGCCAACAGGTATATGAAACAATACTCCACATCGCTAATCATCAGAGAAATGCAAAGCAAAACTGCGATGAGATGTCATCTTACTCCAGGCAAAATAGTTATTATCAAAAAGACAAAAAATAATAGATGTTGGCAAGGATGTAGAGAAAAGGGAACATTAAACACTGTAGTGGGCATGTAAATTAGTACAACCTCTAGGGAAACAGTATGGAGATTTCTCATAGAATTAAAGATAGATTTACCATTTGATCCAGCAATTCTGCTACTGGGCATCTACGCAAAGGAAAAGAAATCAAAAAAGATATCTGCATTCATAAGTTTACTGCATCAAAAAGATATCTGCATTCATATGTTTACTGCATTATTCACAATAGCAAAAAATATTCAATCAACCTAAGTGTCCATCAACAGATAAAGGAAATGTGGTATATACACATAACAAAATACTACTCAGTCACAAAAAAGAATAAAATGTCTTTTGCAGCAACATGGATGGAACTGGACGTCATTATCCTAAGTAAAACAAGCCAGGCACAGAAAGACAAATGTCACATATTCGTATTCCTAAGTGTATGCTAAAAAATGAGCTCTCATGGATGTAGAGTGTGGAACAATAGATAAGGAAGACTTGGAAAAGTGAGTGAGTGGGAGGGGGGAAGATGATGAGAAATTAGTTAATAGGTACAATGTAGGTTATTAGGGTGATGGATACCCTTAAAGCCCTGACTTTACTACTGTCCAACCTATGCGTGTAACAAAATTGCACATGTACCCCATAAATTTACACAAATGTTTTAGTCCTAAAAAATGCAAATGATCATCTGAGCCTTCAGTAAGCTGTAATCTTTTTGCTGGCATAAAGTTTTGCCTCAATGTTGATGGCTACTGATTGATCAGGGTAGTGGCTGCTGAAGCTTGGGGTGGCTGTGGTTAATTTCTTAAAATAAGACAACAGTGTTTGATGTATCAATGAACTCTTCATGAAAGATTTCTCTGTAGCATGTGATGCTGTTTGATCATATTTTACCCACAGCAAAACTTCTTTCTACTACAGAGTAAAAATTGAAGTAAATCCTCTCAAATCCTGCCACTGCTTTATGAACTCAATTTACATAATATTCTAAATCCTTTGTTGTCATTTCAACAATATTCACAGCATCTTCACCGGTAGATTCCATCTCAAGAAACCACTTTCTTTGCATATCCATAAGAAGTTTGATCATGCAACTGCAGCAATTCAGTCACATCTTCAGGCTTCACTTCTAATTCTAGTTCTCTTGCTATTTCTACCAGATCTACAGTTACTTCCTCCACTGAAGTACTGAACCCCTCAAAGTCATTCAAGAGAGTTGGAATAAACTTCCTCCAAGCTTCTGTTTAATGTTTATATTTTGGCCTCCTCCCATGAATGATGAATGTTCTTAATGGCATCTAGAATGGTGAATCCTTTCCAGGTTTTCAATTTACTTTGCCAAAGAGGAATCACTATCTATGGCAGCTATAGCCTTACAAAATATACATTTATTCTTAAACAATAAGAGTTGAAAGTCTAAATTACTCCTTAATCCACAGGCTACAGAATAGATGTGTTAACAGGCATAAAAATGGCATTAATGTCCTTGTAAATGCCATCAGAGTTCATGGGTAACCACATACATTGTCAATGAGTGGTATTATTTTGAAAGAAATCTTTTCTTTCTGAGCAATAGGTCTCAAAAGCGGGCTTACAATATTCAGCAAACCATGCTTTAAACAGATGTGGTATCATGTGGGCTTGAAAACAGTGGGCTTTGTAAACAGTGGGCTTACAATATTCAGTAAACCATGCTATAAGTGGGCCTACAAACAGTGGACTTTACAATAACCATAACATATATAATAATAATGGAAAGGTTTAAAAAATTGTGACTCAACAAAATAAAAAAAAAACAAACTTCAGGCCAATATCGTTGATGAACATAGACACAAAAATCCCCAAGAAAACACCAGTAAACCATATCCAGCAGCTTATCAAAAAGCTAATTCACCACAATTAAGCAGGTTATTTATCCTTGGGATGCAAAAGTGGCTCGACATGCATGTCAATAAATGTGATTCCTCTTATAAATGCAACTGAAAACAAAAAACACATGATTATCTCAATACATGCAGAAAAGGCTTTCAATATAATTCAACATCCCTTCATGTTAAAAACCCTCAACAAACTAGACATTGAAGAAACATACTTCAAAATAATAAGACCCATCTATGACAAACCCACAGCCAACATCATACTGAATGGGCAAAAGCTGGAAGCATTCTCCTGGAAAACCAGAACAAGAACAGGATGTCCTCTCTCACTACTCATATTCAACATAGTACTGGAAGTCATAGACAAGCAATTAGGCAAGAAAAAGGAATGAAAGACAACCAAATAGAAAAAGATGAAGTCAAAACTATCCCTGTTGCAGACTATATAATTCTATATCTAGAAAACCCTGTAGCATCTGCCCAAAAGCTCCTTGAACTGACAAACAACTTGAGCAAAGTTTCAGGACACAAAATCAATGTACAAAAATCAGTATCATTCCTATATACAAACAACATCCAAGCTGAGAGCCAAATCAAGAATGCAATCCAATTCACAGTAGCCACAAAAAAGAATAAAATACCAAGGAATACAGCTAACCAGAGAGGTGAAGGATCTCTACAGTAAGAATTACAAAACACTGCTCAAAGAAATCAGAGATGACACAGAAAAACATTCCATGCTCATAGTTAGGAAGAACCAATATTGTTAAAATGGCCATACTGCCAAAAGCAATTTAGAGATTCAATGCTATTCCTATCAAACTACCAACGACATTATTCACAGAATTAGAAAAAAACTATTTTAAAATTGGTGTGGAACCAAAAAAGAGCCTGAATAGCCACAGCAATCCTAAGCAAAAAGAACACGTCTGGAGGCACCATGTTCCCTGACTTTATACTACAAGGCTATGGTAACCAAAACAGCATTATACTGGTAGAAAAAAGACACACAGACAAATGGAACAGCATAGAGAGCCCAGAAATAATGACACACACCTACAACAATCTAATCTTCAACAAAGTCAACAAAAACAAGCAATGGGAAAAAAGACTCCCTATTCAATAAATGGTGCTGGTTAGCCACATGCAGAAGATTGAAACTGGATCCCTTCCTTACACCATCTATAAAAATCAATTCGAGATAAATTAAAGACTTAAATATAAAACCTAAAACTATAAAAATATTGAAAGATAACCTAAGAAATACTATTTTGGACATAGGACCTGGCAAAGATTTCATGACAAAGATAAAAGCAATTGCAACAAAAACAAAAATTGACAAATAGGACCTCATTAAAGAGCTTCTAAACACAGCAAAAGAAACTACTGACAGAGTAAACAGACAGTCTACAAAATGAGAGAAAATATTTGCAAACTATGCATCTGACAAAGGTCTAATATCCAGAATCTATAAGGAACTTAAACAAATCGACAAGCAAAAAGCAAACAATCCCATTAAAAAGTGGGCAAAGGATATGAACAGACACTTCTCAAAAGAAGAAATATACATGGTCAACAAGTATATGAAAAATGCTCAACATCACTAATCATTAGAGAATGCAAAGAAAAACGACAATGAGATATCATCTCAGCCCAGTCAGAATGACTATTATTTAAAAAAAAATAAACAACAGGTGTTGGTGAGGCTGCAGACAAAGGGGAATGCTTCTACACCACTGATGGGAATGTAAATTAGTTCAGCCATTGGGAAAAGCAGTGTGGTGATTTCTCAAAAGACTCAAAGCAGAACTATCATTCAACCCAGCAATCCCATTGTTGGGTATATACCCTAAGAAATGTAAGTCATTCTACCCTACAGACAAACAGACATGTAAGTTCATCACAGCACTATTCACAATAGCAAAGACATGGAATCAACCTAAATACCCACTGATGGTAAACTAGATAAAGAAAATGTGATACATATACACCATGGAATACTACCTAGTCATAAAAAGAATAGATACTATCCTTTGCAGCAACATGGATGGAGGTAGAGGCCATTATACCAAGTGAACAAACAAAGGAACAGAAAACCAAATACTACATGTTCTCACTTATAAGTGGGAGATAACCACTGAGTACATATGAACATTAAGAAGAGAACAGACACCAGGGCCTACTTGAGGGTGGAAGGGAGGAGAAGGGTGAAGATTGAAAAACTACCTTGTATCAGGCGCTATGCTCATTACTTGGGTGGCAAAATATTCTGTACAGCAAACCCCCACAACATGCAATTTACCTATATAACAAACCGCACATGTACCCCGAGCCTAAAATAAAAGTTCAACAACAAAAAAAGCTGAAGGTAACATTTAGAAAAAAAAAAAAGTTGTGAGAGTTACCAAAATATGACACAGAGACATGAAATTAGCACATGCTATTGAAAAAAATGGGACCAACAGACTGGCCCGATGTAAGGTTGCCACAAATCTTCAATTTGTAAAACATACAATATCTCAGAAGCATAATAAAGCAAAGCACAATAAAATGAGGTATGCTTGTAAACAACCACAAGTTACAAAAAGGAGGGAAAACCGAACATAGTACATTATGTAGCTCTATTGCAAATGTTCACACAGTAATGATAGTGTTATATAAATATATTGGAAGGATGGGAAGAGAAAAAAACAGAAAATGATGGAAGGGAGGAAAAATACTAAATTATTTTCTTTCATAGTAGAAAGGCATTATGTAATTAAAATTTAAAAGTCAGGAAATGGCAGTGAGAAATTTGTGTGGGGGTAATACAAAGGTAAATGAAAGAGAAAATACAATAACAAAAAAGTTGAAAACAGCTGTCTCTGTGGAGAAGACTAAAAATGGAGAGAGAGGTATCTACTCTTCACTTTAAACATAACTTTGACTTTTTAAACTATGTACACTTACTACTTTTAAAAACACTTTTAATTACTTGAATGAAGTAAAACTACATGAAGCAATGCTGATGACATCTCAAAAAATGTTGGGAAGAAAATGAAAACTGCAGAATGTTCACTATTGATGCCATTTATACCAAGTTCAAATACAGAAAACCAACAAAAAGAGGGAAGTGTGGACTCTGAAGTTAAGCAAACTGGAACACCTCTACTTACTAGTAATGACATCATGGGTAAATGAAAGCTCTTAGCGACAGCTTTCTCGTGCAAAATACAGATAACAATACCTGTATGATTATGTTGTTTTGTAAATTAAATGATATAACACACACGAAGTACCTGGTTCATAGTACATGCTTGATAATGTGTTATTATTAATTTTCTTTTTCTCCACTTTTCAACTTTTCTATGATGAATATGTAAATTTAATTCAAAAATGTTTTTCTAAAATGTTAAGACGTTCCTTGAATTAGGAAGTTACATCCATTCTTTGTTCTAATATTTGGTGTTAAAGGAATAGCTCAGCCTCAATTACACCTCCTTTGTGCTGATCTCACACACAAATAAACAATGGACCAAGACCAATATGTAAAGAAGTATCAGTTTGAAGAAGTGCCCTGATCTCCTCCTCTACTTTTATTCATTCTACAGATTATTGGCCGTTCATTAGGTTTCAAGGGATGGTATGAGAAGGTATGGGGACTATAAAGATGCAAAATGCATGGTGTCTATGCTCAAAGAGCTTACTGTAATCAGGAGAGGGAAGCAGAGAGGAAACAGGCAAATGCTGCCATGACATGACATGGCTTTGAAGTTAGGCAGTCTGGGGTTCCAATCCTGTAACTGTGTTTTGGGGAAAATTTCTTAATATCTAAGTTCCAGTTTCCTATGTAAAAATCTGAAGAACAGAAATTGCTTTGGAAGGTTGCCTAACAGCCACGATAACATCCTTAAAGCAACTATCATGTGACTTACAGTATGTGCTCAATATTTGGTAACTCTTGGTCCTATTAAAATTATTGCAGGAGATACCTTCTAAAATGAAAAATTCAGGGGAAAGTCTTTGTGCAAGTGTATTTTACTCTGTAAAACATTCACAAAAACGCACAAATAAATGCTATGCAGATTCATAGGGAGAGAATCTACTTTCAGATAAGAGAAACCAAGGGATATTTTTAGTGGAGACACTGGCATTTTAAATACCATCTTCCACAAATCTTAAGACACATTTTCATGTTTTAACATCTCTGAAGCTGGGTGTATCTGGCAATGATGGTGTGTCAGTTTAACTGGCAACATTTTTTCTTAGTGGTACATAAATTAATAACACATCTTAGATTCAGTGAAGTAGAGTCCATAGGGATGAAGAGAATTCTGTAGAATGGCAATAGCAAAGGCACACAATACTGGGCGTGAATGTTAGCACATATAGTTCAGGTTGGCTGGCATGTCATTGTACACAAAGAGGAGTTAGGAAGCAAGACTGAAAAGGCAGACTGTTCCATTAGTTGTTTTTTTACCCCATGTCTCGTGATCACACTATTTTAATTTACCATTCCTGTATGGTAAATCTTGGTATTTGGTAAGATTAATCAGCTTTAGTGTTCTTCAAAATTATTTGGCTCTTCTTGCTATTCCTTCCCATGTCAATTTCAAATCAGATTGGCAAATATTGTAAAAAGAACATGCTACTTGGGATTTTGATTGGGACTGTATTGAACTTAATGGATTAATTTTGGGGGACTTTCTATTCAATCACAGAAATTACAGAATAGAAACTATAGAACAGAAATTCCTGTTTTCCCATCCAAAAGCATAACACTGATCTCCATTTATTTAGATCCTATATCTTTCAACAAAGTTGTATAATTTTTTTCCATAAAGGTCTTATGTATCTTTTGTTGGATCTATTCCTTGGTATTTTGGGGGTTGTTATTGCAAATAATGTTTGAATTACATCCTGTAAATTGATGGCATATTAAGCAATTTAAAGTATATACGGTGATTCAATTAATGCTAATGTTTAATCTTGTTTTCTGCATGTTGATATACATCACAATTTAAAAATTAACAAAAATATTTCCATGATATACAGAATATTAAAACTGCAGAAGTGGAAACAAAGAAGTTCATACCACATATGCAACGCCATCTAAAATAATTAAAGAACAGATTTAAATTGTCCTGGAAAGAACATAGCATCCAAAACCTACACTCATGTATATTATACAATACATATAAAATGTTGAGCTATTAAATATTGGACTAGTTCCATTTCTGCAACTGTGAAATAAATGATATGAGTGGCAATGATATCAAAACAATTATTGTCACCCACCTTATTGATTATATTCTGTCAACTCTCAACTGCTCACACCAACAGAGAGAAACACTGATACATGCAACAAAAAAACTACAAATAGTTCACCTAGCTGAGTTGGAGGCATGCTAAAAAGTTAGGCATCCTCTAAGTTTGTAAGTATTCAGAACAGCCAGGTCATCACGTGCTCTGCTTTTCCTTAAAACAACTTCACTGATCCTACAAGACAGCTGGTAGCAGAGAATTGAAATTACTGGCAGGAGAAATGAATCTCAAACAGTTGCCTTAAGTGTGAAATAGGCTCTACACAGGCATTTATTTTTCCAAAAGTTCTTTAACCTAAGTTCTAAATTCTCCTTATTCTCTTTACCCTTTCTTAGAGGAATATTAACAAACTTAAAAAATGAAAATAATGAAGTGAGTTTGGGACCAGTATGCTAACTTCCAAATTACCATGATCTGAGTTCCAGATCTCAAGACATCCAACTGCGTACTAGACATTCCTAACCAAGTGTTCTCCGACATCTCAAATGAGACATGTTTACTACTGAAGTCCTCCCATTCCCAAAACTATGTCCTCTTTCCATTAATACCTATGTCAAGGACTAGCAGTTTAAGCCAGAAACCCAGCAGTCAGTCTTGAGTACTGCAAAAAACATTCTGAACCCAATGCACAATTAATCATCAAGACTTGCTGGCTGACTCTACTTCCTTAATACCCTCTCTCCTCTCACTATCACTGCCCTCAGTTCAGGTGGTCATCATTTCTTTCCTGTACTATTGCAGTAATTCCTTTAATTTGTCTATCTCCATCCTCTACAGAATGATCAGAATAATAATTCAAAAATGTAAATGGATGTTACTCTTCTATTCAAAATTATTTAATGCCTCCCCAATGCTTAAAGGATAAAAGCCAAAATTGTTAACATAGCAACGAAAAAGCTTTTTTTTTTTTTGGAGACAGTTTCGCTTTTGTTGCCCAGGCTGGAGTGCAATGGCGCGATCTTGGCTCACCGCAAGCTCCACCTCCCAGGTTCAATCAATTCTCCTGCCTCAGCCTCCCAAGTAGCTGGGATTACAGGCACACACCACCACGCCCAGCTAATTTTGTATTTTTAGTAGAGATAGGGTTTCTCCATGTTAGTCAGTCTGGTCTCGAACTCCTGACCTCAGGTGATTCACCTGCCTCAGTGTCCCAAAGTGCTAGGATTACAGGCATGAGCCACCATGCCTGGCCCCCCAAAAGCTTTTATAGTCTGTATCTCTAGTCAGCCTCATGGTCCACAGTCCGTTCTTCCTGATCTTTCTCTCTAAATGTCCACCAGAACTTTGCATATACTGCTCCCTCAACCTAAAATCCCTTCTTTATTTTCTATTTTCCACCTGGAAATATTCTTCAAATCTTTATAAACTAGCTGAGGGATCATGACCTCACAAAAAACCTCTGAACTCCCAAGAAGACTTAAGCAATGCTCGAAGTGTCTTTTCAATCATGCCTTATTACATAGCACTTAGAACATCACATTTTAATTCTCCATTAATGTCTTTCTCCTCCTAAATAATATTTAATTGGGAAATACCAAGACTTAGCATGGTGTCAGTATTTATTAGACACTGTAAAAATATCTTGTTGAGGCCGGGCGTGGTGGCTTACGCCTGTAATCCCAGCACATTGGGAGGACGAGGCGGGTGGATCACGAGGTCAGGAGATCCTAGCTAACATGGTGAAACCCCATCTCTACTAAAAAATACAAAAAATTAGCAGGGCATGCTGGCGGGTGCCTGTAGTCCAAGCTACTGGGGAGGCTGAGGCAGAATGGCGTGAACCCGGGAGGCGGAGCTTATAGTGAGCTGAGATCACGCCACTGCACTCCAGCCTGGGCAACAGAGCAAGACTCTGTCTCAAAAAAAAAACAAAAAAAAAAAAACAAAAAAAAACTTGTTGAATAGAAACAGTATTCCTATATTAGTTTCTTATTAGTCTGAAAATATGGTTATTGCTCATACTTTAAATATTTCTTGGTAGGAATCATTACATCTTACAATAAGGATTTCTCATTATAAAGTGAAATATTGTAATACTAATAAGTTATTTTAGAAAATTGAAATATTTTACACTAATTTTAGTGGCCTATTCACAAGAAACTACTGAAAGCTTTCACATCTAAAACAAAGTGTGAAAACTGTGAATTCCATTAAGTGAAAGACATTTTCAAATATGGGGACATGTGTAATTTTATTCCTAGAAAATAATATTGGAATACTTCTGTTTCCTCTATAATTTCCCTAAGTCTCTACCTGACTCTGAGCACAAAACTTTTAGGGGATCATATACAATTTCCAAAACAAAAATACAGCTTCAAAATTGTAAGTCTAAAATGAAGATTATATGCTTAAGTAACTTCTCCAAATAAACCAGACTTGCTTGCTAAATCACGGTATATTTTATAATCAAAAGATGAAACACCATAAAAAGCAAACAGGTATTTGCTGTTAAGTCATTAATTTTACCACTGCAGAAATTATTTAAGAACATTATTAATAACGAGGATCTCACTCAGAAGTAATGTATTTTGGCCAGGCGTGGTGGTTCATGCCTGTAATCCCATTACTTTGGGAGGCCGAGGTGGGTTGATCACTTGAGGTCACAAATTCAAGACCAACCTGGCCAACGTGGTGAAACCCCATCTCTACTAAAAACACAAAAATCAGCCAGGCATGGTGGCACATGCCTGTAATTCCAGCTACTTGGGAGGCTGAAGCACAAGAATCCATTGAACCCAGGAGGCGGAGGCTGCAGTGAGGCGAGATCATACCACTGCACTCCAGCCTGGGAGACAGAGCGAGACTCTTGTCTCACAAAAAAAAAAAAAAAAAAAAAAAGGAGAAGTAATGTATTTCAATCATTAAGATAAAAAAATTCAAAGCAGACATGATATTAAAAAAACTGATTGTCAAATCTATACTTATTTCTAACATAAGCATTCAAAGAAAGAAAACTACATATCAACAGTATTTTGAAAAGATACACTATATATATGGTATATATATATTCTTACTGAATATATATATATTCAGAACATATATATATATATACTGAAAAAAAAAAATATATATATATACACTTACTGACAGTAGTGTTCAAAATACAGGCTCTAACCCAAAAAAGGATGAATTCTTCTTATTTTATTGTCTGAAGTGTATACTTTTTGTAATTCCTAATAGCTGTAGGCTCCCAAAAAATACTTTGTGCTTTATCATCTAAGCTAATATTAACATTATTCAGTGATTCTCAATCATTATAAATATTTTTATGAATTTTTGAGGAGAACTGTCTAGGTTCAGAAGTTTATATCCCAACAGAGGCTTTTAAACTTCATCTTACAATGCCAAGCAAAGAATAAAAATCTCAAACTGAAGAAATCAAATTTAACTCTCTCTCTCTTCTCTTGACATTTGTATCCATCCATATTCTTCCTCCATAAACCACTGAAAGCAAACTGCATAAAGGTAAGTCTTTACTCTGAACTTGGCTAGAAGTGATAAGAAAACTCATCAAGACAACAAATATAAAAACAAGTTAAAAAAACAAAAAAATACAAATCTAAGCCATTATTAGTCATAAGCAAGTCTATTTCTGCAATAAACCTTGTTACAGAATGACTTACTTCATATCCACAGTTGTTCTTTAAAGCCATCTACTAATGTTACTACATTCAGCCTATATTTAAAACAAAAACACCTATGTTAGGTCTTCATTTTTAAATTTAAGAGTCTACTTTTACAGATAAGGTGTCAATTTACTTTTGTTCTTAACAGTATTTATATTCCTAAAAAAGACACATTTTGGTTAGTAGTTATTTAGAGTGACATTACTTTAACACAATGCAGCAACAACAAAAAATATTTATATAAGAGTACACTTTTTTAACTCTGAAGGATATATTATTTACTGAAACTTTACACAATTCGATTCCTAGTAAAATTTTAAAATATTTTTCAGTCAAGAAAATATTTTCAATTAACATTAATTTGTGATATTTTACTACAAGAAAAAATATTTAAGAACTTTCTCCCAAATTCATATACTTTTCCAAATTTTGAAATATAGTAAATTTTTAATATTTTTTAAATATAAAAAATAACATTGAGCATTTAATTCTCATATATTCTAAGCACATTACATGTATATTAACACACTTAATCCTCATAGTATTCTTATAACATAAATACTGTTATAATCCCCATTTTACTGAAGGGCTAGGGAATTAAGTAAATTGTTCAAGGAGACAAAGTAGAGGAGCTAAGAATTGAACCCAGACGGTCTGCTCCAGAGTCCATACTTTTTACTATATTATTATACAGACTCCTGCCTGCCAAGCACTATCCTTAAGACTTGAAATTGACAGATCAAACAAACAAATCAGTTACTGTTTTCAAAGAGTTCACAACTATCAACACACACACACAATCAACAAACCTTCTAGTAATAAGAGATCTTCCAGTAATACAATCCAATTGCTAATAGAGCTCAAACCAGCATGATTAATTCTTAAAGTAACACTTCACAAATTTGGCCTGTGCCTCAGGTCTCAAAAGGTAGGAAAGGGAAAGAGAAAGGAAAAAAGTAAGGCTTAAGGTCAACTGGAACAAGACTATAAAGTTCTAGCGAGTGACATTCTAAGGAATTTAGATTCGACTGTGTAGCACACAGTAGATAGCCATTAAAGAATCTTTAAAATGACCAGCCAAGTGTTCTAGTAGGAAAATTAAACAAAACCAAAAAAAAAAAAAAAAACCTTTCAGTGCTAGTAAGAATAGGGTGGAACAGGGAAGAGATTGGAGACAATAACATTAGTAATTCAATTAGTCAACATTACACAATAAGCTCTCTGGAATAGATGAGGAAGACTGAAATAAGAGAGTTGTGAGGAGAAAAGAAAGAATAAAGTTATTTCCAAAGCTTAGACACTAAATTTTTAGGAGAAAGACAAGAGATAGGGAAGAATCAAGGCTGAATCTCAAGTTTCTGGATTAGAACACTAGGAAGAAGTGATGACATTAAGTGGATAAGGAAAAAGCAAGAGGAGTCAAGGGGAATCAGGATATGATTCATGATTTGAAACAATGTAATACAGCTGACACTACAAGTCTTCATTTTCATATAAAAAATCAGTGACTTTGTTATGAAATATAAAATGCCAATTTAGTTTCTTAAACTTGTTTCTTTCGGCCTTATTTATAACTATTTTCTTGCTAATAATACATCTAATACTAAGTACTGAATGATTTATGTTTAGAAAGTACAACCTAAAATAAAAAAATCAACCTCCCTAAAACCCAAAAGCACTGATTTATTTACTGTACATTATTAATGTATGAGGGTTAAGACTTTGATGCAGCTGTAGCCTCACTTTGATGTCAGGAATGGAGAGAAGTACCAGTTGCCTTCTATATCTAGTCTTAAAGAACACACATTTTTAATATCTTCGAAACCATGAAATGTCATTTCATATTTATTTTTTTGCTTTGCTCTGAGAAAATAAGTAGCTTTATTAATATCTGTATTAAATCTATCATTAAAATATCTTTTAAAATGAAAACTTCATTTACTAATACATACTTCGACAGTATCCATTTCAAACAAAATAACACATTCAATATGACAAAAATCAAAATTCTAAAAATTACATATTAATAACAAAAATGGTAATTTTTGTTTTTAATATACCTAATTCCATTGTTGCTCAATTAGATAATATACTTTTTTCATTCAAATTGATATTAAAGGAAAATAAAAAGTATTTTATTATCTTAAATATTAAATTTAGCATCATTTTCTGAAATAATAAACCTAGCATGCATAGGTAACAATATATAAATCACCTAACCTTCTTCAATTGGATAATCTCCACTTAAAGCAAATAATCATATTTAATAACTCCATAAATAAACAGGGTTTATTCTTAACACAGGATTAAGACCATTCACCTCTTTTAAAGGAAAACTTATAATTCAGTAGTATATAGCAAAGTTAGAAACTTAAACAGTAAAGGTAATAAAAGTGAGTCATTTTATAATCTACAACAGTAAAGGCATTCTGGTGAATTTTATGAGAAGTACAGTCTTTAGACATAAGACCTTATTGTGACAAAATTATGTAATATATAGAACCTCAGTAATTAAGGAATTTAATTAACAATTGTTGCTGAATTTGCAAATTAATATACTTCAGGTTGACCAAGAGATGGTGCTCAATCTCCATATATATAGGAATAAATATCCCAAAAGCATTACCAGTAAAATAAAATTATTTTCAGACTATGTGGCAATTTAAAGACTCAAACATCAAAAATCCAATGCATAAACATCACATTAACTGTTTATTCTGTGCAGAGGGAAATAATTTTGGATACCTTCAACGAGAATTTTAAGAATCATACTGACTGATCATCTATACAAGACTGCTAAAATTGTTTTTTAAATGTTTCTGAAACATTGCTTTCAAAATTAGCATTCAGTACTACAAAAAACATTAAGCAACTCAGAAATAAACTTCAAAAAAAGTTTATTCATAACAAATTAAGAAATAATTTTAAGTCATTTATTCCAACTTAACTCATGCTTTAGAATTCTTACTGAATAAGCATTTAACATTCTATTCCTTTGGTAGAAATACAGTTTTTACAACAAACAAAAAACCTAAAATATTCAGCAAAATCAGAATCCATATATCTTCAAAAATTTACAGTTTATGGCATTATATTCTCCATTTATAAAAATGGCATATGACCCAACTGACTGAATTCTAAATGTAAGCTACAGTCACCAAAAGCAATGCAATTACTTCTGAACAGAATGATGATAAAGCAATTACTCCTGAATTGCCACAAATACCCATGTAGGGCTTATATTATACAATTTTAATTTACTATTATATAACTAATTTGTTTTTCTTTTTAGGGAGCAAGAAACATAAAGTACCCTAGAAATTCTAGAAAGTACAGCTCCATATGATATACAATGCCCCAACAATAACTTTTTGTCTATTTAAGTTATAGTCTTCTTGCTACTTCTTACTACTATGTGAACAAGACACACAGAATTTGGCTTCCAAACATCTAAATAAAACAGAAAGCACTGAGAAAAATCGTTTTTGTATAAAATCTGTGCATAGAGAAAGTTATTTCTTTCTACTCCACCAGTCAAAGAAGATCAATAAATCAAGACAATCATAGATTTAAACTAAAATCTAAACAAAACTTCAGTAGGCTTTAAATTTTACTGAAAGCATCTAAAGCCCTAAGTTTTTCTTTATAAAAATTAAATTCCACTAACTTGCCTAATGATGCTAAGGAGAAATCAACAAAAATTCAGTCTGAGAGATGGGAAACAATGTTGTAACTGTAAAAAAATATAAATCTTTTTTTTAATAGCAAAGTTCTTGATCAACACAAAACACAGTTCATCCTTTGATATAGTAATATACTATCTTCCTCATACAGAATATTAAATAAAAGTATCAAAGTCTTATAATTCCTAATTCAATTTAATTTTTAAATCCATGTTTGTTTATTCACTATTCTTAACCATTAATCAAAAACCTAATTTAGTGTATACATATTTTCAAAATAAAACAAAAAATAAAAACCTAACATGTCAGCATTTAAAATATATTTATTCTTGCAGTTTTTAAAATGAGCCTTTTTTCCATATCCACATTAAAAGTATAGCACACTGATTTAAATAATATTATTTACTTTCAGTTTCATATATAGTGCCAGCATTTAATGTATTAGGAGAGTATAACACTTTTTCCTCTATTACCTAGCTGCCAATATGGATACCTCATTTTAACATGAGTACATATCTGAACAAAAAAGCCCCAAATGTTTACTGCTATTTTAAAAAACAGTCTGATTTATAACAGCTTTTTAAATTATTTAAAATTGTTAAAAATCTGTCAAGATTCTATCAAGTTTGTTTTTCTTTTAAACAAATGGCAGAGTTGGACCTTTATACCTTTATGACATACATACAGGATAAATTCCCAATCTGCACCTAGTTTAAAGCGTTAGGGCAGATCCCTCTCTTCTATTTCCAAATTAAACCTGAGGTTCTCACCCACCCATCTCCCTACCTCAAGATACCATTAAAGTATATTTTGTACATACATAGTACAGTTTTCAAACTACGTTTTCATATCAACACAAGCAAGTTTACATTACACAAATATGTACTAAAAAACAAAGACACACTAGTTTATAGATATAGAAAAGTACTTAAATCACAATCTAAAAGTTATTGAATAAGGAAAGAAAAGAAAACAGGAGGGCTAATTTCTATATAATCCTTCAATTTTAGATAAAGATATATTTTTCCAGAAAAGCTCCCTGGCGTTTTACTTTCCAATAAATTGCTATAATGAATACCTATACTTCAAAATGCAAAAAATAATAAAAATTAAAATTAAAAAAAAAAAAGGCCAGCCTGCCCCTGTTCATGATTGGCTGCTTGTCCAGTAATGCCTGGGTCCCTAGGTAAGTTATCCACTCTGCAGGAGCTGATTGAAGCAGTGCATGTGAAATTCGGAAGGCTCCAGAAGGAACTAAATAGCGTGGACACAATAACACGACAAAATGTCAGTCGAGAATCTGAAAAAAAGGGTAGATGCCATGGAAAAATCATTAGATATTTCTTCCCAGAACATCTAAAATGATGGGTAAATAAAGCTCAATGTCCAAATCTAGATCCTACATTTAAATGCTTCAGAAAATTAATTTCTTAAAGTTTAAAAGGAGTATGTCCATTCTTACGGACAATTCTTGTTACAATTTTCAGTTTATAAAATTTTAAAAACCAGAAATAGATAATCATATATCAGCAGTTCACTTAAGATTTTTGTTAACATTTTAGAATAATCACTGCTTATACAAATGAATTAGTATTTATATCTCTGACTCGAAAACTTTTAGAAACTTAAAAAGTAAAATAATTTTCAAAAGTTTTACTCATTGATACTAAAGAACTCCATTTACTTGATTAAAAAATATAGCATCGAGGAAAAAAATATGTATCTATCCTTCAATATTCAACTATGTCAAAGATCTAAAATGGAAGATTCTTTCTACAGAGAGACACTCAAACTTTTTCTACTTCTATATTTAGTTCAAAGTGGCCCAATTTAGAAACAAATAACATTTATTATTTTTTCCTCATATTCAATTTTTGGAATTGTTGAACAAATGCTTCCAGAAATAAATATAATAGTTGTAATTAAATGGTTGAATCAAATTATCTATGGTATTGTTTGGATAACTGTTTAAAACTAATGACTATAAAAGATCTTCTTTTTTATATTACTTATCTCCACATGAAGATTTTCTACTGGAAAGTTTAACCATGTTTTATATACAGAAGAAATAGTTTTATTTCACTATTGTAGCAATTTAAGAAAACCTGGAGGGCAGCTTCTAGACCTAAAAATTATTCATTAGTATGAAATAACTCACTTAGCTTTTCTCATTCACCCACAAATAAAAAGGTAACAAAGAAAAAGGAAAAAATAAAGATATATATTTTTATTACCTTGCATCTATATAATGAAGGTCTATATGCAATTGTGTTATATATGTAAGAGTAAAGTTCTGTTAGTTCCAAAAAACTGATGACTCAAAATGATTTAGAATGAAAGATCATAGTAAAATAAAATGAATATTAAAGAATATGTCTGTATATATATATTTAAAGTCTAAAATAGTAGTTTAAAATGCA
Source organism: Homo sapiens (assembly GCF_000001405.40). Taxonomy (NCBI): domain Eukaryota; kingdom Metazoa; phylum Chordata; class Mammalia; order Primates; family Hominidae; genus Homo; species Homo sapiens. The sequence continues at coordinate 108,300,958 of NC_000005.10, forward strand.
GTCTATAATTAGATCACAGAGAATAAAATATAGTATACATATACATGTACACAATAAAAAGTAACAGACCTACTGAAGTTTCATTTTGTAAAATCAAATTGATTCATGATGTGATTACTATAGCATTTTAATTATAGCTTCTTACTGCATTTTTTATGCCTCTGAGCATATGAAAATGTACAAAAACACTCAGAGATCTCTGAATTTATTATTCCTGCCACTTATTAATTCAGTGGACTTTGGTGCTCAGTTTTCTATTACCAAGTCTTAAGATAGAGGGGACACATATGTATATAGATGAATTAAGTGATAAAAACCTAAGATGAATTCAAGAGCTTTAAAAATGCATAATAAAAAGAAGTTTTAAAAACAATGCAGATCATTTTTTCATAGAGAACTGTTGGCATCATTTGAATTCCAAAACGATGTTAGGTCAGTAATTTTACTAAATTTATTTTTACATATATTTACAACAGCTTATCTATACTGCAAGATTCTTACATCTTTCTCACACAGCACTTGCAGCTACATTTCTAATGGGGAAAAAAAGTAAATATTATGCTAACTGCCATATAGTTGAATGCAACAAAAATGAACTGTGGTTAACTTCTAGGGCAGTTGTTTGTTTTAAATTGCAGTACCATAGGTCTAATCTCAAGAAAAAAGACAAACACTGGACAAATAACACTTATTCTTGGATGGAATGTGAGTGATAAAATTTTAACATTCCTGGAAAATGTATATCAGTCATTGGTATAAATGATGTGTATTAATAACTATCCACCAAGAGACAGGATTTTTCCATTTAGGACAACCATCAAAAATTTAGAATCCAAAAAAGTTCAGCACATTAATCCCAAGAATGATAATTTCTATAAATTTTATAGATGCCTATCATACCAATAAATGCCTATTATGATTTTTAACTCTGATAACAATGAAATCCAGATATGTCTCATTCTTAATGGGAGATATATGTATTGATAAGCTATAACAGGATAACTAATTTTAAGAATACCTCCTAGTAGGACAGGCAATCCAACCATTTCTCATGTCGTGATTGGAATATGACATTTCTGTGCGCCAACCCATCATATGTCTTTCTGAAAAACATGCCACAAATGTGGACCAATCAATAAAGTAATTGGTCAAGGCTACTTTTTCTGAAAATACATATGTCATCCAATGCAACTAAATTGATATATCCAAGGATAAACAAAGTTTACACTAAAATCAAGACAAAGATAGTGTAATGACTATCCCAAGTAAATATAAAGTCATCACTAGTCAAAAATACTTCCATGAATACACCAACATATTGTAACTGAAGAACAATTTCTTTCCAAAAAAAAGGGTGGGAGGGTTCACCTCCAGTTTATGGAATGAGTGCTTCAAACAAAATCCCAAAATAAAAGAAATACATATTGCTTCCTAATTCTACAGAGTTATATCTTTACCTAGAAGCCTCTCTAAATGAGTCTTTAGCTTAAGGAAATAATCACTTTTAAGAATTAGCCTATCATTGCCTAGGGTTGAGAGAAATCTTAGAAAATTAAGAGATACTTACAAGACATAATTCTACAAACAAAGACTGAAAAATTTCTTCTAACCAAACAACTGTAATTAAGATAATTTTCCTCTTCAAACCCTTAACCTAATTGAACTGTTAATTTTACTATATTTAAATAACGTTTTAAGGAATGAAATGTTTTCTATTTTCTTAAATATTTCAATATAAAATGTTCAGCCACTGACAGTTATCCTTTATGTATACACTAATAGTTTTTCAATAATGTAATCTATGAAATTTACATATAGATACGCCTCATTTTCTAAAGAAAAACCTATGTTGAAATACAAATCAGTAATAATTCATAGTTCAAAATCATTTTTTGTTTATAAAAAAGAAAAGCCTTATAATTAAAGCCAAAAAGTCACAAATAATGAATATGTAATTCAATACAGAAAGGCAATTTACGTTCACTTCCTAAGTAGAGTACCTAACACATAAACCTGCAAACACTCACATTTTAAGAAAACTGGACATGAAATTATATAGTTTCACCATTACATTTAAGCCCTTGGTCTAAATCTAGTTTGTGTTCACAACAAACATTACAAAATGCTTAACTTTTAATATACTCTTCCCAAAGTTCAAAAAAATCATAAGACTTGTATATATATAAAAATGTTTCAAAATATAGTGCCTCTACTAACTCTTAATTAGTGAGTATAGGGCACAAGTAACAGCTGTATAGTAAACCACAATGTATGACGAAAAACAGGCTGTAAAATGCATATATTACCACCACAAATGTTAACTTAATGAGCTACCAGAACAAATTTCTAGTCTCAGTTCAATTCCCCTTGACCAGATAACTTCCTCCAAAACACACAGGCATAAACACACACACACACACACACACACACACACACACATACCCACACACAAGCAACACTACTTATTCCCCTTTTTCATATGTTGGTCTTCCAATTTAAGACTACAGGCAAATAAAGACAAGTCAAACTATTCTCTTTCACTGTGGAAATAATTCTGAATTTAAAAGGGATGACTTTGCTGAACTACCACATACAACATATGTATTCTGAAGACTTTATTTTTCACTTCAACTAGAGGCTTCTCCCATTTAAAACAAAGTTTTAAAGTGGAAGTATTTTAACTACAGCAAAATTTTCGGAGTTTGGTCCAGGTATTCTTACCTGTGGTCTGTCCAAGTATCTGCAAAGGTCAAAAATATTTTAATAATAATTTAATACTAACACATTATTTGCCTTTTCCACTCTCATTCTCTTAGTAACAGTGGAATTTTTCAGAGACTACATGACCTGTGATAACATCATCATTCTGATGACTAATAGAATGTATGCTTGTATATTCAAACTTTCTCATTTTGAATTTCAAGTGAAAAAAAATTCAATAGATATAACAACGTAACAAAATCTCTCTGGCATCTCAAATAACTTTTAAGAGTATAATGGGTCCACAGACCAGAGCTTGAGAATCAGTGAACTAGTGGAAATCAAATACAGCTTTTTACTGGGAGTGGGGTTATCTTATACCATGTTCCTTCCTACTAATTTACCTTTCACAGCCCAAAGACATGTGTCTCCACCCATTTTAATTTTATTACACTTTTAAATTCAAAACAAATAATCTATGATGGGCATTAAACACTTTGATAGTTGTTTTAAATAAATTCGCAGCAGCCAAAATTTCTATGAAAATTTTTATCTACTACCGTATAATTCTTTAAATCTGCTTTTCTTCAAGTAACAGCATTCTAGAAAAAGTATTTTAATCTTAATTTGAATCACTGGTATGCTTCAGAAATCATATGCCAATATTACTTCATTTTAATATTCAGTAATTCAACCCAGAAGGTTTATTCAACATTTATGAATTAACCAAATAACATAATTATCATTTATAATTATCATGAAAAGTTTCCTGAATTCCAAAATTCCTGAATAAACTTGAATGATATAATCACTTTCAGTGAAGATTTCCCCTACTTAAATGAAACTAAGATTAGTAAAAAAACAAATAGATACACCTATCTGCTTTAATTTTGTATTTAAAAATAAATACACCTATTTGCTTTAATTTTGTATTTAAAAATAAATACACCTATCTGCAAGCCCTTTGGGTTGCCAAAAACAAAAATAAACTGAAATGAAATTCAGAAAAAGAGAATCTCTTACAATTATCAATACAAGAAAGAAAATGCCTAGGCACCAAGAAACCTCTTTCTCTCTCTCCCTCATTTGGTATTTCTACCCTCATAATCAATATTCCTTTTCTGTTACCTCATATTTCAGCCTTGTACATACTTGATTAAAAACTAAAAACTATTTCCCTACCTACGGAAAGGAAGACCTCTTCCTTGTCCTTCTCTATAATAAAATAAGCATAAAACTTTTCCATAAGGGACCAATACTCTACTGTATGTCTACAATAAAACTTTTGTATTAGAAACTGACTCCATTTCTCAATTTCTAATTCTTAAAAGAAGAATCTAGGGAAAGGTAAACTTTTTGAGCTTCTATTTCTCCATATGAAAAATGAGGATATAAGACCTACCTCATAAAGCTGTCATAAATCAACAAGTCTGACCCTAATAGAAAAGAGAGGAAAGAGAACTTATGTGCAGGAAAAAGTAAGTGTATATGGCGTGTTCAGAAAACCACATATGGATTTGGTTAACATAGAGTTGGTTAGTAAGGACATAGTAGAAGTCAGGTTTGCTACCACATGTTCTCACATATAGCTGAATGATGAGAACACACAGACACATGGTTCTCACAGACACATTGGGGGGATCAACACACACTGGGGCCCACTGGAGGTGGGTGGTAGGGAAAGCATCAGGGAAGAATAGCTAATGGATGCTGGACTTAATAACTAGGTGATGAGATTATCTGTGCAGCACACCACCATGACATAGGTTTACCTAAGTAACAAACCTGCACATCCTGCACATGTACTCTGGAACTGAAAAGTTGAAGGGGGAAAAAAAAAGAAGTGAGGATTGCTAAGCAGAAGTGAGGCCAAGAGAGACACTGTCAACTATACTAAAGAGTGTGGCATCTCCAACCTGTATGAGAGGAAAACTCACTGAAGGGCTTTAACCAAGAATGGGAACACAGAAGAAGAATATAGTGACAGAGGAGGATAGCTAAGACTACAAGTTCAGTCCAATTGAGTTTTGGGCATGCTCAGTTTGAACTGAAAATAAAGAGAAGACTAAGAAAACTAACTGCTCAACAATCTCAGCAAAAAGGCAGTAAAGTCAGAACACTGTTAGGTAGTCCTTTGAAACTGTTTTGAACAATCTGAACAGAAAGAAACATCCATCCGTTTTATCACTCCACCCCTGAAAATAACAGTTTCATAAAACAATGTTTACCCTTATTGTATGATACATCCTGATAGCTTCTTTTCCTTTTTAAAAAAATGCCAGTTTGGATCTCATAAATTTATATCAAAACCCATTAGTAGAGTCAGATTAATACTGATCTAGGATACTGTTGTAGTAATCTGAGTAGATCCCCAATATCCAAGGGCTGTTACATTTGGATTTTTAATCTTATCCACACCTGTTTACATAAATGGAAGAATACATGAATTGCATATTTTTAGGAGATCTTTTTTACTTTGGCAGTAAATTTTATACATTTTCTTGAAAAAACATATGTGTACTTACTGATATTATAATTCTACTTTTTAGATATATGGGGGAAAATACACTTCCAACTGCCTCAAGTAGGCCTAAAGACTTAATCAATGATGCTGTGAATGAGAAACGCTGGTGATTATGCATTTAATACAAATTACTAAAGGATATAGGTCTCCAAGAGCAACTTTTTAGCACACTGTAGTCTAAAACAACATTATATTCAATAATTTGCTACACAGATAGTAGTAGTTAAGAATATGAATTTTGATGCCATACTACCCGGTTTCTAACCTTGTACCTGAAATATACTAGCTGTCATCTCCCTGAGCTTCAAGCTTCTTCATCTGGAAAATGGAGTAACTACCTTACAGAGATAGTGTGAGAATTAAACTAGACAAAATATTTAAAGTGTTTTTAAAAGGATCAGGTTCAAATGTTAACTATTATTATAATTTATCTTTGATAAATTGTTTTCTAGCTTCTTTGAAGTAAAGGTGTATTTCTTCACTCTGTGGTTTGTCAAGTATTCTATCATCTTCAGTATAAAAGACAGGGGATAGCATTTTTCCATCATTGTGTCCACAGAACACAGAGTCATATTTTAACTTGGGTACAATTTGCAGGTCTTATATAAAAAGAAACTGAACCTTCATATTCTCTCTCTTCACTAATTAATTATCACTTGTGAGCACATTAAAAAAAGTCCAGGGTTATCTCTAAATATTGATTGACACTAGCAATTACTCCATACTATTAAATGTACTAATTTACTTTATTGATTATGCCTCTCTTAATCCCTCCCATTTATTGGTTCTTACACTTCCTCTCTTTTTTATGATATACATTATCTTTAGGTATCCATCATGAAACCCAAAAAGTAATAGTCTGAAATCATCAGGTCAAGTACCCCTATACCTCTCACTTCTCCCTCAGTGTATCAATGTGTGTAACGCAGGACCTGTTACTGGTATTTATGGTGATGAATGTGAGTCACCAAGAAAAGGTTGTATTATATTGATATATATTCTCCTTAAGAAGACATTTTTGAAAAACTGTTTTAAAAAAGAGAAAAAGCTTTAAATTTAAGTTAGTGACCTTTAGTTATCCAGTCTAGGATGTTAACTCTTTTGAGTATATGTAAAATCTTGTTTTATTTATTTATTTTTTGAGACAGGGTCTCACTCCGTCACCCAGGCTGGAGTGCAGTGGTTGCAATCATAGCTTCCTGCAGCTTCAAACTCTTAAGACTCAAGGAATTCTCCTGCCTCAGCTTCCCGAGTAGTTGGGACTACTGGCATGTGTCGCCATAGCCACCTAATTTTTTAATTTTTTTGTAGACACAGGGTCTCACTATATTGCCCTGGGTAGTCTTGAACTCCTGGCCTCAAGCAATCCTCCCACCTTGGCCTCTCAAAGTGCTGGGATTATAGGTGTGAGACACTGCACCCAGCCATATTTTTTTTTGTTGTATACCATATCAATCTCTGATTTTGTTTAACATATATATTGCTATTACTGATAGTTGATCTTTGCACAAAGGTACTTTGCTGCTATGAATGACAGGATGTTCTTTTGTATGAGAGAGCCTGTACAACAAATTACCCTTCATCTTGACCCATTAACATAGCTTTAAAATAAGACAGCTAAAGAAAAAATTGCTTTTTTTGAGATACATTGTTATAAAACATCAAAGAATAAGGAAAAGGCAAATCATCAGAAACTTTATAAGCAATTCCAGTTTGCTTTAGCTTTTATCTATGTGTATATGTAATACACAATTTAACAACTTCATTTAAGTAGTGTGTAACGGAAAACATAATAAAATATGATACATGAACATTTTCTTACATATTGGATGACCAATGAATACTGCCTCACAGATTCAGGTTCTTGGTTCTGTTTGTTCCTATAAATAGAAACACGACCTTGTCCCCATTTTTACCCTAGCTATCCAAAGAAATGCCTACTACTGCTGTTTTTCACTATCATGACTTTTTAAAAAATTTTGTATCAACTAAAATTAAGGAATGAGAAAGAATATTATTGTATTAATAGTAAAAATAACAATGGTAGTAGTAAAAATAATAGTAGTAGAAATAACAATAACAAGTAATGGTGGTTTTCATTTTTTGAGTGTCTAGAATGTATAGGCATTATAAAAAGCATATTTATATGTTATCTCATTATAATAATCCTATAAGGAAAATATTCCCATTTTATAGATTAGTAAAACTGAGGTTCATAGATATTAAATAACTTGCCCACAATCACAAGGCTAGTAAGGGTGGAATGGAAATTCAAACCAGTACTATCGTCTTACCACTAGTAAGAACTCTGACTCCTACAAGTATATTCTGCGGTCAAAACAGGTTTTGCTTAATGGAAAATGTGATAGAAATATTAATTCTAATTTGGGAAGAAAACCTCCGTCATAGATTTTGAATTAGCGATTATTCCACAAAATAGCTTAATTACTAAGAGAATCTGAATGAGCACTGTGACACATCAGGTTGCTGCTCAGAACAGAATTAACTTTGGCCTTCACTTCCTCCATCCTTTACCTGTAGTTGATAAGACAACTATTTTCACTTGAAATAAATTAGGTAGCATTAATTTTTTTAAAGCATAATTGTAAATTTACTGATTTTAAATAATTTTTAAATGGCTAACATATGGTTTAGAATAGACACAAGGAAAAGGGCACTCATAAACACTGTACGTAAGAATATAAATTGACACAACTATTCTTCCTGAAAGGTAATCTGCCAATAGGTAGCAAATTTTAAAAGCAAATACCCTCCAGATCCCAAAATTTCACTTTCAGAATATGTTCTCAGGAAATAATTCCAAGAGTAAAAGAAAAAACAAATACCTGGCAAGGCAATAGAGAATTATTACAGGGATACTTATAATACTGAAACATCAGAAACAACCTAAATATGAAACATAATTAATTGGTCATATAGACTATGATACATCAATACAATGGAAGACCAAAGTCGTTTTTTAAAATGATGGTATAATCTGTATTCCTTCACACAGAATAATGAGTAAGAGATAGTGTAAATAAGCATAAGCCAAAATAACAGAGCATAGCCATTTTTAATATTAAAATACATACATTTATATCTGTACATACATGTATTAACAAGTCTGAAATGAAATTGACCAAATTATTAACAGATTATGTGTTTGAAAGAACTCTGTAAAAGTACACTTTTAAAAACACATTACTGTACTGTTTAAATTCCAATCAACAAGCATTACCTTTATTTTAAAAAAAAGGCTATTTTCATCTTTTTAAAAACAAAGGAAACAATCAAGATGCCTACCAAGATGTAACTACAATACTCATTACAGCATAATATAGAAAGCAAGAGAAAATTTTAAATATCAAATAAATTAATATATACATTATTTCCCAGCCATAAATAACTAATGTTCTATTTGATTATTTATCTTAGAATAAAGTTCAAAGTGTACTAATAAGTGAAGCCACATATAAAGAATAACTTTTTTTAATAAAATACAACTTACATTTACACAGAAAAAAACTGAAAATATTCACTCAGGTACAAACAGTGACTGATTTTTGTATTTGGGTGGTGGAGTATGGGTAATCTGTGATTTCTGCCATTTGTACTTTACTGTGTTTTCCAAGGTTTCTTTAGTGAGAAGGTACTGATTTTGTAATTCGAAAAAGTAAAACAAAGAAATAAAAGGATTCTCTACCCCTCATCTACTTACATTTGCAACAAGAAATATTCTATATTCAATAGTTCAAATAAAAACAATTCTGTTTAAATTATGTTAGATGGCTAAAAATCACAAAAGTTCCTCTGAAATTGAATATTTATCAAAATGCAAAATATTATTCTATAAGTTAAATATTTAAGGTTTTTTAAAGGCAGGTGAATGTCTGTACATTAAGAGCTTTCTTTAAATAATTCTATTTGAGGGTAATTCAGGTCTTCCTAAGCATCACCAGGATTTTCTGGCATAATATTTCCTATACAAGATCACAGTTCTACAATTTGGAGCTCTCACAAAACATGTAAGACCTCCAAGTGGACTTCCGTCTTCAATATATGCAAAAGGACTGCAATGCTAAGAGAAAAGCACTATCATACTATCCACATATCCTGACCTTTAAAATATTACATAATCAATGGACAGTTCCTTTTCTACCCAAATATCTTGACCTCAATTACTACATGTTTTTACTCTAAGAGCTGCTTTACTCGAAAAAAATGTTTTTAATCTTCTGTCCCAAATTTGGCCACACTATTTCTACTTAATGATCCCGTCAAGTTATCTGTATCTCAAAAAGTTTGATTATATCAGAAACTGCTCATTTAAACTGTGTAGCTAAATAAATAACCCAGCTGTGGATACAACATATATAATTTGAAATATTCTAGTAGATTACTTATATAACAATTATTTTCAATCAGAACTTTGAGATATTTTTTAAACTGTTTCAAGAAATAACTTAGAGCTAGCTACTCAAAATTAAGATTATGTATGTTAGGAAATCTGTTTAAAAACTGCAGGGCCCTTCTCTTATTGCCATATTAGACAATCATTACACCACTACTTAAGCATCGTAATATGGAATGTAAGTTTCTTTTATTTTAAATCAAAGGCAATATGTGACTTGTCAGGGTTCCTTCTTTACACATGTCCTACATATGAATTGCCTCCAGCCCAACACCGAAAGTCCACAGACAATTTTACTTCACTACCTGCTGTTGCCAGTTGAGATTTAATCTCCTCTCAGCATTCCCTCTGCCAAAATGCCAGCAAACTTCTTCAGAAAACTACAGCCACTGCCATTCTTGCTTCTAATAGACAACAATTCATGACCAATTCAACACAAATAAAATTTGGGGCTGAAGGAGAAAAGGGAATGAGGGAAAAGTAAGTGTCACTGAAATCACTGCATTCTACCTTCAGTTCCCCACTGCAGAAAAGTCAACCTACCTAGCCTTCTCTCACCTACCTTTTTTTATTTTTATTTTTATTTTTTTTCTGAGATGGAGTCTCGCCGTTGTTACCCCGGCTAGACTGCAATGGCGCGATCTCAGCTCACTGCAACCTCTGCCTCCTGGGTCCCAGCAATTCTCCTGCCTCAGCCTCCCAAGTAGCTGAGATTACAGGCGCCTGCCACCATGCCCAGCTAATTTTTGTATTTTTAGTAGAGACAGGGTTCCACCATGTTGGCCAGGCTGGTTTTGAACTCCTGACCTCAGGTGATCCACCCACCTCGGCCTCCCAAAGTGCTGGGATTACAGATGTGAGCTGCCACACCCGGCCTTCTTACATACTTTTTATCACTAATTCTCTTCATGTTCTTTACTCTTAATATGCTCCAAGGAAGTCTGAGTATTCTTCCAAATGTACAATACATTATTTTGGGTCTCTGAAATCCCAAAGATCCACCACTGGTATCTCTCCTTGGACTGAGTCTTCCCTAAGAGTCTTTTTATTTCATCTCCACATCCCCATTTGCCATTCTGCATAAGCTCATGGAGAATCTAAAAAAAAGATAGATTTGCTCTGATGACAGGAAAAGAGAAAAAAACATTAACATTGTTTTGTGTCTTGTTAGTTGAAGAAGAAAGAGCTCTTAGTCAGAAAGAGAATGCATAATAACAAACGGCTTATAATGAACCAATGAAAGAGAAGAAGAGAGATAATGGCCCAGTGCCAGGAAATGCTGCAAGCGTTCTAGGTACTTATGTAAGAAGAGTTCTAGTTAGTCCCTTTAGCTTTCAAACTATTATAGAAAACCTATTCTCCAGACCCTGACCCCATCTCCTGTAGCTTCAGCTAGCATACAGCTTGATACTCTGTCCAGGTCATTGAAGCTACCGTCAGAAGACAGAAATGTGTCTTTGAGACACATTTCCAGGACTCAAAAAGATATTTTTTTCTATAAAAACATTCTTATAAAAGGTGGCTAGGTCTCATAATACATACCACCAGCATCACAGCTTATGTAAAAGGCTATTGCAGAACAGATTAGGAGCCCATTACATAAAACATTCCTAGAAAGAATAAGCATCCCTAGTCTCTCTCAACTCCCATAAAAAACACAATTTTTAAAAAATTAACTCGTAGAATGTTGCTCATTTGTATTTCATGAACTACCCTATACTTCTAATTTCCATGTAGAAAGCAATTTCCTTTCTCTGTTAAAAAAAAATGAATCTCTTTTTTCTAAACTTACATATCCTGAGTAGCAGATTGCTTGACTGTAGCAGTCCAAGCCATTGCTGGAAGGCAGCCCCAATAGTAGGGAGAGTAATTTCACACATATCTTCTATTTAAGCAGCCACACATGTTATGACACTGCCCAGATGCCAAAGTATGAGTAAAAAAACTTTTATAAACCTAAGTTACACTTGAAAAGCACCTTAAAACCAAAGGAAAAAAAAAACCCTGCTATTCTAATTTTAAATGTTACTTCCAAGACAAGGTAATACTATAGTAAAAATAAAATTTCCACCCTTAAAAACACAACTATGTAAATTTTTCATTACTTTAAGGACATACAAAGAAATGAGTCTCACTCTATTATTGTCCATAGGGCCAATTTAGTTATTCTATGTAACATATTCACAAATGTATATATTTCTTCCAGGCCCTCTAATTAAATTACTCCAATACCGATAATTTCTAAGTTATCAGCATAATCATTTCAGCAGTTAAAATATGATAAGCTAATAACAGAGACTCTGACTTCCTATTTTTAGGTTAGACTGAAGTTATTCATATGAAATAAAATGAATTTAATCAATTACAAATTCCAACTGATAATTACCATCATGTTTTTAAATAAAGGGAAATAATTTCACAAATAATCAAATGTTAGTTACTAAAAATCTGACTGTCCAATGTTCAAGCAGCTTTTATTTCTCCTTCTAACTTCTGCTCTTGGGTCATCTTTACTGCTTAGCCATCGAAGAAATAACATACTTATAAGAAGAGATGATAAAGTAGAGATTCATCTAATACAGGTTTCTACCTGATGAATGACCTTTCCAACCATATTGAAGTACAGACAATCCATTCTATTCAGAGAAGTACCAGTGATCACAACTTCTCTGGAAGAAGCCTATCTACCACTTATAGTTACATCCAACCTTGGACACCTGGATTGGATAAACATCCTCTAGGAGCAGACTTCAATTTTAAAACAACAGCCCAAGCTGTCTTCAAAAAGCAGACACTTAAGGCCATTTAATTTCATCTCTACCTTCTGCCATGTAAGAAGTCCACCACTGTGTTGGTGAGGGAAGAATTAAAACAGACAGACCTAGTTCTGTCATTCATTTACAGCAAGCCAACAACTGTAAAATATGCCCTTAGTAGCTATATTAAACTATTCTCATTAACATTTCAGTAAGAGTTGGATAGTGGCAAAAGAAGAATTATCACAGGCTGGTACCAGGTTTAAAGATTTTTCTTTCAATTATTTACATTTATATATTATGATATTCTATTGTCTATTATTCTTCAACCCATTATTAAGATATGGATTACTGTTTCATTCAACAGCCTGAGTGACAAGGAGTACCACATATATGAAAGAAGGAAAATATCTGTACGTTGTAGTCATTTAATGCACATCAGTTCTAGTCCCAAAGCATATCTAAAAAACATTTTTGAACAATTAATACAGTATTCTATTTATTTTACTATATAAGGTTTACATGGCAAAAAGAAAGAACCTGATAAAACAAATCTAAAAATAAAATTCTTACTAATATGAATCTTTAGTTACCATACAGAAAAATGTAGACTTTCATGATAAAAATTGAAGATGATGGGAGATATTATATTTGGTGGCAAAATGTTAAACATTATTAAATCTGGGTAAAAGGTAAATAGGAGTTCTTTGTGCTATTTTTGCAACATTTCTATTTTCTATTACTTCAAAATTAAACAAAATTTAAACTCAAATCTGCAAGAAAGATCATATTTAAAACATTTTAATACTACCAATATTTAATAAGCAATCATGGAGCCTTAAATGCTAACATATTTTCACATTCTTCTGAATATATTTTCTCTTGAACTGTGATAAAAGAAAAAAAGGCATCTAGCAACTGAAATACGCTCTTAAAAACAATCATGGTCTTCACATTGTTGGCCAATATTGAAATGGCATAATCAAAAAGTCTTTAAATTATATTTACAAAGACTAGATATATAAGAAAAAAGTAATTCTGTGAAAACATAAAATTCCTAAGACTATCCCATAAGTCAGTTTAGAAAACAAGTACAATAAGAGAAATAATTTATAACTTAACATTTCATTCATATGGTTGCCATATGCTGTGTTCCAAATGCCTTTATTCACTTTAACTCTAAATTTTGTATTTAGCCTGAATATTTCTTCTTCCATGTTATAAATTTAATTCAGATTAATACTGCGTTCAAAAGTTAGTCTGTACTACCTAGAAATTAGGCCAAAAAAATAAGAACAACCAGAAAAAAAAATCAAAGTGTCTGAAATTACTACTTCTAAGAGTGATGATGAATTTATTTCATTTCATTATTTTAAAATCAGGCAAGAAAGTTATTAAAGTCCTAAGATTTATACTACTACTATCCTATGTTTATATAACATTTTATAATTTATAAATTACTTCAAAATCTATAGTCTTATTTTAGTCCTACAAAACACTGCAGACTAGGTTAAGACAGGTATCATAATACTAATTTAGTAGGTAAGTTTTATGTCTGTTGTATTATTAAAGATCATTTATTGTCTTATTTTCAAATTTAAAATTTTTTTCCATTTTTATTTACAATTTTATGTAAATTCTAAACAACAAACACCATTATTTTCACTATGAGAACTGTCTTCTAAAAATCAATCAAGAATGATAGATTAATCATTTTTAGAATAAATTACCAGAGTTTAAAAAAGTACAACCTCATTAGAAAATAAAGACAATCAAAACTCAGGAAAAAACATATAAATTTGGTCACTTTATTACTGAAGTAAAAAGGTAATTTAAAAAATCAAAAAAGGAATTCTCATTTATCTTTTTAAAATCTATTAGATCTATGAAATCCAGAGAAGAAGATGGAAAGAAAATCAGCTTTAGTAACATATTCTGTTTTACTTTTTCTGAGTTATTTAACATACAAATAGTAACATCATCAAGATTCTTCCATTTATAATTTAATATTTTGTGCTTTTAAGCGACAAGATGAAAATGTGTAATTTACGGATAAATTTAGTGAAAGTGCAATCAATACATTATTTATTAAAGAGTAAATAATTACATTATATTTCAAAATATTTGTGTCAATAAAGTAACACATTAAAAATTACCCCAAGCTTTATAATTTTAACCCAATCTGATAATATATTTCTGTCACTGTTATTTCTAATTATAATACAACCAAGAGAATTTATTCTCTTCCAAAAAAATGAACCTTGTTAAAAAAAAAGAGAGAAAAAAAATCCTTTAAGCAACAAAGCATCAACCATATGCTTATTTAACTTCAGCACCATAGTCTCTCATAAAAACACAAAGAATTCCCAAACAAAACAACTGAAATTAGGCTTGCTAATCAAAATCATTTAATAATTCAATTAGGATATAAATCTAATTTTTTCAATCATTTAAAATACATAAAATATTTAAAGACCAATTAACATGTCATAAGTCTATAAAATACTTCAGAACTGATAATGTTAAGAAAAATCATCTTTGATGCATAAAATAAACCCTCTATGTAAACAGCTATCATTTTTAGACATTCCAAAATGGGCACAAAACATAATTGGAGTCTGACTAAAATGCTGCCCTGCAAATGCACATACCTTGATGATGAGGCTATCTCCTGACATCTATTAAACAAAGGTCTTCAGTAATAAAATCTCTTTGAATGAGGCCCACACAGAAGTATCCTGAACAGTATGTATTATGATACATGAAAAACTGTATATTATGAAATCTAATAAAACTCTACCCTTAAGAAAGATTAAGACTTTTAGTAGAATCCATGCTTGCTTGCATGACCCTCTAAAACTTCAAAGGAGAAAAAAAAACAGTGACAAACTGTTATTAAAATACTTTGCTAGACAAATATATCTTTAAAAGATCAACAATGGAAGAATTCAATGTGAACTATAAACCATTTTTATACGGCAATATCAATTTTAAATTCTAAGTTCTTATGAAATTACTCCTACAACTATAAATTACTTCTGTTCTAGATTAAATATTAAACCTAAAAGACACTTAATTTATGATTAATAAAATCCTCTTTTAAAACACAAGTGCTAGCCAACATTGTACAGAACCTTAACACGGCAGGCACTCAAAAGTATATCATATAAATAATAGCTATCTTCAAACATGAACTCTAAAATTTTTAACATTAAAATATCAAAACACTGAAGAGCATTTTTAAATTCAGAAGACAAAACTTATTTCCTTTTTTTAACGATGTCTATTCATTATTATACTAACTAGATTCAATATAGTTTTAGCCTTATGAAATAGTCATTTTTAAACAGTATAATAATGTTCTAAAAACAATAAGCAAGTCATGAACCAGATAACAGCATACTAAAATAAACCTTAAAATAAATAATATATATGGGAAATTATACTGTTGATTTTTTTTTAGAGATCAGTAATCACTAAATCACATCAAAGTATTAAACAACTGGAAACTTTGTAAGTTATTATACATCCAGTTAATTACATGAAATATAAGTTTTAACATCGAACCAATAAAATATTATCTACTATACCTTTTTATACAATTAACTGTGTATTTATCAATCTGTATATTTATCACATTTAAAGTTATTTATAATAATTTCAAAGTCTATTCATGTAAAAACTGTACATAAAGGTCTCAATTTCTAGTTCTGAGTTATACCACTATCAAATCCCAACAGGTACTAATTAAGGAGAAGAGATGCAAAGCTAAATCTTAGCTTTCTTCTGTATTATGTTTTCCACTACAAGGTTTTATAAAACATGTAAAGTTAACAAATCGGTTCCCCCAAAATCAAACCCATATATATTCATTTGTTAATGTCATATACATAAAATCTTCCTCATAACTTTTTAATTTCTAACATAAAGAACACTTTATTAAAAGTTACAATAAATTACTGAGTTTTGTTTTTTGTTTTTTGTTTTTTTTTTTAACTAGAAAAGATCTGTAATAGTCCCAACACAAAGAAAAGACAAAAGTTTGAGGGGATGCATATCCCAACTACCCTGATTTGATCATTACACATTGCATGCAGGTATCAAAAAAACCACATGTACCTGAAAAATATGTACAACTACTATACATCGACTGAAAAATTTTTGGAGATTTTTAAAAATAGTATTATTAATTATCACTATTTTTGTATAAATTAATAATCTGCTAAAAATACTCTGTTATGGTATAAAAATTAGGATATAATACACTAAAGGTTAACTACGTAAGTACAATAAAAAAAAATTTCAAACATCTTAATATGCCAAATTCATGAAAAAGTTATACCAATAAGCATAACCTAAGTATAGCCATATTACAAATATTATCTTAAAACAATATGATTAAATATCTATCCCAAGACCTACATAGAATTTCTGCAGTCAAATGGAACAGTATTCTTTAGTGTAAAAGTATTAATGTAAATGCAAAAGGATTTAAAATCATACATAATGAATCAATCATTCACTATGTATCTGCAAATAAATAATCAAATGAAGCTACTATTTTTATTAGAATTCATATTTGCTAACATAAAAGCTTTACAGATAATTAAATAATTACAAAATTATATACAGTTCTGGCCCAAAATGACTTTTATGAAACAGATCACAAAAATATTCCAATGCCTGTATTTAATGTAAAATAATACGCTGATAGCTAAAAAAAACTATAAACATTTTTCCTTCCAAAGAAATCAACATTATGTTTCCTAATATAAAAGGAGAAAAAAACCCATGTGCACAACAAAGATGCCTTGTATTCTTAATCATCGACAGCCAGTTTATCAACAAATTAGTAATGAGCTATACCCAGCATACTGTACTCAGTAACAGAACAATAATACACCCAGTAACTTAGTGCCTTATGCATTTGTTTTTTACCTTTGCTATGTCTTCAGCAAAACAATCAGTAAGATACACAGATAAGTATTTACTGACCTCCTATTACATACTTTACACTGTGCTATATGTTACTATATTTATAATTATTTCTATTTTGATTTCCAAATAAATCCCAAATAATCCAATACTGTTAAAAAACATGTATACAGGAAAAAAAAGTTCCTCAACAACCAATATACATAAAATCCTTGAAATTTTGAGAGGGAAGTGAAAACTAGTTTTAAAGGCTAATAGCATTTAATATCTTTCACTATTTGTATATAATTTCAAATATGGGATATATTTTGATTCTCTCTCATCAAAACTGTATTTCATTAAGCATTTCTGGCACTCCGTGCAATCATAAATAGGAAACAGAAAACTAGCCTAATTTTACAGGATTAAGAGCCAGAATTTGAGTACCTAGAATTAACAGCATGTAATGACACAATATGATGCTCTCAGATAGTGAAATGTTTAATATTTCCATCTATGGTATTAAAAATTATAAGTCAAACAAGTGATGGTTATGAAAACAACTGCCTAGCCTCTATTATATTTATAAAGGGATAACTGCAATCAATATTTTAAAAGCTCTGTTAACTTTACAGTTTTAAAAATCATAGTGAAAATGAAATATTGATTTAAAAAAATAAGTCATAACACATCCCAAATCAAGGCCAAACCCAACCATGACTGACTATGACTGAGTTCACACATGGAGCATTCTGCTTTGTCTACTCCCCTGAAAGACACAAGGTGAGGACACACGGCACTGCCTTCCAATTGTTTTATTCTACCCAAACAGGCAATGACAACAAAATTATTTTAAATAAGCCATTCCACTTAAACTTATTTATCTTCTGTGTAATAGTGTTAAAATTATAGAAGAAATCTAGTTCTTGAAACTGATCATTCCAGTGCAGAATGGGAAAATTAACATGAGAGAAAAGCAAAATACCAAGTCATTCCCATTAAAACAGCATTAATTATGTACCATCTGAAATTTTTCTGGATGTGAAAATTATCTGTGTGGCATTACAACTACAGCAAAAGTTAAATATCTTATTTCTTGAATTAAAGCATTTGTAATTTGGTTGGGACAAGTAACTATCATTAGGGAGAGGTTATACCTAATGAATTTTAACTATGCACTGTAATGCAAATGCATTAACAAAAAAACAATATTTTTCAACAGAATTTACTTTATAAAACATTTGAAATAATATGAAGATTTTAATATTTTCCTATCAGTTAAAATACTACTTTCAAGATAATTTAAAAATTTTATTTTTGAATAAACACAAACTAATTTTGAAAATAATTATATGTAACCCTAGGAATCGTTTATTTTAAATGAACAAAAATCTAAAAGTTATTATTTTAACTGGAGAAAATTATCTCTCAGAAAAAAATAAAATGACATTTTTGATAACTTTCACTTTTTCAATTTAACAATTTATTTTTAACTATATAACTTCTATTAATATTACTATAAAAACTAGGATAATTACCTCTATAATTCAGGCTAGATACCACCAAAAAGTCAGCAGCAATCTTTTTTCTCAAATATGTGTATTTGAGAAGTGTGCAGTGAAAAATAAACTTATCAAAATATGAGGTGAAACTGTTTACTAGGGTCCCGAAATGACTACTTGCCTCGAATATTACTTACACATCATGAAAAATTACTCAATTTTGAAATTTTAAACAAATCTATTCTCTTACCTCAAAAAACATTTTCTAAGATGATGAGGTCCTCCTTTAGAACATTTAGCATTACAAACTTCTCTCTCCTTGCTAGCTAGAAATTATTTCACCACTCTAAAATTATCATGTTTTCCTTTTCTTTTACCTTTAGCTTTGTTCCTTTCCTTACCTTTTCTTTTACGCCCTTCTTTGTTTTTGTCTTTTCATATTTCATTCTTTCTTTAAGCCAGCAGCATACAGACCCAAAGTGGCCTATGTCACTAGGTCTGGTATAGCTATAAAAAAATAAATTCTTACTATTTTTAAGGGAAGAAAAACAAGCCAGTAATCATCTGGGAGAGCATGAGGGGATTTTAACCCACCAGACAAGCCTGTCCAATAAAACTCAGACTTGAATCAAGTGATTGTAACTTCTCAAGCAAATACATACAGCTCTTGGAAAGCATCCAAAAAAAAATTTTTTTTTGGTCTCTTCTGTCTAGAAAAGAGAACTAAAAAAATTGGACTATAATAATTCAATCCCTTTTACAAGTCTATTTAACATGAAAATGTTTTAAATGAAATTTTTACAAGTTAGGACTTTAAATGTTTTGAGAATTTTACATTTTATTTAAACATTTAAATCTGAGGGAAGGCTCAACTCTGTTTTCTACTTCCCACAATGTTTGCTCCAATTAGATATCAGTTACTAAATACGTAATTGCTAGATTTGTTAAGAACAAAAACCCTCATTTTTACAATTAAGAAAATAACCAAAGTAATTCTGTAAGCCTCTAAAAACTTCATTTTCAGCATATTATCATATTTAAGTAGGTTATCTTCGAACAGGGTTTTCTTAAAACAAATTCGCTTTGTAACAATTTATAGATAATGCTGATTTTAATTGGAAAAATCACGCAAATTTGTTTAAAGAAAAAGCACGTTTAATGCCTATCTGCGAACCAAACTTTATGCCAAATATCCGAAGTTAAATAAATAATTACCAACTAGTACACCTAGGAGAGGTGCTCTAAGAGTATGTATTCCACAATATATTTAGTAACAGCAATCTTCATGTTGCCTAACCATAGATGCTTATAAGAAATTATTTTTTTCTGATAATTTTCACATCCAATATAACTGCTGATGCTCGTAAGAAATTATTACTACTATTACCTATTATATGTCACACATGCACTTATTGCTGTAGTATGTTCAAATCCAAGCAAATGTTCACATTTAACATCCTTAATTACTGAGTATATAATAATATTACAATATTGAATTGGAAGAAACTGAGTATCAAAGTGTCTATGGGTAGAGGTAAATTCACAACTCTAAAATATTTATTCTGCTGCTTCTTTGAGGTCAGAAGAGTAGAGAAAACGACTTCTTTCCAAGTACTGACCAAATCAAGTACATGTCTTTTATTTGTGCAGGTATGAAAAAATGGCCAGAAGATCTTTCCATACTGTTTCACATGAAAAAAAATGGCCACTGATTTATAGAACAGTAGACTGGCATAGAATGCTATTCTCTTAAAGAATCTGCACACTATTGTCCTGAACATGCTCCAATGTCCCTGGACACATGCCATATTGTGAAATTTACATTGCTACTGCTCTATTACCTGTGGATATTCCATTCCATTCAAAAAGTGCTGTTTTGACTTTCTAACTATAACTCAAAACTCAGAAGCCAAAAAACAAAAAAGTGGTAAATGTAAATAAATTTAAAAAAAAAAACAAGAAAAAACTTCTGCATGTCAAAAATGCTATGTAGGCAAAGCCTAAAACTAAATGACAAACAAGAAAAAAAATTATAACTCCAATCACATATGAAGAACTAATATCTTTAATTTATAAAAAGTGCCTAGGAAGGTAGAAGAAAAAGATTAGCAACTCAGTAGAAAAATGAGCCAAGGACACAGTTACAGAAAAAGAAACCCAAACGGTTTTTAAACATACCATTCCCAAACAGATTCATAATAAGAGAAACGCAAATTAAAACCAACTCAGATACCACTTCTTGACTGTCAAAATGGCAAAAAATTGAATAGCTTAACAACACACCACTGGCAAGAGTGTGGGAAACAAGCACTCTCAATCCACTGCATATAGGAATGCAAAATGGCATAATCTCTAAGGAAGGCAATCTGGCAATATCTACGAAAATCACAGGGGCCTGTACACTCTGACTCAGCAATCCCATCCTGAGACTGTCTCCTACAAATACACCTAAATTTGTACAGTATATTTATAAATGACATAATTTATTTAATTGCAAAACAGTGGCATATCCTAAGTGTCTAGCAATCAACTGGCTACTGATTGAAAGAATTAAGCTACCTCCCAATTCTAGACAACACTTTCAGAGGAGAAAAAAAGGGAACAATCTTATGAACCAATTATGAAAGACCTGTTAAGTGCGGGGGAAAAAAGTGTGATGTACATACTAATCTAACTTTTATGTAAATATCATCCTGTTCTTTGTGTAAATACTAGCTACTCTTTGTATAAGAAAAGAATAATATAAGAATTTTTTTCATATTTTCATAAACACTAATTATACATAGAGAGCAGTGGAGAAGATGGTGATTGATGGGAGCAAGACTTCCTGGTTTGTATTTTTGAAAATAATTACATTTTTGAACCACAACGCTTTCTACAAATAATAATAAATATTGACTTTGCCAGATATTAGAGGTAAACTATTACTCTAGATCTCTCAAATCATCTATTAAATTTCCATCAATAATTTAATAGATGTTTCCAAACAGGGTGCTGAGGTAATATCAAGGCCTGTCTATACTGTACATCAAGGTCTGTACAGTCACTGAAAATGTTATTTGAGAACTTACTGTATGCAAGACTCCTGGAAAAAAAGATCGAGCTCCAAAATCTTATTAAATGTCAATATAACATGTTCGGTTTATAGCTAGAAAATGTATAATGTGTACATTGGATGTGACCAACAGTGCTCAACAAAAACTGACAGAAAGGTCCCACAGCTAATAACATATTCAATGGTGAAAGACTAAAAGCTTTACCTCTAATAACAGAAACAAGACATGATGCCCATTTATGCCACTTCTACTTAACATAGTACTGAAAGTTATAACCAGAGAAATTAGAGGGGAAAAAAAGAAAGGAAAGACATCTAAATTAGAAAGGAAGAGACAAAATTATCTCTGTTCACAGATGACATGATATTGTAAATAGAAGACCCTAAAGGTTCCACATACAAAAGAACTATTATAATAAATGACTTCAGCAAAGTTGTAGAATAAAAAAAAAACATAAAAAATCAGGTGCATTTCTAAACACTTATAAGGAACAATCTGAAAAAGAAATTAAGAGAACTATTCAATTTACAGTAGCATCAAAAGGGGTAAAATTCTTAGGAATAAACTTAAAGGAGGCAAAAGACTTATACACTGAAAATTACAAAATATCACTGAAAGAAATTAAAGACACAAATAGATGGAAAGAAATCCCGTTTTAATGAATTGGAATACTTAATATTGTTAAAATGTCTATACTACTCATTGCAATATACAGGTTCAATACAATCCCTATCAAAATCTGAAGGGCATTTTTTGCAGAAAAAGAAAAACTCATCCTAAAACTCATATGGAATCTAAGGACCACAAATAGCCAAAACAATCTTGAAAAAGAAGAATCCACTGGGAGTCCCACACTTCCTGATTCCAAAACTTATCACAAAGCTACAGTAATACAAAAAGCGTAGTGCTGGCAAAAAGACAGACATAGACCAAATGAAACAATCTAGAAACAAATTCTTGCATAAAAAGTCAAATTATTTCCTACAAGGGTGCCGGCACTATTCAGTGGGGAAAGGGCAGCCTTTTCAACAAATGGTGCTGGGAAACTGGATATCTACATGCAAATGAATGAAGTTGGACCTTTACCTTGATCCATATGTTAAAAATTACCTAAAAATGAACGGAAGACCTAAAACATATGAATTAAAACTATAAAACTCTTAGAAGGAAAGGTAGGATAAAAGCTTTACAACGTTGAATTTGGCAATATTTCTAAGTTTTGACACCAAAAGCACAGGCAACAAAAGTAAAAATGTATGTTAAAATACATAAAAATTTTAATAATTTCTGTGCAGTATAGGACACAACAGAAAGACAAGGAAACCTATGGAATGGGATAAAATATTTGCAAATCATTATTTGATAAGGAGTTAATATCTGAAACATACACAAAGAACTCCTACAACTCAACAATGAAATAACCCAATTTTAAAATGAGTAATGTATTAGAAGAGACATTTATCCAAAGATACGTAAATGGCCAAGAAAAGCACATGAAAACATGCTTAGCGACATGAATCATTAGGGAGATGCAAATCAAAACAAAGAAATATAACCTCACATCCATTAAGATGTCTACTATAAAAATAAATAAATAAACAAACAGAAAATAACAAGTGTCAGCAAGGATGTGGAGAAATTAGAATCCTTGGGCACTGTTGGGTGAAATGTAAAATGGTGCGACCACTATGTAAAACAGTATGGCAGCTCCTAAAAATATTAAAAATAGAATTATATTAAGATCCAGTAATTTTACTTCTGGATATATACCCCAAAGAACTGAAAGAAGGGTCTCAAAGACATTTTTGTATACCTATGTTCATAGCGTTACTTATAATAGCCAAGAAGTGGAAGCAACCCAACTGTCTATCAATAGATGAATGGATAAACAAAAGGTGGTGTGTATATGTATATATATGTGTGTGTGTGTGTGCATGCACATGTACACACATACACAATGTAATATTACTCAGCCTATAGAAGGAGGAAAATTCTAACACATGCTACAACATAGATGAATCTTGAGGGCATTAAGCTAAATGAAGTAAGCCAGTCATGAAAAGGCAATGCTGTGTGATTATAATGAATAATCTGAAAAAGAAATTAAGGTACCTAGAAGAGGTACCTAGAGGAATCAAAGTCAGAAAGGCAGAAAATAGGTACCTAGAGGAGTCAAAGTCACAAAGACACAAAGTAGAATGGTGGTTTTCAGGAGCTGGAGGAAAAGCAGTGTATTGTTGTTTAATGGGTATAAAGTTCAGTTTTGCAAGATAACGAGAGTTTTGGAGACTGGTTACACAACACTGTGAATGTACTCACCGTCACTAAACTGAATACTTAAAAATGGGTAAGATGGTAAATTTTATGTTATATATATTTTACCACAATTATTTTTTTATTTAAGAGATAAAAAAACTGATAGAAAGGCACAAACTTGCCACGTACCGCCATCAAATTCAGTCAAGGAAGAAAAGAGTGATCAACCAAGAAGTATTATCTTTGTATTCAAAACTTTACCAAGTAAGTAGAATGCATGAATTCTTATCTCAAGGAGGAAACAATTCTAAGGGCACAAAAATATAGTATCTGTGAAATATTCAGCTAGGTAAGTTGGGCAAAAATTTGATCTTAAGAATAAATGGAAAACTTGAAAAATAAGTGGGATTTATTTTAGCAAGAGAAAAAGGGATACTTTTTCAGGAAAAAGTATAAACAAAGGTAGAAACTGTGAAAAATAAGAAGAAAGGGAAAAAGAAATATTAACATAGCAGGTCCCACCTCACCATCTATAATAGAGCTTAAATCAGTTCTTAAGCAGGAAAGCAATGTTATTGAAAAACAGTAAATACCCTATTTGTCTGGAATTGGATCATAGGTACACCTAGAAGTCGTGGCATCTGACAAGCCTAAGGAGATGCTATTGCAGTTCAGAAAAACATAAAAGCGTTAGGATTAGAGTCAGAAGTAGAAACAGAAAAGCAAGGAATCAACCTAAGGAAACAAGACAGTAATAATGACAGGTGAAATACAGGGGATAGAAGTGAACAAGACATAAGCAATAGCTAACATTTTCTAGCCTACAAAACCAAAAGACTCTACTCATTCAAAAATTACTTTTGAGCAACTACCATGTGCCCAACACTCTTCTAGACAGAGGACATAGAAAGGAACAAGGAAGATAATCTCCCCATTTCCACTGAGTTTACACTTTAAGGGTGGAACATGATAAACAAACAATAACAGAGAAAAACAACTGATACTATCAGAAGATTTTAGACAAGACCCAAAAGCCCTTACCATTAATAAATTGAGCTTCATCAAAGTAAAAACCTTGCTCTCTTCAAAAGACTCTATTAAAACGAAAAGATACACACGTAGAAAAAGTAATCACAATGCATACATCTGACACAAGAACTTATATCAAAAATATAGAACTCTTATAACATGTAAGAAGACAACCAATTAAAAAAAAATAGGCAGAAGATTTGGCTGGGCGCAGTGGCTCACATCTGTAATCACAGCACTTTGTGAGGCCAAGGCAGGCAGATAACCTGAGGCAAGAAGTTCAAGACCAGCCTGGCCAATATGGTGAAACCCTGTCTCTACTAAAAATAAAAATTAAAAAAAAAATGAGCTGGGCATGGTGGTGCACGCCTGTAATCCCAGCTACTCAGGAGGCTGAGGCAGGAGAATCGCTTAAACTCGGGAGGTGGAGGTTGTAGTGAGCCAAGAACCTGACACTGCACTCCAGCCTGGGTGACAGAGCGACAGAGCAAGACTCTGTCTCCAAAAAAAAGCAAAAGATTTGAAAAGACACTTTACAAAAGAAGAGATAGGAAAGCCTAATACATATGTTAAAAGGTACTCAATATCATTAGACACAGGGCTAACCAAATAAGGTACCACCATACACTCACTGAGAGTCAAAACCACAATAAGGTACCACTACACACCCACTCAGAATGGCTAAAATTTAAAAATCTAAAAATAACACCACCTGTTGGTAGCGACATAGTAGTCCAAATGGAGTTCTCAAACATTGCTAGCAGGAGTAAAAAATGGCACAACCACCTGCAAAACTCATAATTTCTCACAAAGTTCAAGTTAAACATACACTTCCCAAACAACTCAGCCAACTCATTCCTTAAAATTTATTCAAGAGAAATGAAAGCTTTTGTCCATTCAAAGACTGGTTCATGTATGTTCACAGCAGCTTTATATGAAATACTTAAAAACTGGAAACAACTGAAATGTCCATTAACAGGTAAATGGATGAGCACATTGTTTTATGTCCTTACAATGGAATGCTATTCAGCAATAAAAAAGCAATAAACTATGATATACATACAATACTCACCTAGGAATTGTTGTCAACAATCTTTGATCCAGAAGTAAATCCAGACTTAGACTAAGGTTGACATAAGAGAAAGCTAAGCCAAAAGTCAAAAAGAACTAGCTCCCTAAATGTACTGTGGAGACAATGAATTAACTCAACCCTAAAGCCTGAACTACACCCCAGCACATTTCAGTTATAAGCCAGTAACCTTCTTATTGTTTAAGCAAACTGACTTGAGTTTTCTGCAATAAGAAAATTACAGATTATATGATGTAGTTCATATTTAATGATTTCAATATTTGCCATTTAATAGTAAGATGATTTAACTGCAAAGAATGAAGATTCATGGCAAAGAAAATGATAGACACCAAGGCAAAAAAAATGAATGGACTGGAACACCCACTGTGGATATGTTACTAGGAGTAAAAAATATAAAAGATGTAACAAGTGTAGGCAGAGTTTTGAAAACAACAAGCAAACACTAAGATTAAATATGACTCTTCCAGAAATTCCCAAGATGAAAGGCTAACTGAACCTCAAATACATAAAGCAACCATTGGTTACTTTTTCCCCTTGCTAAGCTCTCAGTAAGAACAGCATTCACTACCAACAAAGCTCTGGCAATAATTCCAGGTTTCCTTTGGTCATGAAGAAGAGAGAAGAAAAACGGCAGTTGGGAAGTTAACAAGAGGGAGGCTAACATTTGTGAACAACTATTTCCCAAGATGCTTTGTTGGACAGTTCACATACACAGAGTTCATTTAATCTTCTCAACAAAATAGATTATATCGTCTCCAATCTATACATTTAAAAAATCAAGATCCAAGGAGCTTAAATGCTTAAGAAGGAACCTGCAATTTGTAAAATGGTTAATATTGGTGTTGGAATCTATATCTGTCTGACACAAAAACTATCTTCCCACAAACCACTTGATGAGGATAAACACCAAGAAGTTTGTCACTGTGTGTCCCTTTGTCTGGCCTGGCCTTAAGGAAAGCATTAGTTACTTCCCAAAAGAAAAATATGCTCACTAATGATATGACCAAGTATATAGTATTGAACATTATTTAAAGTATCTTAAGCCTGTTTATTCTTATCTCTGACTCCAGGTATTAAACTATTTGGTGGTCTCAGAGAATGACAGCAGGAGACATGGGCATTATTTAAAAAAAATAAACAAAAACACTAGGAATGGAGATGAAGAGAAGTATGTAGAAAGACGTGCCTCTTGGTTTCATCAAAATTATCAACAAGATAACATAAAAAGGGCAGGAGAATATGAAAATATATTCTTCTGATAGAAAACCATCAAAATTTATGGCTATTGTTTGTGATGGGAAAAAATGAAAAGAGCCATAGTACCCATCAATAATGAAGTCTTGTAGAAGAGAAAATGCAATATAATTTTTGAAAATAGGGACAGATACACGCATGTTGGTATGTGTATTAAAAGTTTTCTGAAAATAATCACCAGAGGAATTAGCAGGAGGCTTTCAGTTTTTATTTTCTACTTTTCTATATTATTAGAATTTTATAATATGCACTTTTTTTTATGAGAACAAGGATTATTTGGGCCTCTTTCTTATATATCTCAATATATTGTAAAATCAACCCAAGTATATACTTTTAAATTATGAATAGCTTTCAATATTTATCAAGAGTTTTGACAGGTAACTGACTGAAGAGATACTCTAACTAATCATTTAACATGTGACTAACACTTTTACATATACCTGACTTAATCCTAAAGTAATAATGTTATTCTTATGCCATAAATGAGAAAACCACCTCAGAGTCACTTGCTAAGGGTCACTCAACTAAGAGACAGAGGTAATTATCTATCCTTTGATCTTCCCAATTCAAGCTCCAAGGTGCTTTTCATTATACCACAATTGCCTATGCAAACAAGAAGGTATTTTAAAGTTAAAATATACTTATGTAAGAACTTCTGTTTATATTTAGGTATATCTTGTCTCTTTCCAAAAAGAAATTGAGGCAGCTCTTTCTGGAAATAAACCCTACAGGAGAAACACAAGTAGAAATAAAAATTAAGGAAAAAGGAAAAAGAAGCATTTTCCAAAAAGTTATTCTATAATAAAGATGGAAGTCCTGAATACTTTGCCTTAGATGGACTACCATTTGTTTCTTGGTTTCTTAGATGTCAAAGCAAAGAGGAAAAGGACAACTATACTTCTTTAATAAAATTCACAGCATTATCTTAATAAAAGAAAACAACTGCTTAAAGTCTAGCTTTCCCTAGTATTAAGACCAGGGGGAATACTTAACTGCAGGTTCTCGTAAGGGAGGACTCATAGGATACAGTGGACAATGTCCTTAACAATAAATAAACATCAACTCAATAGAATAATGCCAAAACTCAATTCACTTTATTTAATTCTTCAAGTACTGGTACCTATGCATTACCCAAGTACTACCATAGCTCAATGAAATAAGTCTTTAACAGCAAAATACCTTTATAAAAAATTATCAGAACAAGTCATTGTAATGAGTACACCACATTATATACTATAAAATAGCTTCTTTAACTTTAATCTTCAAAATATTTCACTTGAAGATGAAATAACTTAGAAGTTATCATTAGTAAAATAAGTATTACATAAGTGACATCCCTTTCAAATTCTTACTCTTAAAACACAGTATACAATATATGAGAGGTTAACAGTCCAGGCTCGGGAACAGTGGCTTTGATACCAGGTGTTACTGTCTTCCCCAGCAAGCACTTAGATAGGTAAATACAACATAATAGGAAATTACTCCTATTAGTTAAAAGTTACTATAAAATCAGTAGACCAGCATGGCCTATGGAAAAGGGTCTGGAATCATACTGCTTCATATGTGGTTAGTATTCAATAAATACTTAATGCATGAGAGAACAATAGGCTATGGGGTTACAAAAAAATAACTGAACCATATAGCTAATAACCATGAAGTAGCCAAAGACTACTTTATGGATCCAGAATCATACTACCTGTAACAACAGAATCATGTATGCCCTAGCTTTCAATATAGTTTTCTAGGGTATAAAATAATGTCACACCACTATCAAATCTGTTTCTTCTCCCAAATACCATAAAGAAATGACTGCTATGAACCACGTGATAACTTTTTTCCATTAAATTATTCAAATGACTGATCTACATCGAGAAAAGCCAATCAGCTATACCATTTTATCTTTAAAAAATTATTTGATATTGTTTTAAAAAGTATGCAAGGGATTACTGTTTAGGTCCTTCATATGTTTAAAACAACACTGAATAAACTTCAATGCAATTAATTATGTGAAACTTCTCAAAC
This sequence comes from Homo sapiens, assembly GCF_000001405.40. NCBI lineage: Eukaryota > Metazoa > Chordata > Mammalia > Primates > Hominidae > Homo > Homo sapiens. The sequence goes on from NC_000005.10 coordinate 108,330,475, forward strand.
TACAACCCAAAACCTTCTAGGCCAACTGTTTTATTAATAATTCATAAGCAATCTCACCAAGATATATTTTAAAGAACACACACAAATCAACAAATATAGATTTCCTAGAACACTTCGTAAAGCAAAGAAGTATAGTCGCAATATAAAGTACCAAGGGAACAAAAAAAACTCCCCTTCTAATAAACTCACACTATCACCTTATATTGTTTTATACATACACACATACACATCATCATCACAGGTACACACACATCATCACACGTGCACACACATCATCACACATGCACACACATCATTGCACGTGCACACACATACATATGCCCACATGAGCTTTCCACTTAGATGACAATCTCCTAAAGATTGAGACTGGTACAAACATGTATTCTATATCCTGATGAAACCTCGTCTCTACTAAAAATACAAAAAAAATTAGCTGGGCATGGTGGCGGGCACCTGTAGTCCCAGCTACTCAGGAGGCTGAGGCAGGACTGTCGCTTGAACCCAGGAGGCGGAGGCTGCAATGAGCCGAGACTGCGCCACTGCACTACAGCCTGGGCGACAGAGCAAGACTCCATCTCAAAAAAAAATGTATTCTATATCCTACAACCTTATAAATACAATTGATCATAACTTGTTCAAAAGGAAAAAATCTATTGTTGTCAATGTTAAAAAGTGCTAATTTGATCTCCAACAAAATTTTATCAATTAGTTCACTCAATATCAAGAAATCATTAACCATTCTAAGTACCGACTATTCTTAGTTACAACCAACCACATTTCCAAAGGACTGCATTAGTATGAAGGCAGATATGAGCACACATTTTTTATTTTACACAGACTTCATGTTAAAAATGGAAACTGGAGAAAACTCCATCTGTAGTGAAAGCAAATATTCTGTTTGGTTTGATTTCACCAAAACTGTGTACGAGATAAATACTAAGCTATTGACCAATTAACTAAGCTGTTACAGAAAAAGAAAGACTAATGTTTCTTACAAATTGGTAGTTTTGAAATCCAAGTCTTAAAATCAACATGAATATTTAATGTGGTTTTTCCATTTTTCTCCTTTAAAGCTGTTATTAAATCAATAGCACTTCTAGCAATCAAAGAAATTTAGTGCAATCATTTTATCCTTATGAAAAATTACAATGGCTGAACTTATTAATGACACTACACATTGATAAGTAAAACATAAAAGTCATTTGGTAAGCAAAAAATTCACTTATTTCCATTCCAAACTGGGAAATGGCTAGACATTCCTGACCAACTACACCCGTCACCTAACAGAGTAACTCTTCTAACCCGTATATCAAGTCACAGGAATTGCTAAAATTGCAACAAATCAAAACTGAAAAAAAAGACCTCGTTATCCATATTTATGAATATAACTTATAAATGAAAAATGCAAATTCAAGGGACCAACATATAGATACCACATATTCAATCTAAAGATCTGAAATAATTTGATGTGAAAATATAGTAGAGAATATCTTAAAAGTTAGAATCGAATAGTATCAACCAGTTCATCAAAATGACCTCCTTAGAAACTTATTTGATTAAAAACTAGTAAAAACTAAATAATGTACTGATCAGACATATATACAAATGTAACAAAATGGAAAGAATGATAAACATAAAATTCAGGATAGCAGTTACCTTTGAAGGGGAGTCAAGATGAGAGAAGGGAGGAATGCATAGGTAGATGAAAGTTATTGATAATATTCTAATTAATAGTATGGATGGAGCGTTCCTGAGTAAATGTTCAAAAGCTTTTTGATAAATTAACTTTTATAATGAAATAAGATTATGCCTGGACCAATTACCACAGTATATCATGAACCAACGATTGTAACTAGTAAAATTCTATGTTGCCAAGGTCCGTTTTGAAAAAAATAATTTATATTTACTTACAGAAATTCACTTTTTATAAATGCTTCCTCCTAACATTAATATTAAAACATCAACAACTCCAATCTTTTTAAACAAATATTCAGATTAAAAGAAGGATTATAGGAATTACCTGAGAAAACCAAAACAAAAATCATTCTTCTCCCTAAATCAGAGTAATACTATCATATTGGTTTCAAGTTACTGTCCGTCAGAGGTAGTTCAGGACAAACTTTTTGTTTTTTGTTGTTGTTGGGTTTTTCTGAGACAGAGTCTCGCTCTGTCAACCAGGCTGGAGTGCAGCGGCTTGATCTCAGCTCACTGCAACCTCCACTTCCTGGGTTCAAGCAATCTTCCTGCCTCAGCCTCCCAAGTAGCTGGGATTATGGTTGTGCACCATCATGTCCAGCTAATTCTTGTATTTTTAGTAGAGATGGAGTTTCGCCATGTTTGACCAGGCTAGTTTCGAACTCCTGACCTCAAGTGATCCACCGCCTCGGCCTCCCAAAGTGCTGGGATTACAGGCGTGAGCCAAGTGGCCAGGGCAAACATGTTAACAATGAAAAGCAAAAGCAAAAGCAAAAAAAAAAAAAAAAAAAAAAGAGTCTATAGTTAAAGATTATGAAATGAATCTGTATTAAGATCTTGTAATTTTCAAAAAGCTTCAAAAATAGATATAAAATCTTATATAAGAAGTTCTAAGTCAAACTACCTTAAAATGAAAGCCGAAGCAAAACATACAATAATTTATAAGCAAATTTTGCTTAAGTCAAACCAGAAATACCAGTATATATATATATATATATACATATTCAACATATTATTCTGAAATTTCCCAAGCATAAAATATATTTATAGCTAACAGTAGTCTATAAGACAAATATTAATGTGAAGACAATGCAACATAATATATATTGTTTTATATTTACATTTCCAAATATATAAAGGAAGAAGATGTAAGGTTACCTGAGAGTATCAAAACCAAACATGAGACTTCATGCAAAGATGGACAGACAAATTACTACGTTAAAAAATCACTTTTAAAATGCTAAAGTGCTAAGATTCTTTATTCCTCTGACTACAAAACAAGTAATTTCAAAAAAACTCTTACATCCAGAGTTTTGAGGACAAAATGACTGTTAACTATTTATGAACCTGAATAAAATGTGGCAGTATTTAAAATATCAAAGGTTGAGACACTGAAATCTAGTAGTGGTCAAATCTTTGCTCTTAATGTAAAGAAAAACAATATAACTGAAATTTTTAGAAACTGTCAATTCTCAATTTATCAACACAGGAAGCTAACAAAAGACAAAAATATCATCCTTCTGGACTTCAGTCACATACTCTAAAGATGAAAGGGCAGGGAAAAAGAACCATACATACAAAAACCCCAATGAGATTGTCTCTTTAAATTTTCTTTCAATTGACTTGATTAGAAAGGGTTATCTTAAAAGAAAACATAGTAATAAGTATTTATGTGCAAAGAGTTAATTCAAATTTATTCAAAATTACTTAGTGAGGTAACTTCCCAAATTTTACCATGAGGAGACCTGCTACGTGCCAAGCTCAGTACTATGCACTTTATATCCACCATTATATTTTACAAATGATCTAATTGAAGTTACAATTAGAAGCTTGAGAAATGTAGAGTTTGATGACTTGTAAAGCCTGACCTACAGTGCTATTGGAAATTGCTTATTAGTAGCATTTCCAAATATATAGTGATAACAAAGTCAGAATGAGTACATTTTAATATTTTATTCAACAGAATTTCTAGGTAATTAAGGTTAAAAAATAAATAAACACCTAAATTGCCCAAGAACTAGGAAATGAAAATCTCTGTGCTCCAGTTAAGCTTCCACTCTGACTTCTAATTCACTGTACATCAAAGAAAATCAACTTGCCCTGACACATAAGGACTATTCCCTTCAGTGATCAGGCAGGTGTTGAGGCCAGAAAGAGAGCCTATTTTCCACAGCCCTTTACCTTGTTTGATCACTGGTTACTTTTGATCTGACACTGCCCTCTGTCTAGTAATGACTTCCCCCTCATAGACCCTACCTCACATCTGTCAGAAAGAATAAAGGGCATCAAACTGAGACCTGACAACGCCTATGGGCCATGCGATGTGCTGCCAACAGAATGTTCCCCAGCTCCCACAATTTTCAATTCAGTTTCTTTTGTTCTGGTAGGTAGAGGGTTAGGGTACCAATGACAGCAGAAAGGATTATGACCAACTGTGAAACCAAGCCTTCTTGAATGTGTATCTTTTATTTTCGCTTCTTCATCTTCTTAAATGCTGCAAACTTCATGGTGGTTACTATAAAATACATATTCAACAAGTGCAATAGAAAGTTTGTTTAAAATCCTTTTCCAGGAGAAAACAAAGGACACAATACATTGTAATTCAACTATAAAGCTTTAAGGAAAAAATTTCAAACCCATGGTGTGAGATTAGTAAAGGCCCGCTGTCAAAGAGCACGTTAATAGTAAATGAAACCACCGAAGTCTTACGCGGACCACGACTTAGTGGGTACTGCCATTCACTGTCTGAAAATGGAAAAGTCCCCTAAAACAACGTACATATTTACAAGAAGTAATCATTTCAATTGTTAAATTACAAATTCTACACTATTGGTGTGAGAATAAGGTAAAATCAAAAATAAATTCCACTAGTCTTGTTTAAATAATGTGGTGAATATATACAACCTTTTTCTTAAGGCATTGATAGTACTAGTTTTTAGATGTTAGAAATTAGAAAAATCAGATCAAATATTTTGGTATCATTTTACTCATAATTTTTCAACTATCATTAAAACATTTTGAGTTCTTGAATATAAATATTTTCACTCTCCCACTCCCCCACCCCCCCCCAACACACAACAATATATGGCTCATTATCAGGCATGCAATAAGGAGATTTGCCAAAAAGCAGGCTTAGAGGATAGTATGACTTTTAAGGTTAAGACAGTATCTTTAAAAAAAAAAAATACGTTTTTTTTTTAAATTTTGAAAAGTAGGACCAGAAGAGGAAACTGCATGATTATAAGTTACAAGCAAATTTAATGTAAATATAGCATTATAATGCATACAAACAAATAACCTTAGACATGTACTAATATAGAAGCTCAGAGATGGAGGGTAAGCACTAAGGTGATTACAAGTTGACTCCAATAACTGGAAGTTCATTTCTACAACAGCTGAGAAAGGTATGCCTTAACAGAAAGGGGGAAGGTACCCATGTCTAAAGAATTAACCTGTGACACTAGGCAAATGCACACACTAGACTGAAAATGATTTACCACTATTGAAGATCAGATGTGAAATTCCTCCTATTATTATACTGATCAGCAATTAGCATAATTATATTCTTAAAAAAACCCTGTTTTTGACTGTAATCTAAAAACATGATAACATAAAGTATATTAGAAAAATGTGATTGTTTTAAATATATTTTAATGTATGAAAAAAGATTATTCTTATATACTTGGACTAACTTTATAGCAGAAAGCCATATGGGTATACTAGAAAAAGATATTACTTCTAGAGGGGAAAAAAAAACACAATTTAATCCAAGGATAAACAATAGTTTGGCAGAACCAACACTTGTCCAATTTTTTCCCCTCTCAAATTGTCCAAATGTCACTTAATCCTCCAAGAAAATGAAAAAACAAACTGCATTACTGTAACAAAATATCTATCCTTATTCTTGGACATTCTTTTCCCATTTTTGATTCTACAAAATTGTTAGAACATATTAAAGAAAAAAATATACGGGAAGAATTTATGAAACTAGAAACTAAAAACTAAAAATTTTATATAGAGTATTTTTTAAAAAACACTTGCCAGTGTAACCTCTGCGTGGTGTATTACTCTCAAAGCATGCAATGCCGGTGTTCTGAACTAAATTTAATGCCAGATCTGCCTGATGCATTTTATTGGTACCAAGAAGCAAATATTTATCAAATATTATATTTAATATCTACCTCTAATTGCAACAATAAAGTCAAGCTCTTCTGAACAAACTCAACCACAGAAGCAACTAGTTAACTTTCATCTTTTCAAGAATCAAGTAGTTAAAGTATGACAAAAGAAAAGAGACTACACTTCTTAGCAGTCCTGAGAGATTGCCTGAAACAGAAGGATGAAATACTGAAACAAACCAAATATCTTCAATGAGATGTACAACCATGTGAATGAAAATATATAACAGGTAATCTGTAATAAAATATATAAGTAATTTGTAATAAAATAATAAAAATAACTCAGTAAATAAAAATGTTTAAAGACATTAAGTTTCAAAATCCACTTTTAAGAAATCATTTTCTAAAATCTACCTAATTCTTAAAAAGAACACACTTATTTGGGACTTTACTTCTTCAAACTATCATTGCCATTCTTCTTGTATGAATGTTAATGAAAAATCACTTGATATTGCTATAGAATAAAGTATATTTCACCAATTCAGTAAATAAAAATTGAATTTTACGTCCTAAAAGCTATACTTTTATGTACATATTAAAGTATAAATGGTTATGTTTAAAGTTACTGACTTGTCTCATTTAAAATGTGATTTTAAAAGAAACTCTTTCTTCCTTATCTCAAAGAGAATTTTTGGCCAGGCAAGGTGGCTCACGCCTCCCAGAACTCTGGGAGGCCGAGGCAGGTGGATCACAAGGTCAAGAGATCGAGACCATCCTGGCCAACATGGTGAAACCCTGTCTCTACTAAAAATACAAAAATTAGCTGGGCGTGGTGGTGCACGCCTGTAGTCCCAGCTACTTGGGAGGCTGAGGCAGGACAATTGCTTGAACCTGGGAGGCAAAGGTTGCCATGAGCCAAGATCGTGCCACTGCACTCCAGCCTGGGTGACAGAGTGAGACTCCATCTCAAAAAAAAAAAAAAAAGAATTTTCCCAGAACTAAAGCAAAAGGACTTAAGTATATCAATGGTTCATCTTCACTGGCAGTTCCTTTCAGAAAATTTACAATTCATACACTGAAAAAAATTTTATTTTTAAGAAGTTCTAACAACTATCCATTTAATCAAAACACTGAAGAATATACAGGTTTCTTTAACGTGTATGCAAACGATCTCATTCTTATTCCAAGGAGTTACACTGGGAGACATTACCGAACTAAAACTCTCAAACCTACAACAAATTATCAATGGATTAGTAAGAACTAACTAAATACAGGAAGCTGACAGAATACAGGAAAGTAAAAAATGTGAGGTAATTCTCAAAGAGTATTTGCGAAAAATAATATTCAGCTGAGCTTGAAGGTAGTAATGAACACATTCTGGAAGAAAGAAGAAGAGTGATAAAAGGACAAGTACAAAAAGTAAAAAAAAAAAAAAGTAATAAGACAGAGACTAGTAACTGAAGAAATCTTTGAAATGAGCCACTACATATTTCTTAAATGATAAAAATAGTATTTTGGAAAGAGCACTCCTGGACTGTAGATATGACCAACAAAAGTCAACCTTTAGAAACATCTTAGTTTATGAGTGAATTCAGAGGAATATATACAATGTATCTTTAACCTTTCACACTTTTTTCCATTAAATTCTTCGCACAAAAAAGCTTAAAACAATGAAAAACTATAGAATGTATACTAGATCTGATGAAACTGCCTACAATTATATATGATAAACAGAGATTTATCAGTATATTAATAGAATGAGTATATGTGTATATATTAGTGTCCTGCAACAATTTAAAATGTATGAAATAGCAAGCTACAAAATTATCTTCAAATACTTAGAATAAATATTAACCTACTAAAAAGATATAGAAGTTTTATCATGTTCTCAGAGGAGTTACAATGAAAAGCTAGAACATGATGCAAATAATTTTATAACCTCTCGGCGTTCACTTGGACATTTAAACAGTAATGAATATAAATATATGCCTTCTTCTTTATATTCTCAAAGATATACAGTAAAAATGAAAATAAAAGAAAATCACCCAACTATAGTTCAGTAAGAAGGACTCGGATTTACAACCACTTTTCTTTGTATTACAGAGTCTCAATATATTTATTTATATGTTTTATTAAAGTGAATGATAACCATCTAGATTTTATGCTCCAATCAAAAATAGCCAATAAAGATCTGGTAACAGACACTACAAATTTTTTATCCCCAAACTCTCCTGAAGTAACTTGAGTACTTCTACCATCATACTTTAGAAACCAAAAATAATGAAATATGGCAGCCACTAAAGAAAAATACTATACTGATATAGTCTGCAACCTAGATGTGGCTACAACTAAGATGCAAGAGAAGAAGGGTTGGGAAAAAAAAGTATCGAAACAGTATGGACTTATCTGGCTTTTAAATTTCTTGGCTATTAAAATCTGGATGATATAGTCAACAACAACAACAACAAAAAGAATCCACCCCAAAACTCACATGATGAATACATCCTTCTACTGCCTGTCAGGTAACTTTATGTTCAAACCTTTGTAAATAATTTAAAGAAAGACAGCAAAAGAAGACAACCTACCTAATATGAGTAAGCAAAATCTGCAGCACTAATAGGAACAGTACTCAGCACACAGGTTTAGATAGGAACATCACCTGTATATCTTTGCCTGAAGACAGGGTTACCTGACAAAGGCCCAAGTGCCATAGGACATTTACAATAATGTATCTTTGTGATAATGACTACAATAAAATGATGGAAAAAGTGCATCCTATTACCCAGAAGCCAGATTCAACTACAGTTTGTAAACTATATTTAGAAAGGCAAATCTTTATTTAAAAAAGAAAGAAAGAAAAAAAGCTAATTCTCCAATTCTCCTTCCTTTAAGTTTAGTCACTGAAATAACTGGGAATAAGTCTTGGATATCCTAAAACCCTAGAACCTCATTACTGTGGATAAAAACATAAGCCAAAACTTCTTCCTAGATCCAAATAATACATTTCACTTGTTGACTGGCTAGAAAGGTAGTTCAGGAAAATATCCTCATAGATGACAGGCTTAATGTACTACTAGCATGCCACTGCCATCTAACCTTATAAAATTTCTATTTGCTAAGCCTAATGACTCAAGTCTTTATCTCAACCCACTATCTCCCGTTGCCAACACTTGAGCACAAAGCCCAAGACTGCACTTCCACACTTGTATCTTAGAGATAATTTGTTTTGCTTCAAATATCTGATTTTAACAGGTAGTCAAAAAAGAAAGCAAATAAAAATTAGATTTTTATTAAAAAAAAAAAAGGACTTAAACTACAGACTATGTATGTGGGGAAAAAAGCACTAGCCAAGGAATTACACTAAAAATAATCTACTAACCATAAATTTTAAATCCAAAAGAAGCATTCTAAAATTTGATCCAGAAAAAAATATATTTTTAAAGAATACTTAAATACTATTTGGAATTTCCTATTTTTAACCATAACAAATTCTGCATTATCCACACTGGGATATCCTTATCGGAGTTTTTAATACTAAGCTAGCTTCCTCCTGAGATCCCGTTTGCATTTGGCCATCTCCTATCATCAGCTGATGAATCCCCAGAGTTAGTGAACTAATTTTAATATTGCTAAACTAATATAATTAAGCAGGTAAATCTGCTGGGTAAAAAATAATGCATTCCAAAGAAAAATTGTCTGGATATCATCCAAGACACTGCCTGTCTTCCATACGACACTGGCACACAGGGAAAGAAAAAATACACATTCATTCTTTATTGCTTTCAATGCCTTCAAATGATAGAATATAATCCACTTATGTTCCTGCCAAGCTATGTGATTAAAAAAAAAAAAAACCTTAAGAGAAAGATACCAATAGACTAAAAAGAGAATAAGAGGATACGATCTAGCAAAGAATTTAGAATGAGTAAAAATGTATTTATTCTTCAGATTGAAATTATACTGTCAAAAAAACGTGTTTTAGGCCAGGCATGGTGGCTGATGCCTACAATCCCAGCAATTCGGGAGGCCAAGGCAGGAGAATCGCTTGAGCCCGGGAGTTCGAGACCAGCCTGGGCAATATAGTGAGACCCTGTCTCTACTTTAAAAAAAAAAAAAAAAAACTCGTTTTAAATTAAATTGGATCTTTCAAATACCACTTAAACAAAATAAAACCGATTTTATTAACAGTAAGAATGTACAAGTCAACATAATTCTGACAAGAATTACATTCTAGTTGATCAGAACTGCATGTTGTTAATGACAATTATGCCAAAAAATACCCCTTGAGTACATTAGTGACTTTGGCTGGATAAATTTGATACATAAAGAATGGCATCATTAATGTGCTAACTAGGTCAAAACAATTTACTTACTTTAAAAGTGAAAAAACATTTGACTCTTTAAGCTATTTTAAGCTTTTATTTAATAAAATATGTCACCAAAATATTTGAAGTGATACATTTTTTAAAGCATGCACAATGCAGTAGTAACCCATCTGTCCCTAACCCAACATTTATTGAATGTCTATTATATTCCAACACTAGGAGGGATGAATAAAAAGATGAGCACATATTCCTGGCCCTCAAAAGAGTTGACACTCCATCAGCAAGATACATCTCTAAAACATGATTTCAATTACCAGTAGAGAGTGATTTGACATGATATAGAAAAATTTGAAAATGTACATATCTTAGTACCATATTGTATATACTTCTCATATATGCCGTAGAGAACTCTTGAAGATGAGCACAAGAGATTTATACAATAATTTTATTGCAATACTGCCTCTGATAGTAAAACAGTAGAAGCAATGTAAGTGTCCTTCAATAGGAAATGAATAACCCAGAGATTTATACATATAATAGAATACTAACAATGAAAAAGAATGAATTATACCCATTATGGCTAGATCTCAAAAATAAAAGTAAACATGCAAATTGTAGACTCATATATACTTTGTGAGACCAGATATTTAACCATATGTCACTAGATATAAATTACATGTGACCACAAACTAAATAATACCACATCATGGGTATCCACATACATATTAAAATATTTTTTAAAGCATTTTAGATCATCATAGCAGTTGCTCTGGAAGGGAACAATGGGACAACAGTACGAATGTAAGACAACAGAGACTTGAAGTTTATTTGCTTTATTAATTCAAGCAGCAGCAGCAAATTTAATAAAATGTTAACAACTGTCAATTTATGGGTGACAGGCATACAGCTGTTATTACTCCTTTTTGTATTCTATATTTTTCTTAATTTCTCAAAATAGATAAATAAAACAAGAATTAAAATCTGATCACATTTCACACTTGCTAAAATCTCATGCTATAGTTCTTATTACCTAGAGACTTTCAAATTTCACAGCATGACACTGAAAAAAATTTAACAACCTGGTCCTTTCTTTCTTTTCCAGACCAAATATGAATACTTCCCTACTACCTAGCCTATCAACCTAGTGGCACTGTAACACTCACCACTTATTAAGCATTCCCCATATTTTTCTGATGTTTTATCTTTGTTAACGCTCTTTTCCATTAGTGCAATTACCTTACCCTAAAATATGTCTGCTTGCATATTCATCACATCACTACATGTAATTCAAAACTTAGTTCAAATGTCACTTACTATTTATAGGATTTTCAGATTCCTTTCTTATCCCTCACATAAGAATAACTATTTTTGCAATTGGTGTTTCTATAGCACTATCATGAGACCAGGATCTTCTCTCTTTGGCAGTATAACTCTTGTTTAATTCTTCGACACCTCTCACAGTGCCTGGCACATAGTAACTGTTCAAATGTTAATGGAACTGAATGAACATCTGAAACAAGTGTTAAGGAACAGAGTACAGAGTTATCAGTTCATGAATTCATTAAAATTGCCATTAAATCTTCTGGACAAAAATCAAATGGTACTAGCTTCTGAATCAAAATATCACAAAAATGTAAAACACTATGTCTGTAATACAGAGAAATTTTGTATAAAATACTGCAATTCTATTATTAATTATATTCATATTCAAATAGGATTAAGATTAACACTAAATACTAGCTTTCCTCTTTGATAATTTCAGGAATTTTCCTAGAAAAATTTTTAAATACACTTCTGCTGGTACTTGCAGCTTCTCCTGAAATCAATTATCATCCTAAAAAATGATTTTCTACTCATGCTAATAATTAACTTCTTCCTTTGATGTCTCACAGCACTGGTCCATAAGTGTTTTCAAGGGAGATAATGTCTTTTGGAAGTTGCTACTTGGTTCAAACGTGTGTGGATTAGCATTACAGGTAATGTATCCATGCAATCCAAAGGGCTAGAGAAGAGAAGTTTGGGAATCTTAACAGATCTGGGTTAGAATTTTGACTTTGACACCCACCTGTTGTTAACTTCTTTATGCCTCAATTACCTCACTGGTAAAATTGGATAAAAATAGCTACCTCATGTGGTAGTTATGAGGATTAATTATATAAAACAGCATAGTACCTGGTATATTAAAAATACTCAATAAAAGATAACTTGTATCAAACATTTTCTATTACCAGCAAATGATAGCAAAATCCTGAGATGTAGTTGCTATGGTCTAAAGGTTTGTGTACCCCCAAAACCCATATGTTGAAATCCTAACCTCCAAGATGATAGTATTAGGAAGTGGGATCTTTGGGGAGTGATTAAATCATGAGGGCAGAGCCCTAATATATGGGATTAGTACCTTTATAAAATAGAACACAGGGAGCTTGTTTGCCTTTCTACCATGTGAGGATACAGGGAGAAGGTGTCTATAAACTAGAAAGCAAGCCCTCACCAAACACCAAACCTGCCAGTGCCTTAATCTTGGACTTGTCAGCCTCCAGATCTGTGACAAACACATGTCTGTTGTTTGTAAGTTATCCAGTTTATAGTATTTTGGTACAGCAACCCAAGTGGACAAAGACAACAATAAGATGATGTTCAATATCTTTAGATCACCTCTTTAGAATGCCACATTCAAATATTACTGTTCACTGGAAACTACCATTCTGGGTTTAAGTAAATGCCCCATCCATTAAGAGGGGAAAGAACACTGAAGGCGAGTATATACTCTGGATGATTTGGGAGGCTCAAGTGAGTACTTAACCCTTTGTACAAAATCCCTCAAAAATGTAAATTATTTATGTCTGGTATTACAATTAAACTCACTTCACAAGGAGTATTTGAGAAATAAGACATCAAGATTATAGGAGGGGAACTAAGGGTGCGGACAACCAATCTCCTTAATATATTAACTCATATATAAACCCATTAATTTATTAACTCTATGGTGAACAGTAAGAGTCAGGAAATGGAAGCTTTCACATAATGCTGAATTAACTACTGCTATTTAAACTGTGACACAAATGTTTATCTTATATACTACTCTAGTTGATTATCAACATGGCTACCAATTTTTTCACCTAACTGCTACAACAGCCTCAAATCACAGCAAAGAGAAAAAAAAATTAAACTGTCAGTGGCTAACAGGTAAAAACAGACTAGGTGATATTAGACATTGATACAGCCCAATTCAAATTAGTAAACTGCAGAAAGCAAATAATAGGCTTCACTATCCTCTCCTGATAGGAGAGGAAAAAAACCTTTATTGAAGCTTTCTTGTGTTTTGTGGCAATGAAACTCATTTGGCGCTTTACCTCTTAATCTCATTTAGTCTGATCCTCAATAGAACATGTATGAAGTAGTATTGTATCCTTTCTGCAAGGAAGGAAAACAAAGTGCAAAAATTAAGATAACTAAAGCAAGTCACATGAGTAAGAAACAGCAGGATCAAGGTTTTAACTGAGTTCAGTGCAACTCAAAAATGGCGTTTGCCTCCATCTCCCCTTAAAATGCTTTCAGCCTAGGGGGTCGGGGGGGAAAGCCTGGAGAGGTGAATTTGATCCTACATCATTCATGTAAGCCTCCAAAGGATGAAATTTAAAACAAGATTGTTACAGCAGCAGTCAAAGGACTCTAAGAGAAGTCACAGAATTATAAAACTAGTAAAATATCAACTAAGAGACTGAAAAGTAAACAGTCACAATTAACTTTCAGGAAATCAACTTTCCATTTCCCTATAATCATTTCCCTATAACTTTCTGAAATCTATTCATAGTATTACTATTTTCTTGAGAATTGAGTAATCTATAATAGTTTACAGCCTAATTATTCAGAGTAGAAAATGTAAAAAATAGGCCAAACACACACATAACGCATACAGATCTACATCAAAAATACTCTGACATAGGGCATAGCACAGAAGCTATTTTTAGAATAACTCATAAAATTCCAGTAGTTTAAAACACTGGCCTATATAACAAATGGCAGGTAATCTATCCGACCTCATCGTTTTACAATGGAATAAAAAGCCACCCAAAGAGGTTCTCTGTCCAAAAAGTAGAGAAGCAGAATCTGGTACAGGGAAATTAAAGAAGCACAGGAAATATACTTAACTGAGGTTTCTAGATAATGACTATATGCTCAAACTAAATATGACTTAAAAATAGCTTTGTGGCATGCACTATACAAAAGTGATATAAAACCTATCACTAGAAGAAACAGACACATACAATATGCTAGACCCTCACTACAGCTATACTCCTCAAATCTATGTGTATAGTCGACACAAGAGTTTTACAGCAAATGCAAACTATACCTATGTAGGTACATGACACCTGTCTCACTCAAAAATAACTGAAACAGAACTCAAAGAATTCTCTTTTGGGAAAATTCTACATCTAAGGCCGGGCACGGTGGCTCACACCTGTAATCCCAGCACTTTGGGAGGCCGAGGTGGGCGGATCATGAGGTCAGGAGTTCGAGACCAGCCTGACCAACATGGTGAAACGCCATCTCTACTAAAAATACAAAAAAAAATTAGCTGGGCATGGTGGCTTGCACCTGTAATCCTAGCTACTCAGGAGGCTGAGGCAGGAGAATTGCTTGAACCTGGGAAGAGGAAGTTGCAGTGAGCTGAGATTGTGCCATTGCACTCCAGCCTGGGTTACAGAGCAAAACTCCATCTCAAAAAGAAAAAAAAAAGAAAAAAAAATTGTACATCTAAGTCCTCAGTTCTCTGCTTCACCATAACTCATTTATGGCAAATCATTGTCCTCACTTTCCACATGAATAAAACTTCTCCCTCATAAACACAGGAATCCTTCCCCTTTTCTAAAGTTTATCTTACTTAAACTAGTGCCACAAATAAAAATGTTCTACTATCTTACTACTTTGTGTAAAATGGTAAGTTCATCCTGTGGCATTCTAGATACAATTATTTTA
The DNA here is from genome assembly GCF_000001405.40 of Homo sapiens. Classification (NCBI taxonomy): domain Eukaryota; kingdom Metazoa; phylum Chordata; class Mammalia; order Primates; family Hominidae; genus Homo; species Homo sapiens. Next base: position 108,345,593 of record NC_000005.10, read on the forward strand.
AATAACTTAAGAAGAAATTTTCCCATTAAGGTCACATAAAGAACAAAAATGTAAAATAAACCACAACATCAGCAGAAACCATCAGCAGAAACTTATAGAGGCATTACATCCTTATAGTTACATCAAGGACATAAAAGCTATGTCACAGAAATATACAAAGACAATGCTGCCATCTAAAGGCCAAGATATAATATGAAAAGATGTATGTATACTCAAATACTACCAAAATAGCTTGATATTTTAAGTCAGCAAAGTTTATATGAAAACTATGCTATGATTATTTTTAGACTCTGCAATTAAGCTATAATACTCTTTTTGAGAATATTCAGTTTATTAAGAGAATTAGCAAAATAATTTGACTGATTATCAGTATTTGTCAAAGCATAGTTGAAATTCTTTTGGCATTCTTTCTGACAGTGTTCTCTGTACGTACCTGTATTAGTTGCTAACTTAAAATATTTGTTGTTACATTACTAAGAATAGGTGTCAAAGTAAAAACATCCTAATTACTTAAAGCTATGGCTTCGCAAGTATTTAAATATTTCTCTTTATTTCATAAATTTTAAAAATACAAACTTCCTATAGGAGGTTAGTTATCAATATCTCAATTATCCAATAAAGAGTTCAAATTATTCTAAATTTCCTTTTGTAATAAACTTAAATGGGAAGAACTGTAGTGAATTAGCCTTTAAGACTTAGCAAAATTACCTCAAATTTCCAATGAAATGAAAATGTTAAATAAAAAAAAATACAAAACTGATGCCCTTAGCATTTACGTATATAACATATTTTTAATGTACCAAAATACTAGAAAAAAACTAATGTGAACATAACAAAAACCTTAAAAACATAAACAGTTGCTTTCTTTGGGAAACCATTGGCTAAAAATTGTTTGATTGCCAATAAAACTATTTCTTTATGTTTACTCAACAAGAAAAATAAAAGTCAACAAATATCCTACTGCTTGAGAAACAGAAAACTTCTAAATTGAGATCACCATCCTTTAATTTACCTTGGATGTAAAGTGAAAACCAAAAGTTAGGTAACAAATACAGTTGTGATGCCATAAAAACTACTATGTTTTACATATCTCCTGTAAGTCAGACTTCGTACTAGACAACTTAAAGATACAGTGTCATTTAATCGTCAAAACTATAACTAGCAAATAGACAGATATCAATAACTTCATTTACAAATGAGGTGTAAAGAACTCAAGTAACTTTCCCAGGGTCACTATGCAAGTGAGTGGATACCAATATTCAAAAATTCAGTCTAACACAGACCTAACTTCTCTTTACAAAATCCTACTGTCTCAAGAATGACTATTACATAAAAATTATTAAATGTTATGAACTCCAAGGGGCAATAAAAAGATCTCTTCATTTTTGAAATACAACTAAAAAAGCAAGTCTTCTTTGTAGTATACTACACATTCAGGACTACCCTGACAACATTTTCAAATACAGACATGCATTGCTTAATGACAGGAAAATGTTATGAGAAATGTGTCATTAGGTAATTTTGTCATTGTGTGAACATCACAGAATGTACTTACACAAACCTAGAGCATACAGAAAGCCCTGGGCCATATGGTATAGCTTTTATTGCCCCTAAGCTGCAAAGCTGAACAGCATGTCACTGTAATGAATACTGCAGGCAACTGTAATACAATGGTATTTCTGTATCTAAACATAGAAAAGGCAAAAATACAGTATAATAATCTTACAGGACCACTACTGTATATGCTATCCACTGTTAACCCAAACATTGTTATATGGCCCATGACTGTATGTACGCTATTTTTCAATTTTAAGAACTCCTACTGGTGCATCCTAGTGACAACTTTTTCTTTTAACTGATATGATGTACCTATCATATAAAAACATAAATGCTTTGGAATATTATTCAGCCATAAAACATAATAAAGCTCTGATACATGATAAACACGAATGAGCCTTGAAAACATCATGCTGAGACACCAGAAACAAGACCACGTATCACGTGATTCCATTTATACAAAATATCTAGACTAGGAAAACCCATAGAGATAGAAAGTAGATTAGCAGTTGCCAGGGACTAGAAGAAGGGTAAAATGGGGAGGGATAGCTAATGGGCACAGGATTTTTTTAGGGGTAATGAAAATATTCAAAAATTAGACATTGGTAATGACTGCACAACATGGTAAATATACTAAAAACCGATGAGTTGTACACTTTAAAAGGGTGAAATGTATTTTATGTGAATTATCTCTCAAAAAAAATTGTAAGATTTTTAAGCACAATATATTAAATGTGTCTGCATTACCCATGTATGTGCTTAAAATATAAAATCTATGTAATTGCCCTATTATATGCTCTAACTTATTGAATCCCATTTTTTATGATACTAAGTAAAAGACTCTATTTTACAAGAGTACATTTTTCTGGACAATAAAAAAAATTCTAACTGTCTAGAATTATTATAATCCCTAGAGATATCAGAAAGAACTACACAACCACAGACTTATGTTTGGCAAACAAATTTGATTTTTCCAATTTACCAGTATTAGTTCACTGTCCACATTTAGAAAAGATGCATTGGCACATGCTAATGAGGGATTTTTAACATGCAAGTACCACACACAAACACCATCTATTCAGTTAAAAGATCAATTTATAAAATCATCACTTTAAAAGGATTTTTGCTTTTGATTAAGTAGTATTTGAACCATCACAAGAAAATAAGCAGAAAAAATTATAAATAAACTTGAAAGAATTCGAAGGTTAGGAACAAAATGAACAATACAAGGATGATAACAAGTACTTACTAATTTGTTTTCCTGCATGTATATCCTTTGTAATTTCAGACAGCCCTTAGCTATGACGATCATGCCTTCATCTGAGATCTTGTAACACTGGCCGAAATGAATATCTTTGAGTTCTCTGCATTTTGAGCCCAGCTGTAAACAAACAGATTTAGCTGAATGCTCAAAAAATAACAAAGGCAACATATTTCAAGTGAGATTTTCATATAATTTTTTGAAAATAACCACGTCAGAGTTAAATATTTATGTTACTTGTAAAATAAGATAGAATGTAAGCAATCCATAACTTAAAACAGTACTGTATAAACATTTTTAACCTTCTAATTTACCCCCGTTTCAACCAACTCACATTACAAGCCCTCCAAGGTATGTATATTCCTTAACAGTTCAAAATTACATATCTATTACTCCAGTATATATATTTTTAAAGACAGGGTCTCACTGTGTCGCCCAGGCTAGAGTGCAGTGGCTCAATCATGGCTCACTGCAGCCTCAACCTCCTGGGCTAAAGAGATCCTCTTACCTCAGCCTCCTGAGTAGCTGGGAGTACAGGTGTGTGCCACCACACCTGGCTACTTTTTAAATTTTGTTGTAGAGCTAGGGTCTCGCTATGTTACCCAGACTAGTCTCAAACTCCTGGCCTCGAGCAATCCTCCCACCTCAGCCTCCCAAAGTCCTGGGATTACAGGTGTGAGCCACTGCACCCAGCCTCTCTTGAGTCTTAATAGTGAGGAAAAAAATATAATGCTTAAAGGAATAAATTATGGTGTATTCATAAAACTGAATATTATACAACCACTACAATTGGAAGAAACATTTGACAAAAATGTATGTAAGTTTTTATAGTATAATCCAATTTTATAAAGAAATTATGCATATTTAAATACATACATGTGTATTTGTGCACAGAAAAGGGACTGAAATACATACCAAGGTGTTCACAGTGGTTAATTCTGATTAGCGCATGAGTGAGTTTTTATTCCCTTCTGCCTATGAATCTTCTCTAATTTTTTTAATAAACATTGCTTTTGTAAGAAAAAAAAACTTCCAAGTTCTGTCTCAAGTAATGACATCAGAAATATATGTGAGTTCAGTTACTTTTCCAGGGGTGGTGATAGATATAAACTATATTATTATAATCTAGGCTGCACTACAACCAATAACATATTCCTACAGAAATGTAAACTCCATGAAGACAGCAGTTTGTCTATTTTGTTAAATAAGGTAACTCTGGTGCCCGATATCTTACACTTAGTTGATACTTAATAAATATTTGTTAAATAAATGAAAAGGCTGATCAGGATTATGCACTATAAAGCAGCTCTCATTTTAAATGCGCAAATACAAGAAACCATGATTTTGGCCTCATATACTACTAAATTCCAGTTAATTCAGTGGTTCTAACTGGCCCATGGAGAGAATTCAGGGGTTCCAGGAAAGCAGATTTTTTAAAAGTGCATGTTCATTTTTTATGTTATCCTCCAAATGAACTTTAGCCTTTCCTTACCATATGAAAAACAGCACAGTAGCTTAGCAATACCTAAGACTTTGTAAGCAATAGAAATCAAAGATTATTTCATATATCACTGTTGCAGATACCTTGAAATATTTTTCATTAGTAGTCATCATGCTCATTAGCTATCAGATTTTTATTGAATTCATTAAAAGAGGCATATATATTTCTATAACAAATGTTGAGGAAACTAAATCCAAAGCCAACAGTGGGAAAAGCAAAGAAGTCTATTGAAGAACTCTCAACAGGCTCACATATATGTCTGGCAGTGAGGCTGAGGTTGGGGCTAAAAATACTAGAATTCTTGAAAGTCTGTTTAAAAATTAGTTAAATCCTCAGATCACCTCCCCATTACTGCACAGCCTGACCTTGCCCTTTTTCCTACAATGGCAAAAAAATGTATTTCTCTGGGGAGAGCAAAACGTAGGGTTTTTGGACTGGGGTATACCACAGATAGCTGAGAACCAAAGCACAATGCTGAAAATATGGGGATTTGTGAACGTTTATACAGTGAAAACGGAGGAATTCAAAGAAACATTTCTATCCCATTTTCCAGAATGAAAGGATATCAACTTCCAGACTGAAAAGGCTTATCCACTTGTCCAGCATAAATGACAAAAATAGACACATGGCAATGCAAATCATCAAAAAGTTTCAGAAACAGGAGTTTAAAGAGATTCTACAGACTTAGATAAACTTCATAGAAAGGATTAGGATGAAAATGCATCAAACTTCTTAACAAAACTAAAAGAAAGCAACAGTCCAATGCCATCAAATTCTGAAGATAAATTATTTCTAACCCAGAATTCTGTACTCGGGATTCAGATTATGAATTAAGTGTGAAAGCAGAATTAGAGATGTTTTCAGACATACAAGTTATCAAAAGATTTACCTCCCATATACACTTTATCAGGAAGGTACTGGAATCTGTGCTCTATAAAACACGAGAATACACCAAGGGAAAGAAAACATGACATCTGGGTAACAGAAGATCTAACCCAACAGCAAGAGAAAGAAAATCTTAAGGATAACGGTCGTAAGATACTAAGGTGACCACTAATGCCATCACACTTGTATATGAGAAGTCCAGACTAGACTATCCCAGGCAAATCTGCTGTAGGGCAGTAAATGTAATTAAGTATTCACATATAGACATACTAATGCAACTGGAGGAAAGCTTTGGTCTTCATTAGTGTTAAGAGTATAAAAACTAGGTAAAGAAATAAAAAGACATTTATTAATTCCAATGAAAACAAAATGCTTTAGAGAAAAAAGATAGGTACATAATTATAGAATGTAAATACTGAATACTTATTTAACAAAAATTATAATAGAATTATGTTGGAAGGATGAGAGGATAAGACACAGGGAAGGAAGTATAAGTGAGCTAAATCCTTATCTTTGATACAAGGAATCAGCAATAAACAGTCAAAAGTGGGTAAGTTTTTTAAAAAATACAAACAAACATGCCAGGGGAAAATGTTTTCTCATTCTGTAGGAAGCCCAACTAGTCTGATTCCCGGTCTCTCCACTGATTATTCTGTATTTAATAAACTGGATATTTTCAGCTCATATGTATACTTCTTCCCCTTGTGAATAAACTGCATACAGGGAGCAAGCAATCTTTATTTCTCTATTTGGGGCCACTCTGCTGGTCAGCCTAGTCAATGACTAGTCAGTTAGCCAAACTCCAGAGTCAGGTTAACAATCCCATTTAGCATTGTTTGTAAGCAACCTTCTCCACCTTAGATTTTCTGAGTGCTAAAGCTGACATCTTGCTCCTTCATCACTATTTCTTCGTCATACTTATCAATTTGATAACATCCTGAGCAGTGAATAGGAGGCCCCATGAGACCTCAACAGTTAGTACACAAGCTAGAAAAACGGAGAAATAAAAGAAGAGAATCTACATATCAACAGAAGGAATAAGTGTGGTTTTTGGTGAAGTCTTAGACATCAATGTGCATGGACAAGTTGGTAGAACCTCAGGTTAAGACACGTAAATCACAGCGCCGCAGGCTGGGAAAATAATTTAAACTGACTACATGGTGTTTTGACATTGAAAAGTAGCTTTGGTGGCTTTATCTATAAAGAAATGACTTTTCATACAGGCCACGTGGATAACCACACAAAGATGAGAACCATGTGGATGGCATATGCAGAAATTACCAGCATGTGAGGTAAAGTCAGATGTGGGGAACAGTGCCTCACAGGAGAAGCTATTATGATTTACTACTACTGAGTAAAACCATCATTTAATCTCACTGCAGAAACTGATATTCTGTTTTAGACATCACTGGATATAACCGGCAAGACCAGACCCAAATCAGTGCCTATCTGCACTACTCACCATTACGCCATCCACAAATGTCCTAAGTTCCAGACTATCCAAGCACTGTAAAGTCAATCATTATAACTGATATATTTACAATTTGGCTGACAGTCTTTAAATTTCTCAATGTTGTATTCATCTATGACCCACAGAAAAACATTCAGAGGGCATCAACCAAATCTTACAAAATCATCACCATTAGGATGCCTTAAATCTAGCACAATTAGTACTCTATCTAAAAACCATAGAAATAGAATACAATTCTTTTTTGTTGTTGTTTTGTTTTTTGAGACGGAGTTTCGCTCTTTCGCCCAGGCTGGAGTGCAGTGGTGTGATCTCGGCTCACTGCAAACTCCACCTTCTGGTTTCAAGCGATTCTCCTGCCTCAGCCTCCCGAGTAGCTGGGACTACAGGCACCCGCCATGACTCCCAGCTAATTTTTGTATTTTTAGTAGACACGGAGTTTCACTATGTTGGCCAGGCTGGTCTCGAACTCCTGACCTCATGATCCGCCCGCCTCAGCCTCCCAAAGTGCTGGGATTACAGGCGTGAGCCACTGCGCCTGGACGAATATAATTCTTCTAAATAAAAAATTATCTGTCCAGGAAGACAGTGCTAGAGACACTGGAGCTCTACTCTGTCAAAAGGGAGAAATCCTGTGAAGTGCCCTGGCATCCAGCTGAGACACCAAAAAGATGGTACCTTGGGAGCAAGAACTATGCCCTAGAATAAGGCCTATTCTAGATGATCCAAGTTAGAGGGATTTGGGAAACACCTTGGGCTTTCCACATAATAAAGCATAAAACTGAACACAAACAAGACAAGGATGATCATTCAGTAACTGTAATGCTTGCTTTAAAAGAAAAGATTTCTGGTTTTCAGTCTGGCATGTAAGGAGTTTAGAAGTTGCCAATCTGTTCTAAAAAATAAAAAGCTGATCACACTGAAAAATTAACAATTCTTTTTAGATCCATCAGAGAAATGAAGACACAGACCAAACCACTGCCACAAAACTGCAGAGACAGACAGATGCAGAGAAGCACAACTCACCAGAAGAGAAACTACTACCAGAAACCTCAGCGGGAACCAGGGCTAGAGTAGGAAAACCTGAACTCTGCATTTGACAAAATACTGGAGGCACAGCGTGGATAAGTCTGATAATTAAAAATTCCAGGGGGACCAGGTTATAAGACAACACTCATGCTTTTGTGAGTTTTATCTACAGGAGCTCTACCAGGTCTTCACGGAGAATACTGGAGAGAAATCACCTCATGCATACAGCAATGAGAGGAGAAAAGTAACCATTTTGAAATATGCCAGAGCATTCTATTATTTTTAACAAGGCCTGTCCTCAGGAGGAACTGTTTTACCAGAGCCTAACCTGTGGGAGTTTTGTCAGAGCCTAACCTTCCTAGGGGAAGGGAAATATTGAACTCCAGCCAGTTCTAGCCTTCCATGTAAGGAAAGGGATATACCAAACTCCAGCCCTCTCTAGCCATCCCAGCCCACCTAAGGGTAAGGGGAAAAAAAGAAGCACTGGTAAAGGTAGCCCAGTGGCACAGACTTGCCAAAATATTAAAACCTAATCCTAAAACTATAGATCATTCCTCCTCTCCCCACACCTAACCACTACATTACTAAAGGCCCATTTATGAAAGTTGCATTTCCCAGTATAGGTTGCGTATCCCTTATCCAAAATGTTTGGGACCAGAAGCGTTTTAATTGTTGGATTTTTTTCAGATTTTTGAATATTTGCATTACATTTATCAGTTGAGCATGCTTAATCTGAAAATCCAAAATCCAAAATGTTCTAATGCATAATTCCTTTGAGTATCCTGTCAGCACTCAAAAAGTTTCCAATCTTGGAACATACTGGATTTTGGAACTTTGAATTAGGGACATTCAACCTGTGCATCGTGTCCACCTTTCAATGAAAAATTAAAAGGCATACCAACAAGGAAAAGACAATTTCAGGAGACTGAAAAAAGCATCAGAACCACAGTCAGATACAGCAGGAATGTTGGAATTACCAGGCCGGAAATTTTTTAAAACTACAATTAATATGTTAAGAGCTTTAATGGGAAAAGTAGGCAACACGCAAGCACCAATAGGCACTATAAAAAGATACATTAGTAGATGGGACATGGTTAAGGAAAAAGTCTGAGTTTGAGAATATAATAGAAAGTTCCAAAACTGAAAATCAGGAGAAAAAAGACTGAAAAAAAATGAACAGAATATCTAAGAACCACAGAACAACTACAAAAGGTATAACATAAGTGAAAAGTGAATACCAAGAAAAGAGAGAGAGACAGGAACAGAGAAACATTTGAAGCACTCCTGACTAATAATTTACCCAAATTAAGATCAGATACCAAACTACAGACCCAAGAAGTTCAGAGAATACCATGAAGGAAAACTGCAAACAAACAAACAAAGAAAAAACTACACCTAGGCATATCATTTTCAAACTGCAAAAAATCAAAGGTTAAAAAAAAAAAGAAAAAAAAAAGTAAGAAATCTAGAAAGAAGCCACAGGATAAAAACACCTTACCTACAGAGGGGCAAAAATAAAAATTATATCTAACTTTTCCTTAGAAACCACGCAATCAAGAAGAAAGTAGAGTGAAATATTTAAAGTTTCGAGTGAAAAAAAACCAACAACCTAGTATTCTATAGCCTGTGAAATTATCTTTCAAAAGTGAAGGAGAAATAAAGACTTTGTCTAACAAAAAATGAGGGAATTTGTTGCCACTAGACCTGCCTTGCAAGAAACGATAAAAGAAGTTTTTCAGAAACAAGGAAAATGACACAGGTCAAAAACTTGGATCAATACAAAGAAAGAATGCATCAGAGAAAGAATAATGAAGGTAAAATAAAAACATTTATTTTCCTTATTCTTAATTAAGCTAGCAGATAACAATTTCTTCAAAATAATAATGATGTATTTCATCATATACACACACATATATATGCTTATATATGTGAAGTAAATAGTATCAATAATATAAGGGATGAAAAACTTTATTTATTTATTTATTTATTTATTTATTTATTTATTTATTTATTTTTGAGACAATCTCACACTGCCCCTAGTCTGGAGCGCAGTGGCATGATCTTGGCTCACTGCAACCTCCGCCTCCCAGGTTCAAGCAATTCTTGTGCCTCCTGAATAGCTGGAATTACAGCCGTGCGCCACCACACCTGGCTAATTTTTGTATTTTTAGTAGAGACGGGGTTTTGCCATGTTGGCCAGGCTGGTCTCGAACTCCTGACCTCAGGTAAGCCACCTGCCTCAGCCTCCCAAAGTGCTGGAATTTCAGACATAAGCCACCGCACCCAGCCAGAAAACTTTAAAATATTTTGTTATTATAAGATATTTTCACTACCTGTGATGCAGTACAAAGTTATTTGAAAGTGGAGTTGGTTATAAATGTATATTGTGAATTCCAGGATAACCACTTTAAAAAGTAAAAGAAAAAAAACCAACTATGATTGACTGCTAAGAAAGAGAGAAAACTGAATCATTAAAATGCTCAATTACAACCACAAAAGGCAGAAAAAGTATGGAAGACAAAAATATTAGCAAAGAACTAGGGCAGCAAATAGTAAACATTAACGGATATGGTAGATATTAATCCAACTACAGAAATAATCTCTTTAAACATCAGTGGTCTAAAAACACCAACTAAAAGACAGATTGTCAAAATGGATCAAAAAACAAGACCCAACTCTATGTTGTCTACAAGAAATCTACTTTAAATAGACAGAAATATATAAATTAAAAGTAAATGGATGAAGAAAGATATGCCATATTAATACTAATCAAAAGAAAGCAGAAGTAGCTACATTAATTTCAGACAGAGCAGGCTTCAAAGCAAAGAATGTTATCAGTGATAAAGGGGGACATGACTTAATGATAAAGGAGTCAACACTCCAAAAAAACCTAGAAATCTTTAAGACATATGTACCTAACAAGAGAGCATCAGAATATGTGAAGTAAAAAATGACAGAACTAGAAGGAGAAATAGATGAATTCATTATTATAGCTGAAGACTCTTAGCACATGATCCAGCAATCATGTACCTTGGTTTGTACCCAAAAAAGCTGAAAAAATTATGCCCATGCAAAAACCTACACACAGAAGTTTATAGTAGTTTTATTTATAATTACCAGAACTTGGACATGCCCAAAATGTCCTTCAGTATTTGAATGGATAAACTGTGGTACATAACAGGCAATAGGATATTATTCATTGCTAAAAATAAATGAGCTATGAAAAGACATGGAAGAAACTTAACTGCATACTACTAAGTGAAGGAATCCAATCTAAAGGGGTTACATACTATATGATTCCAACTGGAATCATAAACATTCCAGAAGAGTTTACAAAGACAATAAAAACATCAGGGGTTGCCAGGAGTTAGAGGGGAGGAGCGAATAAATAGGCAGAATACAGAGGATTTTTAGAGCAGTGAAAATACTCTATACTGTATCTATAATGGTAGATACATGTCATTATATATTTGTCTAAACTCATAGAATGTACAATACCAAGAGTGAACCCTAACATAAATTATGGGCTTTGGAAATAAAGATATATCAATGAAGATTTATTGATTATAATAAATGTGTCACTCTGGTGAGGGATACTGATAATGGGAGGGGCTATGCATGTGAGGAATAGGAGTATGTAGGAAATATGCAAAATTTCTCAATTCTGAAATGAACCCAAAACTCCTCTTTTAAAGGCTTTTAAAAGTCAAAAGAGCATTCACAAAAATCAGGCAGCAAACAAAATTTCAAAATTTCAATGAATTCAAAAGTGATCTGAACAGTGAATAAAACTGTAAATTAAGAGAGTTGTAAATTGAGAGAAAAAGTACTTAAAAGCAATCCTTCAGAAATGTTTAAGAAGAATTACAATTATTAACTAAAAACTGGGAACAGCTATAATAACTTCAGACAGAGCAGACTTCAGAAGAAGAAAAGTTATCAGGGATAAAGAGGGACATACATAATAACAAAAGGGGACAATACTCCAGGAAGACATAATAATCCTTAATATGTATTCATCTCACAAAAGAGTGTCAGAATATGTGAAGCAAAAACTGTTAGAACTACAAGGAAAAATGAATAACTTCACTATTAGAGACCTTAATATCCTTCTATCTGAAATGGAAAGATCCAGCAGGCAGAAAATTAGTAAAGGCATAGTTCAACTCAATAAAACCATTAATTGACTGGATATAATGGACATCTAGAGACCACTTCATCCAGTAGTAGAATACACATTCTTCTCTAACGCACATGGAATATTCACCAAAACAAACCACATTCCAGGCCATAAAACACACATTCACAAATTTAAAAGAATAAAAATTATACAATGTCTGCTCTCATACTGCAATAGAAATAAAATAAAAATCGATTACAGGAAAATGACGAAAATACTCCCAAAAAACTTAGAGATTTAAATAACACGTTTTTTTTTTAAATTATACTTTAAGTTCTAGGGTACACGTGTACAACGTGCAGGTTTGTTACATAGGTATACATGAATGACACGTTTCTTAATAACACATGGGTAAAAGAAGAAACTTCAGAAGAAATTTGAACATATTTTGAACTAAATGAAAATAAAAATAAAACATCAAAATTTATGAGATCCAGCAAAAGCAGTGTTTAAAGGCAAATTTATACTTTTGGATGCTGTTGTAAATGAAATCGTTTGGATTCTATTTCTTTTGGGGTGTGTAGAAATACAACTGATTTTTCTGTATTTTGATTTTGCATCCTGCCACTCTGCTGAAATCACTTATTAGTTCAAATGGGTTTTTTGTGGTTTCTCTGGGGTTTTCTATTCATAAAATAATGTCATCTTCGAATACAAATAGTTTTACTTCTTCCTTTCCAATTTGGAAGCATTTTATTTCTTTTTCTTGCCAAATTGCTCCTTAGAACTTTCAGCACAATGTAAAACAGGATTGCCAAAAGCAGGCATTCTTGTCTTATTCTTGATCTTAAGGAAAAAGTTTTCCACCTTTTATCACTGAATATGTCAGCTGTGGGTTTGTCACATATGGTCTTTATTATGATGAGGAAGCATCACTCTATTCCTAGTTTGATAGGTTTTTGTTTTGCTTTGCTTTTTCAAGAAAGGCTGCTTATTTCACCAAATGCTTTTGCACACCAATTAAGATGACTGGTTTTTTTTTCCTTTCATTCTCTTAATGTGGTATATTACATTGATTGATATTTGTATGTTGAGCCACCCTTGTACTCCTTGGATAAATCATAGTAGGTTACGGTGTAGAATCCTTTTAATCTGGTGCTGAATTCAGTTTGCTAGCATTTTGAAGATTTTTACATACTCGTTAAAGATACTTGTCTGTAGCTGTTGTTTGTTTTGTAGTTTCATTTTTGTAGGGTCTTGGGCTGGCTAATGCTAGCCCCACAGAATAAGTTAAGAAGTGTTGCCTCCTCTTCAATTTTTTTGAAAGAGTTTGAGAAGGACTGGTGTTAATTCTTCTTTAAATATTTGAAAACATTCACCATCAAAGCTATGGTCCTTAGTCTTTCTTCATTGGAAATTTTTTTAACTGATTCAATCTCCTTATTTATTATAAATATATTCCAATTTTCTACCTTTTTCTTTTTTTGTTAAGAGATGGGGTCTTGCTATATTGCCCTAGCTGGAGTGCAGTGAATATAGCTTCAGCCTCCTGGGCTCAAGCAATCCTCCTGCCTCAGGCTCATGAGTAGCTGGAACTCAGAATTTCTACTTCTTGGGTCAGTTTTTCTGGTTTCTGTATTTCTAGAAATTTTTCCATTTCTTCTAGCCTATCCAATTTGTTGGTATGCAGTTATTCATGGTTTTCTCATACAATCCTTTTTAATTTCTATAAAGTCAGTAGTAATGTCTACTCTTTCATTTATGATTTAATAATTTGAGTCTTTTTTCTTAGTCAATCTAGTTAAAGGTTTGTCAGAGTTTTTTAAAATCTTTTCGAAGAACCTAGTTTGGTTTTCAATAATTTTTTTCCATAGCTTTTCTGTCCTCTATCATGTTTATCTCTGGTCTGGTTATTATTTCCTTCCCTCCACGAACTTTGGGTTTAGCCTGCTCTTCTTTCTCAAGGTGTACGCTTTGATTACTGCTTTCAGATCTTCTTTTTTAATGTAAGATTGTACAGCTATAAACTGCCCTCTGAGCACTGCTTTTGCTACATCCCTTGAGTTTTGGAACGCTGTGTTTTCATTCTCACTCATCTCAAGATATTTTCTAATTTCCCTTGTAATTTCTTCTATAAGCCATTGGTTGTACAAGACTCTGTTATTTAATTTCTACATATCTGTGTATTTTCCAATTTTCCTTCTATTATTGATTTCCAGATTCATTCCATTATGGTTAGGGAAGACACACTGTATGATTTCAATCTTTTTTAAATGTATAAAACTTGTTTTGTGATCAAACATATGGTCTATCTGTGAGACTGTTCCATGTGCACTTGAGAAGAATGTGTATTCTTTTGTTGTTGAGTGTACTGTACATATCTGCTAGGTGCAGTGGGTTCATGGTACTGTTCATCCTCTGCTTCTTTGTTAATCTTCTTCCTAGTTGTGCTATTCATTATTGAAAGTGAATTACTTAAGTCTCAAATGATTAATGTACAACTGTCTATTCCTCTCTCCAAGTCTTTCAATTTTTGCTATATATATTTTAAGGATTCTGTTGTTAGGTACATATGTGGTTATAATTGCTACATCTTCCTGAAAGATTAATATTTTATATTTATCAATATATAATAATTCTGTCTCTTGGATCCCTTTTGGACTTAAAACCTGGTTTTTTTGGATAATAAAACAGCTATTATAGCTCTCTTCTGGTGTGGAATATCTTTTTCCATCCTTTCAACCTCTATGTAGTTACTTTCATCAGTTTTCTTTATTCTTCATATGGCTTTCAATTACCATCTAGCATCTTATTTCAGCCTGGAGGACTCCCGTTAGCATTTCTTGTAGGGCAGATCTATTAGTAACAAACTCCTTTAGCTTTTGCTTATCTGGAAATATCTTAATGTCCCCTTGAGTGCCCCTATTCTTTAACAGTTTTGACAAATACAGAATTCTTGCTTGACTTTTTTTTCTTTCGACACTTTAAATATTGTTAGCCCACAGCTTTCTGGCTTCCATAGTTTCTGATGATAAAACAGTTGTAAATCTTATTGAGGAGTGCTTGTATGTGATGAGTCACTTATCTTTTGCTGCTTTGAAGATTCTGTCTTTGACTTCTGACAATTATACTATAATGTGTCTCAGTGTATATCTCTTTGACATTATCCTCCCTGAATTTATTGAGTTTCTTGGACGTATAGATGCGTATCTTCCACCAAATTTCGGAAGTTTGGGCCATTATTTCTGCAAATATTCTTCCTGCCCCTTTTATTTCTCCTTTCCTTCTGGAATTAGCAAAATGTGAATGTTTTTCTGCTTGATGGATGTCCCACCCATCTCTTAGGCTCTACTTACTTTTCTTCACTCTTTTTTCTTTCTCTTTCTTAGACTCAATAAATTCAATTGTCCTATCTTCTTTCTTCCACCTGCTCACTTCGGCTCTTGAATCCCTCTGGTAAATGTTTTATTTCAGTTATTGTACTTCTTAGCTCCAGAATTTCTATTTGGTTCTTTCCATAATTTCTAGCTCTTCATTGACATTCTCAATTTGTTCATACATTATTTTCCTAATTTCCTTCATTTCTTTGGCCATGGTTTCCTTTATGTCTTTGAGCATATTTCAGATAATGGATTTAAAATCTTTAGTAAAATCTTTAGTAAATCCAATGTCCAGGCTTCCTCAAGAATGGGTTCTATTTATTCTTTTTTGTTTTAATGGGTAATACTTTTTTCTTTGCATGCCTTGTAATTTATTGTTGAAAACTAAATATTAAAATATTAGATTATAATGTGGTAACTTGGGAAATTAGATTCTCCCCACTTCCCTACGCTTCACTATTTTTGATTAATCAAGGCTTAGCTTGTGTTCAGCCAGTGTTTTGAAAGAGATTTCCTTGGATGCCAAAGCTTAAAAACAAAACTAAAACAAAAAACAAAAGCACTTATTCAAGTCTTTGCAGACTGGCTCTGTGCTGGGATATTTCTTTAAGACTTAGCCATACCATTCACAACTCTGCCTTGGCCTTTACTTCCTGCTTGTACTGGACCTAGCAAGCACACAGTGATAAAGTTTACAGTCTTCTTAGGTCGTTCCTGAACAAGTGTCCTGCCCTGGGCATGCATGCGGCTTTCAAAATTCCCTTCTATACACTGAGGCTGATTGTCCTAATTTCAAAACAAAAACAAAAATAAAAACAAACTCTCTCCCAGGCTCTTTCTCCTAGGTCAATTGTATGTCTCACCATAATCTATTGCCCAAAGAAGCTTGCTCAAAAGCAAGTTTCTTTCATTTGCCTTATACTGTGTTCAATCAATGCCCACTAATTTTCCTCCCTGACTGGGTTCTAAATTAGGTAAAACAGATATATAAGCACCTGCATCAGCCCTTCAAATAGCTCTCAGGTAGGTTGATCAGACAAATGAATAATTTGCAAATAAGGTCTGCTCTGTTCCCTCTGGAACCAGGGATCTGGGTCCCACACTGGGAACTCGGACTGCTATCTTCAAGACTGTTGCCAAGCTGGGGAATGGGTGAGGCACAGGCAAGTAAAAAACCCACAAAGCATTCTTTCCACCTTTCAGTTGCATTTTTCTTGTCTAGCATTCCTTTGGTTGCTATAAACCTTTGACGTTTCCAGAGTTCTGACAAAGTTGGATCTGATAGTTTAGGCTTGTTTTTCAATGTTTTTTTGGAGAGGCAGGCTTTTGGAGCTGCCTGCTCCAACATTTTGCTGATAGTACTCTAAGTAGTTATTTTTAAAGACCTAAAAATTGATAGCATAGCCAGATCAAAATTTACTAATGTAACATTTATTATTTTTGTACCATTTTATCTGAAAAAAGCCTACAGTGACTTATTTACAGAAATTTCTACTGAGCTCCATGAGCTGGAGTGTTAAACTGCTAAAACTGCATATAATTGAGTCACATAATATAGTAACAATGCATACAATTTCTTAGATATATTTTAATACTTTGACTACTATTATCGTTTGTTTACTGGCAAGTGCTAGATGATAACAAAATATTAGGAAAATTGAAACAGCCCTTTATTCTTAAATAGATTTTTCCTCTAGATACATGATTGTAGTTTTAAAAGATATATACAATAGGAACACATTCCACTGGTAAAATTATTTTGAGTGACTATTATGAAAATAAAAATATAAATATTTCAGGGTGGTATTTCACAAAGAGGATAGTATTCAACCAAAACCAGCCTGATTTTTTTAGGTGCTTCACCATGCTTAAGAAATATTGTTAAGCAGAATCCAATAGTTAAAACATTAGAGTCTACATCTATTAGAGCTCCAAATTGAAATGCTATAAGCAACTGTTTTTGTAAACAAACTGACAGAATTCAAAAGGCACACATATTTGGTATCCGCTAAAGTCAATCAAAATTATAGCAGTTATAAAGAAAATATATTCTAAAGAAATTATCAATAAAATTTACATATATCATTCTAAAACATTTCTCAATTTTTACTGACAGAAGAGGGAAAAAACAGAACCCTGCAACAACTTAATCTGTAGAATCAACAATTCAGTCAATTGCTAAATTAATGAGTTCAAGAAAAAATAACAGTCCCAGGCAAATCATCAATTATGGCTAGTTCCCTCTTAGGCTTTCGTAACTCTATTATACATTTTAACATAGCACTGTCAGTTTACTAAAACCATAATATAAATCCATATTCGGATTTATGAAATATCACTAGGTCATAAAATTAATTTAGTGAGTGGGTCAAGGCCAACATTTAACATAATAGTATAGAACAGAATAGATAATATCCATGTGCATTGCACATAAGGATGTGTATTGTTTCATAAAACTTAATTTCTATTTTATGTATATATGAAAGCCATTCTCTTTCTACTATACCCATAACACTATTCCATCAGAGGAAAGAGTCTATTATGAAATCAGACATACCCAGCTATAGCGGTCTTAAGTACAGAAAAATATTCTCTACACTGCAATGAGATCCTATGTAATTACTTAAGAAGAAAACTACCTAAGGGGAAAAAAATTTGTTTTGCTACTTTTATCAGAATATTACCTCACGTGTAACTAATTCATAATTCAGAAACCATAAATATCCGAAGGAAACATCTAAGTAACAGGCTCCAAAATACCTCACATTCTAGAGAAGATTTACATAATTACTCTCAAAGTTGTAAATATAAGATAAATTCATAATACTTGATTAGCATATTAAATGTTGCTCCTTCTCTACTTCAACCATGACTACGATCTTATTCTTTTTCACAAAAATTACTAGGTATACCCTAAGAAGTCTGCTAAACTACTACCTATTTGTGTTATATCAGAATTAAATATGAAATAGATTTAATCCAGTTCTTAATACATACACCTTTTTAAAATGTTTCATTGTGAAAAATAAATTGCTGAGAAATTTCCATCAAAGTAAATAAAATCATGCTATATACACAAAATATATATTTCTTCATAAAAGATTAATTTAATATGTTTAAGAACTTCATGAAATGCTTTGCTAGTAAATAATCCTGTACATAGCAGAAATGAATCAAGAAAAATATTAAAACAAATAAGACTTTTTGCACAATATGCCTTTGCAAACAAAATAGGCTCCCTTATAAGTTGGTAACATTCTTAATATATAAGTTGTACTGACACACCCAGTACTCACTATTTAGGATAGAGTCTTCCCAAATTTCTTTTCATACCAAGCTTTCAGTTAATTCATACATAAGGTTTAAATTTAAGGATATTCATCTGTTGAATAAATAATCCACTCCGAGCCAAGAAACCTTAAATGCCATTTCCAAAGGAAGTATAATAAACAGAAGGTATGCATAATACTATTTTTAACCCAGTTATTGTACCAAATAGAGGTAATTAGGCCTTTGTTCTAACTTTTATAATCTTCAATTTGGACGTCCATTTATCCCTTAAACATTCAGATATTTAAGCATGTATGTCATCTAGTATAATAAAAGGGGAATTAAAATGTTAATTTTTAAAACCTCATGCTGACCAAAACTACGCAGTTGCCCAAAGCAAAATGTGGTAAAAAATTTAAGTAACAAAAGCATAAATTTATAAAATGGCTGGTCACAGAAGTTCAGGCTCTCACTATAAAACAAAGCAGTTAATTTACTGATTATAACCATGGCACTCTAGTTAACTAATCTAAACAAATATTCATTAATAGGTAAAAAAGATGATTCACTTGAGTCTCTGGGAACTATTTTTAACGTAACCATTTAAAATGTTGTTGCTAGAAAACATTTTTAATTAATTCAAGTAAAATCACTTTATAAATGCTAAAATTTACCTGCTTGAGTCCTTCATCAGTGAGTTTGTCCTGGTTGCCTACATGCACTTTCTGAAGTAAAGGACAGTGAGAGGCAACCGCAATAATAGAGGTGTCAGAAAGCTGTTTACACCTGTAGGCTGTATACCTAAGAAGTCCAGGACATTTAAATGCTAAAACACATACGCCATTATCAGACATACTGCGACAATCAGAAATGTTGATTTCAATTATATTCTGACTTCTTGATGCAATTTTTTCCAACAATTCATCAGTGACCTGTAAGAGAAAAAGCAATAAATTTAAACTTTTGCTAAAAATAAAAACGTATTTTCCATTTTTTAATTAAATGTTCCACAATAAACAATATACTAATTAGATTATAGCATGAACGATATAATCAAAAGAGAAACCGTCTTAACATTGAAGCATAACAAGAATTTGGTATAATAATAATATTGTAATTGGTCTTTGTCCTGAATTCTTGCCACATATTTCCCAAAACTCTTGGAATTTCCTAAGCAATAGAATTTCTTTAGTTATTCATAACAAGCCCTTTAGACCATATCTGAGTTCATACTAATGAAGTGACTTAGAGTGGGGCGCCTAGATGGCTTCAGAATGGGGGCTGGTTACCAGAAAAACTAAACCCTTGATTAGAGGGTGATAACTTTCAACACTACTTACAGGAGAGGAAGGAAGCTGGAGATTGGGTTATAAAAACTCAAATGACAGAGATTCAGATGGTAAACAACATCAAAGTGCTGAGAAGGTGGTATATCCCATACCTTGCCTTCTGCATCTCTTCCAGTGGGCTGGCCCTGAGCTATATCTTTTATAATAAACCCATAAATATAGTAAGTATTTTCCAGAGTTCAGTGAATAGTTGTGGCTAATTATCAAAACTGAGAAAGAAATTAAGGGAACTCACAAGTTTATAATTGGTCAGTGAGAAGTTCAGGTGGCTTCTGGGACTTGCAACTGATATCTGAAGTGTGGGTAGTCTTGTGGGACTGAGCCCTTAAACTCAGTGATACCTCTGGGAGTTAGTTGAACTGAATTGTTGTACATCCAGTTAGTGTTAGAAAATTGTTAGTGTGGAAAAACTCCACATATTTGATGTCAGAAGTGGTATCAGAAAACACCAACAAAGGATATGTGTTCGTCTCATTAAAAGCCTAAAAATCTATCCTTAGTGGGAAAATTCAAATTCAGCAAAAACTCACCACAAATAAAACTATACTGAGATTTTCAATGTTTCACTTTCCATTTGTAACCCATGAAATAGTATACATCAGTAATAATGTTATATGAAAATTCACTTTTACACTTGATATCAGATGATACCACAGCGTGTAAGTTTTTAATCTTTTACTGTTTCTATGAGAAACAATACCTCGCATATAATTCATAGGTTGGAAAATACACCATTTTGCATATCAGAACACCAAAGACTATATAGGAACGTCCACATCAAAAAGTTTTTCTCAGACGACTCAATTCATCTGGTGAAAAACTCAGATGGCCATCTGAATTTTTGTTTTAAAACCAGCCTCTACATATTCTGTGCCCAATCACCACATTTCCAAAATACAAAACAAAGTTAATGTTATTCAAGTCCTTTCAGTAAAAATAATGGAGACAGAAAATGCAAATGAAATTTAGAATAGAAGGAAAGAACTACACTGTTAAGCAGCACTTGGAGTAACAGCCAAAGATAAAACTATCTTCGTTTATGCTTGTTGGAAACAGCATAAACACAGTTCTCGGAAAAGTTATAACTCTGACATACCTCTCCTTTTATTTTTTACTTTTTCATCTCCACACCTTACTACCAGTAGCGGGCTGGGTGGGGAGGGGGTTTGGGTGGGGGAGGAAGCTATTATTAGCCTGAGTTCATAATAAATAACTCAAACATTCAAGAGTAATGATGTAACAAGCTGATAGATTGCTTTACACATATCTGCTCTCCATTCTACTGCCCACAACTAACTCCCTCACCATTCTCCTTGGATATAAAGGTCATGAACCCAAGCAAGTAAATAACAAATTATCTTAATAGTTTTAACCTCTTACCAATGAAGGAGAAAAACAGAAAGGGAACAACTTATACACAAATCCTCGTGAGCTTGCTTAACTTGGTTAAAGTGTGTGTTATATACACACAAACACATACACTACCAGTGTGCTGGAGTTGGCTTGTAGCACCTCACAAGAGTTTATAGTGTGCCCCTCTTTTCAAATCTGCATTCAATGGCATAACGTGTAGCTTGACACTGGTCATGGTGGGAGTATTTATGTAATAGAAATTGGCAAATATTACAAATCAGGGCTTTTTTTTAAAGACAGTTGCTAAACATTTATCAGCACACTAGTAGTAATACACCATGGCAGAATTTAGAACAGGTTTAGTACTTCGATAAAATGCTATTCTTATTGACATTTTTACATATTTCTAATGCCAAATACCATCAAGTTTTAAAAATGGAATCTAACAAGTCAAAAAAACTGTTTGCAACAAACACTACAAACTCTTTTTTCCTAATTTATGCCCCTATATAAACACATTAGGCAGCTAAGCAACAGGAAGAGTAGAAAGTCCACCAAAAGAAAAGTTAAAGAAAAAAAAAAGGTTATCTTAGCCTATTTTACTTCCATTTCTTCATCTGTAAAGGAGAAAAAATAATAGTATATACTCACAGAGTTGTTGGGTGGATCAAATGAACTAGTATGCATAAAGCCCTTAGAACAGTACACAACAACAGAGGCATTGCTACAGAAATGTTTGCCATCATTTTCTACTATTAAACTATTTGTAGTATGATCCCCCACAGAAAGAAGTTTAATAACTTTTTGAAAAGGTAATGAAAAAAGACAAAAAGACCTAAAAAGCAACCCTAAATTACCAATCTACATGAAAAACTATCTTGTTTACTATGAGAATCTAGCTTTACCTTGAAATCACATACACAAAAAACTACAGAAGCACAAAATTGTAGATTACAGTGATTTGAACTATCTTAAAAAACAAGAAGACAGTAAAGATTTCTGAAGAGGAATAAAGATATTTTTTGAGTAGGTCATATGAGTGTTACTTAGAATTGGATTCCATACCTGCTGACGACTACTAAGATCCAGCTGCTTCCAAAACTGGAAGTCTAAACAAAGGTCACGCCAGTACTTGCAAACCAATGATGCGGAAAGGCAACGCTCATCCAGTGACAAATTGGAAAATATCTGTGAATAAAAAACGGTACCATATAATATGTGCTAAACATTTTCAAGGCACAGGAAAAGGTTTTTATTAGTTAGAAAAAGTTAACTTTGTAAAAAGAAAACCTTCTTGAATAAAAGAGGCCATTATTGTAAGTCACCGTAAGAGATCACCTTAAAGAGAAACTATGATACAGGAGCTAAAAACGGACTGATGTTATATTTTCTGTAAGAAGAGGAGGGGAAGAGAACAGGCATGTACTGACACGTGTTCATGCATATCTTTGTGTTTGCTTATATTTAAAAAAAAAAGAATTGAAAGCATTAACCAAAAACTAATAAAAAAAAAACTGTTTACCTTTCTGGGAAGGGAAAAAAGACTAGGGAAGAAAGAGTGATAAACTTGAGATTATTCTGAAGTTTTACAGTTTGACCTTGGAGCCACGTGAACTTTTCATATGTGATTTAAGAAAAAAAGAAAAACAAAAGTAAATCATAAGAAAGGTACTTTACCTTTATGGTATCTTTTCCAAAATATTCATAACACCAATCTAATAATAAAATATATATACTAAATGTGGGACATTCTACAAAATACTGGATCAAAACTCCTCAAAAAATTCAAGGTCATGAAAAACAACAAAAAAAGAAAGCAATTATCACAATTCAGAGGAGACTAAGAAAGAATGACAACTAATGTTATCCAGTTAGATCCTGGGACAGAAAAAGACATTAATGGAAAAACTGGTGAAACCACATAAAGACTGGAGTTTAACTAATAGTAATGTACAATGCTGATTTCATAGTTTTGGCAAATGTACCACAGTGTCAGAAGAAAATAAAATCAGGGGAAGTAAACAAGTATGAAAGAAAAATAAGTCTCAGGACCCCAAAATCACTAAGCCAAAGACAAAAGTCAAGGCGGGAACTGTATCAGGCAAGCCTGCCTCCCATTTTATTCCTAAATAAGATAGCTACAAGGATTTAAAAAAAAAAAAAAAAGCTACATACTTCCCTCACAATTTGACCAAAAGGAAATTCTCTGTGGACCTCAAGATCTTGACCCTAAAGCAGTTCTGCTGAATTTCACCCTGACCATGTAAATTGATAGCTTCTCTTCACAGATATGGGACAAATGACAGACAGAACTCCATCATCCCTCTGCTCACCTAAGACAAATGCATATCTGATTGCTTCCTCTGCCATATTGTTTATGTAAAAATGCAGGTTCACTGAGTCAGACTAAGGCAGAAGTGATTATTCCTCTACACTCCCTCAGGTGTAAATTGAGTATTCAGTGAAAGGCTGATAAAAGACCCAAAAGAATGCAACCTTTTATCTTTTACCTAGCTATAACCCAGTAGCCCTGACTTCGAGTCTGTCCCTCCTTTCTGGACCGAACCAATGTATATCTTATGTCTCATGTCTCCCTAAAATGTACAAAACTAGGCTGTGCCCAACCACCTTGGGCACATGTTCTCAGGATCTCCTGAGGGCTGTGTCACAGGCCACTTATCACTCATATGTGGCTCAGAGTAAATCTCTTCAAATATTTTACAGAGTTTGACTGCTTTCGTCAACACTGGATAACGAATATAGGGGAAATCTCTGTACTATCATTGCAATTTTTCTATAAATCTGAATGTATTCCATGTCAAAACACCATATATTTTAAATATATAATATAAAAATAAAATTATTCCAAAATAAAATCTATTCTAAAAAATAATTTTTAAAAGTTACATCATAAAAAGATGGTTAGGGTCAGGATGAAGGCCAATACAAATCTTGGAAAATTAAAAGCTTTATCAACAAATACCATGTGTGGGCCACACTGAGATCCAGAATTGAACCAATTCTAAGAAGATACTTTTCAGACAATCAAATAAAACTGAATATAAAAGATATTAATTTAAAGGAATTATTAAATAAGATTAAACACTGAAACAAATGTGACCTATACATTTAAGAAAGATTAATAAAAACAAGTAAGATAATTATTTACCCAGTTATTCCAGTTCAGGGTTGCAGGTGACCAGAGGTCAGGGCACAAGGTAGGAACCAGCAATGGACAGGACACCAATGCACCACAGGGCACATGTACACTCACTCATACCGGGACCATCTAGACACATGCACACCTTATACAAAACCTAATGTACACAGCTTTGGGATGTGGGAGGAAACCAGAATACCCAGAGAAAATATGTGCAGGCATGGGGAGAACATGCAAACTCTACATAGACAGTGGGCCCAGCTACGAATTGTTTTGTTTTGTTTTTTTTCTCATTAACATTATAACACAATGATGTTGAACTAAAGGCTATTAGTCAAGGATTTGTTGTAATACATGATTTCAATTATAATTATTACCTAAAATGACTTACCTCTATATGGACAAAAGTTGTAAACATATAAGCTAGAATCTCTACTATGTTTAAATCTTGGGCCTCGGGAAAACAACTGCCTGTTACCTTCACAACCAGTTTTTCCTCCAACAAGTCTAGTGAGAAGTATAGAATATCATAAAAGTGGCAGGGCATGGTGGCTCATGCCTGTAATCCCAACACTTTGGGAGGCCGAGGCAGGTGGATCATGAGGTCACGAGTACAAGACCAGCCTGGCCAATATGGTGAAATCCCATCTCTACTAAAAATACAAAAATTAGACAGACATGGTGGCGCATGCCTGTAGTCCCAGTTACTCAGGAGGCTGAGGCAGGAGAATCATTTGAACCTGGAAGGCGAAGGTTGCAGTAAGCCAAGATTGCACCACTGCACTCCAGCCCGTGCAACAGAGCAAGACTCCTTCTCGGAAAAAAAAAAAAAAAATCATGAAAGTCACTAGCGAATTTGTCTCCCATGCCAGCAAACATGTATTAAGCCCACTACAGCCTTTTACTTGCAGGCATTACAACTAAAATATCTGGACAATATATTAAAAGCAATTGCCTCAAAACTCTAAAAAGTTAGTAACAAATGAATTGTGGAAGGGTGCCAAAATTTGAAGAATGGCCAATAACAAAGATGAGTTTCCTGGGTTTTTTTTTCTTTAATCCCCTAGTATGGAATTCAGGGTGGTCCCTGTACAGAAATGCACAGGAGGTAAAAATCAACAAAAATTCAGAGAAAAAGCTATCTTTCTGGACAAAGGACCAGGAAAATGGGCCTCTGCAAGACAGAGAATGTGAGAAGACTTGATTTTTGGTTTTCCTTTCTTCCCCTTTTCTCTTTTCTCCCTACTGGCTATGTCCCAAATGCTACGTCAGTAGCAGAGCTGCAATATAGACCCCAAAAGTAAACCCACCATTCTGGTCAGAAGAATTGGGGAAGAGAACTCTGTGGTCCAACAAGTAAACAAAGAATTCCCACTACTGTTTCTTAATTTTATCATAAAAGCAGCCCCAGTCATGCAAAACTACACAGCAGCACAGGTGGCTGTATCTCTGAGAGAAACTCCATCTTTCTAGCCAGATAACCAAATAAAGTTTTATTGGCACACAAAACATAAATGAATGTATACAACTATGTGCCAATAAAACACGATTTACAAAAACTGGCAGTGGATTTGGCCTGTGAAGGGCTACAGTTTGCTGGCCCATTCACAAGAAAAAAGGAAATGAAAAGAAACTGCCCATGAGAAAACCCAGACATTGGACTTACTAGACAAAGACAATAAATCAACAATTTAAGACATGCTCACAGAGCTAAAGAAAACCGTGGACAAAGAACTAAAGGAAATTATGAGAACCAAATAGAAATGTCTCACCAAATAGAGAATATTAATAAAAAGTAGAAATTATGAAAATAAATCAAATAAGAATTATAGAACTAAATTATACAGTAATGACATTTTAAAATTCACTACAGAGATTAAACAGATTAGAGCAAGTGGAAGTGTTATATAAATAAGCCAAAGATGACCTCTGTGTATTGGTTCCTAGGTTATTTCTTCACTGCAGGACGAGACTCATTAGCTCAAGAGCCCACTAGTACCAAACTCAAATTTTTACACATCCCATCATGCTGCTGAGTGACATCACCTAGACAGGTAAGCCTGCTCTCCAATTCTCCTGTTCCCCAGGGGTTGCCTTGCCCTCCTCCCCTTCTGTATGGCAGTCTACCTCGCTGTAAGCCTCTGCACAGCTTCATGCTGTAAAAGAAGTTTCCTCTCATATAATCCTGTCCAAGTGCCACCAAATGAAGCTTGTTGTGTGTTACCACTTCTTATAATCATATCTCTTTCTTGAGAAACATCAAAATCCCTTGAACCTCTACAAGAAGAAAGAATCAGCAAACCTAAAGATAGGTAAATTAAAATTACTGAGTCTGTGGACTGAAGGAAAATGAACATACATGTGGAACCCCACCAAACATACTAATATACATATAATTGGAGGCACAGAAGGAAAAGAGAGTGAAAGAGGCCTAAATATTTGAAGAAATAATGGCTAAAACTTTCCAAATCTGATGAAAGGCATGAATCTAGCTCATAAACTCAATGAATTCCAAGCAGGATAAATGCAAAAGGATTCATATCAAGATGCATCATAATCAAATTGTTGAAAGACAAAAACCGAGAGAACCCTGAAAGCAGCAAGAAAAATGCAACTCGTGAAAAGGACACTCAATACAATCAACAACTGATTTTTCACTGGAAACCATGGAGACCAGAAGGCAGTGGGATAACATATTCAAAATGCTGAAAGGAAACTGTCAACCAAGAATCCTCTATCTGGTAAAACAACCCTTTAAAAATAAAGGCAAAATTAAGATATTTCCAGATAAACAAAAACTGAGGAAGTTTGTCACTGGTAAACTTCCCCTAAAAGAAATACTATAAAGAGTCCATCAGGCTGAAATGTAAGGGGATCAGACAGTGGCTTAAAATCACATATGAACTAAAGGATACCAGTAATTGTTGGTATTTACATAGGTAAATATAAAAGTGCATATTACTGTGTCTTTGGTTTGCAATGCCTCCTCTTTGCTATATGATTTAAAAGACTACATAAAACAGTAATTATGAATCTATATTGATTGGCACAAAATTCATAAAGCTGTAACTTGTGACAATAACAACAAATACAGGAGCAAAGTTTTTATATACCACTGAAACTAAACTGGTATTAATTCAAACTAAATTGTTATAATATATAGTGTTAATTATAACCCCCAGGGTAAATACTAAGAAATACACACATAATTATTTACTATATTTTATTTATATATATAATTCTCATATATACATATTCTCACATTACATAAATATAACATATCTAAATATATTATATTAATATAAATATAATATATATCTAAATATATTAATATAAATATAATATATATCTAAATATATTAATATAAATATAATATATATCTAAATATATTAAATTTTTATTAATATATATCTAAATATAATATATCTAAATATATATTAATATAAATATATATCTAAATATATTAATATATTTAGATATGTTATATTTATTTATATAATGTGAGAATTATATGTATATATGAGAAGGGGATCAAAATGGTACACTAGAAAATATCTGACACAAAGAACAGCATCAGAGGAATTGACAAACAAAAAATATATAAGACATAGAGAAAACAAATAATAAAATAGTAAATGTATTTCCTTATCACTAATTACACTAAATGTAAATGGGCTAAACTTTCCAGTTAAGACACATAAGGCCAGGGCCAGGCACAGTGGTTCACACCTGCAATCCCAGCACTTTTGGGAGGCTGTGTTGAGTGGATCACTTGAGCCCAGGAGTTCAAGACCAGCCTGGGCAACATGGCAAGACCCTGTCTCCACAAAAAAAATGACAAAATTAGCCAGCCATAGTGGTATGCACCTATGGTCTCAGCTACATGGGAGGCTGAGGTTGGAGAATAGCTTGAGCCCAGGAGGTCGAGGCTGCAGTGAGTTGTGATCGTGCCACTGCATTCCAGCCTGGACAACAGACTGAGACCCTGTCTCAAAAAGAAAGACACAATGAATAACAGGATAAAATGTAAAAACACAATCCAATTATATACTGTTTACAAGAGACTCAATTTAGATCCAAAAATATACACAGATTGAGAGTAAAAGCATGGAACAATACATATAGCAAAAACTGACAGAATTGAAAGGAAAAAAACCAAAAAGAGTTCCGCATTAATGCTTGGAGACTACAACGTACAACTTTCAATAATGGATAGAACAACCAGACAAGAGATGAACAAGTAAACTGAACACTTGAACAAGACTTAAACATGGCCTATCAGATATCTCTAGAACACTACACAAAATAGAATACACATTCTTCTGAAGTGCATAAAAACATTCTCAAAGACCAAAGTCTAAAATACTACACTACAAGTCAAGTCTCAACAAATTTGAAAATATTAAGCTCATACAAAGTATCTTTTCCAATGACAATGAAAGGAAATTAGACATCAGTAACAGAGGCCAGGAACAGCAGCTCAGGCCTATAATTCCAGCATTTTGGGAGGCCGAGGGAGGCAGATCACTTGAGCCCAGGGGTTTAAGACCAGCCTGGGCAACATGGCAAAACTCCCATCTCTACCAAAAAATACAAAAATTAGCCGGGCGTGGTGGCATGTGCACCTTTAATCCAAGGTACTAGAGAGGCTGAGGTGGGAGGATTGCTTGAGCCCAGAAGGCAGAAGTTGCAGTGAGCCATGATCACACCACTGCACTCCAGCCTGGGTGATACAGTGAGACTCTGTTTCAAAAAATGAAAGAAAAGAGAAGAGGAGAAGGGAGGTGAGGAAAGAGGAGGGGAAATCACTAACAGGAGGAAATCTGGAAATTTCACAAATACATGAAAATTTAACAATCAACAAGTAAGAAGAACTCATAAAGAAAACTAGAAAATAATTTGAAATTAATGAAAACAAACACATATAGCAAAATCTATGGGATACAGAAACAAGTAACTACATTTAAAAAGAAGAAAGATCTTGAATTGGCAACCTAAACTTCTACCTCAAGAAACTATAAAAAGAAAACTCAATACAAACTAAGCAGAAACAAGGGGGAAAAAATACAGCTAATACAAATGAAATATAGACTAGAAAAATAATAGATGATCAACAAAACCAAAAGTTTATTCTTTAAAATGATGAGGCCGAGCACAATGGTTGACACCTATAATCCCAGCACTTTGGGAAGCCAAAGTGGGAGGACTGCTTGAAGCCAGGAGTTTGAGACCAGCCTGGAAAACATAGCAAGACCCTGTCTCTACAAAAATTATTTAAGAAATTAACCAGGCATGCGCCAGCATGCCTGTGCACCCAGCTACTCAGGAGGCTGACAAGAGGGAAAGTCACTTGAGCCCAGGAGTTTAAGGCTGCACTTCCATTTACATAGCTATAAGCTATGATCACACCACTGCACTCAAGCCTGGGTGACAGAGACCCTGCACACACACACACACACACACACACACAAAATTGGCTAGACTAAGAATAAAGAGAGAAGACTCAAATTTTAAAATCATGTATAAAAATGGGAACATTAATATCAACCTTACAAAAAGTACACAATTATAAGAGAATACTATAATTGTATGCTACCAAATTGATGAAATAGATGACAAATTCCTAGAATATAAACTATAAAAACTGACTCAAAGGAAATAGAAAATCTGAGTAGATGTACAGCACGTAAAAAGATGGAATATGTAATAAAAAACAAAAAACTTACAACAAAGAAAAGACAAGGACCAGATGGCCTCACCAGTAATATGCTTCAATAAGAATGAACACCAATCTATCTTAAATTCTTCCAAAAATGAGAGGATGGGATACTACTTCCCAACTCATGCTATAAGGCCAGCATATCCTGATACCAAAGCCAGGCAAAGAAATCTCAAAAAACTACAGACCAATGTCCCTTATGAATACCGATGTGAAAATCTTCAATAAAATATAAGGAAACTAAATCCACAGTATAGTAGAAGGGTTATACACCATGACCAAGTAGGATTTATCCCAGGAATGCAAGGATGGTTCAACATATGAAAAAAACCCATGTAACACACCATATTAATAGAATAAAGGTAAAAAGCAAAAACAAAACACATGATCATCTCAACTGATTCAGGAAAAAGCACTGGACAAAATCTAATACCCTTTCTTGATTAAAACATTCAGAAATATAGGAATAAAAGAACACTTCCTCAACCTGAGAAAGAGCATCTACCAATAACCCCTAGTTATCATTATACTTAATGGTAAAAGTCTAAAAGTTTTTCCCCAAAATCAGAAACAAAACAAGGATTTCTGCATCATGACTTCTATGCAACATTGTACTGGAGATTCTGGCTAGGGCAATTAGACATGGAATATAAACAAAAGGCATCCAGATTGGGGAGCTGGAATTAAAACATCCTCTATTCACAGATGTCATGGTCTTATATAGAGAAAATCCCAGAGAATAAACACAAAAATTAATTTTAGAGCTAATAAGCAAATATTTTTATATACTAGCAATGAATCATCTGAAGATGAAATTAAGAAAGCACTTCCATTTATAATAGCATCAAAAAGAATAAAACTTTTTTTACAGCTCTCATTTCTTTATTGAGATTTCCAATTTGTTGGGTCAATGTCATCATATTCTCCTGTAATTATTTAAATAATGTTTCCTTTCTTTTACCATGTTTATAATAGCAGTTTGAAGTCTTTGCTAAGTCTAATATCTAGGCTCACTCACAGTCAGTTTCTATTAACTGCTTTCTTTTTCCCTCAGCATGGGTCACATTTTTCTGTCTCTTTACGTGTCTTAAAATTTGTTGTTAAAAACTGGACATTTTGGATAACATAGCCAGTGTATATTCTTTTTTTTTTTTTTTTTTTGAGACAGAGTCTCACTCTGTTGCCAGGCTGGAGTGCAGCGGTGTGATCTCGGCTCACTGCAACCTCCACCCACGGGTTCAAGCTGGGATTACAGGCGTGAGCCACCGCACCTGGCCACCAGTGTAGAATTTTATATTTCTGAGCCTTTTAACATGTCTGGCCCTAAACTGTGGAATCTGTGTCCTGGGCAGTGTGACTACATCTGTTCAGATTTTAATTCACATATATATGTTTTAGCCTGGCTTTCTAGAGAAGTCATTCTGTGTCTGAATATCTTAGTTTTCAGCTATGTACATGCCAAAGATATGCTCAAACAGCTTGAGCCTGCTCTTTAATCTGTATCTGGGTTAAGAAGGGCACATTCAAAGCTTAAAGAATTCTCATCTGCCTTGGCCCTTGCTCTCAGTTAGACAACCTCAGGTCTCCCCTACACATGTGCATAGTTTCACGTTATGCCAGGATATGTGAAGAGGTTATCCCTTTATGGTTCTCTCATTTCCAGGGTCTGCCTTTTAATTTATAGCTACTCTTCCACTCACCCCAACTGGCACTACAACCTTAAACTAGCAAATACATGGTTTTTCCTTGTTTTCCCCTACCAAGTTCAGTACATTTTATCGACAAAGGTTTTTACTCATTGCCCCAAATTGAATCAGCTGTCTGACAGCGAAGCTGCTGGTTTTCCAAACTACAATTCTTGCCAAAAGTGCTGGGACAGGAGGTCACAGTAGAAGCCCACGCGAGAATGCTGTAGACTTGCACTATTCTTACCTGAAGATCTAACAGTTTTCCTAAGAATAAATGTTTCTCAATGATTTTCTTTGCTTTTGGTTGATTTCCAGAGTTCAAATAGTTTTGGGCAATTCTGCCATTTTTATACTTGTGTGTGGAAAGGATTCACCAAACTCTTCATGCAGCCACAGGTGAAAGTACATTTCTTGCGGATATTTTTATGCTTGTCCTCCTCATTTTATAAATGAGAAAATAAAAACTTAGATGGCCTAGATCATTTTTTAAGGTTAAAGGACTATGTGGTCTTAAAGGGCTAATTTGTCAGTTAACAATCAACATGTAGGGCATGGTCACTGCAACCAAGTAGCATCTTGTTTGAAACCTGCCTGACTTTAGCTATTATCTTTTATATAAAAGTGATATGGCTGTTATAAACCACAAGTCATTGACTAAATCCAGATTTGTTTATCCAAGTGAAGAAATTTAAGATGTGGGTAATAAGCATAAAATAGGATATTTTGCCAAAGGCAAACAACTTGTTAAAGAAACTATTATATTAAAATGCATTTTTGACTGCTTTAAAGCAGGTAATATTAACCTATATAAAAGAGAAACATCCTTGTTGATATTGAGCCAAAAATTAGCCTATGATGCAACATATAGTTTAGTTTCTCTCCTCTGCCATAAAAAAAAAAAAATGGGCAAGTATGGTAGCTTTCCCAAAAAACATCCTTTAAATTCTTAAACATCCTCACATTTCTCTCCCAAATTCTACCTGCCTCGTTTTTGTTTTTTGTTTTTTTGTTTTGTTTTGTTTTGTTTTTACAGCTATAGTAACTTCCTAGCATAAAAGATGAAGCAAAAGCAATACAATTATAATAGCTATTGACTCCCTACCAGGAGAACAGGGCATAATTTCTAAGAATGTTTTCCAATAGTGATGATAGACTTGTGCCTCTCTACGCAACCCTTCTAATATTAGAAAAGAAAAATTGTCATAGCTCCATAAGTCTTCCCTTCTCCAAGTCAAACAACTCCAGTCCTTACCAGCAGAGCCAGAATCCTTTCACCACCACATGGCTCTACCGTGGCTCCAACAGCAACTCCAGTCAGAATATGGACATTCCTTAGAAATATCTCTTCGTGGTGTGGCGTATTCACCCTGAGTCTCAGCACAGACTCTAAACACCTGATGATACATTCGTTCGTAAGTATTTACTGAGCGCTACTATATGCCAGACACTGCACTTAAAGGAGGAGACAGAGCAATGAACAAGATTACGAATCCAGAGTCGCTGCACCCAAAAACTGGGGTTGGCAGACACTGAACAATCGCTAATTCAATTCATCCCAGACAGTACAGCTCACTTCGTGCTGAATACCACTAGGACCATCAGACTCAGACAGAGAATCTTTATTAGAATTTTCTAATACAAGGAATGGAAATCTACATAACATGTCCAAATACACACAATAGGGCAAGCCCATGGTAATTCCCATATGTCCTTTAGACAAAGTTTTCAACAATCCTCAGGAAAAAATATGAAAGAGAACAACGCGGTATAGGATAAGTTTATTTTATTCTATTAGAGTTTCTCTTTATTATGAGATCATGTCCCTTTTTTTTCTCGGCATTAAAATGTTTTTTACCTCATGAAATAATTTGTAAGTAGAAGGTACCTGGCTTTGTTTTGGTTCATTTTGAAACAGTCTTATTTGCCAAATAAGAAGACAGCAATCAAGTTTCTATACCAAATATTTGTTGATATTTTATTTATCCATATCACCCAGTGATTTAAAGGACTCAAGA
The DNA here is from genome assembly GCF_000001405.40 of Homo sapiens. Lineage (NCBI taxonomy): Eukaryota > Metazoa > Chordata > Mammalia > Primates > Hominidae > Homo > Homo sapiens. The sequence goes on from NC_000005.10 coordinate 108,379,348, forward strand.
AAGTTCCCTTTGTCCTAAAATGCACCTCTGCACACAAAGAGTAGGCAATTACTCTTCCAACAAGTAGACCTCCATAAGAATTAGATCATTACATTTTGACACAAGGAAATGTAAGTTTTCCCACCCTCTTGCTGTATCACTCACAAGAACAATAATATCACTGTAAAACAGACCCAAACACACAGTACTGTAAATATGCAAAAAGTCTAGTCAAAGAAACTATATTGGTGACAATAACAATTGTAATTAATGACAGTTACTTCAGTAACGGTAAAAGTAGCCAAATTCTTATCAAGGTTATTTATGGCTAGTCTCTAGTATCATCCACAATGAAAATGGTTTATATTTATTAAGCTCCAAATAGGGTAGGGTGGGAGAAGAGAGAAAAGGAGGGAAAAAGTTAATAATAACTTAATAAAAACTCTATTATGTAACTAAAGTTTGTCACTAGCATTGACAAAACTGCAAAATATTCTTGGTAGTTGAAAATGACACAAACTTCATGCAGGACACCCATCTCCCAACAAAAAATACATCTGTGCTTACCTCTGGTAATCTGTATGCTTTTATGCAAGGGTTAAAATGTAGAAGGGCATTACAACATAGCATAAACAAAGAGGTTTTTAAGTCAGGTGGTCTTAAATTCCCTCATTCAAGACCTAGATCTACCCTTTACTTTCTGTATGTGACCTTGCACAAGTCATTCAACCACTTCAAGCCCCACTAGACTGTCAGCTCCACAGGAGCAAAGACCACTTCTGCCTGACTCACTACTATAAACCGTGGCCCACAGCACGGAGAAATCAGTTTCTTCCTGTATAAAATAAAGATATTAACAGTATTTATCTCGAAGCGTTAACTAGATAAATGGGATATTATATATATAAAGTCTGGCGCAGTGCCTGATTATGGTAAATGCTCAGTAAGTTAACCGTTTGACATTAACTACCAGCCATCAAACATGAAAGTAATGTTTAAAGACTTTCAAACACCAACATGCAAAGCCTTTACCCACTAAGTATAAATTCCTCGATTAAAAAATTTTTTTTTCCACAGAATACCTGCGAAGTTTCTAAACCACTGGGTTGGGATTCTAATAATAGCTGAACCCTGAATGGTGGGTTATAGAGTCAAGCTATTAAAAGACATTCAGTAGACTCCAAGTGCTCCTACTTCAAAAAATAGGCCATAGGCAGAGGCCCCACTGGCTTCCCAGTCTCCCCTTGGGACGTCCCTAGGCTGCCAGGGAACCCCCCTCCTCCGCGCTTAGGGGGAGGAGAGAGAAAGCCTCGGAGGCGGGGGCCGGGGGTGGGGGAAAGCGAGCATCCCTGCGCCTCTCGCCCAGACCCACCTTGAGCAGGATGGACGGCGGCAGCTGGTTGATGTCTGGGGTTTCGGGGGGCGGCTCCCTGTGACAGTCGCAGGGGTTTTCGGGGGACTCCCGACAGTCCGCGTCGCCACATTCATGCTGCTGCTGGGCGGACAAGGGGGCGGTGCCCCCGGCTCGGACAGCGTCCCCGCCAGCTTCGGTGGGGGCACCTTCGGAGGTGGGAGAAGAGGGCGGAGGGCAGAGCGGCTGCGGGGGCTGCTCCGGGGCCTGGCAGCAGCCGGCGTCGGGGGGCCGGGGCGGCGAAGCGCCTCCCCCCGCAGGCCCTCCCCCGCCACCGCCGCCGCCGCCGCCGCCGCAGCCCCCGCCGCCGCAGCGGGGCTGCTTGCAGGGGGTGCAGGCGGGGACCCCGGCCCCCTTCCGCTTGCACACCATTTCGGGGGGCGTAGGGAGCTCGGCCGGTGACGGTGTCGGCCCCCGGAAGAGCTGCACGGCGGCGGGCGGCCCCAGGAAGCGCACCGGCCCCAAGCTGGCCAGGAAGAGACTTCGGCCCTGCTGCTCCCAGGCGGCGGCCGCAGCCAGCCCCAACTCTTTGCAGCAGGAGGCGGGCGACGAAGCCGAGGCGGCAGCGGCGGCGGCGGCGGCGGCCGAGGATAGCAGGAAGCGGCGGGCAGCAGCGGCGCAGTCCTCGGCGGCCAGGGCCGCGTAGCGCCGCGCCAGGTGCTGAGAGGAGGAGGCGGCAGCGTAGGCCCCGTCCCGCGGCGGCGGCGAGAGCGGCGGCTCCTCCTCTGGGCCGGCGGGGGCGGGCGCGCCGGGACTGTGCACGATGAAGCAGAGCATGCAGGGCCCGCGGAAGAAGCAGTCCCGGCTCCGGGGCGCCGCCGGCTGAGGGGGCACCTTGGCTGGGGTCCGGCGGGGCAGCCTGAGGAGAGGGCGCCGGCGGCGGCACCAACTGCAACAGCGAGGCCTCTTCTGGCTCGGGCGGTTACGCGGCTCCTTCGAGAGAAGGTGGCCCATATAGAAGGCCCCGAGGAGGGGGACCGGGACGGGAGGGAGGGAGACCCAGAGAGGCGGGCTCCCGGCAGCGGGGCAGGCCGCTCGCTGGCTCGGCCCCCGGAGGGGTCGCCCTTCCTGCGCACACACACGCACACACGGGCACACACGCGACGGTGGGGGGTGGGCGTCAGCTGCGGGCCGCCGGAGTGCCCGACGGGGGCTACATGCTTTGCCCAGGGAAGCCGGGAGAACGATGGGCGCGAGCTTTGGGGACGCGAGGGAGGGAGCGAGCGAGCCTGCCGGCTAGGCGACCAGTCCGGGCCCGGCCAGCCGGCTCAGTCAGTCAGCGGAGCGGCCGGGGAAAGGCCGGGTCCCGCTCGGACCATTTTAACTGCGGATCCGCCGCCGGCGCGCGCACCCGCGACTCTGCTCGGAGCCGCAGGAGCGCGCGGCCCGTTCCGGCAGGGGGCGGAGCCAGTTGCGGTGGCGCGCTCGTGGCGGGGACGCCGGCACCCGGCTGCTCACCCGGGACGGCCGTCACACCGGCACTACGGGAAGAAGCCGGCCGGCTAGGGCACGGAGCTCTGGGCTTGCGGGGTGCGGCGCACGCCCCTCCCTCCCACCGCCTAAGGTTTTTCCGAAGCTGCTGGGCGTGCGCCGCGTTTCTGAGGCGGGAGGAGACACTTCCGAGCCAGCTGTGTGACATCCGTTTACACAGCCGCGCTGACGTCTCGAGGTGTAAGTTCAAGAGCTGCCATTGGCCGGGAGCCGCTGGGCTCTTCCCCTCACCTTCCACCCCTGTCACCACCCCTGACTCGGAAACCGAGGCCACTTCGAAGCCGCGAGGCGGGTTCCGCCGGAAGGGCCAGTGTGGGCGCTGACCGCGCTTCGGGCAGAGTGGCAGATGCGGCCCCTGGGTGATGCGCACCGAAGTCATGTGAGGGGTTGATTGGTTGTGCGGCACCACTGTTTACCCACTTGTGTTTTCTTAATTGTTGCGTACTACTGCCTTTCCACAACTTTATTTCAGAATGAAAGCATATATCAAATTACCTGTGCACAGCAGAAAGATAACAGCTTCCCCACCCAGTGAGCCATTCAACACCCAGGCTACAAACTGTAGATCACTTTATTGTCTACACCCTCGGAATCCTGTCTAGCCGTCTGTTGTATATTTTAAACATGACGGTGCAGTGCCTGCTATATGACAAACGTTGGTGATCCAGATGAGAAAGAGGAAACAGCTATGCAGGCAGTCCTTTAGAAGGTTTGACTATATCGAGGCTAAAGAGCTAGGGCAGCTGCTAGAGCGGTACCTGGTGCGGAGAGGTTAGCTTTCACAAGCGAAAAATTAGAGGAGGCAAATACCATGGGAATGAGCCACTCTAGTGAGAGAAATAAGAGGAGAAGGTGGAATGGAGAGTGCTTTAGGAAGGATACTTTCTTCATTGTGATTACAGAGAATGAGGAAAGGTAGATAAAGGACGGATACAGAGAGGTGGATGTTTCTAGCAGGAAGGTGAAAGAGTTCCTTTCTGTTGGTTTCTGTTTTGCTTCAGATAGAGCTTGGTTACCTGCTGAAGGGTGGAAGAGAAGTGGCAGGTGTTTAAAAAAAAATCTGCTAAGGATAACTTGAGAGAGCTGACTGAGGAAGAAGTATTGCAATATTCAAGGCCCAGTGGCTTGGAGAAGACCACTGTTGGAACCTACATTGCTATTCCCACTATAGTGGCCAGCCCCACCCAGCCTGCTCTCAAACATGCTGTCAAACAATTGTTAATTCTGGCCTTTTTGTCAGAAATGACCAATCTTAAGTCTGTCACATTCAGGGATCCTTTCAGAGCCTAATGACAGTTATGTGGAATTCTAGAAGCAAATATTTGTCAAAAGATTTCACAGACATACACGCTATTCACTATCAAATGCATTGCCTGAACGACATTTACGTACACATATAATCCACATAACTTTCATCCATTTGCCTGTAGGAGAATCTTCCAGGGCCCCAGAGCAGTGCTTGAGGACTTATTACAGATCCTTTGACATCTCTACTAGGCTGCACTTTCACAAAAGGCAAGAGTATTATAAAGTGTTTTGTAACTTTATGTCAAAAATATGAACCTGTCAGAGCCAGATGTGGTGGTACCTATCATTCAAACTACAACAGGGCTGGTGAGGCGTGAGGATCGCTTAAGCCCAGCTTGTTATGATTATGCATGTGAATAGCCACCGTAGTCCATCTTGAGCAGCGTAGCGAAACACAGTCTCTTAAAAAAAATTGCGACCTATACATTTCATATAAGTTAAATACACATCTTCCCTATGAGCCAGCAATCCCACATCTAGGTATTTATCCAGAGAAATAAAAGCATATATCGATAAAAAGACATGTACAAAAATGTCCGTAACAACTTTATTCATGGTCACCAAAAACTATAAACTGCCCAGATGTCCATCAGTGGGAGAACGGATTAATAAACTGATATATTCATCTAATTAAATACTACTCAGCAACACAAGAGAAAAAGCATGGATGAATCTCAAAAAGTTAGGATGTTTTATGCTTTCTGGATACGGGGCCCTCGAATCGCTACCTGGTAACAGGCTCCCTATGTGATTCCTGTACAGACAGCCTGGCACCATGCAAATGTATCAGAACTACACATACCATCCAACTTCAACTTCTTGTTTTTAGAGATGAAGCAACTGACTCTGAGAGTTCTGAAGTCGTTGCTAAAATTTACAATATTTGTTTCCTTACTCCCAGTTCCTAAACCATTCAACCACAAGCAAATTGTCTTTGGTCTACCTATTGGACTCTGTGCTGACAAAAGATACTTGTTTTTTTATAATTTAGATATTTTGCATGTCTGTTCTCATCACCCACCATCATCACACCACTAGTTCTCCCCAGAAAAAATTTCAGATTCTTTGAGGCTTAGGATTATCTCTAACCCTTCTTTTTATTTCTTTACCACAGCAAATAGCAGAGAGAGTCTTGTATAGTTCATCAGTGATTAAATAAGCTACTACTATTATCAGGAGAGCTGTAATGAGTTTTGGAACTCAGTACCCTAAATAATAATACTAATGTTGTAAATGTTAAAGATACAGAATTATGAATAAGAGTCATAAATTAGAATTATAGAGACAGTTGTAGCAGCTGATGGCTTTGCTAGTTGGGGGGCAGAGAGGGTGGAGTTGCAGTGGAAACCAACTCCGGACAGCCAGGAGCTGGACTGGCACTATTAGCTAGGCATTTGTGGTACTGGCAGCTGTCCTGGCATTCTCAGTTCTCATTGTTTTGTCAAATATAAACAGTCCCACAAAACATCAACATCAGTTATAGTCATTTTATGACTACAATAGGCAAGACAAAAATAAGACCCCTCCACAATCATGTCTGAACACAGCAAATACAAGAACAGTCTCTAAACCACAAAAATGACCAAACATTCTGGTTAATATAAGTGACCACTGTTTCTTGGCCAATTACAGGCTTAGCCTTGATCCATTCTTCCTGCCTTCTAGATAGCAAATATTAAAATATTAAGTTATAGGATCACCTGTTTCCTGCCAGCATCCAATCCAGAGCAAAACCTTGACACTTCCCCAAAATCACCTAACAACACACTCATTCCTGTAATGTTTTTCACAATACCAATACCTTCTTACTGAGAGTGCTCCTGCCCAACTTCGCTCCTCATTGCTCTCTGCCTCCCTGCAACAAGACATTAAACCCACCTTGGTTTGAATCTAGTTGTTTTCCTGCTGCTCTTTAGCTAGAGGGCATTAGCATTTGTTATTATCAAATGTCACCAACCTATCTAAAGTTAATCCCTCCTTTGCCCTTTCCTCTTACCGTTTTTATTTTCTTTATAGCTCATTATCACATTTTTAAAAATTGTTGGTTTGTTCAATTAGAACACAGGCTCCATGAGGACAGGGATTTTGTTCAGTTTTTGGGAAGATAATCAGGCTACTGTGTGGAATACGGACTAGAGGAGAAGCAACCTCTTAGAAGGAAGACCAGTTAAAGTTGTTCAAAGGGTCCATAGAGAAGCCTTAAAAGTATGAATTTAGGGCCGGGTGTGATGGCTCACGCCTTTGATCCCAGCACTTTGGGAAGTCAAAGCGGGCAGATCACCTGAGGTCAGGAGTTCAAGACCAGCCTGACCAACATGGTGAAATCTCACACTACTAAAAATACAAAAATTAGTTGGGCACAGTGGCGCATGTCTGTAATCCCAGCTACTCAGGAGGCTGAGGCAGGAGAATCACTTGAACCTGGAAGGCAGGGGTTGCAGTGAGCTGAGATTGTGCCATTGCACTCCAGCCTGGGCAACAAGTGCAAAACTCCATCTCAAAAAACAAAAAGCAAAACAAAAAAAAGAATGTAGGCATTCTGGGAATAATGAAGTAAGGTTGTTATTGAGAAACATTTCTGATGTGGAGTTGTCAGGATTTAATTCTGAATTGGATAGAGGGAAGGGAATGATGAATATAGGGAGAAAACCCCCAAATTGCTTGTTCTTATGATTTATTTCAATGAATAACTTATGGTGAAATAATGGATTCTATAACGTAAAATAGTTACATATTTGAATAATATTCCAACCTGAGGTAGATTTGAGTTATGGCATACTGAGATTCACACTGAAAACCAGTATATAAATTTAAAATGTGGCAAAAAGGTAAAAAGAAAAGTTTTTTCTTCTTTGCTAACATAGGTTATACTAAATTTGAAATTCACATTTGCTTATAAAAAGACAGCCTTTTGTAAAAGGTTTTCATGCTGCTTGAAGTTGGGTAATGGTGGTTGTGGTAAATAGCTAAAACATCCTATAGCACCAGTGACGCACAAGGAGAACAAAGTTCACATGCCATTGATCCCAGTAATTGTGGTAAATGTGACAGATGGCCTAGAAAGACATTGTCTGATGCATCTTAAAATCATGGAACACCCAGGTGTTCAGTAGATTTAATTCCATATTATATTGTGTTTTTGCTGAAATACTCAAGGCCAAAGATGATAGTGAAAAACAAGTTTCCAGAGAATTCCCTTCAGGACAATCTATATTCCTGAGTAATTTGTTTCAGACATGATATGAAAGTTCAGCTGCTGCCTGGCCTGTTCTTCCCTAAGCTCTTCTCTTGACTGATTCATTCTGAGTTTCCAGATGATATCAGCCCTAATATCACCTCCTGTCATGAGAGCTCTTCCCCAGTCACTCTGTTACACTCCCCTGTTCATTTCCTTCACAGCAGTTACCACGGTCCGCAGTTGTGGTATTTCTGTGTTATTTGACTATCATTCCCATCAGAATTAATTCCTACTTTGTTTCCTCTCAAATTGCCAGCACCTAAATTTGTTAATCAACTGAATTTTAAAGGCAGATTTTCGGAGTCTGAGACAGGAGGAACACTTAAGTCCAGGAGTTCGAGACCAGCTTGGGCAACATAGGGAGACCTTATCTTTACGAAAAATTTAAAAATTAGCCGGACATGTTAGCTCACACCTATACTCCCAGCTAATCTAGAGGCTGAGGCGGAAGGGTAGCTTGAGCCCGGGAGGTCAAGGCCACAGTGAGCCATGATCTTGCACCACTGCGCTCCAGAACCTGGGCGACAGCGTGAGAGACACCCTGTCTCAAAAAGAACCAAATAAATAAGTAAAGGCAGATTATCCTAGGTGGGCCTGACATAATCAAGTGAACTCTTAAAAAGAGGGTCAAGGAACGGCTGGGCGTGGTGGCTCACACCTGTAATCGTAGCACTTTGGGAGGCCGAGGCAGGTGGATTGCCTGAGCTCAGGAGTTCGAGACCAGCCTGGGCAACATGGTGAAACCCCGTTTCTACTGAAATACAAAAAAAAAAAAAAAAAAAAAAAAAGTAGCCTGTAGTCCCAGCTACTCAGGAGGCTGAGGCAGGAGAATTGCTTGAACCTGGGAGGTGGAGGTTGCAGTGAGCCAAGATCGTGCCACTGCACTCCAGCCTGGTGACAGAGCGAGACTCCAAAAAAAAAAAAAAAAAAAAAAAAAAGGTCAAGGAGAAGTCAGGGAGATTGAAAGCAACAGCAGATGCTTTTCTTTTAGCCGTGAAGAAGTAAAGTTTCATGTTATAGTGAGACCTATATGGCAGAAAATGGCAAGTGGCCTCTAAGAACTGAGAGTAGCCCCTAGCTGATGGTCAGCAAGAAAGCAGGCCTTCCTTCCTACAGGATTCTTAATTCTGCCAACAACCACATGAGTTTGGAAGAATACCCAGAACTACAGAAGGGAGCACAGCTTGGCTGACACCTTGATTTCAGCCTGGTGAGAACCTGAGCAGAGAACCCAGCTGAGCCCATGCCAGGACTTCTGACTTACAGAACTACGAGATAATAAATATGTTATTTTAAGTCACTTCATTTCTGGTAATTCGTTTTTGCATCAAATGCAAATGTTTTTGCATGGAATAAAGTGTGTATTCAAATACAGTCATATGGATACCAAAACTTGATGTAGTTTTAATAGCAGAAACCAAATGATCAATTATCCATAACTTCAAAGATTAATTCAACCTCATGAAAAGAAACAACTAATCAGAAGTTAATACCTGCACAGACTATTTGTTGTTCTCCCACTTTTGCATAAATTAGATAATTGAGACAAAGATATGGGCTTATTTCTTTTGCTTAAGACTCACATATTTATCTTTTCCTTAGATGGAATTAGTGTAACACAAAGATGTTCCACTATTTATATTCCTTCAATTCTGTGTGTGTCTATATTCTATAATTAGTATTTTCTCATTTTCAACTGACAGAAATAGTGCTTATAGAAAAAAGAATTAAATTACATGTGTCTCCCTAACATTAAATGTTTTTTCTCCTAAATTTATTTTTTTTTCCTTTTTTTTTTCTTTTTTTTGAGATGGAGTCTCACTCCATCACCCAGCCTGGAGTGCAGTGGTGCTATCTCAGCTCACTGAAACCTCCGCCTCCCAGGTTCAAGCAATTCTCCTGCCTCAGCCTCCCAAGTAGTTGGGATTACAGGCATGTGCCGCCACACCCAGCTAATTTTTGTATTTTTAGTAGAAACAGGGTTTCACCATATTGGCCAGGCTGGTCTCAAACCCCTGACCTCAAATGATCCACCCGCCTCTCAAAAATGCTGGGATTACAGGTGTAAGCCACCACGCCCAGCCTTCTCCCAAATGTAATAACATTTGTATTTCTTATTATGTAATTTTTTTTTTTTGAGAAGGAATTTTGCTCTTGTTGCCCAGCTTGGAGTGCAGTGGCACCATCTCTGCTCACTGCAACCTCTCTGTCCCGGGTTCAAGCTATTCCTCTGCCTCAGCCTCCCGAGTAGCTGGGATTACAGGCTTACGCCACCACACCTGGCTAATTTTGTATCTTTAGCAGAGACGGGGTTTCTCCATGTTGGTCAGGCTGGTCTCGAACTCCCGACCTTGGGTGATCCGCCCACCTCAGCCTCCCAAAGTGCTGGGATTACAGGCATGAGCCACCATGCCCGGCCCTTATTATATAATTTTTAAATGGTTACATACTTGGATGCAATAGCCAGATAATTAAATCTACTTTTAGTGACTCAGAAATGACAAGTCACCTTCAAAACTCCATGTGTTCAGAATTTGTTGTATTACTGTAATAACGAAATGTCTACATCCCAAACTTGCGTGCTCTACCCTGAGTCTGATGAGTAGCAGGTTGCCCTTTCCTATTTCGTTCCCTATATCTGGAGGTAAAATTATTATAACGAGAATCCAGAAACTGGAGGGATGGAAATAACCATTTAAGTTATATGTAATCCCTCCTGAGGCAGGTGGGCAACAGAGGAAGTTGTGGCAGGAGTAGTGAGGCAGAGATCACTCTCATCAGAGCCACTGCAGGTGGCTCTCACCTATCTAATATATCTGATACTGCTGGGTTTAGAAATTCCTAGATTTTTTTTTTTTTTTTGTTCCTGAGGAAAGTAATGAAGCATTGGTTTTTGTCACCACTCAGGGAGTGGATAATTTTCTTCTCTGTAGCCTCATAAATTACATAAACTCCCTTAAACTTCTGGCAGGACACTTTATCAACATATCACCAGTGCTATATTGAGTGAGCTTAGGTTTTGATTCTGTTCTACCTGCTTTTTAGTTATATGTTATTGTTTGTTTATCATGTTTAAGTTATTGTGTGTTCAGTCATACCTACAGTATGTTGTGATGCAAATGGATCAACCATACTTAGGGCCCATTATTTAGGGTCCATTATTTCGTACTAACTACATGTTAAGTAAGCTAAGGGGACAGGTATTTTAAAATACTATCTATACTCAATTGTTAAAACAGATAAAACATCTTATTTTTCTATTTTTAGACAGGGTCTCACTCTGTCACCCATGCTAAAGTGGGCAGTGGCATAATCATGGCTCACTGCAACCTCAACTTCCTAGGCTCAAGCAATCCTTCTACCTGAGCCTCCTGAGTAGCTGGGAATACAGGCAAGCACCACCATGCCTCACTAATTATTATTTGTAGAGACAAGGCCTCACTGTGTTGCCCAGGCTGGTCTTGAACTCACAGAGTCAAGTGATCCTCCCGCCTCAGCCTCGCAAAGTGTTGGGATTACAGATATGAGCCACCATGCTGGGCCTGAAACATAGTATCCTGAAATTTGTTTGTTCAGCAACACTTGTCATTGAGTCACCTCTCCCATTCTCAGTTGAAAAATGGGAATGAGTAAAATTTGGGTGTAAGGATCTTTTGCTCCCTCCAGGGCAATTCATTTTATAAGCTTGAGAACCATTATCATGGGTAGTATGCTGTCCTTGCTAACTTCTTTTCTTTCAAAACTGCTTTATATCTTCATTTAAGTCTTACTTTGGAAGAGAGCGAGAGAGAGAGAGAGAGAGAGAGAGAGTGTGTGTGTGTGTGTGTGTGTGTGTGTGTGTATGTCTTGGGGAGGATACTAAGGCAGGAACTCTTCCAAATTCCCATTGTTTTGCCAATGATTTTCCCTGGCAAATCAATATATTTCCTGCCTGTTGTCTTCAACATTTGTAAAAATTGACATCTCTAAACTTTAATGCATTGAGTCCAGTTTGAATAATTTGAATCTTTATTGCACTACAAATCAAAGATGTTCACTGCTGAATTATCAGTAGGTAACATAACTGCAGATTAGTGGTAGGTGCTGTTTTCATGTGCTGTGGATCCATAGGACCTCTATTTAAAAAATTAATATAGCTGTTTTCCATGTCAGCCATGAAATGGTAAGTAATATCCTCCCCATCTTTCTTATAAATTAAAAAAAGCGGAAAATTTACTTTGGAGGTCTTAAGAGGACTAAAGTGTGTCAGAATCTTCACTGAAAAAATTTTGTAAAGCATATACTCATTGGAAAATGACAAGAATCCATAAAGAACTGCGAGAAAATGTGTTATTTCTAAAGGAAGTTAATTCTAAGGGAAGTTAACCCCAAAACCTACTTTAAATTGCATTGCCTGTTTCATACTGTTTCATCTACTTTCATTACCTACCAGCTTTCTCTCACCCCTGAAATGTCCCATTTCTGACTGTGCCTTTATATTTTTATCTACACCTCAACAATACTGAAATATGCATCATAGTTTTTTCTTATGGATATAGTTTTGGGGTGTAGTCTGTGAAGAAAATTAATCCTTTTCAGGCACATTAAAGGGAATATTTGCTAAGATCAAGTTGGAAAATATTTACTCTGAAAAGAAATTTTGAAGGGAGGGTTTATGGGGAAAAGAACAGTTTCTGGAATAATACGTGAGCATGGAATATATTTTCTGAAAAGCCACCATTTTTTAGACTGTGTGAGGTATTCGTATGTGTATATGTATGAAAGAGAAAGTGAGAGTGGCAGAAATAGAGCTCATCATTTCTGCTACCATCAATAATAATTTTCAAGGAATTCCAGATGATTCCTAACTAACTCTTTCTCTTCCTTTGGTAGTGAAACCATAATCCACACAAGTTAAAAAAAATCAGTGTTAGGAAAATTCTGTCAGCCTTCTGAGTAGACTGAGACATGCATTGGGGCTTGGTTATATTTTCTCAGCCAAAAGAGAGAAGGCTTGAAAGGGGGAAACAAAGACAATGGAGAAATGACTTTAATATTTCACTGGGGTAGAGTCGTTCTAATAGCAGTCAGCTTAAAAACTATCCCTTCCTGACCTAGAAACATAGAGTTCAACATAATTGTTCATGAGAGTAGTACAAATTAAAGCCATAATGAGACACCATCACACAACTATTTAGAATGGCGAAATGAAAGACTGACATAGCAAGTGTTGGCAAGAATGTGGAACAACTAAAAATCTCATAGGCTGGCTTTGAACTCCTGGCCTCAAGTGATCCTTCTGCCTCATCTCCACAAGGTACTGGGTTATAGGCATGAGCCACCATACCCAGCCAGGCTCATATACTGATGATGGAAATGTAGAATGGTACAGCCACTTGGGAAAACATGTTGCTGGTTTCTTATACAAGTTAACATACAGTTACAATATGATTCCCCAATCTCAATTCTAGCTGTTTACCAATGAGAAATGAAAACATGTTTACACAAAAGCCTGTATACAAGTATTTATGGAGGTTTTATCCACAATTGTCAAAACCTGAATACCAAAAATTTTTCCACTTATAAATGGATAAACAAATTTTGGTACATCCACACAATGGATAAATCTCAAACAAATATGGAAAGTAAAAACTCAGATTCAAAAGGCTACATACTGTATGATTCCCTTTATATGACTTTCCTAAAAAGGCAAAACTGTAGGGATAAAAAATAAAGCAGTGGTTGCGAGAATCTTGCAGAAGAGGAAAGTGTTTATGACAAAGAGGCACAATGGAACTTTTTGGGGAGCTAGAAATGTTCTTTATCTCGATTGTGATGGTTACATCACCGAATGTATTTGTAAAAACTCATAAAAGTATACACTAAAAAAGATGAATTTTACACTACATAAATGATACTTCAATAAACCTGACTTTAAAGGATTATAGAACAAAAATTTAGAAGATATCAAAAATTCAGAGTCATGAAAGAAAAGTAGGGTATCTCAACTAGATCTAAAGAGACGACAGAAACAAAAATAACCAAATGAAATATATGAGCGTGGAATATATTCTGGTCTGAAATAATCCAATAAAACCACTAATAAAATTGTGTTTATACAATTGGGAATATTTCAATATGGCCTGCATTTAGATATTATATAATTAATGTTAATTTTCTTAGGCATTAAAAGTATATGATGATTACATAGAATGCCTTTTTTTTTTTTTGTTAGGAGACACATACTGAAATATTTAAGGTGAAACAGTATTTACAACTTTCTTTCAAATGATTCTGCAAAATAAAAGCAAGAGGGAACATAAGGTATGCTGATTGTATTAGGGTTCTCTAAAGAGACAGAATTAATAGGATATATGTATATATGAAGGGGAGTTTATTAGGAGACGATCACAAGGTGAAGTCCCACAATAGGCCATCTATGAGCTGAGGAGCAAGAAAGCCGGTCCAAGTCTCAAAACCTCAGAAGCAGGGAAGCCGACAGTGCAGCCTTAAGTCTGTGGCCAAAGGCCCAAGAGCCCCTGGAAAATCACTGGTGTAAGTCCAAGAGTCCAAAAGCTGAAGAACTTGGAGTCTGATGTTCAAGTGCAGGAAGCATTCAGCACGGGAGGAGAAAGATGGAAGCTGGAAAATTCAGCAAGTCTGCTCTTCCACTTTCTTCTGCCTGCTTTATTCTAGCCGTGTTGGTAGCTGATTAGGTGATGCCCACCCAGATTTAGGGTAGGTCTGCCTCTTCCAGTCCACTGACTCAAATGTTAATCTCCTTTGGCAACACCCTCACGGATACACCCACGATCAATACTTTGCATCCTTCAATCCAATCAAGTTGACACTCAATATTAACCATTACACTGATCATTATTGAAATGAGGTGAATAATCTGTGGGCACACATTGCATTAAGCAGACAATGTCTTTTAAGTTATAACACTGATCTGAACTATCACCTTTATTATATACCAAATTTGGACGTATATTTTTGGAAAATGTTATTTTGTTCCATTCATCATTTAGTTCCTATGCCAATACTATCCTGTTTTAGTTATTAGAATTTTATAATGTTTTTATATCTGATAGATCAAGTCATTATTTATATGTTTCCAAAATATTCAGGGTTCATCTAATCAATTTAGACTCTCAGATGAATATCAGAATCATTTTGTCAGTGTCTCATTTGACCTTTGATTAGTATTAAATTAGATTTATAAATTAATTTGTAGAAAATTAACATAGTTTTATTTTTATTTCTTTTTGGAAACAGGGCCTCCCTCTTTTGCCCAGGCTGGAGTGCAGTCACAGGATTATGGCTCACTGCAGCCTAGACCTCCCAGGCTCAAGTGGTCCTCCCACCTCAGCCTCCTGAAGTAGCTGCGACCACAGACACACACCACCACACTCACCTAATTTTTTGTAGAGACATGGTCTCACTGTGTTGCCCAGGCTGATTTGAAACTCCTAGACTTAAACAACCCTTCCACTTTGGCCTCCCAAAGTACTGGGATTACAGGCATGAGCCACCATGCACAGCTGACATATTTTTAAATAGTAATATTTCTTTAAGAAACGTGATATACTTCTACATTTACTCAAAGCTTTATGTTCCTTAGTAAAGTATTGCATTTTCCTGGACATTTAAAAATATTTCTCATTACTTCATAGCATTTGTACTACTGGAAATTGGTGCTTTTCCTAGTATATTGTTTAGTTAGTGTAATTACTGCTATGTAGGAATGTAGTGCTTGTTGTATAAGTATTTTGTTACAAACCACTTTAGCTGGGCATGTTGGCTCACACCTGTAATCCCAGCACTTTGGAAGGTTGAGGCAGGAGGACCGCTTGAGGCCAGGAGTTTGAAAACAGCCTGGGCAACATAGCAAGATGCCAATCTCAAAAAAAAAAAAAAAAAAAAAAAAAAAAAAAGCCACGTGAATGAATTTGCTTATTAGCTCTTATATCTTTTGAATTAAAATTTTCTTAGGTGGGAAATCATCCAATCTTCTAGTCTGACTCATTTTTCTACATAAACTTTCATAAATAAAGTTTCATAAAAAAGAAACTTTCATTTCTTTTTCTTAATCTTACTCATTTGCATAATGAGTGAGATCAAATAATAGTGAGGAAAGAAGCAAAGGTGCCATGTACCTGAAATATAAAAACTAATGATTCTAGTGCTTCCCAAATTAAGTGTGATTTTGGCTATTTGAGATAAATATTATTTTTCTTGCATTCCTATTTTTGTACTTTTTAAACAACCAGCAGTGGAAATTGGATACAATTTCATTATTTTGGGGGCATTTATATTAATAATTATACATTTTTTAATCTTTGCCCTACTGATGTGATAAATTACATCAACAGATTTCTAATTAGTAAGCCATCCTCACATTATTATAATAAACTTTATGTGATCATATTGTATTATTTGAATATTTTACTAGTTATTTTGTTTATAGATTTTTTTAGATTTTTGAATCTGTGTGAGTTGAATTGGTTATTACTTTTTTGGCTTAAAAATAAGATTTCTCATTTTGACTTAGAGGCTGAAGTTTTTGTTCTATTTCACATGCTAATTAGTATTTTATTATTTTTCATAGAAAATAAAAAATTGCTTCCTAAGCAATGCCGGGAAGCTATAATTTTAAAGAGGGGAGTAATGGATTTGATTGTATTTAAAAAATTAAACATTTTTGTTTTTTTGAGACAATGTCTCACCCTGTTGCCCAGGCTGGAATGCAGTGGCACTATCATGGCTAACTGTAGCCTCCACCTCCTGCACTCAAGCAAGCCTCCTGACTCAGCCTCCTGAGTAGCTGGGACCCCAGGTGCACACCACCATACCCAACTAATTTCTGGTCTTGAACTCCTGGACTCGAAGGATCCTCCCACCTTGGCCTCCCAAAGTGCTGGAATTACAGGCATGGGCCACTTCGCCCAGCCACATTTGTGCATAGCTAGTGACACATATGAACAAACTCAAAAGACTGGGAGAAAATGGATGTTTTACATGGAATAAAGAGTTAATAGAGATATTTAGATATTTGATATTTAAAGGGCTTCTAGAAATTAATAAAAAATTTAAAAGCAACATAAAATGGGAAAATGGGCAAAAATATGAAAAGGAATATTTGAAGAAAAACATAAAAATAAATACATTAAAATGTGTTCAACTTCATTATTGGTCAGGAAAATGCAAATTTCTGTAACAGTGAGATGCCATTTCCCTCATCACATTGTCAAAACTTAAAAGATTAATACAATCCAGTGTTGGTGAGCGTGTGGAAACTGCTATTCTCTGATATTCTTCAAGAGTATTTGGGAGGAATAATAACTTCTACAGTCTTTTGAAAAAGCAAATTGGAAAAATCTATTAAAATAAAATAGGCCTATATGGTTTTTCCCAGAATTTATCTTAAAGAAATGATAGTACAAGAATATTCAGATATAAATGTAAAGATATCCATTGAAACATCTTTCTTTTTTTTTGCGGTGGCAATGTACTAAAACAAATGACCATTAGTAGGAAAATGGTTGAATAAACTATGATCTGCCACTACAAAAAATATTGAATAACTCTTAAAACTAATGAATAATAATCTTCTTATTCTGACCAAAAAGAAGCCCATAGTAAATGGCTATGAGTAAAAGGAAAATTATAGACAAATATGTATTGCACGATTCTAGGTTTTAAAAATCTATGTGTGATTAGTACATATAGTTCTATCTTTATAAACTCCTGTGTATCTTCATATACTTCGTAATGTTATGAAGTATATTGGCGTTAATATACTTCATATCATTAATAGTGGCACCCACTGGCAAATGAGGCAGGGGGGCAGGACTGGAAGGACCCAAGTGGAAATTTCTTTTAGCACTCTATAATTAATACTTTATATTACTTTAAAATGCTAAAAGTGTTTTGGATGATTCCTATATTTCTTGTGGTGAAAGACTCAAGGAAAGCAGAAAAAAGATCATCTAAAACATTATTTTTTATCTTTAGAGTCTTATCTGCAAACTGAGACCAAAATTACTTCCAAAAGACTTTTGGCCCTTTCTAAAATCGGATCCTCCTTAAACGGATGAATATTACACTGAGGTATTCAGAATAGTGTACTTGTATATTTGAAGGCAATTCCAAAGAATTTTGAGAAACATTTTCAGTAACAACAGCATCATTGAATAAGTACATACATTCCATACATGATCTAGTTCCCAGTAAAATAGTAGAATAAAAACTTATTTGTAAGTTGTTACTATTTATTTATTTATTTATTTATTTATTTATTTATTTATTTTGGAGACAGAGTCTTGCTCTGTCACCCAGGCTGGAGTGCAGTGGCCCGATCTCGGCTCACTGCAAGCTCTACCTCCCAGGTTCATGCCATTCTCCTGCCTCAGCCTCTCGATTAGCTGGGACTACAGGTGCTCGCCACCACTCCCAGCTAATTTTTTGTATTTTTTAGTAGAGACGGGGTTTCACCGTGTTAGCCAGGATGGTCTCGATCTCCTGACTTCGTGATCTGCCCGCCTCAGCCTCCCAAAGTGCTGGGATTACAGATGTGAGCCACCACGCCTGGCCAGTTGTCTTGTAGTCATAAGGAATTATGAGAGCAGGACCTTTTCCTCTTCTATTTAAAAAAGCTGGAGAAATGTTACTGAGATTTTTATTTAATCAAAAAATGTTGAGTGGAATGCATTACACAGTTTCCTACAGCAACATTTTTTTGTTTGTTTGTTTGTTTGTTTGAGATGGATTCTCACCCTGTCGCCAGGCTGGAGTGCAGTGGCGCAATCTCAGCTCACTGCAATCTCCACCGCCTAGGTTCAAGTGATTCCCCCTGCCTAAGCCTCCTGAGTAGCTGGGACTACAGGTGCACACCACCACGCCAGGCTAAGTTTTTTTGTAATTCAGTAGAGACAGGGTTTCACCATGTTGGCCGGGATGGTCTCGATCTCTTGACTTCGTGCTTCTCCTGCCTTGGCCTCCCTAAGTTCTGGGATTACAGGTGTGAGCCACCACACCTGGTCCAGCAGCATTGTTAAATATGTCTTTAAGGCTTGAAGGCTAGACTGAAAAAGTTTATTCAACCCAAATGTGACTGAGCTGTAGTACTAATAGTATGCTTCAATAAACATTTGTAGCGTAGAAGAGTGAGTGGATGGATGAATCAATAGAAAGGACCAGGAAATTCACTGGGTTGTAAATTCTGGGAGGAAGGAACTAGTCTTCTATATTCATAATTGTATCCCCAACACCCTGCCACATAGTTGGATCACATGAATGATCCCAGAGCTATCCTCACTTTCCTGAGTGTATAACTGGACTTTTATAATAAATTATGTATGTCTTAACTCATTATTAAAGGATAAATGTTTTTAAAGGTAAAATTATGAATCTTGAACAAAAAAATAAAATAAAGATATGTTAAAGAATGTTTTAACTCAGTTATTGAAGGAACTAGAAAAGGGTAAAGAGCCAAATCAAGGAGATTCCAAAGAAGACACAAATAGATGTAATCTGGAGTGCTGAAATGAATTCAATAGATTCAAAATTCATCAAACTCCGAATTCCACAGGGAAATAATCAATTGCATCATGACCATCAAAAGTCATTTGAATTACTAACAGTTTACTACAACTAATAGAGTGGTAAAATACCCAAGAAGCAATAAAAGTCCCAAATAGTGAGAAAGGGTGGGGATTTGCTGGCAAGATGGCTGAATAGAAACAGCTCCAATCTTCAGCTCCCAGCAAGATCCACGGAGAAGGTGGGTGGTTTCTGCATTTCCAACTGAGTTACCCGGTTCAACTCATTGGGACTGGTTGGACAGTGGGTGCAGCCCACGGAGGGCAAAGTGAGGCAGAGTGGGGTGCCATCTCACCCGGGAAGTGCAAGGGTTTGGGGATTTCCCTCCCCTACCAAGAGAAGTCGTGAGGGATTCTGCCATGAGGAATGGTGCACTCTGGCCCAGATACTGCCCTTTTTTCATAGTCTTCACAACCCACAGACGATGAGATTCCCTCTGGTGCCTACGCCACCAGGGCCCTGGGTTTCAAGCACAAAACTGGGTGGCTGTTTGGGCAGACATCCAGCTAGCTGCAGGAGTTTTTTTTTCTTTTTTTTCATACCCCAGTGGCACCTGGAATGCCAGTGACACAGAACTCTTCAATCCCCCTGAAAAGGGACTGAAGCCAGGGAGCCAAGTGGTCTGGCTCAGCGTGTCCCAACCCCATGGAACCCAGCAAGCTAAGATCCACTGTCTTGAAATTCTCACTACCAACACAGTCTGAAGTTGACGTGGGATGCTGGAGGTTGGTGGGGGGAGGGGCATCGCCATTGCTGAGGCTTGAGTAGGCAGTTTTACCCTCACAGTGTAAACAAAACCAAAGGGAATTTCGAACTGGGTGGAGCCCACCACAGCTCAGGAAGGCCTACATGGCCAGACTGCCTCTCTAGATTCCTCCTATCTGGGCAAGGCATCTCTGAAAAAAAGGCAGCAGCCCCAGTCAGGGACTTTTAGATAAAACAGCCATCTCCCTGCGACAGAGCACCTGGGGAAAGCAGCGGCTGTGGGCACAGCTTCAGCAGACTTAAACGTCCTTGCCTGGCAGCTCTGAAGAGAGCAGCAGACCTCCCAACACAGCGTTCAAGCTCTGATAAGGGTCAGACTGCCTCCTCAACTGGGTCCCTGACCCCCGTGTATCCTGACTGGGAGACACCTCCCACTAGGGGCTGACAGACACCTCATACAGGAGAGCTCTGGCTGGCATCTGGCGGGTGCCTCTCTGGGACGAAGTTTCCAGAGGAAGGAACTGGCAGCAATTTTTGCTGTTCTGCAGCTTCCGTGGTTGATACCCGGGCAAACATGGTCTGGAGTGGACCGCCAGCAAACTCCAGCAGACCTGCAGCAGAGGGCCCTGACTGTTAGAAGGAAAACTAACAGAAAGGAATAGCGTCAACATCAACAAAAGGACATCCACGCAGAGACCCCATCCGAATGTCACCAACATCAAAGACCAAAGGTAGATAAACACGAAGATGGAGAGAAACCAGGCAAAAAGGCTGAAAATTGCAAAAACCAGAAAGCCTCTTCTCCAAAGGATCGCAACTCTGCCAGCAAGGGAACAGAACTGGATGGAGAATGAGTTTGATGAATTGACAGAAGTAGGATTCAGAAGGTGGGTAATAACAAACTCCTCCCAGCTAAAGGAGCATGTTCTAACCCAATGCAAAAAAGCTACAAACATTGAAAAAAGGTTAGACGAATTACTAACTAGAATAACCAGTTTAGAGAAGAACATGAATGACTTGATGGAGCTGAAAAACACAGCACAGGAACTTGGTGAAGCATACTCAAGTATCAGTAGCCAGATCTATCAAGCGGAAGAAAGGATATGAGAGATTGAAGGTCAACATAATGAAATAAATCAAGAAGACAAGATTAGAGAAAAAAGAATGAAAAGAAATGAACAAAGCCTTCAGTAAATATGGGACTATGTGAAAAGACTAACTCTACATTTGATTGGTGTACCTGAAAGTGATGGGGAGAATGGAACCAAGTTGGAAAACACTCTTCAAGATACTATCCAGGAGAACTTCCCCAAACTAGCCAGACAGGCCAACATTCAAATTCAGGAAATACAGATAACACCACAAAGATACTCCTCGAGAAGAGCAACCCCAAGACACATAATCACCAGATTCACCAAGGTTGAAATGAAGGAAAAAATGTTAAGGGTAGCCCATCAAATTAACAGCAGATCTCTCAGCAGAAAGCCTACAAGCCAGAAGAGACTGGGAGCCAACATTCAACATTCTTAAAGAAAAGAATTTCAACCCAGAATTTCATATCCAGCCAAACAAAGCTTCATAAGTGAACTAGAAATAAAATCCTTTACAGACAAGCAAATGCTGAGAGATTTTGTCACCACCAGGCCTGCCTTACAAGAGCTCCTGAAGGAAGCATTAAACATGGAAAGGAACAACCAGTACCAACCACTGCAAAAACATACCAAATTGTAAAGAACATTGACACTATGAAGAAACTGCATCAAATAATGGGGAAAACAACCAGCTAGCATCATAATGACAGGATCAAATTCACACATAACAATATTAACCTTAAATGTAAATGGGCTAGATGCCCCAGTCAAAACACACAGACTGGCAGATTGGATAAAGAGTCATTGGTGTGCTGTATTGAGGAGACCCATCTCATGAGCAGAGACACACATAGGCTCAAAATAAAGGGATGGAGGAATATTTACCAAGCAAACCTGAGCAGGGTTGCAATCCTAGTCTCCGATAAAACAGACTTTAAAACAACAAAGATCAAAAGAGACAAAGTGCCAAGAACAGCTCGACTGGGGAGACCCTAACCCAGTGGCGCTAGAGGAATTAAAGACACACACACAGAAATATGGAGATGTGAAGTGGGAAATCAGGGGTCTCACAGCCTTCAGAGCTGAGAACCCCAAACAGAGATTTACCCACATATTTATTAACAGCAAACCAGTCATTAGCATTGTTTCTATAGATATTAAATTAACTAAAAGTATCCCTTATGGAAACGAAGGGATGGGCTGAATTAAAGGAATAGGTTGGGCTAGTTAACTGCAGCAGGAGCATGTCCTTAAGGCACAGATCGCTCATGCTATTGTTTGTGGCTTAAGAATGCCTTTAAGCGGTTTTCTGCCCTGGGTGGGACAGGTGTTCCTTGCCCTCATTCCCGTAAACCCACAACCTTCCAGCGTGGGCGTCAGGGCCATTATGAACATGTTACAGTGCTGTAGAGATTTTGTTTCTGGCCAGTTTTAGGGCCAGTTTATGGCCAGATTTTGGGGGCCTGCTCCCAGCAACAAAGAAGGACATTACATAATGGTAAAGGGATCAATGCAACAAAAAGAGCTAACTATTCTAAATATATATGCACTCAATACAGGAGCACCCAGATTCGTGAAGCAAGTTCTTAGAGACCTACAAAGAGACTTAGACTCCCACACAATAATAGTGGGAGAGTTTAACACCCCACTGTCAATATTAGACAGAACAACGAGACAGAAAATTAACTAGGATGTTCAGGACTTGAACTCAGCTCTGGACCACGCGGACCTAGTAGGCATCTACAGAACTCTCCACCCCAAATCAACAGAATATGCATTTTTCTCAGCACCATGTTGCACTTCTTCTGAAATTGACCACATAATTGCAAATAAAACACTCCTCAGCAAATGCAAAAGAATGGAAATCATAACAAACAGTCTCTCAGACCACAGTGCAATCAAATTAGAACTCAGGATTAAGAAACTCACTCAAAACTGCACAACTACGTGGAAACTGAACAACCTGCTCCTGAATGACTACTGGGTAAATAACAAAATGAAGGCAGACATAGATATGTTCTTTGAAACTAATGAGAACAAAGACACAAGGTACTGGAATCTCTGGGACACATTTAAAGCAGTGTTTAGAGGGAAAATTGTAGCATTAAATGCCCACGAGAGAAAGCAGGAAAGATCTAAAATTGACGCCCTAACATTAAAATTAAAAGAACTAGAGAAGCGACAGCAAACAAATTCAAAAGCTAGCAGAAGACAAGAAATAACTAAGATCAGAGCAGAACAGAAGGAGATAGAGACACGAAAAACCCTTCAAAAAAATCCATGAGTCCAGGAGCTGGTGTTTATTATTATTATTATTATTATTATTATTATTATTATTATTATTATTATACTTTAAGTTCTAGGGTACATGTGCACAACATGCAGGTTTTATACATAGGTATACATGTGCCATGTTGGTTTGCTGCATCCTTCAACACATCATTTACATTAGGTATTTCTCCTAATGCTATCCCTCCCCCAGCCCCCCAGCCCCTGACAGGCCCTGGTGTGTGATGTTCCCCGCCCTGTGTCCAAGTGATCTCATTGTTCAGTTCCCACCTATGAGTGAGAACCTGCGGTGTTTGGTTTTCTGTCCTTGTGATAGTTTGCTGAGAATTTATCCATTTCTTCTAGATTTTCTAGTTTATTTCTGTGGAGGTGTTTATAGTACTCTCTGATGGTAGTTTGTATTTCTGTGGGATCGGTGGTGATATCCCCTTTATCATTTTTTACTGCATCTATTCGATTCTTCTCTCTTTTCTTCTTTATTAGTCTCGCTAGCAGTCTATCAATTTTGTTGATCTTTTCAAAAAATGGATAAATTCCTGGACACATATACCCTCCCACGACTAAACTAGGAAGAAGTGGAATCTCTGAATAGACCAATAACAGGCTCTGAAATTGAGGCAGTAATTAATAGCCTACCAACAAAAAAGAGTCCAGGACCAGACAGATTCACAGCCGAATTCTACCAGAGGTATAAAGAGGAGCTGGTACCATTCCTTCTGAAACTATTCCAATCAATAGATAAAGAGGGAATCCTCCATAACTCATTTTATGAGGCCAACATTAACCTGATACTAAAGCCTGGCAGAGACACCACAAAAAAAGAGAATTTTAGATGAACATTGATGCAAAAATCCTCAGTAAAATACCAGGAAACTGAATCCAGTAGCACATAAAAAAGCTTATCCACCACAATCAAGTCTGCCTCATCCCTGGGATGCAAGGCTGGTTCAACATATGCAAATCAATAAACATAATCCATCACATAAACAGAACCAATGACAAAAACCACACGATTATCTCAATAGATACAGAAAAGGTCTTCAGCAAAATCCAACAGTCCTTCATGCTAATAATTCTCAATTAACTAGGTATTGAGGGAACGTATCTCAAAATAGTAGGAGCTATTTATGACAAACCCACAGCCAATATCATACCGAACGGGGAAAAACTGAAAACATTCCCTTTGAAAACCGGCACAAGACAGGGATGCCCTCTCTCACCGCTCCTATTCAACATAGTGTTGGAAGTTCTGGCCAGGGCAATCAGGCAAGAGAAAGAAATAAAGGGTATTCAAATAGGAAAAGAGGAAGTCAAATTGTCTGTTTGCAGATGACGTGATTGTATATTTAGAAAACCCCATCATCTCAGCCCAAAATCTCCTTAAGCTGATAAGCAACTTCAGCAGTCTCAGGATACAAAATCAATGTGCAAAAATCACAAGCATTCCTATACACCAACAACAGACAAACAGTCAAAGTGCGAGCGAACTCCCATTCACAATTGCTACTAAGAGAATAAAATACCTACAAATACAACTTACAAGGGATGTGAGGGACCTTTTCAAAGAGAACTACAAACCACTGCTCAAGCAAATAAGAGAGGACACAAACAAATGGAAAAACATTCCATGCTCATGGGTAGGAAGAATCAATATCGTGAAAATGGCCATACTGTCCAAAGTAATTTATAGATTCAAAGCTATCCCTATCAAGCTACCATTGACTTTCTTCACAGAATTGGAGAAAACTACTTTAAACTTCATACATAACCAAAAAAACCCTGCATAGCCAAGACAATTCTAAGCAAAAAGAACAAAGCTTGAGGCATCATGCTACCTGACTTCAAACTATACTACAAGGCTACAGTAACCAAAACAGCATGGTACTGGTACCAAAACAGAGATATAGACCAATGGAACAGAACAGAGGCCTCAGAAATAACACTACACATCTACAACCTGATCTTTGACAAACCTGACAAAAACGAGAAATGGGGAAAGGATCCCTATTTAATAAATGGTTTTGGGAAAACTGACTAGCCATATGCAGAAAGCTGAAACTGGATCCCTTCCCTATACCTTATACAAAAATTAACTCAAGATGGATTAAATACTTAAACATAAGAACTAAAACCATAAAAACCCTAGAAGAAAACCTAGGCAGTATCATTCAGGACATAGGCATGGGCAAGGACTTCATGACTAAAACACCAAAAGCAATGGCAACAAAAGCCAAAATTGACAAATGGGATCTAATTAAACTAAAGAGCTTCTGCACAGCAAAAGAAACTATCATCAGAGTGAACAGGCAACCTACAGAATGGGAGAAAATTGTTACAATCTATGCATCTGACAAAGGGCTAATATCCAGAATCTACAAAGAACTTAAACAAATGTACAAGAAAAAAACAACCCCATCAAAAAGTGGGCAAAGGATATGAACAGACACTTCTCAAAAGAAGACATTTACGCAGCCAACAGACATGTGAAAAAAAGCTCATCATCACTGGTCACTAGAGAAATGCAAATCAAAACCACAATGAGATACCATCTCACACCAGTTAGAATGGCTATCATTAAAAAGTCAGGAAACAACAGGTGCTGGAGAGGATGTGGAGAAATAGTAATGCTTTTACACTGTTGATAGGAGTGTAAATTAGTTCAACCATTGTGGAAGACACTGTGGCAATTCCTCAAAGATCTAGAACCAGAAATGCCATTTGACCTGGTAATCCCATTACTGGTTATATACCCAAAGGATTATAAACCATTCTACTATAAAGACTCATGCACACATATGTTTATTGCAGCCCTGTTCACAATAGCAGAGACTTGGAACCAACCCAAATGTCCATCAGTGATAGACTGGATAAAGAAAATGTGGCATGTATACACCATGGAATACTATGCAGCCATAAAAAAGGATGAGTTCATGTCCTTTGCAGAGACATGGATGAAGCTGGAAACCATCATTCTCAGCAAACTAACAGAAAATCAGAAAATGAAACACCGCATGTTGTCGCTCTTAAGGGGAGTTGATCAATGAGAACACATGGACACAGGGAGGGGAACATCACACACCAGGGCCTGTTGTGGGCTGGGGGGCTAGGGGAGGGATAGCACTAGGAGAAATACCTAATGTAGATGACGGGTTGATGGGTTCAGCTAACCACCATGGCAGGTGTATACCTATGTGACAAAACTGCACGTTCTGCACGTGTACCCCAGAACTTAAGGTATAATAATAAAAAAAAAATGAGAAAGAGTAGGTTAGACAATACAGCATTTTATAGGACACCTAGTAATATTTTTTTTCTTTTTTGTAGTTTCAAAGTCTTTCACAAAAATGAATGTACCATACTAAAATTATACCGTATGATCACATAAAGTTTATTTTAGTAATATGAGGAATGATTGCCAACCTTCCCCTGAAGCAGGTCAGAAGACCTTTATGTGAGAGTATCCTCCCTCGAGTGGAGGAAAGGAGCATCCTTATCTCCAAAGGCACAGAGATGCCAATAAGAATCACAACAAACATACCTTGCTAAGTTTCCCCCTGTTTATTACCATTAGATCATACTGTTTGCCTTATTTGTCTCCATGACTGTTTACTCTGCATCAAACTTATTATGCAAAAACCCTTATATTTAACTGTTTCTTCATTCTTTATTTGCTTGTGAAGCCTCCCGTGTCAAGTAAAACTTGTATTAAACAAGTTTGCATGTTTTTCTCTTGCTAATCTGTCTTTTGTTGTGGGGACTTCAGCCATGGGTAGAAGGAAAGGTATTTTTTCCTCCCTTATAACCTAAGACTCCCGTATGGCTTGGCATGGCACTAATACATCTCATTCATCTCATCCTTGTCCTGGTCCTGTCACAAAGCTTAAAATATTTACTAATTGGCCTTTTATAGGAAAATTTATGAAGAAGAGTTAACAAACTGTATAAGCTACCTTGGGTCTGCTATTCAAACATAAGCACTAAGTGCTAAGGCCACAAAATAAACTTCTGTTTGGGAGGTGTCATAAGGAATCTGGATTGGAATCTTAAAAGCTTCTATTATTTGCTATCTTGAGGTTTAGAAATCAAGACCCAAAACTTATCTCCACCAGTTTTCTTCTATAATATCTATAGAAAATGAGTAATTGCCCCTCTTTTTGAGGTCCTCACAATTGGCTAAATTTCCGGGCTTGCCAGTATGTGATCTTCCTTTAACCATCTGTAAACCTGGGACATGTAAACCAATTTTACTAGGTGGGCTTCATAAGTATTGGTCCCATATGTAAAGCCAACCTTTGTTTTTCATAAAAGTGACCTGTCATGTCTGATTAAAAGAGCATCATTCTGAAATCATACACTTCAGGCAAGGCTTTGGTTATACAATCTATCCAATTATATCCTGGTATAAAAGCAGATAAATTCCTATCAAATGTATATAAATAACTATATTGTCATGAAAAGCACTGGGACTTAGTAAAAGTCTCTAAATTCTGGGGAGTGAGTCAGTAAAAATTGGATACCATGTAAAAATGTTTTATTTCAGCATACAAAGGCAGTCAACTGAATTATGGGTTACAGATTATTTAAGAAGAAAATGGCTTTTTGATATACCCAGAAAATAGAACAATAACACAACAATATTCCAGACAAATAACCACCATAAAATTTCCCTCATTATTCCACTCAGTCCTCTGTAGTTAATTTTGTTTTATCGGATCTTGGTTAGCAGTCTGCTTTCATGAAGTCACCAGTTTATAGACTAAAAAGAGTTCTGGAAATTCTGACTCGGTTCAAGGTAGGGTCTGAAAGTTATCTAAGTGATATCAGTTCAGAAGCCTAGGCAATAGTCTGTGTGTTGAAGTATCAACAGTTAAAAGTACCTGGTGTGGTCCCTTTCCAAAAGTATATAAAACTGTATTTATTTGTTAAAGACACAAACTCTGGGCTGTAATTTAGAGTGTTCAGACAAGCCTGAGAGTGAAGTAAAAACTGTGTAGATTACAACAAAGACAACGGGTGTGGTTTATTTATTACTGCAAAATAATACAAGAAAGTAAAATTCTCTATTGTGGTGTAGTACATAACTATTTCATGAATTTCCAGCAAGGTGCCGTGGCTCATCACACCTGTAATCTACTTTGAGAGGCTGAGGAGAGAGGATCACTTGAGCCCAGGAGTTCAAGACCAGCCTGGGCAACACAGCAAGACCTTGTCTGTATGGAAAATGTTAAAAGTAGCCAGGTGTGGTGGCGTAGGCCAGTAGTCCTAACTACTCAGGGTCCCAGGAGTTTGAGGATCCAGTGAGCCGTGATCACGCCACTACACTGCAGCTTGGGTGACAGAGTGAGACACTGTCACTAAAAACAAAACAAAAAAAACTATTTCATGAGTTTTGATAATATTTCCCCTGAGAGTAAAAACCTATTATAGATAGCAAGAACACTGGCAAAACTCCAGGAACTTCCCATAAAGCATACACATTGTGAAAAGTTATATTAATAACATTTGCCTACACTAATATTCTAGGGAAGATTGAACATCTCTTCTAATCTGACGAGTCTTCCCATCTAATTCTTACAATAGTAATATTTCAAAAAAAACCTAATTATTTCTGGCTTTTCTTTTTTTATATGGTGAGAAACCAAATCTTTGTGATTTTTCCAGGAGCCCTTGAGAAATCTGAAATATATTTTGGGGTACATAAAAAATAAATTTTGGCAGGGTATATAAAAAATAATTTTTTTCTAAATTTAGGGTTTTAATTTTGGGAAATCTATTTCGAAAGAGTTGTCAGAGGATATACAGACACTTAATTAAGGTAGGATCATGGGTTACTGAGAAACAATACTTAGTTACCTGTTTAATCAAAGAGACAGTAAACAATTTTTGGTGAGATGATTGTAAAGAGCCTTAGCTCTTTCAAAAGTGAGATTTTTTTTCCTTTAAATAGTAAAGAACATAGTAAAATCAAAATAAAGCAAACACAAACACAAAAAAATTCTGATTAGCCACAGAATCTCTGCTAGGTAGGCAGATAACAGGAAAGGTAAAAAGTAATCTTTCATATTATAGGTGACAGTTATTACTCTGTAAACCAAGGAAGTAAGTTATTAAAACTGAGTAATCTTTGCTAAAATTTAACATATTTTAGAATCTCTTTTCATACTCAGTTATTTTAAATCAAGAGAAAAAAAATCACTCTCAAGTTTTCTCCTTCATTATACTTTTATATTCTAGCATCAACTCACCCTTTTCTTAAAGATAGAGTACAGTCTTGGGAGCTCTAAGGTTCCTGAAACCCTTTTGGGGATGCACAAAGTAAAAACTACTTTCATAATAATATTAAAATAGCATTTGCCTTTTTCATTCTCACACATGTACAGTGCAGGGACTACATGATATATCATATTATAACAGATTAAATGCAGATGTAGACATGTGAATCCAGATATTTTCTAGTAAGCCATACATTTAAGAGATTTACAAAAATGTAAAACAATGCCATTCTCATATATTGTGGCTTTAGAAAATTTTGTTATTTTAGCCGGGTGTTGTGGCTCATGCCTGTAATCCCAGCACTTTGGGAGGCTGAGGCAGGAGGACTACTTGAGGCCAGGAGTTCAAGGCCTGCAACATACTGAGACCCCCATCTCTAAAACAATTTTAAAAATTAGTTGGGCATAGTGGTGCTCACCTGTAGTCCCAACTACTTGGGAAGCTGAGGTGGGAGGATCACTTGAGCCCTGGAGTTCAAGGCTGCAGTGAGCCATGATTGAGCCACTGTACTTCAGCCTGGGCAAGACAGTGAGACCCTGTCTCTAAAAAAAAAAAAAAAAAAAGATAGATAGCTAGATATATCTTTTTTATGTCTAACATAGTTTTTATATTTAACATATATATAGTTATCTTTCACAAAAACTGTTATTTGTTTTAATGTACAATGGATGCAGATGATTGATATTGCTGCTGTCCAATGACTCAAAAAATAAATATTTTTTACATTTCTCATACAAACCAAATCTCTTTGGAGTCCCTAAAGTTCTTACACTCTTTGGAGTAAAGGAGTTGAAGATTTAAGAAAACAACCTTTTTATCTTCAGGGGGGAAAAAACCTACTCTTTTTCTTTGAAAAACAAAAGCACAATCCCAATTTTAATTCTGTGTTACTATTGCTCCTGTTATGGTCTCAACCATCTCTAATAATTCTAATTTTTAACAAAGTTACTGACTTTTAACTCACAGAGAAAAAAATGATGGTATGGGAGTGAAGGGATTAAAATTACTTTAAACTAAAAACATGAACAATCTGCAGCCACAGAGAGAAACATTATCTAAACTAAAGCAGATACTCCCCAAATACAGCAGCCATTCACCCCTTCTTGGAGGAAGTTTCTTGTTTGAAAGAAAGACTTACCACCAGACATGTGAATTCAGCTGCTCATTAGCATCAAAAAGCCCAATAGAACCTTCGATACTTTCCCTTTAAAGTCCTAAATCTACCCTTTTTGGTTAACTTTGTATATAAACCTTTACCTCTGGCTGTTCAGCAAGTTGCTCATTATTGAATGACTTCCATATGTAGGCATAAATAAATCTTGTCTTTTTTCCTGCCAGTCTGTCTATTGTTAGTTAATTTGCAGGCCCCAACCGTTCTAACCTTAGTGAGTAGAGGAAAACTTTTTATCCCAAGAGGGTGGATTGTCAAACTTTCTGGCATGCACAAGCATTTGAGTAAACTAGCATGTGAACACACAAAACACAACATTCTACAGCAGCTGCACATCTCTTTTACATCTTCTTAAGGTGGTAAAAATAAACATACTCATTCACATGACTGAAAAATATAGCCTTTCTGTAGCATATAAAATCAGAAGCAAAAGTAGATAAATTTTAAACTGTTTAAGTAATGGTTCAGTGTTCTTATTTACTTAGAAATTGTCCTAGGACTCAGTGATTATCTATTAATTAACTCAACTTAGTAACAGTCCAAGGTTTTAAGTTACCTAAAGATCTTGGAAATTATCTTAAAGCTGACATACTAAAATAATAAGTTGTTTAGAATAGTGACTAAATTTAGCTAAAGAAAATTTATATTTTTTGAAATCCTAAACATTATATAGGAGTAATGTCAGCTTATTTTATCAGTAAGCCTGTAGCTTGAGGGAAAAAATTCCAAATAAAATGCACATGAATGGGTCCAGAACATGCTACTATAGCATAAAAATTATTTTGAGCAGTCATTTGAGTCCCTGAAATCTATCTACCTAAAAACAGAGCCTCCCAGAAGAATTGCAAAAAAAAAAAAAAAAAAAAGCTCAGTTGACATAAATCTCCTCCCCAGGAGCAACCAGGGAAGATAGACTCTCATCACTGGTGATGAGAAGTTTCTATGCTACTCATATAAAGACATTGTCACAAAACTATCAAGTCTCTCATATACTCTCCTAAGGGCTTCTTTGTCTTTCCAAAAAGTCATTTATTTTCCCGTAAGTGTCCTTTATCCCCCACCCCATCTCTATTAAGGTGATATATAAGGCCCAAAATCTAATGGCCCCTTTGTGTCACATTTTTCTGTGAACTTCCACATATGTATGTATGTGAATAAAAATATATCTTTTCTTCTGTTAATCTGTCTTTGTCATTCTAATTCACAAGCCCTAAATCACTGAATCAAAGAAGGCAGAGGAAAAGTTTTCCTCCCTTACATACACATATATTATACTTAACACTGATAAATCAGAGAGAAGACATAGCTCTTTTGTGAAAACCAAAATTATTTTTATTTTTTTAAATTATACTTTAATTTAAAGTACTTTAAAAAGTTCTGCACATGCAGAACGTGCAGGTTTGTTACATAGGTATACACGTGCCATGGTGGTTTGCTGCACCCATCAACCCGTCATCTACATTAGGTATTTCTCCTAATGCTATCACTCCTCTAGCCCCTCCCCACCCCCTGACAGGCCCCGATGTGTGATGTACCCCTCCCTGTGTCCATGTGTTCTCATTGATCAACTCCCACTTATGAGTGAGGAAAACCAAAATTATTAAACTAGTCTCATTTACCAAAGATTCACTTAATTATATAAATTTGAATTCTTAAATGTTCCTTATTTAGCTGTTTCTACAGGATGGATTTTTTTTTTAAGTACAATGCTTTTTAAGTATTAAACATTTGATTTCTTTACTATCTGGGAATTTAGGGATATTCAATTTATATCGGCACTTACTTCTTTATAAATCAATCAGAAAGAACTGTTACAGAACTGAACTGAGCTCTGCTTGCCAGGCACAACAAGATCAAACGCTGACATCAGGATAGCAGCGAGAGAGAGGCATTTATTTGCACAGTGCCAAGCAAGGATGATACGACAGCTAATGCTTAAATTCTGACCTCTCCAGTGGCTTGCAGGTAAGGGTTTTTAAAGGCAGGAGTAAATTTCAAGAAAGCAGAAATTATAGGCAAAATTGTAAATCAATACACTGAGGTTAAACATTGGTTTTGACCTGAAAGGGCAGGATATCTTGAAGCAGGGCTTACAGGTTATAGGTAGATTCAGAGATTCTCTGATTTGCAATTGGTTAAGGAAAAGAAGCTTTGTTTAAAAATTTGGGGTCAGCAAAAAAGAATGTTGGCTCTAGCTTGTGGGTGTGACTTTCTCCAGGTCACTCAAAAAGAAATTCAGAACAAAGAATGATCAAAGTTTAGTCCCTATTTTCCCCTTACCTGAGGTCTACGAGCTGGCAGATCCATTTGGTGGGGGACATATGTTAAGATGTAATCTTTTTTTTAAAAAAAAAACTATTTAAAGGGACTTCATTGAGATATATTTTTACATTTCATAGAATTCATCTTTTTTTTTTTTTTTTTTTTTTGAGACAGAGTTTCACTCTGTCACCCAGGCTGGAGTGCAGTGGTGCAATCTCGGCTCACTGCAGCCTTGATCTCCTGGACTCAGGTGATCCTCCCACCTCAACCCTCCAGTAGCTGGGACTACAGGCATGTGCTACCATGCCCAGCTAATATTTTGTGTTTTTTGTAGACATGGGGTTTTGCCATGTTGCCCAGGCTGGTCTCGAACTCCTGGGCTCTGCCCACCTTGGCCTCTCAAAGTGCTGGGATTACAGGTGTGAGCCACTGCGTCTAGCCGAATTCACCCCTTCTAAGTGTACAATTCAATGATTTTTAGTAACCTTACGAGTGGTACAGTCATCACCGTGAACCAGTTTATAACACTTTCACCCTCCTAATAAAGATCCCTCATGATCATTTACAGTTAATCCCTGTTCCCACCCCAAGATGTTATCTTTAGTTTCTGTAGGGTAACCAACTATCCCATTATTTTATCCTTGGCTATTTTTTTAGGCTGCTATTACCTTCTTGCTTATCAAGTTGCTTATTTGCTGCTCAAGGCTAGGTAGGTGCCTGGAATTTCCCTTAAAGAATCTCAAGATTTTCCTTTATTTCTATGCTTCAGGGGCCTGACACATTTTAAGAAACTTATTAACTAGTGTATTAATATTCTCCAAAGATAAAAAAAAATTTACAATTACAAAACAAGAAGTAAAGGCTTTCTGAATTACGAACACATATACACAGACACAAAGAATATAACTTCAGTTGTAGAACTGAAGTTATAAGATTAAGATTAAACAAAGAAAAC
Source organism: Homo sapiens (assembly GCF_000001405.40). Classification (NCBI taxonomy): domain Eukaryota; kingdom Metazoa; phylum Chordata; class Mammalia; order Primates; family Hominidae; genus Homo; species Homo sapiens. The sequence continues at coordinate 108,413,104 of NC_000005.10, forward strand.
ACAAAAACTCACTGGTCTATATATATTCTGTGCAAATGAGCACAAAATTCTTAATTGATTTGAGCTCAGAATACACAGACACTTAATCAGTGGAGGGGGGAAAAGTCGAGAAACAGAAATTCAAGAGTGTTAAAGTTCTGTTACTGCTTGATATTCATCTGCAGGAGCTACAAAACATGTGCTGGGGTTCCTTTAAAGTGTACATCTCCAGCAATATGCCTCCCCTGGCTCTATTAAACATTATGAACATCTTGGAAGATGATCTCTTAAACTGTTAAAGTTTAAATTTTTTTTTTTTTGTAGAGACAGAGTCTTGCTCTGTCATCCAGGCTGGAGTGCAGTGGCGCAATCTCCGGCTCACTGAAACCTCCGCCTCCCGGGTTCAAGCGATTCTCCTGCCTCAGCCTCCTGAGTAGCTAGGATTACAGGCGCACCACCACGCCCGGCTAATTTTTGTATTTTTAGTAGAGGCGGGGTTTCACCATGCTGGGCAGGATGGTCTCGATCTCCTGACCTCGTGATCCACCCATCTTGGCCTCCCAAAGTGCTGGGATTACAGGCGTGAGCCACCACGCCCAGCCAAGTTTAAATTTTTAAAAAAGAAAATCAGAGCTTTTAACAAATGTAAAATGAAAACATGTCAAAGATTTTTTAGAACTCATTGATTAATAAGGGAACCAGAAAGGTTTTAAAAACAAGGCCAAAGGAGAATCCAAGGAGCAAACAAAGATATAGGCTGTCAGATAGGCTGAAATGAATTTGTTAATAGATGCAAAGCTGGTGGGTATCCACAGGGAAATAAATGCATCCCCACTAGCAAAAAATGTATTTGCATTTCGATAGACAAGAATTATTTGTATTACCATCTGTTTACAACAACTAAGAGTGGTAAGATAACTCTGAGGCAATGAAAGATGTAGCTAAACAAGAAGCTTGGGCTAGACAAAAACCAAGCATTCCATAGAACACCCAATCATCTTCAAAGTGTAACAGTGAAAAGGAGGCCTAGTCTGACTGACTCCATTTTGCTTTTAATTGCCCCCACTTGGTGATATCCTTTAGATTAACTCCTTCTGCTTATGTCTACACATGAGCCAAGCTAACTATGGGAGGAATTGTTTATAGGTTAACTTAAAGTAAGGATGATAATAGTCCCTTTCCTAAACTAACTCCTGAGGAGATAACGAAGGTGTACACACAAGTTACAATATTATGTAACTTTTAGGATAATATTAGTAATAATAGGATAATATTAATTATCCTATTAAGATTTATAGGAGCACTGTGACTTGACCAAAGACAAAGAAGTTTCACAACCTCCTTGGACTCTCGCTGACGCCGATGTTTGTGGTCATTGATGACCTCCTGATCCCATCCCCCTCCCTTTTCCCCTTTCCCCAACATAAAAGGAGTCAAATCTGTATTAACTTAAGATGGTTCGTTAGGACATTAGTTCACCACCATCTTGGTTTGCTTGCTCTCTGAATAAAGTTGCTCTCCTTGCCCCAACATCTCTTCTCTTAACTTATTGACTGTCATGTGGTGAATCATACAAGCTTGGACTCAGCCACAAAATTGTTCCACTGTTTTTCCTGACACTATTTTCTTTCACCTCTCAGTGTGCCTCTTTCCCACTACCCTCAAGCTGTCCTAACAACCTCACAAAAGCCTGCCCTTTACTTCTCTATCCTCCTCCCTCAGCACACGTCCCATTTGCCGATTGGCTCCAATGCAGTTGTTCTCCATTAACTTTCAGAAAAAGCACTAGGAGTAAAGTAATGCATAAGAAGAATCTATCAGCCCCATGTATTTTATCTGCTCAAGTGTATGGATATGCTGACAGTAACAATAATAGTAATGATATTTATTATCCTAAATAAAATCTCTAATTGAAAGTATTTTTTAGTTGGTAGCAAAGTAAACAAAAATCATTTAGACAACTTACAGGGAACAAGTTTTTTATGTTGGGTAAATATTAGGCAGCCCAGCTGTGGCTGTTCTTGATCTTCCAAATTTTGGACTTCATAGAAAAGCTTGTAGCAAAAGTCACATGAGTTTCAATAGTCAGGGAAGTAAAGGTGGGGTCAGTAGCAGTTGGGATGTGTAAAAGTTATCAGAATCAAAACAGAGTCACTAATATTAAGAAATCCCTGACAAATCAAGCCAGGGAAGGCCATGAAGAAAGCGTTCTCATGCTTGTATGCCTGGTAACAAAAACTATCACAAAAGACTGCAAAAAGCATAACCTTGCACGAAAGCCATCGTATCCTTATACAAAAAATACTTCTACAAGGATATCTGCCCAGCAACTGTCTGTCCCATAAGTGATCTTGGGCTGGCATCACCCTTGTTACTAATGGCAAGGATATTGTAGCCAAGGATAATTTTTTCCAAACAATTATGTAATCCTCCTCATTTTTTTCTTTAAAAATCTTTATCTTCCTTCACCTCCCTGAATGTGCACATAGTTTACTATGGCATGAATATTCCCATTGCAATGCTCCATTCCCAAACAAATATTTTTTCTTTTAGAGAACATCATCTTTAGATTACTTATAATACCGAATACAATGTAAATGCAATGGAAATAGCTGTTATACTGTATTGTTTAGGGAATAATGAAAAAACTCTGTATATGTACAGCACAGGTGCAACCATCATTATTACAATTATTGAGAGAAGCATGTTACATAGGTTGACAAGCATATAGGTGTTTATTTTTTAAAAGTTGCACATACAGAAATATGTAATTATCTGTTCTTTGATGGGGACAGTAGTCATTGGGTAAATGAGTTCTGGTCATTTAAAATCATTTTGTTTACATAAGTCATCTTGTGGTAACAAAATGTTATGAGTAATGTTTCCCTCTTTGTAGAAAGTGGGAGAATTGTTATGAAGCTTTTTATTTACTTAAAACAAAGTAGGTCACTTTAATGTAGTGATTTAAATCATTTTAATTTAGAAATATTTCTATTTTTATTTAAAAGAGTTAAAATACTTAAAATTTCAATGTTATGGTCTTTATTTTTATTTTCACATGTTCCTCAATTTAGCACTTTTGAGTTTATTGAAACTTGCTACACATGTCTGTCTTTAAGTTATCCTCTCACTAATCATGGTTTTGAGAAAAACTCTGTGAAGAAAATGATATACAGTTGGCCCTCTATATCTGTGTGTCCCACACTAAGGGGTTCAACCAAATGAGGATTAAAAATATTCAGAAAAGGAATGATGGTTGCGTCTGTACTGTCAGGGTTTTTTTCATTATTCCCTAGATAATACAGTATAACAGCTCTTTCCATTTCATTTCATTTACATTGTATTGGATATTATAAGTAACCTACAGATGATTTAAAGTATGTGGGAGGATATGTATAGGTTACATGCAAATACTATGCCATTTTATATCAGGGACTTAAGCACCCCTAGATTTCATTGTCTGTGGGAGGTCCTGAAACCAGTCCCCCACACACAGATGCTTCGGGATGACTGCAATTGATTTTCATTGATTGATGAAGTACAAGAAAAGAAAGAAGTGATGTAATGACAGATGGTGTCTTGGAAAAGGTTCTCATTATTACAATTATTGAGAGAAAGCATTCAATAAAAGTTTGCATTTGTAAACCAAAAATAAAATTCTAAGCTCCTCAACAGACTAATGGTCCCTCCTCTCGGCCAAGGGCATTCCAAAGTTAACCTAAAAAACTAGTCCAGGCCATGATGGAAAGTAGAGGTTGAACATGACTCATTTTACCCTCCTCCTATTGGAATTCAGGCACAGCTGACCAGCATTAACATTAAAACAGAGACCTTAAGACTGGTAGAACAGAGTCTCTAATTCTATAAGAAGCATTCCCTTCTGTTGATTGTGTTTGCATGATGAGAACCTTGGTCTCCACAACCTTTTAACTCGGACATTCCCTTCTATTGATTCTAGGTCTTTAGACAGTAACTTGATCCTTTCAACCAACTGTAAATTAGAAAATTCTTGAATCCACCTATGACCTAGAAGCTCCTGCTTTGAGTTGTCCACCTTTCTGGACCAAACCAATGTACATCTTATATGTATTGATTGATGTCTTACGTCTCCCTAAATTGATGTCTTATGTCTCCCTAAATTGTTCAGCTGTAGCCTGAATACCTTGGGCACATGTTCTGAAGATTTCCTGCGGTTGGGTCACAGGCCATTGTGACTTAGAATAAATCTCTTCAAATATTTTACGGAGTTTGACTCTTTTCATTGATATATTTATCTTGACAAAGACTCTCTCCTTGAGCAAACTTTACTCAAATTCCTCTGAGTCCTCTTTTCAGCTAAGCCCTAATCTTGGCGCCACTATGTCTTTGGACTGCCTAGCCCATAGTTTTAGCAAGAATCCTGCTAAGTCAGTTTAGCAAGAATCCTCACCCACCCACTCTTGATATTTGATCATGCTTGAGATCTGACCAAGATACCCATCCTTCACGTTTGAGGTATAAGTCTTTGGCCTGTCTTTAGCAAGAATCCTATTTGATCAGTTTAGCAAGAATCTCCCTAACTTGATATATTCTCTTAGTAATTTTCATTCAATGACTCCCTCACTCTGCTCTTTGCTTATAAATTTCCAGATTCTTGCAGGTGGCTGGTTCCAGATGGAGTCCATGACCAGAATGAGAACTTCATGCCTGCTCTTTCCCAATTGGTTATTTCTGAATAATGCTTTTAAATCAATCAAATGTTGCCTTTTTCAAGGCTACCTACAGCCCACACCTCCCCAGTTCTGAGCCTATAAAAACCTCACACTCAGCCACATGGGGATACTACCTGCCTTTGGGTGGGGACAATCCACCTTCAGGTTGGGGACTACCCACTTCTGGTCCATCTCTGCTGAGAGCTATTCTGTCACTCAATAAAACTTCTCCACCTTTCTCACTCTCTGGTTGTCTGTGTAACCTCATTCTCCTTGGATGTGGGACAAGAACCCAGGACCATGGAACAGTGGGTACAAAAGGAACTGTAGCACGGATGAGCTGCGACCCTTCTGGGGCCCAGACCTCGGGACTCCCTGAGCCAGAGCTGTAACACACTAACACCCCCTTTGGGGTTCCATGGTTGCTGGTGTCTCCAAGTTTTTTGGTAACCACCGTGTTCTGCTTGTCCAGACACCAGCACTCAGGGAAGAAGCTACTTGTGGTACGCCTGGTCCAGCCATAGCCTCACACAGAGCCAGTGCCTGGGGCCACCCATCCTGCTGCAGCAGCCAGCATGCCTGGCTCACTCTCAGTGGGCATGAGATCCAGGCTGGTAGCACGAGCCAAGTACAGCCTGCCAGGGCCGAGTCGGCAGCGCAAGTCTAGTGGCAAGCCCAGAGCTGAGCAAAGCCCAGACAGGAGTGCTGCCAAGCCACGGAAATTTCCGACTGGGAAGCAGCACCAAAAAAGAATCCTGTGTCACTTATACCATATACAAAAATCAATTCAAGGTGAATTAAAGACTTAAATGTAAAACCCAAAACTAAAAATCCTGGAAGACAATCTAGGCAATACCATGCTGGACGTAGGAACGCGCAAAGATTTCATGACAAAGACACCAAAAGCAATTGCAACAAAAGCAAAAATTGACAAGTGTGATATAATTAAGCTTATTGGGTACTGGGCATAACTTCCTGGGCAATGAAATAATCTATACAACAAACCCCTGTGACATGAATTTACCAATTTAACAAACCTTCACACGTACCCCTGAACCTAAAAATTAAAAAAAAAAAAAAAAAAAAAAAAAAGACAAGTGCTTTGGAAAACCAGAGAAAATGGATCAGTGAATCCTGTGGAGGGAGGGGGAGATCTTTTGGGACGCCTTCACAGAATGGAGCAGCTGACTGTGTGTTTTAAGTATGATAATGATAATGACAACAATTAACCTCTGTTAATTAGATACACTTCTGATACTGTGTGGTGGTGGTCTGAGACTGAAATGAGAGATGATTTTGAGAAGGCAATTTATAATAAATCCAGGTTATGTAAAGTCTTGAATTACACCCAGGGAACCAGTAACAGATACGTAAGCCTTAGCAGATCTTGACTGGCAAAAATTACTAGACAAAAGCCACTATGCTGTCCTCACCCTATGTCCTACATTCTTCTATTCTTCTCAACCTAGTGTTTTCATGCTCTTTCAAGCCATATAAGCAGCCACCTCTTACCCATGTCCTTCCAGTGAGTTTAGGTAGTTGCCCTTCAACATTCCCATTATTCACAAATAACAATAAAAAATACACAATATTCCAAGTGTATTAACATATGGTTTTACAAAAGTGTAGGAAAAGAGTTTTCTTGCTTTGATACTGGAGTCAGAATTTCCTAGGGAGGGGATTCAGTAATCACTTAGAAAAATATCAGTAGTGTTTCTAAGCTAAAACACACTCTGGCCCTGTTTTTCAAAAGTTCCCATTTCAATTCCACCTTCAGTTACTTCTCCCACTACCCCCATCCCATTCTGTCTGCCTGTCTGCCTGTCTCTCTCTCTCTCTCTCTCTCTCTCTCTCACACACACACACACACACACACACACACACACACACACACACACAAAGTTCCTTTTTCTCTTTTGGGTGCTAACATGCATTTGATTGGTCCAGAGTCAGCTATTCAAAATGCCTCAGGTAGAGAAAAATTTATTAACAACTCAGTGACTGCAGTTTCTTATCTTAAATCCTTCCAGCTATACAAAGGAAAAGTCATTAAAGCCAATGATTCTCTGATAAGGCTTTCTTCACATCATTTATAAAGATGCTAAAAAGACTGATTCTACCATTAATTATTAAATCAACCCTTCAAACTTCTCATTTATCTACTCTATTTATTTCCTATCTCCAGGCCAACTTTCAGTTTTGGACAAAATCCCACCTCCTTCCCTGTCTTATTTCCATAACGAATTTTGAAAAAAACAAAAAAAAATTCAGCCCTTAGTCCTCTTCATCCACATTTTCTCCTTTGAAGAATTCCAATAAATCAAGCATAATTTTATTTTTGCAAAACACCACCAATGTTTTGTTTTCCCACTTGGCGATTTTATTATTTACAAATCCGGTAGTTGTAGTTGCATAAATGAGAAAAAGTTAAAGCAAATTTTCTGTCTGAGAGCTAATTTCCATATCTGTGAAAAGGCCAGCCCAGCAGCTCTTCCATGGTTAATGAGCTCCTGTAAGGGAGGACCACTAACACACAACCAGCAGGTGCACAATCACTGTTGCTTCTGCTCCAGACAGCTCACAGGCCGCTTTGTATCATGCTCACGTGATCCTTCTAAACTGGCTTCATCTTGTACAGAGCTATCACCTGTTATGCCACCAGTCTAGCCAATAGTAGTTCAATTTCAGCCACAATTGGATTGACGTGGGTTACTCTCCTTTTTTTCTGCCTTAAATCTTTTCATCAACAAAGCAGAGTAGTACATACGTGCATGCATTTATTTTGTCAATGTAACTTGCAGCATTTTAGATATGAATCACTATTTGATGCAGTAACTCACATATAGGATCATGTATTTATTCATTAATTCATTCATTCAACACATATTTTTGAGCATCTACTCTGAACCAAACACTTCTAAGATGTATTGAATAAAACTGTCAAAGTGCCTGTTTCTTGGGGCAGCCAGTGAGCAGTGAGGGGTGGGAGGGTTGGGTGAGGGAGCTAACATTTTAGAAAACAAGAGTATGTGTTTTGGGAACTGGGGCTATCTTAGATAAGGTAAGTAACAGAAGCCTCTTGATGAGGTAACATTTGGACAGATTGAGGAATGCAATGAGTGAGCAGATTATGCTGAAAGGTGATGGGGTCCGGGGAGAGGGCAGTAAGTGCAAAGGCCCTGAGGTACAACTCCCAGAATAGTAAGGAGGGAGTGTGGCTAGAGCAGAGTGACTAAGGGCAAAGTATAGTAGAAATCTGAGAGGTAGCTACAGGCAACATCAAGAGTGACTTTCTTCAGCTCTAGTAATGTCTTCAGAATTCATTCTGAATGATGTGGGAAACCACTAGAAGGAATACCATTTCAAACTGGGCCCTGCTTTTAAAAAGACCAATGCTAAAAATCAACTCAGTCCTTGTGTTACCAGAAAGGGGGCCCTTTCCAGGCCCGAAAAGAGGATTCTCAGATTTCACACAAGAAAGAATTCAGGGTGAGGCCGCAGAGCAAAGTGAAAGCAAATTTATTAGAGAAGTAAAGAAATAATGGCTACTGCATAGGCAGAGCAGCCTCGAAGGCTGCTGGTTGGCTGTTATTATCATTATTTCTTGATCATATGCTAAACAAGGGGTGGATTATTCAGGAGTTTTCTGGAAAAGGGGAAGGGAATTCCCAGGGAACTGGGGGTTCCTCTTCCTTTTAGACCATATAGGGTAACTTCTGGACTTAGCCATGGCATTTGTAAATTGTCATGGTGCCGGTGGGGGCGTCTTTCAGCATGCTAATGCATTATAATTAACATATAACGAGCAGCTGTCACTTTCATCACCATCTTGGTTTTGACACGTTTTGTCCAGCTTTTTTACTAAATCCTGTTCTTATCAGCGGTGTCTCTGTGTAACTGTGTCTTCCACAAGAATTTATATTATTATCTTTAAAGCAAAACCTATTCTTAAACTAAGAGTGCTTTTGTTCTTAAGATATCAGAACATAAAGACATTTCCTGGGTCTGTTAAGTCCTGGGTCTGTTTGGTAAACATTATTAATCTGTTCCCTTAACCATAAATATCCTGTGACTAAGAGTGCTTTACCTCCTCGGGAATGCAGCTGAGTACTTCTCAACCTCATTTTACCCAGCCCCGATTCAAGATGGAGTCACTCTGGTTCAAATGCCTCTGACACATGCATGCGTCGTTTTATTTCTGCCTTGAGGCATGCTCTTTTTTTTTCTTTTCCTTTTTTTTTTTAGGCGGAGTCTTGCTCTGTCACCCAGGCTGGAGTGCAGTGGCACAATCTTGGCTCACTGCAACCTCCACCTCCTGGGCTCAAGCAGTTCTCCCACCTCAGCCTCTCAAGTAGCTGGGACCACAGGCACATGCCACCATGCCCAGCTAATTTTCATACTTTTTTGTAGAGACAGGGTTTCACCATGTTGCCCAGGCTGGTCTCAAACTCCTAGCTCAAGAAATCCTCCTATGTTGGCCTCCCAGAGTGCTGGAATTACACCCATGAGCCACTGTGCCCACCCTGAGGCATGCTCTTAATCTTACAATAATTAGCTGACATAAAAGTTCAACAAACATTTTCTGTAAAGAGCCAGATGTAAATATGTTAGACATTTTGGTTCATACAATTTATGTCACAATTATTCAGCTCTGCCACTGTAGTATAAAAATAGCCATAGACATGTGTGAACAAAGGAGCATAGCTATGTTCCAATAAAACTTTATTTATAGACCCTGAAATGGAAATTTTATATAATTTTCATGTCATGAAATATTACTATTTTTTTCCCAACCATTTTTTTTATTTCTTTTATTTAAAAAATGGGATGGCCGGGCGCGGTGGCTCACGCCTGTAATCCCAGCACTTTGGGAGGCCGAGGCAGGCGGATCACGAGGTCAGGAGATCGAGACCATCCCGGCTAAAACAGTGAAACCCTGTCTCTACTAAAAATACAAAAAATTAGCCGGGCGTAGTGGCGGGCGCCTGTAGTCCCAGCTACTTGGGAGGCTGAGGCAGGAGAATGGCGTGAACCCGGGAGGCGGAGCTTGCAGTGAGCCGAGATCCCGCCACTGCACTCCAGCCTGGGCGACAGAGCGAGACTCCGTCTCAAAAAAAAAAAAAAAAAAAAATGGGATACATGTGCAGAACTTGCAAGTTTGTCACATAGGTATATGTGTGCCATGGTGGTTTGCTGCACCTATTGATCTGTCCTCTAAGTTCCCTCCCCTCACCCCCGACCCTCCAACAGACCCTGGTGTGTGTTCTTCCCCTCCCTATGTCCATGTGTTCTCAATGTTCATCTACCACTTATGAATGAGAACATGCAGTGTTTGGTTTTCTGTTCCTGTGTTAGTTTGCTGAGGATGATGGTTTCCAGCTTCATCCATGTCCCTGCAAAGGACATGAAGTCATTCCTTTTTATGGCTGCATGGTATTCCGTGATGTATATGTGCCACATTTTCTTTATCCAGTCTATCATTAGTGGGCATTTGGGTTGGTTCCAAGTCTTTACTATTGTAAATAGTGCTGCAATAAACATATGTGTGCATGTGTCTTTACAGTACAATGATTTATATTCCTTTGTATATTTATATATTACTGGGTATATACCCAGTAATGAGATTGCTGGGTCAAATGGTATTTCTGGTTCTAGATCTTTGAGGAATTGCCATACTGTCTTCCACAATGTTTGAACTAATTTACACTCCCAATAGCAGTGTAAAAGCATTGCTGTTTCTCCACAGCCTCGCAAGCATCTATTGTTTCTTGACTTTTTAATAATCGCCATTCTGACTGGTGTGAGATGGTATCTTATTGTGGTTTTGATTTGCATTTCTCTGATGATCAGTGATATGGAGCTTTTCTTCATGTTTGTTGGCCACGTAAATGTCTTCTTTTGAGATGTGTCTGTTCATATCCTTCGCCCACTTTTTGATGGGGTTGTTTTTTTCTTGTAAATCTGTTTAAGTTCCTTGTAAATTCTGGATATTACACATTTGTCAGATGGGTAGATTGCAAAAATTTTCTCCCATTCTGTAGGTTGTCTGTTCACTCTGATGATAGTTTCTTTTGCTGTGCAGAAGCTCTTTAGTTTGGTTAGATCCCATTTGTCAATGTTGGCTTTTGTTGCAATTGCTTTTGTCTTTTTTCTCATGAAGTTTTTGCCCATGCCTATGTCCTGAATGGTATTGCCTAGGTTTTCTTCTGAGGTTTTTATGGTTTTGGGTTTTACATTTAAGTATTTAATCCATCTTGAGTTAATTTTTGTATAATGGATAAGAAAGGGGTCCCATTTCAGTTTTCTGCATATGGCTAGCCAGTTTTCCCAACACCATTTACTGAACAGGAGATCATTTGCCCCATTGCTTGTTTTTGTCAGGTTTGTTGAGGATTAGATGGTTGTAGATGTGTGGTGTTATTTCTGAAGTCTCTGTTCTGCTTCATTGTTCTATGTGTGTGTTTTGGTACCAGTACCATGCTGTTTTGGTTACTGTAGCCTTGTAATATAGTTTGAAGTCAGGTAACATGATGCCTCCAGTTTGTTCTTTTTGCTTAGGATTATCTTGGCTATACGGGGTCTTCTTTGATTCCATATGAAATTTAAAATAGTGACGAATGTCAATGGTAGTTTGATGGGAATAGCATTGAATCTATAAATTACTTTGGGCAGTATGGCCATTTTCATGATATTGATTCTTCCTATCCATCAGGATGGAATGTTTTTCCATTTGTTTGTGTTCTCTTTTATTTCCTTGAGCAGTGGTTTGTAGTTCTCCTTGAAGAGGTCCTTCACATCCCTTGTTAGCTGTATTCCTAGGTATTTTATTCTCTTTGTATCAGTCATAAATGGGAGTTCATTCATTATTTGGCTCTCTGCTTGCCTATTGTTGGTGTAAAGGAATGCTTGTGATTTTTGCACATCGATTTTATATTCTGAGACTTTGCTGAAGTTGATTATCAGTTCAAGAAATTTTTCAGTTGAGATGAAGGGGCTTTCTAAATATAAAATCATGTCATCTGCAGAGACAACTTACTTTCTCTCTTCCAATTTGAATACCGTTTATTTCTTTCTCTTGCCTGATTGGGCTGGCCAGAACTTCCAATACTCTGTTGAAAAGGAGTGGTGAGAGAGGGCATCCTTGTCTGGTACCAGTTTTCAAAGGGAATGCTTCCAGCTTTTGCCCATTCAATATGATATTGGCTGTGGGTTTGTCATAAATAGCTTTTATTATTTTGAGATATGTTCCATTGATACCTAGTTTATTGAGAGTTTTTAACATGAAGGGATGTTGAATTTTATTAAAGGCCCTTTCTGCATCTATTGAGATAATCATGTGGTTTTTGTCATTGGTTCTATTTATGTAATGGTACATTTATTGATTTGCATATGTTGAAGCAGCCTCGCATCCCAGGGATGAAGACCACTTGATCATTGTGGATAAGCTTTTTGATGTGCTGCTGGATTTGGTTTGCCAGTATTTTATTGAGGATTTTTGCATCGATGTTCATTAGGGATATTGGCCGGAAATTTTTTTGTTGTTGTTATATCTCTACCAGGTTTTGGTATCAGGATGATGCTGGCTTCATAAAATGAGTTAAGGAGGAGGCCCTCCTTCTGAATTGTTTGGAATAGTTTCAGAAGGAATGATACCAGCCTCTCTTTGTATTTCTGGTAGAATTCGACTGTGAATCTGTCTGGTCCTGGGCTTTTTTTGGTTGGTAGGCTATTAATTACTGCCTAAATTTCAGAGCTTATTATTGGTTTATTCAGGGATTCAACTTCTTCCTGGTTTGGTCTTGATAGGGTGTATGTGTCCAGGAATTTATCCATTTCTTCTAGATTTTCTAGTTTATTTGTGTAGAGGTGTTTATTGTATTCTGTGATGGTAGTTTGTATTTCTGTGGGGCCAGTGGTGATATCCCCTTTATCATTTTTTATTGTGTCTATTTGATTCTTCTCTCTGTTTTTCTTTATTAGTCTAGCTAGTGGTCTATCTATTTTGTTAATTTTTTCAAAAAACCAGATCCTGGATTTGTTAATTTTTTGGAGGATTTTTTTGTGTCTCTATCTCCTTCAATTCTGCTCTGATCTTAGTTATTTCTTGTATTCTGCTAGCTTTTGGATTAGTTTGCTCTTGACTCTCTAACACTTTTAATTGTGATGTTAGTGTGTCAATTTGAGATCTGTCTAGCTTTCTGATGTGGGCATTTAGTGCTATAAACTGCCCCCTTAACACTGCTTTAGCTGTGTCCCAGAAATTCTGACATGTCATCTCTTTGTTCTCATTTGTTTCAAAGAACTTCTTGATTTCTGCCTTGATTTCATTATCTACCCAGGAGTCATTCAGGAGCAGGTTGTACAATTTCCATGAAATTGTGTGGTTTTTCCGTGAGTTTCTTAATCCTGAGTTCTAATTTGATTGTACTGTGGTCTGAAGGACTGTTTGTTATGATTTCAGTTCTTTTGCATTTGCTGAGGAGTGTTTTACTTCCAATTATGTGGCCAATTTTAGAATAAGTGCCATGTGGCACTGAGAAGAATGTATATTCTGTTGATTTGGGGTAGAGAGTTCTGTATACATCTACTAGGTCCACTTGATCTGGAGCTGAGTTAAAGTCTTGAATATCCTTGTTAATTTTCTGTTTTGTTGATCTGTCTAATATTGACAGTGGGGCGTTAAAGTCTCCCACTAGTATTGTGTGGGAGTCTAAATCTCTTTGTAGATCTCTGAGAACTTGTTTATGAGTCTGGCTGCTCCTGTATAGGGTGTATATATGCTTAGAATAGTTAGCACTTCTTGTTGAATTGTTCCCTTTACCATTACGTAATGCCCTTCTTTGTCTTTCTTGATCTTTGTTGATTTAAAGTCTCTTTTATCAGAGACTAGGTTTGCAACCCCTGCTTTTTTGTGTGTTCCATTTGCTTGGTAAATTTTCCTCCATCCCTTTATTTTGAGCCTGTGTGTGTTTTGCACATAAGATGGGTCTCCTGAATACAGCACACTGATGGGTCTTGACTCCTTATTCAATTTGCCAGTCTGTGTCTTTTAATTGGAGCATTTAGTCCATTTACATTTAAGGTTAGTATTGTTATGTGTGAATTTGATCCTGTCATCATGGGGCTATTTGGTTATTTTGCACACTAGTTGACACAGTTTGTTCATAGTGTCATTGGTCTTTATATTTTGGTGTGTTTTTGCAGTGGCTGTTACCAGTTTTTGCTTTCTATATTTAGTGCTTCTTTCAGGATCTCTCGCAAAGCAGGCCTGGTGGTAACGAAATCCCTCAGCATTTGCTTGTCTGTAAAGGGTTTTCTTTCTAGTTTGCTTATGAAGCTTAGTTTGGCTGGATATGAAATTCTGGGTTGAAATTCTTTTCTTTAAGAATGTTGAATATTGGCCCAGAATCTCTTCTGGCTTGTAGAGTTTCTGAGGAGAGATCTGCTGTTAGTCTAATGTGCTTTCGTTTGTTGGTGACCTAGCCTTTCTCTCTGGCTGTCTTTAACGGTTTTTCCTTCATTTCAACCTTGGAGAAGCTGATGATTGTGTGTCTTGGGGTTGATCTTCTCATGGAATATCTTAATAGTGTTCTCTGTATTTCCTGAATTTGCATGTTGGCTTGTCTTGCTAAGTTGGAGAACTTCTCCCGGATAATATCCTGAAGTGTGTTTTCCAGCTCATTTCCATTCTCTCCATCTTCTTCTGGTACTCCAATTAATCATAGGTTTGGTCTTTTTATGAAGTCCCATATTTTTTGGAGGCTTTGTTCATCCCTTTTCATTCTTTTTTCTTTATTCTTGTCTGTATGTCTTATTTCAGTAAAGTGGTCTTCAAATTCTGATATCCTTTCTTCCGCTTGGTCAACTCAGCTGTTGCTACTTGTGTATGCTTCGCGAAGTTTTCATGCTGTGTTTTTCAGCTCCATCAGGTCATTCATGTTCCTCTCTAAACTGGTTATTCTCGTTAGGAATTCCTCTAACCTTTTATCAAGTTTCTTAGCTTCTTTGCCTTGGGTTAGAACATGCTCCTTTAGCTCATTGTAGTTTTTTATTACCCATCTTCTGAAACCTATTTCTGTCAATTCGTTCATCAGATCCTCTGTCCAGCTCTGTGCCCTTGATAGAGAGACATTTCGATCATTTGGAGGAGAAGAGGCATGCTGGACTTTTGGGTTTTTCAGCATTTTTTCATTGATTTTTTTCTCATCTTCACGAGTTTGTCTAGTTTCAGTCTTTGAGGCTGTTGACCCTTGGATGGGGTTTTTGTGGGGGCCTTTTTGTTGTTGTTGTTGTTGATGATGCTGTTGTTGTCACTTTCTGCTTGTTTGTTTTTCTTTCAATAGTCTGGTCCCTCTTTTGTAGGGCTGCTGCAATTTGGTGGTAGTTCACTTCAGGCCCTATTCATCTGATTCACTCCTGTGCCTGGAGAGGTCATTCAAGGAAGCTGGAGAGCAGCAAAGATGGGTGCCTGCTCCTTCTTCTAGTACCTCTAACCTGGAGGGGCACCAACCAGATGCCAGTAGGATGGCTCCTGTATAAAGTGTCTGACAATCCCTGTTGGAGTGTCTCATTCAGTTGGGTGGCACGGGGAGCAGGACCCATTTAACAAAATACTTTTTCCCTTGGTTGAGAGGGTGTGTTTCACTGGGGGGAAGTGCACTCAACTGGGCTACCTGGATTCCTCAGAACTACCAGTAGGAGAGGCTAAGTCTGCTGGTCTGCAGAGAGTGTTGAGAGTGTTGCCACCCCCTCCCCTAGAGGCTCCAGCTCTCTGAGCCTCTGGCTGGAGTTATTGGAGATCTTGCAGGGAAACCCCACCCACTGAGGAAGGATGGGTCAGGATTAGGCCTGAAGAGACACTCTGGCTGCAGACTGTCATAGCTGGTCTGTTGGACTGTGGGGACAAGTCTTGGGACCAAGCTGTCCAGCCTCCCTGGTTTCAGCAGGGGAAAAGCACAGCCTGGAGCTATAGAAATGGGTGCCGCCCTTCCCCCATCCAGGGAGCTTAGCATGGTAGGCAATTGCAAGTCCCAGTGCTGGCTGCTGCCCCTTCCCCAAAGAGCTCAAACAGCTTAGACAGCAGACAGCCGGTGCTGGTCATCCCTCCTCCAAGGAGTTCGGTAGGCTTAAGCAGATTCCAGCTGAGAGGCTGTAAGAATCTGCAAGTTCCAGGGTTGAGACACTAGGCCCTGGTTGCATTGGGTCTTCTGATTCCGTGGGTTGCACAGTTCTGTGGAAAAAGCAGTTTGCTGGAGGAGGGGGTTCCCCTTCCCCATATGGCTCTCAGGTGGGCTGCCGTACCACACTGCTCTTCCTTCTCTCCATGGGTCACATCAGCCTTCTAGCCAATTTTGATGAGAGAACCTGGATATCTTGGTTGCCAGTGAAGGATTCACACACTTATTATGTTTTTTTCTGATGGGAGCCTCCGAACAAGACAGTTTCTAGTCAGCCACCATGGCCCCACCCTTTTTCCCAACCATTTTAAAATGTAAAACCCTTTCTGAGTTCATGGGTCATACAAAAAGAGGCCTTGGATCAGGTGTGATGGCTCTCGCCTGTAATCTTAGCTACAACTACTCAGGAGACTGAGGTGGGAGGATTGCTTGAAGCTAGGAGTTTGAGACCAGCCTTGGCAACATAGTGAGACCCTTTATAAAAAAAAAGAAGAAGCCTTGGGTTGGACTGAATTGGACCCACAGGTTGTAGTTTGCCATCCTCTGTCTAAATCATAATTTGTTACAATATTATACTGGGTTTTTATTTTTAGGCTACTGGAAGAAGAAATAATAACTTGTGGCAGAAGAAAAAAATTACTGCCATTTGAAATCTCTTAAGTAACATATTCACTTATATATTTAAAACAAAAATATGCAAGAAAATGTACTGACATCTTCTTAAGTGAATATAATTTTTGGCTGGGTATTGTGGCTCAAGCCTGTAATCCTAGCATTTTGGGAGGCCAAGGCAGGAAGATCACTTGAGCCAGGAGTTCGTGACCAGCCTGGCCAACATATCAAGGCCTTGTCTCTACAAAAAAATAAAATAAAATAATTAGCTGGGCACAGTGGTACACACCTGTAGTCCCAGCTACTTGGGAGACTGAGGCAGTAGGATGCTTGAGCCTAGGAGGTTGAGGCTGCATTGAGCCATGATCACGCCACTGCACTCCAGTCTTGGTGACAGAGCAAGATTCTGTCTCAAAAAAAAAGTATATAATTTTTAAGGTCAAAAATATGAGTGTATGTAAAACAGAAAAGAGAAAAATCACTTTTATAAGAAATCTGAAAAACACATCTAAATTTTTATAGCTCAGAAATAAAATAGAAAGTCTGTCTAGAAATAAAGCTATTAAATGTGGAATTTTCTAAAGAATCTAAAACTAGGGTAAAGCTTACTTGTGTGCAGTAGATGACAGCCATCACTGAGTAATTTCCACAGCAATGGACAACTTCTAGTACCTTCCAAAGTTCTTTGACTCACCAGCTTGATGATACTTGAAGTTTCTTTAAACAGAATGAATCCTTTTATTTCATATATATAAGTAAAGCTTAAAATAAATGTAAGGTTTTAAAAAATGACAATATGTACACTTAAATGAATAGTTTTAAGGGATATCAACCTCCTAAGCACCTTCTCCTAAAATTGATCTGCCTATAATGCCTGACTTCCCAGTAGTCCATAAGAAGGGCACACTGATGTCCCATCTCTCATCCCAAATCTCACTACAACAGTTGACTCTGGAGCCTAAATATCTCTGAGGAACCAAAAATAGAAATATAAAGTTTATTTTGTTCAAGAAAACCTTTTGCAATGATTAATTAACGCACATATGTCTTATGCATATGTCTGTTAAAGGTAAAGTTTGGTCTGAGAAATAAGGTGTTTTGACCTATGTTGAAATGCTCTGAGTTCAGAATAGGATAGGTAGTGTAGATGATGATACCTATTCCTTTAAATGCAAATAGAATGTGTCATGACACTATCAAGTATTTGAAATAAAACCCACAGATAAAAAGTTAACATCACTTCCTCAGATGGGATATACTTATTCAAAAATGTAGTTTAGAATCATTTCATCAAATCCTATCTTGAAAGATTGATTTCAATTTTACTCAATCATCCCATTTTATGTAAAAAATATGTAAGATTTTGTATCTTCTATTAACAATAAATACACTTTTAAAAATACATGATAAAATTTTAGTTGTCAAAAATGAGCAAGAATGTTCATAGATTTTCATATTTATTTTAATGAATAAGTAAACAAAAGTGTTTGAAAACATTGTGAATCATTGTCCTAGAAAGCTACGTCAGAGTCAGAATGGCTATGATTAAAAAGTCTAAAAACAAAAGATATTGGCAAGGCTGCAGAGAAAAGGGAATGCTTACACACTGTTGGTAGGAATTTAAATTCAGCCACTATGGAAAAGTAGTTTGGAGATTTCCCAAAGAACTTACAACTACGTTTTGACGCAGCAATCCCATTATTAAGTATATATCCAACAGAAAACAAATATTTCTACCAAAAAGACACACACTCACATGTTCATTGCAGCACAATTCACAATAGCAAAGACATGGAATCAACCTAGGTGCCCATCAATGGTGAACTGGATAAAGAAAATGTGGTACTACTCACCATGGAATGCATGCAGTCATAAAAAGAATGAAATCATATCCTTTGCAGCAACATGGATGCAGCTGGAGGCCATTATCCTAAGCAAGTTAATACAGAAACAGAAAACCAAATATCACATATTCTAACTTGAAAGTAGGTGCTAAACATCAGGTACTCATGGATATAAAGATGGAACAACAGACACAGGGGACTACAAGAGGGAGGGAGGAGACACAAGGGTTGAAAAACTAACTGTTGGGTACTATGCTCAGTACCTGGGTGAAGGAATCAGTCATACCCCGAACCTCAGCATCATGCAATATACCCAGGTAACAAACCTGCACACGTACCTCCTGAATCTAAAAATTGAAAAAGAAAGCTAAGTGTGGCACTTGGTTCCTGGAGAGGGAGCAAGAAACCGGGAGAGGCAGGAAGCATGGGGAAATTTGGGGGACAGCACAGAAAGTCACTGAAGAACCTAAACACAAGTACCTACTTTACAATTTTTCCAAAGAACAGCCCTAGTGCTATTTACTAAATCTACTTCTTTCCTCATTCCTTTAAGATTGGGCAAGAAAGGAGATGAAGAGGAAGTAGCTTAACACAAATTGTCCAAATTAACCAACATTTTTGAATGCAAAAGTAAAGCTTGAGGGAGCTGCATGTGTCCCTGGCTGGGTCTGAAAGGAAAACTGACAAAGCAACAAGAAAAAAGCATACAACTTTATTTAATACAAATTAAATGTGACATGGGAGCCTTTGTAAGGAAATGACCAAAAGGAACAGTTAAACCGGAGTTTTTAAAATTGTAGTTTCAATGAAGAATGGTGAGTCATGGAGAAATATGCTGGGTAAAGAGAGTGAATCTTATGTCGTACACTGGGGGAAACTTAGCAAGGCCTTTTTTTTTTTTTTTCAGATTACTTTTTATATCTCTTTGTCTTCAGAGACAAGGATGATCCTTTCCTCCAGGTCAAGGGAATACACCTCTCACATGAGGGTCTTTGGGAGGTCAGACCTCCCAAAGGAGGTTTTATGACCTGATTCAGGGGAGAAGGGCAAGGGGAAGGTGAGAGTGACCTTCCTGTTTCTGATGTTTTCTCAAATTCCTTCAGCCAAAAATATTCAGCCTGAACCCTATCATCATAAAATTTAATTCTCCCAACAACTCTGTGGGAATAGATATGATTCCCTCAGCAACAGATGAAGGAAATGAGGCGGAAAGAGACTAAGTGAATCTATTATAAATATGCAGTTAACAAGTGATTGTGATAGAAAACTCAAACTCTGTATTCTGACTCTAAAACCCATGTTCTTTCATCTCACTTCAATTTCACAACCACAAGGCAGAGCTAGGTTCAGTCAACACTTCTCATTACATGATGTTGTTCCTCATCAGAGAACACCATCTCAGGCTTGCAGAAAGAACAGGGTACTTGAAGTGGAAAAGAAGACTATAGCTCCATGCAGAACTTCCTCAATAATTAATTCCCCAGTGCCTTTAAGATGCTAAAGCAGATTTTTTACAAGAAGCCAGCATCTATTAAAGGTGAAGAAGAAGAAGTGTGCTCAGGAAAATTTTCATGTTTAAGAAACCCACCCTTCATTTTAAAACTAGGCTACTAGGAGAGGGAGAAAACTTCATTAAAAACTCTTTCTACCCCAGAGTGGGAAGAAAACCTCTATTAGATAGAAGAGAAAGAAGTAGATTCAAGGGCAGCTTAAAGAATTCCTCAGAGCCTCATCTGAAATTTTCAGCTTCTATTTTTACAGTCAGTCTGCCAAGAAAGAAAATAGGAAGTAAAAGAAAAATCAAATTACTTTGAAGCCTCTCATTTTAAAAAAAACCAACTAAGGTAATTAAGACTATAAAACTGGCAAATGAAAGAATAATTTCTTCTTAAAATTCTCCTAAATAATTTTCCAGAACCCCTAAACTCTTCACAAAGACTCTTTAAGATCTGCAAAGCTAAAATGAATAAAATGGTAGAACTTACTTCAAAGCATAGTGTCTTGGGTCTTTAAGAGTAGGAGGAAATAAAAATACTCCTGGGGAGATTAGAGAAGCTCCATGAAACATCTTAAAAACAAAGCCAGAAAAACTACAGGTAAATAAATAAAATAATGAAAGACAACACAAAGAGAATAATTTTAGTGGAAATAAAGAGTAAATTTATGTAAAAATTTCCTAAGATGTTTGAGGATATGGATTACATCAATCTGACGTAGAAGAGGAAAGGTTTTGCTTAGCAATTTTAGGTGCCCTGGCTAGGTCTAAAAATCAAACTGAACCTAATGTAGGTCACAGGTTGATGGGTGCAGCAAACCACTGTGTCACGTGTATACCTATGTAACAAACCTGCACATTCTGCTTAAAATATAATAAAATATATTAAACTTAAAACATTATATGTTATATATAATATATTAATAAATATATTAAACATATTAAACTTAAAATACAATTAAAAAAAACAAACTGATGAAGAGACATTAGTAGAAGGAAAGCATACAAATTCACTTAGTAAGTTTTACGTGACAAGAGAGCCTTTATGAAGAAATGAAGACCCAAAAAGACAGTTAAATCTCTTTCTCTCTCTTTTTTTTTTTTTTTAATCTCTCTCTTTCTCCCAGGCTGGAGTGCAATGGTGTGATCACAGTTCACTGCAGCCTCAAAATCCTTGGCTCCAGAGATTCTCCTGTCTCAGCCTCCCAAGTAGCTGGGGCTACAGGCATGTACCACCACTCCCAGCTGATTTAAAATTTTTTTTGAAGAGATGAGGTCTTGGTATGTTGCCTGGGCTGGCCTCCAACTCCTTGCCTCAAGTGATTCTCCCACGTTGAGCCCTGCAAAGCATTTGGATTACAGGCATGAGCCACCATGCCAGGCCTGAATGTTTCTTTATAGTAGATTTCATGAAGTTAAATATGATGAGACAAAACGGGTGTAATCTAATGGTAATAAACTGCGGAAAACTTAGCAAGGCCTCTTTGTTTAAATTCTTCTTGGCATCTTTGTGTCTCTGGAGATAAGGGGGCTCCAGGTTTGGATCATAATCTTGGAAGACACAATCCTGAACACCATAATTCTGAATGTTAAAATCCCAGAAGTTTAAAATCTCTGACATCCAAAATCCCCAAAATCACAATCACAGGATAGTTGCATCATGTTAGGCAGAGCTATTACCTTTTTATTGTCTTTGAAATTAAGTACGGTTTTAGGAGATGAATATGGGTGCCAAGTTGAGAAGAGGTGGACTTGTGGACTTAATTTTAGGCGTCAACTTGACTGAATTAAGGAATACCTGGAAACCTAGCAAAGAAATTTGCTATGCTATGTATATCATCTTAACATCATTTCCAATACTGGAGGTATCAAGTATGTAGAGACTTTTGGAGAGTTCTCATTCGTTTTATGCATTTTTTTTTTCACAAATTTGACTGCATGAAAGTGTATTATCACAACACTTTGTGTGAAAGCACCTTGTATATACATAAAAATGTTGAAACTTCCTTAATAAATGAAGAGATGTTGTTTTGTACACATGCATTTGTGAAAGATAAAATTTCTGGAGATGTTGGCTTTTGGGGCAACTGCATATGTGTTGGTCACCCATTGTAGTTTTTTTGTTTGTTCATTGTTGTTTTTTAGCAATGTGGTCTCACTCTGTTGCCCAGGCTGAAGAGCAGGAGTGCAGTGGCTAGATCACAGCTCACTAAAGCCTTGAACTGCTGGGCTCAAGGGATCCTTGCACTTCAGCCTCCCCAGTGGTTAGGACTACAGGAATGCGCTACCATGCCCAGCTAATTTTTAAATTTTTCATAGATACAGGGTCTCACTATGTTGCCTATGCTGATCTTGAACTCCTGGCCTCAAGGGATCCTGCTGCCTCAGACTCCCAGTGTTAGGACTACAGGTGTGAGCAACTGCACCTGGCCCCATCACAGTTTTTGATCAATCTTGTCAAAAGACTTAGGTTGTTGGTCATGGTATTTCAAATAACTGGAGTTACAAAGCAGTTTGCACACAACTAGCAACCATAGTAATATGTGTTTGTACAGTTCCCTTTTTGACCTATTTCTTTATGAATATGGTTCATCTACCCATAACTGTTATACCTGTGCAACTGTGGTTAATGTACCTCAATGTTTATGCTTACAAAAATATGTATATTATTATTGGCTATTTTAATGTGTCAAGTGGCCTATGAAGGGTTCTGTTACATTTTTATATATTTTTCAAATAAATTCCCTTTAAAAATGTAAATAAATATCTCTTAAAGAAATTTTTAAATGATTTTTTCCACACTTATATTTTCAGGATTATAATCACTTAGGATTTCAGCATTTGGGATTATGGCATTAAGGATTGTGTCATTCCAGATAATGATTGGCTCCTGGATGCTCCTTTCTTCCAGGTATAGGAGGACATCACTCACATGAGGGTCTTATGACCTGCTTCAGGAAAAGGTCAGAAAATCCTTCCTAGGTTTTATGACGTGCTTTAGGGGAGAGCGGTGGGAAAAGGTCAGAGAGACTTTCGTGATCCTTTAGTTTTCTCAAATTCTTTCAGTTTAAAATATACATCATACCAAGGCATCATATTTTGGGGTAGGATGTTCTGAGCCCCATCATTGACCTTTTAAACTAAGCTACTGAAAGGGCAACAGGCCTCAGAGCTGGTACAACACGAGAAAAAAGTTCAGAGAAGTTACAGTAAATAAGTAGAGAGAAAGAAAGGTCTTCATGCAAGATTTTCTAAACCATTTCCAAGTACCTTCAATAATTAAGATAAAATACTTCAGAGGGTAAAAAAGAAATGTTGGAGAAAGAAAAAGAAGTATTAAATAAATTACTCTATCAAAATTACAGGTTTTCTAAATGTACTGTGGTATTGAAATCTAAATGCCTCAAGAAAAGAGTTTTTTTCAATGTAAAGATTTTGTAAATGCATTAATTTAGTATTAAAAAATCAATTTTAGGGCTTTGTGACTAAGTAACTAGAGGAAAAGAAGAATCAATTTCTCTTATTTAGCTAACTCATCAGTGTAGGTAATTGATTTTCAACTATGATCTCATATGAAGGAATTTAAAATGCACACACACGCACACACACACACTCACTCCAGGCCAGAGATTTTGATGTAATTGATCTGGGGTAGGAATCTAGTAGTATATTTTAAAATATCCCCTGCTGACATTTACCCTCATGTGTGTAGCCAGGGTAGAAATTCACTGAGTACAGAATTGAGGACATGCATTAAGAAACTTTTAAACTGGGCACAGTGGCTCACATCTATTATCCTAGAACTTGGGAGGCTGAGGTGGGAATATTGTTTGAGGCCAGGAGTTAGAGACCAGCCTGTGCAACATAGTGACATCCTCTATTTACAAAAAAAACAACAAAAAAGTCCAACATGGTAGCGCATGCCTACAGTCCCAGCTACTCAGGAGGCGGAGTTGGGATAATTGCTTGAGCCCCAGAGCTTGAGGCTGCAGTGAGCTGTAATTGTGCCACTGCACTCCAGCCTGGATGACAAAGCAAGACCATGTGTCAATAAAAAAGAGAGATTGCTGGCAAGATGGCTGAATAGGAACAGCTCCAGTCTGCAGCTTCCAGCGAGATCGATTCAGAAAGCGAATGATTTCTGCATTTCCAACTAAGGTACCCAGTTCATCTCACTGGGACTGGTTGGACAGTGGGTGCAGCCCATGGAGAGCGAGCTGAAGCTGAGTGGGTAGTCACCTCACCCGGCTAGCACAAGGGGTTTGGGAATTTGCTCTCCTACCCAAGGGAAGCCGTGAGTGACTGAGCCTGAGGAACTCTGGCACAGATACTGTGCTTGTCCCAAGATCTTTGCAATCTGCAAACCAGGAGATTCCCTGCGGTGCCTACCCCACTAGGGCCCTGGGTTTCAAGAAAAAAACTGGGCGGCCATTTGGGCAGACACCAAACTACCTGCAGGAGTTATATTTTTTTCCATACCCCAGTGGTGCCTGGAATGCCAGCGAGACAAAACCATTCACTCCCCTGGAAAGGGGTGCTGAAGCCAGGGAGCCAAGAGGTCTGGCTTGGTGGGTCCCACCTCCACAGAGCCCAGGAAACTAAAATCCACTGGCTTGAAATTCTTGCTGCCAGCACAGCAGCAGTCTGAGGTCAACCTGAGATGCTCAAGCTTGGTGGGGGGGAGGGGCATCAGCCATTGCTGAGGCTTGAGTAGGTGGTTTTATGCTCACAGTGTAAACAGAGCTGCTCAGAAGTTTGAACTGGGTTGCACCCACTGCAGCTCAGCCAGGCTGCTGTAGCCAGACTGCTAGATTCCTCCTCTCTGGGCAGGGCATCTCTGAAAAAAAGGTAGCAGCCCCAGTCTGGGATTTATAGCAGACTTAAACATCCCTGCCTGATGGCTCGGAAGAGAGCAGCAGACCTCCCAGCACAGTGTTCAAGTTCTGCTAAGGGTCAGACTGCCTCCTCATCTGGGTCCCTGACCCCCGTGTATCCTGACTGGGAGACACCTCCCACTAGAGGCTGACAGACACTTTGTACAGGAGAGCTCTGGTTGGCATCTGGCAGGTGCTCGTCTGGGACAAAGCTTCCAGAGGAAAGAACAGGCAGTAATCTTTGCCCTTCTGCAGCCTCCGCTGGTGATACCCAGGCAAACAGGGTCGGGAGTGGACCTCCAGCAAACTCCAGCAGACCGGCAGCAGAGGGTCCTGGCTGTTAGAAGGAAAACTAACAAACAGAAAGGAATAGCACATACACTCAAAGACCCCATCCGAAGGTCACCAGCGTCAAAGACAAAAGGTAGATGAATCCACAAAGATGGGGAGAAACCAGTGCAAAAAGGCTGAAAACACCAAAAACCAGAACACCTCTTCTCCTCCAAAGGATCACAACTCCTCGCCAACAAGGGAACAAAACTGGATGGAGAATGAGTTTGACAAGTTGACAGAAGTAGGCTTCAGAAGGGGGGTAATAACAAACTCATCCGAGCTATAGGAGCATGTTCTAACCCAATGCAAGGAAGCTGAGAACCTTGAAAAAAAGGTTAGATGAATTGCTAACTAGAATAACCAGTGTAGAGAAGAACATACATGACCTGATGGAGCTAAAAAACACAGCACAGGAACTTTGTGAAGCATACACAAGTATAAATAGCCAAATTGATCAAGATGAAGAAAGGATATCAGTGATTGAAGATCAACTTAATGAAAGAAAGAGAGAAGATTAGAGAAAAAAGAATAAAAAGGAATGAACAAAGCCTCCAAGAAATATGGGACTATATGAAAAGACCAAATCTACGTTTGATTGGTGTACCTGAAAGTGAAGAGGAGAATGGAACCAAGTTGGAAAACAAGCTTCAGGATATTATCCAGGAGAACTTCCCCAAACTAGCCAGACAGGCCAACATTCAAATTCAGGAAATACAGAGAACACCATAAAGATACTCCTCAAGAAGAGCAATCCCAAGACACATAATCATCAGATTCACCAAGGTTGAAATGAAGGAAAAAATGTTAAGGGCAGCCAGAGAGAAAGGTTGGGTTACCCACAAAGGGAAGCCCATCAGACTAACAGCAGATTTCTCAGAAGAAACCCTGCAAGCCAGAAGAGAGTGGGCGCCAATATTCAGCATTCTTTAAGAAAAGAATTTTCAACCCAGAATTTCATATCCAGCCAAACTAAGATTCATAAGTGAACTAGAAATAAAATCCTTTACAAACAAGCAAATGCTGAGAGATTTTATCACAACCAGGCCTGCCTTATGAGAGCTCCTGAAAGAAGCACTAAACTTGGAAAGGAACAACCAGTACCAGCCACTGCAAAAATATACCAAATTGTAAAGAACATTGACACTATGAAGAAACTGCATCAAATAATGGGCAAAACAACCAGCTAGCATCATAATGACAGGATCAAATTCACACATAACAATATTAACCTTAAATGTAAATGGGCTAGATGCCCCAATTAAAAGAGAGAGACTGGCAAATTGGATAAAGAGTCAAGACCCATCAGTATGCTGTATTCAGGAGACCCATCTCATGTGCACAGACACACATAGGCTCAAAATAAAGGGATGGAGGAATATTTACCAAGCAAATGGAAAGCAAAAAAAAAGCAGGAGTTGCAATCCTAATCTCTGATAAAACAGACTTTAAAACAAAAAGATCAAAAGAGACAAAGAAGGACATTGCATAATGGTAAAGGGATCAATGCAACAAAAAGAGCTAACAATCCTAAGTATATATGCACCCAATACAGGAGAACCCAGATTCACAAAGCAAGTTCTTAGAAACCCACAAAGAGACTGAGACTCGCATATAATAATAGTGGGAGACTTTAACATCACACTATCAATATTAGACAGATCAACAAGACAGAAAATTAACAAGGATATTCAGGACTTGAACTCAGCTCTGGACCAAGTGGATGTAATGGACATCTACAGAACTCCCCATGCCAGATCAACCGAATATATATTTTTTCTCAGCACCTCATCACACTTATTCTAAAATTGACCACATAATTGGAAGTAAAACACTCAGCAAATGCAAAAGAACGGAAATCACAACAAACAGTCTCTCAGACCACAGTGCAATCAAATTAGAACTCAGGATTAAGAAATTCACTCAAAACCACACAACTACATGGAAACTGAACAACCTGTGCCTGAATGACTACTGGGCGAAGGCAGAAATAAAGATGTTCTTTGAAACCAATGAGAACAAAGACACAACATACCAGAATCTCTGACACGTTTAAAACAGCATGTAGAGGGAAAATTATAGCAGTAAATGCCCACAAGAGAAAGCAGGAAGGATCTAAAATTGGCACCCTAACATTAAAATTGAAAGAACTAGAGAAGCAACAGCAAACAAATTCAAAAGCTAGCAGAAGACAAGAAATAACTAAGATCAGAGCAGAAGTGAAGGAAATAGAGACATGAAAAACCCTTCAAAATATCAATGAATCCAGGAGCTGGTTTTTTTTTTTAAAGATCAACAAAATAGATCAACCACTTGCCAGGCTAATAAAGAAGAGAGAGAAGAATCAAATAGATGCAATAAAAAATAATATAGTGAATAATACCACTGATCCCATAGAAATAGAAACTACCATCAGAGCATACTATAAACACCTCTGCACAAATAAACTAGAAAATCTAGAAGAAATGGATAAATTCCTGGACACATACACCCTCCCAAATCTAAACCAGGAAGAAGTCGAATCCCTAAATAAACCAATAACAAGTTCTGAAATTGAGGCAGTAATTAATAGCCTACCAACGAAAAAAATTCAAGGACCAGACGGATTCACAGTTGAATTCTACCAGAGGTACAAAGAGGAGCTGGTACCATTCCTTCTGAAATTATTCCAAACAATAGATAAAGAGAGAATGCTCCCTAACTCATTTTATGAGGCCAGCATTATCCTGATACCAACACCTGGTACAGATACAACAACAACAACAAATCAGGCCAATATCCCTGAGGAACATTGATGAGAAAATCCTCCATAAAATATCAGGAAACTGAATCCAGCAGCACATCAAAAAGCTTAACCACCACAATGAAGTAGGCTTCATCCCTGGGATGCAAGGCTGGTTCAACATACGCAAATCAATAAATGTAATCCATCACATAAACAGAACCAATGACAAAAACCACATGATTATCTCAATAGATGCAGAAAAGGCCTTTGACAAAATTCAACAGCCCTTCATGCTAAAAATTCTCAATGAACTAGGTATTGATGGAATGTATTTGAAAATAGTAAGAGCTATTTATGACAAACCCATAGCCAATATCATTCTGAATGAGCAAAAACTGTAAGCATTCTCTTTGAAAACCAGCACGAGACAAGGTTGCTCTCTCTCACTGTGTCTGGAATTGGTGGGTTCTTGGTCTCACTGACTTCAAGAATGAAGCCGTGGACCCTCACGGTGAGTGTTACATACAATTCTTAAGGGTGGTGTGCCTGGAGTTTGTTCCTTCTGATGTTCGGATGTGTTCAGAGTTTCTTCCTTCTGGTGGGTTCGTGGTCTCGCTGGCTTCAGGAGTGAAACTGCAGACCTTCACGTGAGTGTTACAGCTCATAAAGGCAGTGTGGACCCAAAGAGTGAGCAGTAGCAAGATTTATTGCAAAGACCAAAAGAACAAAGCTTCCACACTGTGGAAGGGGACCCAAGCGGGTTGCCACTGCTGGCTCGGGCAGCCTGCTTTTATTCTCTTATCTGGCCCAACCCACATCCTGCTGATTGGTCTATTTTACAGAGAGCCGATTGGTCTGTTTCACAGAGAGCTGATTGGTCCGTTTTGACAGGGTACTGATTGGTGCATTTACAATCCCTGAGCTAGACACAGAAGTTCTATACATCCCCACTAGATTAGCTAGTTACAGAGTGTTGACACAAAGGTTCTCCAAGTCACCACCAGAGTAGCTAGATACAGAGTGTCAACTGGTGCATTCACAAACCCTGAGCTAGACACAGGGTGCTGATTGGTGTGTTTACAAACCTTGAGCTAGATACAGAGTGCCAATTGGTGTATTTACAATCCCTTAGCTAGACATAAAGGTTCTCCAAGTCCCCGCCAGACTCAGGAGCCCAGGTGGCTTCACCCAGTGGATCCCATACCGGGGCCACAGGTGGAGCTGCCTGCCAGTCCCGCACTGTGCACCCGCACTTCTCAGCCCTTGGGTGGTTGATGGGACTGGGCGCTGTGGAGCGGGGGGCAGCGTCACTGGGGAGGCTCGGGCCATGCAGGAGCCCACAGTGGGGCAAGGGGAGGCTCAGGCATGGCGGGCTGCAGGTCCCGAGCCCTGCCCTGCAGGGAGGCAGCTAAGGCCCGGCGAGAAATTGAGCACAGCAGCTGCTGGCCCAGGTGCTAAGCCCTTCACTGCCCGGGGCTTGCGGGCCGGCTGGCCACTCTGAGTGCAGGGCCCGCCAAGCCCACGCCCACCCAGAACTCATGCTGGCCTGCAAGGGCCATGCGCAGCCCCGGTTCCCGCCCACGCCTCTCCCTCCACACCTCCCCACAAGCCGAGGGAGCCAGCTCCACCCTCAGCCAGCCCAGAGAAGGGCTCCCACAGTGCAGCGGTGGGCTGAAGGGCTCCTCAAGCATGGCCAGAATGGGTGCCAAGGCCGAGGAGGCACCGAGAGTGAGCAAGGGCTGTGAGGGCTGCCAGCACGCTGTCACCTCTCATCACTACTGCTATTCAACTTAGTATAGGAAGTTCTGGCCAGGGCAATCAGGCAAGAGAAAGAAATAAAGGGTATTCAAATAGTAAGAGAGAAAGTCAAATTGTGTCTATCTGCAGATGACATGACTGTATATTTAGAAAGCCCCATGGTGTCAGTCCACAATCTCCTTATGCTGATAAGCAACTTTAGCAATGTTTCAGGATACAAAATCAATGTGCAAAAATCACAAGCATTCCTATACACCAATAACAGACAAAGAGAGACAAATCATGAGTGAACTCCCATTCACAATTGCTACTAAGAGAATAAAATACCTATGAATACAACTTACAAGGGATGTGAAGGACCTCTTCAAGGAGAACTAAAAGCCATTGCTCAAGGAAATAAAAGAGAACACAAAGAAATGGAAAAACATTCCATGCTTATGGATATGAAGAATCAATATTGTGAAAATAGCCATACTACCAAAGTAATTTATAGATTCAGTGCTATCACCATCAAGCTACCACTGACTTTCTTCACAAAATTGGAAAAAAAAACTACTTTAAACTTCATATGGAACCAAAAAAGAGCGTGCATAGCCAAGACAATCCTGGGCAAGAAGAACAAAGATGGAGGCATCATGCTACCTGACTTCAAACAATACTACAAGCCTACAGTAACCAAAAGAGCATGGTACTGGTACCAAAACAGATATATAGACCAATGGAACAGAACAGAGACCTCAGAAATAACACCACACATCTACAACCATCTGATCTTTGACAAACCTGACAAAAGCAAGCAATGGGGAAAAGATTCCCTACTTAATAAATGGTGTTGGGAAAACTGGCCAGCCATATACAGAAAGCTGAGACTGGACCCCTTCCTCACACCTTATACAAAAATCAACTCAAGATGGATCAAAGATTTAAATGTAAGATGTACGACCGTAAAAATCCTAGAAGAAAATTTGTGCAATACCATTCAGGACATAGTTATGGACAAAGATTTCAGGTCTAAAACACCAAAAGCAATGGCAACAAAAGCCAAAATTGACAAATGGGATCTAATTAAACTAAAGAGCTTCTGCTCAGCAAAAGAAACTATCATCAGAGTGAACAAGCAACCTACAGAATGGGAGAAAATTGTTGCAATCTATCCATCTGACAAAAGGCTAATATCCAGAATCTACAAAGAACTTAAACAAATTTACAAGAAAAAAAAAACCCGTCAAAAAATGGGCAAAGGATATGAACAGACACTTCTCAAAAGAAGACATTTATGCAGCCAACAGACATAGGAGAAAATGCTCATCATCACTGGTCATTAGAGAAATGCAAATCAAAACCACAATGAGATACCTTCTCACACCAGTTAGAATGGCTATCATTAAAAAGTCAGGAAACAACAGATGCTGGAGAGGATGTGGTGAAATAGAAACACTTTTACACTGTTGGTGGGAGGGTAAATTAGTCCATCCATTGTGGAAGACAATATGGCGATTCCTCACAGATCTAGAACTAGAAATACCGTTTGAACCAGCAATCCCATTACTGGGTATATACCCAAAGGATTATAAATCATTCTACTATAAAGACACATTCACATGTATGTTTATTGCAGCACTATTCACAATAGTAAAGACTTGGAACCAATCCAAATGTCCATCGACAATAGACTGGATAAAGAAAATATGGCACATATACACCATGGAATACTATGCAGCCATAAAAAAGGATGAGTTCCTGTCTTTTGCAGGGACATGGATGAAGCTGGAAACCATCATTCTCAGCAAACTATCACAAGAAAACCAAACACCGCATGTTCTCACTCATAAGTAGGAGTTGATCAATGAGAACACATGGACACAGGGAGGTGAACATCACACACCAGGGCCTGTCGGGAGGTGGGGGATCAAGGGAGGTATAACATTAGGAGAAATACCTAATGTAGATGATGGGTTGATGGGTGCAGCAAACCACCATGGCACATGTATACCTATATAACAAAACTGCATGTTCTGCACATGTACCCCAGAACTTAAAGTATAATAAAGAAAGAAAAAGAAACTCATTTTAACAAAAAAATTTACTGTTGAATAGTAAAATATTTCAGCTTGCATTTTATTTTATTTTTATGTATTTTTTATTCACTTGTATCTTATAAACATTGTTGTATGATGAAGTAGAATTTTAAAATTAAAAATTACTATTGTAAATAATTTCACAGTGTCTGAAGTGTCTTCAACATTTATTTCGAAGGTTATGCTGCAAAGTCTTTTTGTGGCAGAAAGAAACATTATTTTTAATATTATTTACAAATTATTACTTTTTTTGAGACAGGGTCTCACTCTGTCACCCAGGCTGGAGTGCTGTGTTACAATCACAGCTCACTGCAGCCTTGAACTCCCTGGGCTCAGGTGATCCTCCTACCTCAGCTTCCCGAGTAGTTGGGACTACAGGCATGCACCACCATGCCCAGCTAATTTTTGTATTTTTTTGCCGAGATGGGGTTTTGCCATGTTGCGCAGGCTGTTCTCAAAGTCCTGGGCTCAAGCAATCCACCCACCTCAGCCTCCCAAAGCGCTAGGATTACAGGTGTGAGCCACTGCATCCAACTACCATAAAAAGTATTACGGATCCAAGTAATAGTTGATGTGATATCAGAAGTGTAGTCAGGAATTAACTACACTGAGGGGTGAGGACCATAGCATGGGCAAAGGCCCTGAAGTAGGAGAGTGCATAGCCATAGAAGACACCAGAGGTGGTCCAAAAGGCAGGAAGAGAAAATGGTCAATATATTTACCTCTGACTGGTCACAGTGGATTAGCTGTGTCCCTCTGTGGAAGGCCCCATCTACTGTCTATGTTATCTATCTCCTGGATTTACCCCTCAGGCCTAGAGATTATAACCAATCTCTATGGTTACTATCCCTGGTATAGGAAATGATCCCTTGTTACTTTCCCAAACCCTACCCACACCTTAAACTAGCCTCAAATTACCCAGTTTAAGGGTGTCATCTATTCCAAACAGGACTGATACAGATACCATCTCCATATTTTAATACTTAAAAGCAAAACAAAACCCACACACTTCTGATTTCCTCATTTGCATGAATGCCAACATGAATTAAATTCCGCTAATCAGATATAGACTCCTGCAATATTTATTTGGAGCTGAGTTATGCAGGGAAACAAGTGGGTACATAGCACCCATTTTGCTGTCATGGATTATTGCAGAGAAGGTGTTTCCATGAAGCTCATTCAGGAAAACAGAACAACTATGAACATATAGAATAAGGATTTATTTTAGGAATTGGACAGTACGCAATTGGGAGAAGTGCTAGGCAGTAAAGTTCTGGGGAAAATAAAGGAGTTGGAGGATTATGAAAAGACCATTTGCTCTAAAGCACTGACACATATGGACAAGTCAGACCTTGGGGGAAGCCAGGCACATCCAGCTGCTAGAGTGGGATCCTACGGAGCTGGTGTCAACATCTAGGAATAGCTATTCCCTCTTCTTGACTGTTGATTCTAAGTTCACAACTTTCCAAATCCCTCTCATATTTCTCTTTTGACCATCTCTAACCAGGAACCAAACCATTGTCCTGAGGTCTTTCAGGGAGTTTGGGGGCCTACATTTTCACTTGTGGTTGCTAGACAGCAGAGAACACCAGCCAGACTCCAATGTAGGGTTAAACTGACATAATCATGTACAGCAGTAGACTTTGTTGGCTCTCCTGGCAGATTCAATGTTGGCAGCAGCTGAGGTCATCCCCACAGAGGGGCTTTGGGGAAACTCTGTGAAGTTTTCCTTTATGGCCCCTAGTATTGTGCCAAGTTGTCCCAGACATTTTGAACATGACCTGGTCTGCATATAGCTCCAACTGGCTTTGTTGGACACATCATAGCAGCTAGAGAGTTAGTTAGCAAGAGTCAGGTTACACCTGGCAAGGTGAGGGAAAACCCTAGAGTATGGTGACCAGGCGTGATCAGCAAGCCTTCCTGAAGGGATATCATGTTCACTTTTCTGTTTATACCTGCAACTAAATTCCTGCCCCAGATGGAAGCTCCTTGAGAACAGGCCACTAGAGAAACAAAATTTCTAATCAATTATCAGTTAAAGATGATTATTCTCAGGAGAAACAAAGCAGGGTTTCGTCAATTATAAAACAAAAGGTTTGGCCGGGCACAGTGGCTCACACCTGTAATCCCAGCACTTTGGGAGGCTGAGGAGGGAGGTCGAGGCAGGTGGATCATGATGTCAAGAGATTGAGACCATCCTGGCCAACATGGTGAAACCCCTTCTCTACTAAAAATACAAAAATTAGCTGGGCATGGTGGCATGCACCTTTGGTCCCAGTTACTCGGGAGAGTGAGGCAGGAGAATCCGTTGAACCTGGGAGGCGGAGGTTTCAGTGACCCAAGATTGTGCCACTGCACTCCAGCGTGGTGACAGAGCGAGACTCTGTCTCAAAAAATAAAATAAAATAAAATAAAATAAAATAAAATAAAATAAAATAAAATAAAGGTTTGACTATGTACTCTATTTTGTGAAGAAATTGACTGGAGAAACAAATTTTGTAATTTCACCCCTGTATTTTCTTTTTATAAATTATTGGTAAAATAAAATAAGGACATAAAGAAGAGTATATAGAATGTGTAATATGAATTAAAATAAAAGGCCTAGCAGATGATATGATTGTCAATGTAGAAAACCTGAAAGAATTGACAAAAAGCTCCAGGAACTAATAAGCAATTATAGCAGGGTTGCAGGATACAAAGTTAATACAAAACCTCAGCATGCTAGAAGCTGTCTACAGTAAGTGCAAGTGAACTCACTGGATTGAGGGGATATGGGCTAGGAAAGCAGCCATGTCTAGTACATCTAGGATGACTGAAGTAATGGGAGAATAACTCAGAGAAAGGGAAATCATCAGATCCTTTATATTTTAAGAATCACAAATAGCTGGCCATGTGGTGGTGCACGTTGGAACAATATCAACTAAACTGCAATCCTATTAAAATTTTGTTCCAGCTATTCTGGTGGCTGAGACAGGAAGATTGCTTGAGCCCAGGAGTTCAAGGACAGCCTGGACAACATAGTGAGACTCTGTCTCAAAAAAATAATAATAATAATTAAAAAGAAAAAATGCTGCTTGCCTTTTGGATTATTCTCTGCGGGGAAAAGGCAGACATGGTTTTGATGTTGTGAGAAAGGCCTAAACCAGAAACCAATCCCATCCCAGCACTCCTGGCTTAACAGAAACCCTGGGATGTGTCTGTGTATGAGAAATGAAAGGGGCTAGCACAAAAAGCTTCTCTCCAAGGAGCCCAAGGGTAAAAGAAACTTAGCTGGTTAGCATTGAGGGAATGGATCATTCCCATTCAAAAGACAATGTGCCCTGGTCAGGGATCTGTTTCAAGACTAATGAATTGCATTAATTTTAAAAACCCTTTTATTTTAAATTAATTTTAAATTTTAATTTATTATAATTTTTTTAGAAACCGGGTCTTGCTGTGTTGTCCAGGCACTGGAGTGCAGTGGTACAATCATAGCTCACTGCAGTCTCCAAAACCTGGGCTCAAGTGATCCTCCTACATCAGCCTCCCAAGTAGCCTTGCTAATTAAAAAAATTTTTTTTTGTAGATATGAGGTCTTGCTATGTTGCCCAGGCTGGTCTTGAATTCCTGGCCTCAGGTGATCCTGCTGTTTCAGTCTCCCAAAGTGCAGGGATGACAAGCATGAGCTGCAGCCCTTTTATTCTGAGATAATTTTAGACTTACAGAAAAGTTGCAAAAATAGTTCAGAAAATTTCCATATACTGTTTACACAGCTTCCACTAATGTTAACAACATCCTGCATAATATATAGGTACAAGTGAATAAATGGTAAAAGTGAGACAGGCAAGCTAGAAAGTCAAAAAAGAATACATTATAGAGTCTGTAACTACTGTGGGCAACTGGGTCTCAGTGATGTTATATACATAATAATAATAAAATTATCAAAACCAGGGAATTAACATTGGAACAATATCAACTAAACTGCAATCCTATTATAATTTTGTCATTTTCTCACCAGTGTTCTTTTTCTAGTCTAGGATACATATTGCAATTAGTTGTCAAGTTTCCTTCATCTGTGACATTTCCTCAGTCTTCCTTTGTCTTTCATGACTTTGACACTTTTGAAGAGTTCTTATAGGTCAGTGTTTTTGTTTTTTTTAACAATGTCCCTCAGCGTGGATTAGTCCAGTATTTCATTATGTATGATTACTTTGGAGTTATGCATTTTTGGCCAAAAACCACAGAAATGAATTTGTGCTGTTTTCAGTGAATCATATCAGGAGGTACATGATGTTAGTGTATCATATTACCAGGGACGACATTACCTTTCATCACCTGATTAACATGGTGTCTGCAGGGTTTTTCCATGTACACTTTCTATTTTTCTATTTTCAATTAATAAATATCTTGGAAGGAGAGTCTTTGAGACTGTCTTATTTCTCATTACATTTTGCCCACTAATTTTAACACCCATTTATGATTCTTGCCTGCCACGTTATTACTGTGTATTTGCCTAATGGGCTGCTTTTCAATAACCTGTTGGTTTGCACTAATTACAAGGATGGGCTGATCATAATGCAATTCTATTCCTGCATACATGTGGAAGCTGGAGTATCCTTCTTCTGAATTTTAGGGCATTGTAATGACCATGAGAATTCATCGGTAGATCTGTGAGAGAATGGAGCATCAAGAGGGAGATACTGAACTTCCTTTTAATAAAGCAATTAGGGAACTCAATAATTAAATGAAAGAAATAGGATACTAAACATATATATAGATGATTTTTGTGGAGTAGCTTATTCTGGTTACATTAATTTTTATCTGTAATGCAGTGATCCCCTTAGATCTGTAGACTCGGGTATGTATGCTTCCATTTTATGAAAGTTTCATTGTTTTTGTTCCATCAGGCTTGTCCTTCTATTTATAACAAATATTTATATTTTGGCTTTCTGTTATCTTTCTATTATCTTTTTTTCTCCTACACTATGTTTATCCTTTTGTCCTTTTCCTCTGCATTGTGTGGAAATCCTAAACATGTCTGAATGTCATAAGTTCACTTTTTCTGTAGGGTAAATTTTGCTCCAGATTAAGTTGAGGTATCTTCCTCCTAAAATACTTAATTCTATCTATTCTATTTTCATTTTATCCTCTGACATTATTAAGCCATGTTTTGTATATTTTTTTTCTATTTTCTGGAGTAAACTTCTTCCAGTGTATGCTCTTGGGATGCTGGTGTTCACTTTCTTTTTTCCTTTTGCTAAACTTTTGCATAGATTCTATTAAAATTTGTTTTTTTATTCTCAACTTTGAATCAGGATAGTTTATGCAGGATTATTATTTGCCCAAAAATACTATATATGAATTCTTACGACTTTTCCTATTTCCCTGTGCACTGAGTCTTCACTGAGAGCTCGAACTAGAAGACTACACATTGTTGGTTTGTATTCTCTATCCAATTATGAAGCTATATGAGATGAATGAAAAGAAATCTATGCCTATGGGCAACTGTATGAAGGGAAATTTATCTTTGTTGTCTTTTTCTTTCATAATTCTGCTGAAATCCCTGAACCAGAGGCTAGCTGAGTTGAGCCAGTGATGTAGTATTTCCTAACCAAATGGGAGGGCATACTATCTTCAGTGTGTTTTGTTCTTCTCTTCAAGATGAGTGAACCACATTGGTGAATATTCACCAGATTTTTTGTCATTTGTGTGTGTATATGTGTATGTGTTCCTACATCCCTGAACTAATCTGCCTTTTCTTGACACTCTCACTGAAGAACAAGATAGTGGTCCCCCGGAATTATCCTCATCTCTCTCCCACTTTGTGGTGGGTCAAGGAGAAAACCTCTGTGGCTTGGTATCTCTTCTAGCTCCTGCCTTAGAATGTTGGCTAAGGATCCAAAGAATATATTCCATGTCTTTTTTCGTAGTGTGCTCCTGTCATCAGATGTGGTACTTCCAAACTGGAGAGCATCAAAGTAATTGCTGGGTTTTTTTTGTGGTTTTTTTTTCTGGTTTTTTTTTTGTTTTTTTTTTGAGACAGGGTCTCACTCTGTCGTTTAGGCTGGAGTGCAATGGCGCAATCATGGTTCGCTGCAGCCTTGACTTTCTGGGCTCAAGCAAGCAATCCTTTCACCTCAGCCTCCTGAGTATGTGGGACCACAGGTGTGCACCACCATGCCTAGACAATTTAAAAATTCTTTTTATAGTGACAAGTTTTCTTATGATGCTCAGACTGAAAGAAGTTTGTTTTTTTTTTTCAGTGTCTTGCTATACACGTTGATCTTTCCAGAAAGGAAGCTCTTTTGACCCTGGTATTTACATTTACCTTGATCAAAATTGAATTATCCTTTATTGATGACCTGTGGAGTTTTTAGACAAGATTAGACACAGTCTCTTAGTTCAGAGCTGATAATATTGTCATTTTACTTTGCTTTGTTTATTGTTGGATTAAAACAATTGTGGGAGGAATCTTCTGCAAAATCCCCATATTTTCAGAAGAATCAATATACTTTTTTAGCATAAAAAGCAGCTTTCATCTTTCCTACCAATCAAACAAGATAAATCCAGTTGCCATTTTTGGTTCTTGTGAAATCG
This sequence comes from Homo sapiens, assembly GCF_000001405.40. NCBI lineage: Eukaryota > Metazoa > Chordata > Mammalia > Primates > Hominidae > Homo > Homo sapiens. The sequence continues at coordinate 108,451,243 of NC_000005.10, forward strand.
AAAATATCCCTTGATTGATTTTCATTATATAGCCCATCTCTTACTACTTTTGTAATCTTCTACATGTTTTACCTAAAAGCAACTTTTGAAGTTCATGAAATATAAAAGTACACACTTAAAAGTTTTTATTTCTATAGAAGCCTTAAAACACAAATGAAATGGTTCCAAGGGCATAGTAGTATGTGATAAACTTATTGATCACCAGATGTCACTCTTGCTTCATGCTATATAAAGACAAATTTCAACCAGAAAATGAAAAAGAGATACTGCAATTCTGGTTTTTCAGTGGCAAAACATTTTTATCAGCAGGGAAGACTTATATCCTTCAATTAAGCAATAAGACATAAAAAGAAGTTCATTTTCATAGTAGAAATGCAAAAATATTGATTGGCTTTAATTACCAAAAGAAAGAGGTAATTCTTTGAAACACTCACCTGTCACCAAAAGAATGAAGAAATTATCCCACGCGGCTTAGCTTGCTGTTAATAACATACTAGCTTTATTAAATTGACATATGCAATGGTTATTTTGTGGTTTTAATTGATGTTATTAAAATTATAATGAAAATTTAAAGTATCATTTTCTCTGAGTTTTGGTAAAACTGATGAAGTTTAAGGTCAGTAAGGACGAATTAGAAATTGTTATAAATGAGTTTGAATTTTCCTACTAAAGAAAGTGCAGGTGTTAACTTTTTTGAAGGTCTTTCTTTTGAATGATATATATGATGATCAATTTTCATAAATATTGTGCAAAAGTTATCTTAAGGATTTGTACTTGAGGCTGGGTACAGTAGCTTATGCCTGTAATCCCAGCACTTTGGGAGGCCAAGGTGGGTGGATTGCTTGAGCCAAGGAGACCTTGAAAACTCAAAGTCAGGTTTCCAAATCCATGAAATGTGTTTCCAGGACCCAGCGCTATGCCACCAATGAACTTTAAAAAAACTGTAGAAGTTAAACTACCATAGATATATGGTACTTTAGCAATTTTAGGTTTGTTATATAAACTTGATTATAGATCAGAAAGCATAGGGACTGGTGGGGAAGGGAATTAACAGTTGAGAATACATAGGTTCTTTGCCAAAAACAGGGGGAATGAGTGACCATATAGTTAACTGAATGCTGAGTGCAGACTCCATAGCTTCATCCCTTATCTGGCTTCTAGAACAATGACAGTCAGATGTTCACCCTCCAGTCAGAGTATCAGAGGACTCTTGGAAATATGACCAGGCCAGAAGGGAATACCTAAAGATATCAACACCAGATCTTTCTCCCAAAATGGCTTATCCAGATAAACTTATAAAGAAGTTTTGACAGACCTCATTCACATGCCCAAAGCTTCTAGTTAGCTTTTTAGTCCCCAATTCTTAATCAGTCAAGGACATGAGTCAAGTATTGCCAGGTATAGGAGGAAAGCTACCATAGAAAATGAGGACAGAAGCCAGCAGAAAACGAGGACAGAAGCTAGCAGAAAACAGCAACTTGGAGGGAACAGAAACTATCCAGGTGATAAGGTTTGGCTGTGTCCCCACCTATATCTCATCTTGAATTGTAACTCCCACAATTCCCACGTGTTGTGGGAGGGACCTAGTGGGAGGTAATTGAATCATAGGCTGGATCTTTCCTATGCTATTCTTGTGATAGTGAATAAGTCTCATGAGATCTGATGGTTTTATAAAGGGAAGTTTCCCTGTACAAGCTCTCTCTCTTTGCCTGCTGCCATCCATGTAAGATGTGTCTTGCTCCTTGTTGCCTTCTGCCATGATTGTGAGGCCTCCCCAGTGATGTAGAACTGTAAGTTCATTAAACCTCTTTTGTAAATTGTCCACATTCTGGTATGTCTTTATGAGCAGTGTGAAAATAGACTAATACAGTAAATTAGTACCAGTAGAGTGTGGCACTGCTGAAAAGACACCTGAAAATGTAGAAGCAACTTTGGAACTGGGTAACAGACAGAGGGTGGAATAGGTTGGAGGGCTCAGAAGAAGACAGGAAAATGTGGGAAAGTTTGGAACTTCCTAGGGACTTGTGGAGTGGCTTTGACCAAAATGCTGATAATGATATGGACAATGAAATCCAGGATAAGGTGGTCTCAGATGGAGATAAGGAATTTGTTGGGAACTGGAGCAAAGATGACTCTTGTTATGTTTTAGCAAACAGACTGGTGGCATTTTGCCCCTGCCCTAGAGATTTGTGGAACTTTGAACTTGAGAGAGATTATTTAGGGTATCTGGCAGAAGAAATGTCTAAGCAGCAAAGCATTCAAGAGGTGACTTGGGTGCTGTTAAAGGCATTCAGTTTTAAAAGGGAAACGGAGCATAAAAATTCAGAAAATGTGTAGCCTGATGATGCAGTAGAAAAGAAAAATCCATTTTCTGAGCAGAAATTCAAGCCAGCTGCAGAAACTTGCATAAGTAACGAGGAGTCAAATGTTAATCACCAAGACAATGGGGAAAATGTCTCCAGGAGATGTCAGAGGTCTTTTCAGCAACCCCTCCCATCACAGGCCCAGAGATTTAGGAGGAAAAAATGGTTTTGTGAGCCAGGCCCAGGGCCCTGGTGGTGTGTGCAGTCTAGGGACTTGGTGCTGTGTTCCAGCTGCTCCAGCCATGACTAAAAGGGGCCAAGGTACAGCTTGGGCTGTTGCTTCAGAGGGAGGAAGCCCCCAGCCTTGGCAGCTTCCACATGATATTGAGCCTTTAAGTGCACAGAAGTCAAGAATTGAGGTTTGGGAACCTCTGCCTAGATTTCAAAGGGTGTATGGAAACTCCTGGATGTCCAGGCAGAAGTTTGCTGCAGGGATGGGGCCCGGATGGAGAACCTCTGCTAGGGCAGTGCAGAAGGGAAATGTGGGATCAGAGCCCCCACACAGAGTCCCTACTGGGGCACTGCCTAGTGGAGCTGTGAGAAGAGAGCCACTATCCTCCAGACCCCAGAATGGTAGATCCACTGACAGCTTGCACCGTGCACCTGGAAAAGCTGCAGACACTCAACACCAGCCCGTGAAAGCAGCCAGGAGGGGGCCTATACCCTGCAAAGCCACAGGGGCAGAGCTGCCCAAGGCAGTGGGAGCCCACCTCTTGCATCAGCATGACCTAGATATGAGACCTGGAGTCAAAGAAGATCATTTGGAGCTTTAAGATTTGACTGCCTCACTGGATTTTGGACTTGCATGGGCCCTGTAGCCCCTTTATTTTGGCCAACTTCTCCCATTTGGAATGGCTGTATTTACCCAATGCCTGTAACCCCATTGCATCTAGGAAGTAATTAACTTGCTTTTGATTTTACAGGCCCATAGGCAGAAGGGACTTGTCTTGTCTCAGATGACCATTTGGACTGTGGACTTTTGAGTTAATGCTGAAATGAGTTAAGACTTACGGGGACTTGTTGGGGAGGCACGATTGGTTTTGAAATGTGAGGACATGACATTTGGGAGGGGCCAAGGGTGGAATGATATGGTTTGGCCATGTCCCCACCCAAATCTCATCTCGAATTGTAACTCACACAATTCCCACGTGTTATGGGAGGGATCTTGTGGGAGGTAACTGAATCATGGGGGCAGGTCTTTCCCATGCTAGTCTCATGATACTGAATAAGTCTCATGAGATATGAGGGTCTTATAAAGGGGAGTTTTCCTGAACAAGCTCTCTTCTCTTGTCTGCCACCATGTGAGATGTGCTCTTCACCTTCTGCCATGATTGTGAGGCCTCCCCAGCCACATGGAACTGTAAGTTCAATAAACCTCTTTCTTTTGTAAATTGTAGTCTTGATTATGTCTTTATCAGCTGCCCAAAAATGGAATAATACACCAGGTAAAAGAAAATGTAAAACAAAAAATGATCTGTAAAATATCCTCTGAGTGATAAAATGTTGCAACTGTAAAAGAAGACAAGGATGCTAAGCCATTTTTTAAAATTATACTTTAAGTTCTGGAATACATGTGCAGAATGTGCAGGTTTGTTACATAGGTATACACATGCCATGGTGGTTTGCTGCACCCATCCACCCATCATCTACATTAGGTATTTCTCCTAATGCTATCCCTCCCCTAGCCCCTCACCTCCTGACAGGCTCCAGCGCATGATGTTGCCCTCACTGTGTCCATGTGTTCTCATTGTTTAACTCCCACTTATGAGTGAGAACGTGTGGTGTTTGGTTTTCTGCCTGTGTTAGTTTGCTAAGAATGATGGTTTCCAGCTTCATCCATGTCCCTGCAAAAGACATGAACTCATCCTTTTTTATGACTGCATAGTATTCCATTCTGTATATATGTCATATTTTCTTTATCCAGTCTATCATTGATGGACATTTGGATTGGTTCCAAGTCTTTGCTATTGTGAATACTGCTGCAATAAACATATATCTGCATGTGTCTTTATAGTAGAAAGATTTACAATCCTTTAAGTATATACCCAGTAATGGGATTGCTGGGTCAAATGGTATTTCTGGTTCTAGATCCTTGAGGAATCACCATACTGTCTTCCACAATGGTTGAACTAATTTACCCTCCCACCAACAGTGTAAAAGTGTTTCTATTTCTCCATATCCTCTCCAGCATCTGTTGTTTCCTGACTTTTTAATGATCACCATTCTAACTGGCATGAGATGGTATCTCGTTGTGGTTTTGATTTGCATTTCTCTGATGACCAGTGATGATGAAGTTTTTCTCATATGTTTGTTGACTGCATAAATGTCTTCTTTTGAGAAGTGTCTGTTCATATTTTTTGCCCACTTTTTGAAGGTGTTGTTTGTTTTTTTCTTGTAAATTTGTTTAAATTCTTTGTAGATTCTGGATATTAGCCCTTTGTCAGATGGATAGATTGCAAAAATTTTCTCCCATTCTGTAGGTTGCCTGTTCATTCTGATGATAGTCTATTTTGCTGAGCAGAAGCTCTTTAGTTTAATTAGATCCCATTTGTCGATTTTGGATTTGTTGCCATTGTTTTTGGTGTTTTAGTCCTGAATTCTTTGCCCATGCCTGTATCTTGAAAGGTATTGCCTAGGATTTCTTATAGGATTTTTATGGTTTTAGGTCTTACATTTAAGTCTTTAATCCATCTTGAGTTAATTTTTGTATAAGGTATAAGGAAGGGATCCAGTTTCAGTTTTCTGCATATGACTAGCCAGTTTTCCCAACACCATTTATTAAGTAGGGAATCTTTTCCCCATTGCTTGTTTTTGTCAGGTTTGTCAAAGATCAAATGGTTTTAGATGTGTGGCATTATTTCTGAAGTCTCTGTTCTGTTCCATTGGTCTATATATCTGTTTTGGTAGCAGTACCTTGCTGTTTTGGCTACTGTAGCCTTGTAGTATAGTTTGAAGTCAGGTAGCATGATGTCTCTAGCCTTGTTCTTTTTGCTTAAGATTGTCTTGGCTATAGGGGCTTTTTTTCAATACCATATGAAATTTAAAGTAGTTTTTTCTAAATCTGTGAAGAAAGTCAATGGTAGCTTGGTAGGGATAGCACTGAATCTATAAATTACTTTGGGCACTATGGCCATTTTTTATGATATTGATTCTTCCTATCCATGAGCATGGAACATTTTTTTATTTGTTTGTGTCCTCTCTTATTTCCTTTAGCAATGGTTTTAGTTGTCCTTGAAGAGGTTCTTCACATCCCTTGTCTGTTGTATTTATAGGTATTTTATTCTCTTTGTAGCAATTGTGAATGGGAGTTCACTCATGATTTGGCTCTCTGTTTGTGTATTATTAGTGTACAGGAATGCTTGTGATTTTCGCAAATTGATTTTGTATCTTGAGACTTTGCTGAAGTTGCTTATCAGCTTAAGGAGATTTTGGGCTGAGATGATGAGGTTTTCTAAATATACAATCATGTCATCTGCAAACAGAGACAATTTGACTTCCACTCTTCCTATTTGAATACCATTTATTTCTTTCTCTTGCCTGATTGCCCTGGCCAGAACTTCCAATACTATGTTGAATAGGAGTACTGAGAGAGGACATCTTTGTCTCGTGCCGGTTTTCAAAGGGAATGCTTCCAGCTTTTGCCCATTCAGTATGATCTTGGCAGTGGGTTTATCATAAATAGCTCTTATCATTTTGAGTTACATTTCATCAATACCTAGTTTATTTAGAGTTTTTAGCATGAAGGGCTGTTCAATTTTGTCGAAGGCCTTTTCTGCATCTATTGAGATAATCATGTAGTTTTGTCATTGGTTCTGTTTATGTGATGGATTACGTTTATCGATTTGCATGTGTTGAACAAGCCTTGCATCCCAGGGATTAAGCCAACTTGATCATGGTGGATAAGCTTTTTGATGTGCTGTTGGATTTGGTTTGCCAGTATTTTATTGAGGATTTTCGCATCGATGTTCATCAGGGATATTGGCCTGAAATATTCTTTTATTGTTGCGTCTCTGCCAAGTTTTGGTATCAGGATGATGCTGGCTTCATAAAATGAGTTAGGACGAGTCCCTCGTTTTCTATTGTTTGGAATAGTTTCAGAAGGAATGGTACCAGCTCCTCTTTATACCTCTGGATGCTAAACCATTTTTAAAGAAATAAAACAAAGTTTTCGAAGTTAAAAACACATAGCAGGGGAAGATACTCAATAGAATATTGGAAGATAAAATGGGGGAAATCCCTCAATAAGCAGAACAAAGACGTGAGATGGAAAATAAGAATGAAAAAAACAAGAAAATTAGAAGACTAGTCTAGGGAATTCAAGGTCCAAATAATAGGAATTCCAAGAGAGAGAGAGAACAGAGACACCTGATGGTGGGAAATATTGAAGAGGCCCAGGAAGTGTCCAGCATAATGGATGAAAGTAGACAAATAAACCTTGAATGCTATGAGAGGATTGGCTAACGTACTCATTGTGGTGCTCACTATGGGTTGTCTTGTCAACAAGCTAACTGAGACTCAGCTTACCTCCTCCATTGATTGGAGAAGCTACATCCAGATTTAGCTTCCCATGGGATCAATGACTTCTGCCCCCTGACAGAGGAGGTGCTATACCATCCCACAGACCCCCCCAGATCTCCAGGTGTAAGCAGCTAGTGTTCTCATATAACTCCTATAAAGGCTGGCACTCATAAATCAGATTAGGTAGTCCCCTCCCCTTAAATCTAGTTTGGCTTTAGAGACTTGCTTTACTCTAGAGAATGCAATGGATGTGATGTTCTGGGACTTCCAAGACTAAACCATAAGAAGCCTTGCAGCTTCCACCCAAGTCTCTTGGACCACTTGCTCTTGGAAATCAGTGGCCATGCTGGAAAGAAGCCCAAGTAGCCCTTTGGAGAGGAGCTGAGGCTCCCTAAAAATTTCATCTTGGCTTCTAGATGACAACTAGTACCAACTTCCTTGCCAGGTAAGTGAGCAAGTAAGTTGATCTGCCCAGCTGCAGTTGAACCACCCCAACTGAAGCTGTGTGTAGCAGAGATGAACTATCTCTACCAAGTCCTCCCCAAATTACCCAATTACCAGCAAAATAATATGCTTTTTTTTGAGTCTGTTTCTATGATAAATTACATTTGTAGATTTTCTGATGCTGAACTCCTTGTGTTCTTGGAATAAGCCCTTTTTAATCTAGATGTACTATAATTTGGATACTGTACTGAGCACACCCATGGAAAAATAGGTTTACCAAATTAATAATGTAAATACAATACATGAAAAATGTTTCTCCTATTTCTGAGAATTTCAGACACATAGGTAGAATACCATTATTAGTCCAAAAGTACTCCTAGCTGGCAACATTGTCAACCAGTTTTTCTTATTTTGCATAATTGGATTTTTCTTTAATTTAGAACACTTAATCCAAATGAGCTAGTATTTCATATTTTTGAGCTGTTTTGAAGGCTGTATTTGAAGTTCTGTTTTTCCATTTGTCTTTTTTATGATTCAACATGGGGACTTGATTAATGAAATTCCATTTAGAAAATAACCCCAGCTTCACTAATATGAAATAACCAGAAGAGGAATTCTCTCTCCCCTCTTTCCTTCTCTCCCTCTTCCTTTCTACCTCCTGCTTTCTCTCCCTTTTCCTTTCCCCTTCCATTTTGTCTTATATCATTGAATGTTTTATTTTGTGAATGTAATCAACTGTTTATGTAAAAATGGAGAAACACAATGATCCTTGAAACATTTCTGAAAATTAAAAATAAGAAAAAATTAAAATAAGGCAGTCTAGGGGCTTGGGAAGGTCAGTTTTAAATGTTTATTAAGTGAAAAGGCCTTTCTCTGCTTTTCAGATACAATATTTAGGTGAGAACTTTCCACCCATCCCCCACTTTTCAACCCCTTCCCCATACGCCACCCCCCCACCCCCCCACACACACATATATACACACACTCACCTATAACTCCATCGCCTTTAAGGTGATATACTTTTAAACAATTCCTCCAAGCATTTAAATGGAAATGATGAACCCTCCCCTACAACCACTACCTTAGGAAACTTCCTAGGGAAAAAAAGAAATGTAGAAGCCTTAGTAAATTCCCTTAGGGTGTATTTCCATTTCTAAGATTTTTCATTCAAAGTTTCCTCTAAAAGACTGCCTGCTTGGAGAAATTTACTGAAGTCCTAAACAGTGAGGGACCAGCATTTATCGCCAGAAGTGACACAAGCAGAGTAGAGCTCCCAGCTGGGAAGCTGTCATTATGTAAATGTACCCATGTGACAGCTCTCTGAGGAGGACAAATGACTGTCAGTGACTTCTTAATCAGCCTGTCTCTAGCAATAATAATCTAATCACTGGTCACCTAATTAAAAATGAAAGAAATGAGGGCCTTTTTCAAACACTAAGCTTCTAGAATCTCAGGTCACGGACTGTCATTAAGCAGAGAGCTGTCAGCTGTTTGCATGTCACATCACAGAGAGGCAGACTTTTGTGAGTTGTTTCATGTTCATGTCCCTGATTTGATTACTCTTACTATCATTCAGTTAATGCATTTGCTTTTTTTTTTTTGCTGCTATGGGCCCTTGTGCGTTTATTATTTCATTCACCATTCCCACCACAAACATTTATTGCAGGCTTATTATATGCCAGGATATATATCCTGGGGATGTAAACATGAATAGGACAAGGTTCCAGCATTTGGAGGCTGTCACTATGGGAGAAACAGATATAAAAAATATTTAATTATGATACAATTTGATCAAGCTGTTATAGAGATAGCAACTATATGTATGTATTCCATATTATGGAAGATGAAAAATGGTGGCTCATTGACTAGAACCAGTCCACAGAATTTGGGATGTTTTATTTTGGGCTTGTGTTCCTCAGTTTGTCAAAGACTCCACCATATCCTATTCTGTCAAACTTAATCTGCTTCATTTATGTATGTTACCTGCCTGGTCTTTGTTAAGCAGTTGAGTTTGAGGTCCTGGTATAGAGATAAGTCTAACAAGCAAATACCTACCATGAGATGCTATATTATGAACTGATTTTAAAAACTGTTCTTGTAGGCTGGGCATGGTGCTTCATGCCTGTAATCCCAGCACTTTGGTAGGCTGAGGCAGGAGGATTGCTTGAGCTCAAGAACCAGCCTAGGAAACAGCAAGACCCCATCTCTACTAAAAAAAAAAAAAAAAAAAAAAAAATTAACTGTGTGTAGTGGTATGTACCTGTAGTCCCAGCTACTCAGGAGGCTGATGTGGGAGGATCACTTGAGCCCGGGAAGTCAAGGTTGCAGCGAGGTGTGATCAACCCACTGCATTCCAGCCTGGGTGACAGAGCAAGACTGTCTCAAACACACACACACACACACACACACACACACACACACACACACACATCTTTAAAACTCATTTAAAAGAAAATTGTGTAATTGTGTGGTGTGTTAAAATATTGTCACTCACACTCCTCTCAGCTGTGGAAAAAAATGTCTCACAAGCCACCTAAGTTGCATAATAGGGAAACTAAGCGATATTTAAACTTTGCTTATCAATAGTATCTCAATTTATTTCCATTTAAGTAGTCTTTTAGGGATACTCATTCCCTTTTGGGTCACTACCAGTATTTGTCTCTTCCCTCCTACCTGCTTTTCTCCAGAAACTTTTAGATGTGGCAGGGAAGGGGCTTTCTCATTTCTAGGGATGTTGGGGAGAAAAGTGTCCTTGCAGTCATTGCTGTTCCTGCTGTGGACCCTGGACCAGCAACTTGGAAGTACAGCTAGTGCCTGCCATGTTGTGAACTCTCCAGGCACAGGCGTCATCGCAGAGTTCATCAGTTATTTGTCTCCAGTATTTTCACTCATGGTGGCCTCTTTCTGTTGAGGTCAGGATTTTGCTCATGTACAGCATTCTTAGCACTTTTAGTCTACCCTGGAGCACTGAAAACTTCTGGATGCCCTGAAACTGATGTATAGATTGTAGTATTAATCATACTGTATCAGAGAACATAATCTGTATGACATCAATAATTTGAAATTTGCTGAAACTTGCCCTAAGACTTTGTTTGTGATCATTTTTTAAATATTCCATGCATGGTTGAGAATATGCTTCTCTAATTGTTGAATGTGTACAGTAGTCTGTGGTTTCATTTTCCATTGTTTTAGGTACCCACAGTCAACCACAGTCAGAAAATATTAAATGGAAACTTCCAGAAATAATTCATAAGTTTTAAATTGCATGCTATTCTGAGCAGTGATGAAATCTCCTGCTGTCCCACTAGGGATGTGAGTCATTCCTTCATCCAGTGTAGCCATGCTGTATGTACTACCCACCAATTAGTTAGTAACCCTTTCAGATATCAGATCAACAGTCACAGTATTACAGTGCTTGTGTTCAAGTAACTCTTATTTTAATTATTAATGCCCCCAAATTGCAAGAGCAGTGATGCTGGTAATTCAGATGTGCTACAGAGAAGCCATAAAGTGCTTCCTTGAAATAAAAAGGTGACAGTTCTCAACTTAATAAAGAAAGAAAAAAATTGCTGAGATTGCTAAAAGATACAGTAAGAATGAATTTTCTATCTGTGAAATCATGAAGAAGGAAAAATAAATTCCTGTTAGTTTTGCTGTTGCAACTTAAACTGTAAAAGTTACAGCCCCAGGGTGGATCACCTGAGGTCAGGAGTTCAAGACCAGCCTGGCTAACATGGTGAAACCCCATCTCTACTAAAAATACAAAAAATTAGCCGGGCATGGTGGCAGATGCCTGTAACCCCAGCTACTCAGGAGGCTGAGGCAGGAGAATCACTTGAACCTGGGAGGCAGAAGTTGCAGTAAGCCGAAATCATGCCACTGCACTCCAGCCTGGGCAACAGGGCGAGAACCCTCTCAAAAAAAAAAAAAAAAAAAAAAAAGTTACAGCCCCAGTCCATAATAAGTGCTTAGCTAAGAAGGAAGAGCCATTAAATTTGTGAATAGAAGACATGAACAGAAAATGTGTTCCAATCAACAGCAATGTGGTTTGCACCAGAAAGCATTGAACCTATATGGAGACTTCAGCAAATGATCCTCTGAAATGAGTGACACCAAGCCATTTACTGCAAGTAAGGGATGGTTACACAGAGTCAGGAATACAGAAAGTCAGTAGTAGCCTAATGCTCCATCACAATGCCTATGTCATTCACCACACTTCATCTCATCACGTAGTCATTGTAACAGACTACAGTACAATAAGATATTCTAGGAGAGACAGACCATATTTGCATAACTTATTGCAATATATTATAATAATTTTATTATTAGTTATTGTTGCTAATCTCTTACTGTGCCTAATTTATAAACTTTAGCATGCTATGTTTTTATAGGGAAAACATAGTCTATATAGGGTTCAGTACTATCTGTAGTTTCAGGCATTAACGGGGGGTTGTTGAATGTATTCCCCTCAGAAGGAGGCACTATTGCATTAGTTTTCTATTCCTGTATAACAAATTAATACAAACTTGGAGGCTTAAAACAACACCCATTGATTAACTCACAGCTTCTGTAAGTCAGAAGTCTGGGCATGGGCTCATGGGAAACAAGACTGAAATGAAAGTATCCACCAGCAATGTTCTCATCTGCAGCTCAAGATCTTCTTCCAAGCTCATTCACGCTGTCGACTGTATTCAGTTCCTGTGGTTGTAGAACTGATGTCTTCATTTCCTTGCTGGTTGTTGGCCAAGGGTTGCTCTCAGCAATTAGAGCCCACTCTGGTCCTAGCCAAAGGATCCTCTCCCTGATGACAGGTTACTTTACCAAAAGCCAGCAGGAGAATCTCTCTAGTCTGGCAAGATGGAGTTGGATATAATATAATGTAATTAAGGAAGTGACTATCACATCATATTCATAGGTCCTGCACATATTCAAGTGGAGGAGATTATATGGGTTGTGTATATCAGAGGGCTATATTGGGGACCATCTTAGAATTCTGCGCACCGCAGGGTATAGGGTCTTACATCTTTATGCTTATTTTTTTGTCTACTTGACTTATTTTAATCACTAAAACAGTTGTGTTGATTTTGAATTTATCTCCTTCTTATAGTTGCATCATTTCCTTTTTTCTGCTTTATATATTTTGAGAAATTTTTATAATGTTTACATAATTTAGAATTATATTGACCTTTTAATAGTAACTTTTGTATTAAAATCGATTTTATTTGATATTAATATACAGCTGAACTTTCACCTTGTTAGTATTTGTCATGTATATTTTTTAAATCTTTAATCACCCTATACCTTCTACTTATTGTACATATTAGTTATCTATTGCTGCTTAAGATGATGCTCAAAAATTTACTAGCTTACTACAGCAACAATTTAATTTGCTCATGATTCTGTGAGTCAGCAATATGGGTGGAATTGAGCCACATAGTTCTTCTGCAGCCTTGCCTGGGATTGCTCAGGTGGTTACAAGTCACCTGGTAATTTCACTATAGTTAGATGGTTCAAGATGTTCTTCTAGGTCTGGTGGTTGGTGTCAGCTATTGACTGAGTTATTCTGTTTAGTCTCTTATTCTTGAGGAGGCTGCCTGGGCTTCTTCCTGTGGTGTTGGCACATGAAGACTGAGAACAGAAGCTATGAGATCTTTTGAGGACTAGGCTTGGAAATCTCACAGGTTACTTTTCTAGTATCTCCACTATTTTCTTAGTCATGGGCTGGGAGCAGGGGGAGAGTGTGTGGCCTCCGTGTGAAGCTTGTGGAGATATGACAGTCAATAATGTTCCTCACAGCAAGTACTTTGAAAGGAGGTCTGAGTGCTGCTTCTCCAGGGCCACCACATAGATATGTTTGAATACAATAATTAAAAACATTTTTGACTTTTGCTATTAGTGAAAAACTAATAGCAAAACCTTATTATTGGCTTTTATTTTGTGTTTTCAGTGCCTGTGTTTTCCCTTCACATGTATCATATGAAGGATTCAAAACATTAAAAAATGAAGATATAAACATTGGGCATAAATTCATCTTTTAAAAACCAATTGCCATAACCATGGGTCAATTAACTCATGTAGACAAAAATTGGCTACCTTTTTTTTTTTAAATCAAGTATACTTTGCTTCTAAACAACTAACTCTAAATGGCTATCATTAAGACAATGTAATTATGTAGTAAAGACTTTAGAAGGTATAAAACAACAATTAGCTTCTACTTATCAACTCTGTTTTTCAGTTTGAGTGGTCTTCAGAGTTATTCAACCTGATTCTCTTCTTTCTGCAATGCAGTCCATTGACTCTTAATATTTGTCTCTCCTTCTTCAATTTTTAGCTGGGCATATGTTTGGTGGGAATGAAAACTAGTTTTAGTTATAGAACTAAGTTATTTAAAATGGGATATTGATAAAGTGATGTATGGAACTTCCAAGAAGTGTCTTTAAAGAGAAGATGAATGCTCATCTTCTTTTCCTTTTCCCCCTCTTTTGGCTACAATACTATAGACAAGAGAACTAGAGCTGAAGCTGCCATCTTGGATCACTAAGCAATAGCTGCCTAATGAGGTTGATGGAACAATAAGATAAAAATAAAGCACATTGCTATCTCTTCATTCTAGATCATTGATATGGACATTTAGATGAGAGAACAATAAAATTCTGTCTAATAAGCCACTGTTATTTTAGTTCTTCTGTCATTAGCTGACAAAACTAATTCTAAACATCTCCTTTCTATTTGTTTTTGCTCACCATTTTATCCCTGCGGATATGTTCTGTTCTGAAGGGAACAGAACTATGAGAGGCAGCCATCTAGAAGGATAAATATGATCCATCCTCCCCAGTCTGAGGAAGGGGATATAAAAACATGGGTCAAAATTAGGGACAAAACCCATCTCTGACACAAAACATACATTCATTAAATATTTGTTAAATAAATGTATGAATATCAGAGATCGCTGCTATATTTTTGACCCAAATGATCTACCTGTCTAGAAGATCCCTGCTTCCTTTGCCAGTTAGCCAACTCCTAGTAATCTCTCAAGATCCAGCTCAAATGTGGCTTTTCTGTCAAGCCTTCCCAGCCTCCTTTCCTCCCTTGCATGTACCTTTGCTGTTGTCTCATCATGTTGAAATGTCAGAGCAATGCCCATGATTTTTCTCCTTTGTGTTCTTAATACCCAATATGGTATCTGAAACGATGGAGGATGATCAAGGAAGAAATCCTCCTAAACATAAAAATTCACATTAGACTTTCCTCTAAAGATTTACTTTCTTTGAAATTTAGGAACAAGGGTTCTCCAAAGAAATAAAACGAATAGGGTATATATGGGGTGAGGATTCCTTATCCAAAAGGCTTGGGACTGGAGGTGTTCTAGATTTCAGACTTTTTCAGATTTTGGAATATTTACATATACATAATAAGATATTTTGGGAAGGGTACCCAAGTCTAAACACAAAATTCTTTTATGTTTCATATATACCTTATACACATAGCTGAAGGTAATTTTATACAATATTTTAATATATTTGTGTATGAAACAATTTGTGTACATTGAACCATCAGAAAGCAAAGATGTCATTATCTCAGCCATCCCTGTAAATAATCTGTGGTTGTTTGGCCTCACCACCATTCTTGACTCTGAATTAATATGCTATGGATAAGCAATCATTTTCTTACAGTTATTCACACCTAAGCACTTAACAGCAAAATAAATGACATAACATTAATACAGAGAAAAAATAATAAGATCAGGGTAACTAAGCAGCACAGTAGCACTACCAGAATACCTGTATCAGCTGTTAACGCAAACAACAAACAACAGCAGGCTTTCAGTCAGTCTCCACCTACAATGCTGTGGGGTTTTTGTTTGTTGTTTGTTTTTTTAGAAATGGGATCACTCTATGTTGCTCAGGTTGGGTTTGAACTCCTGGGTTCAAGCTATCTTCCTGCCTCAGCCTCTTGAGTAGCTGGGACCATAGGCTAGAACTATCGCACCCAGCTCGAATGCTGTGTTTTTAGTTAAAATGATTTTTTAAGATGAGAAGAAACAATCAGAAGCAGTTGAGGGATGAGAAAGTGGGTCCCTTAGGAAGGAGGAGGCATTCTGCTGGATGGCTTTTTAAAATGTTTCCTCCAGTCATCTGCCTCATTAACAACTTTTGTTCTTTTGTTGGCTTAGAAGGCTTTTATTTTATTTTCGGTTTTGATTTTTTTTTTTTTTTTTTTTGGACAGGGTCTTGCTCTGTCACCAGGCTGCAGTGCAGTGGTGTGATCATGGCTTACTGCAGCCTCAACCTCCCAAGCTCAATTGATCCTCCCACATCAGCCTCCCAAGTAGCTGGAACGACAGGTGCATGCTACCATGCCTGGATAATTTTTTAATTTTTTGTAGAAATGAGGTCTCACTATGTTGCCTAGGCTGGTCTCAAACTCCTGAACTCAAGTGATTTTTCCACCTCAGCCTTCCGAAGTGCTAGGATCACAGGAGTGAGCCACTATGTCTGGCTGTCTCTTTGGTTTTACAAACTGACATTATTTCTTGCTCTGTTATGAATGCAGACTGCTCTAGTCCTTCAGTAAGCCCATCACATATTTTCACCATGCTGTCTATTGACACTTTTTCTGCAGCATTAACAAATGTCATCGTCATTATCAGTGTTATCACGATCACCTTGATTCAGAACCATTTCTATTTCACCATCAGTCGAAGAACAAACAACTGGAGCTTCATTTTCTTACTTTTTTTTTTTTAGACGGAGTTTCGCTCTTGTCGTCCAGGCTGGAGTGCAGTGGCGTGATCTCAGCCTACTGCAGCCTCCGCCTCCCAGATTCAAATGATTCTCCTGCCTCGGCCTCCCAGGTGGCTGGAATTACAGGTATGCCCCACCACTCCTGGCTAATTTTTTGTATTTAGTAGAGATAGGGTTTCACCATGTTGGTCAGGCTGGTCTTGAACTCCTGACCTCACGTGATCCACCCACCTCAGCCTCCCAAGGTGCTGAGATTACAGACATGAGCCACCATGCCCGGCCTGGAGCATCATTATCAATGTCAAAAACTTCTTCAATATCCACTTCATTCAGTTTACTGATGGACTATGAGATATACATTTTTTGCGTATGTAAGGAGTCAGACATCTGGTTCCATTTAATGAAGAATGGGGCTGAAAGGATCTTTTTTCCTTGGAGATGCTGTATAAACGGTGGTGTGGGCCTGTGTTTTGACTGTGACCCATCCTGAGGTTATATTTGGAATTTTCTATATGTGGCATCATGTTGGCAATCAAAGAGTTTTGGACTTTGGAGCTTTTCAGATTTTGGATTAGTGATGCTCAACTTTGTGTGTGTGTGTATACACTCACAGGCATACTTCAGAGATGTCACGGGTTCTATTCCAAATCACTGCAATAAAGCGAGTCACAAAAATTTTTTTGGTTCCCCAGTGCATATAAAAGTTATATTTATACTGTACTGGTCTATTAAATGTGCAGTAGCATTATGTTTAAAAACATAATCTATATACTTTAATTAAAAATACTTTGTTGCTAAAAATGCTAACAATCATCTGAGCCTTTGGTGAGTTGTAATCTTTTTGCTGGTAGAGGGTCTTGCCTCAGTGTTGATGGCTGTTGACTAATCAAGGCAGTAGTTGCTAAAGGTTGGTGTAGCTATGGTAATTTCTTTTCTTTCTTTCTTTTTTTTTTTTTTTTTTTTTTTTGTTTTTTGAGTCAGAGTCTCACACTGTCACCCAGGCTGGAGTGCAATGGTGCAATCTCGGCTCACTGCAACCTCCGCCTCCCAGGTTCAAGCGGTTCTCCTGCCTCAGCCTCCCAAGTAGCTGGGATTACAGGCATGCCACCATGCCTGACTAATTTTTTGTATTTTTAGTAGAGACAGGGTTTCACTATGTTGGCCAGGCTGGTCTCGAACTCCTGAGCTCGTGATCGGCCCGCCACAGCCTCCCAAAGTACTGGGATTACAGGCATTAGCCACCGTGCCCAGCTGGTAATTTCTTAAAATAAGACCACAGTGAAGTCTGCTGTGTCAATTCACTTTTCCTTTTTTTTTGAGACAGAGTCTCACTCTGTCGCCCAGGCTGGAGTGCAGTGGCACCATCTCGGCTCACTGCAACCTCCACCTCCCAGGTTCAAGCAATTCTCCTGCCTCAGCCTCCCGAGTAGCTGGGACTACAGGCGTGCACCACCATGCCCAGCTAATTTTTTGTATTTTTAGTAGAGATGGGGTTTCACTGTGTTATCCAGGATGATCTCGATCTCCTGACCTTGTGATCTGCCCGCTCCAGCCTCCCAAAGTGCTGGGATTACAGGCGTGAGCCACCGCCTTGTCTAGCCCACACCGCGTCTGGCCCACTTTTCCTTTTATGAGAGATTTCTCTGTAGTCTGCAATGCTGTTTGATAGCATCTTAGCCACAGCTGAACTTCTTTCAAAATCTGAGTCAATCCAATTGGAAAAATAGCACTGATAGACTTGCTCAGTGCAGGGGTGCCACAAACCTTCAATTTGTGAAAGAACACAATATCTGCAAAATGCAATAAAGCAAAATATGCCTACACACACACACAGGCACACACACACAGATTTATTTTAAGGATATGGCTCACACCAGTTTGGAGGTTGATAAGTCTGAAATCTTAGGGGCAGTCAAGTTGGCTTGAGACTCAGGGAAGAGTTGATGTTGCAGTCTCAAATCTGAAGACTATGTGGTGGCAGAATTCCTTCTTTTTTGGGAAACCTTAGCTTTCTCTTAAGGCCTTTGACTGATTGAATAAGACCAAACCACGTTTTGAACACTAATCTGCTTTACTCAAAATCTATAGTTTTAAATGTTAATCACATCTAAAAAATACCTTCCCAGCAACATCTATACTGCTGTTTGACCAAAAACTGGGGTACCATGGCCTAGCCATTTGACACATAAAATTAGCCATCCCAGGACCCTTAAATAGAAACAAGTTTATTTAATAGTTGTATTAGTCTATTCCTACATTGCTATAAAGAACTACCTGAGACTGGGTAATTTATGAAGAAAATAGATTTAATTGGCTCAAAGTTCTGCATGGCTGATGAGGCCTCAGGAAACTTACTATGAGGGTGGAAGGCAAAGGGGAAGCAAGGCATGTCATCACATGGCCAGAGCAGGAAGAAGAGAGGGCAAAGGAGGAGGTGCTACATACTTCCAAACCATCAGATCTTTCAAGGGGATGGTGCTAAACCGGTAGAATACACCCCCATTATCTAATCACCTCCCACCAGGCCTCACCTTCAATATTTGGGTTATTATTTTTTTTCATGGCTAAAGTTCATTCTCACCGAGTATTTGCAATGTAATAAAATTAAGCCAAGCTTATGTGAACCAAGAGCTCTGGGTGACAAACAAAAAGAATGTGCACACCGGCAATATTCATTTAAGGTTAAAAGATTTTTAGTATTATTAATCAAGAATTTAAATGTCCCAAATATATAATACTTATTTGCTTAGGACAAGATGTCCTATCCATAACTCAGATGAAAACTATATAAAAAGGAGGAAAGAAGAAAGTGGTCCCTAGAATGCATTAATCTAGAGTAATGGTTCCAGTCAGCCATGCTGTAAATTTAACTTCTATTGCTGTTTGTGCACTAAAGGGCACTCATCATCCCGAAAGAATTAATGCAACTTCTAAAAAGTAGGCCAGCTAATTTACAGGCAATAGCTTACATACCAGAAAAAAACTGGATCAGTAAGTAATGCGATATTTATTTCCAAGAAATCTGGCAATGTTTTTCTCACTGAAAAATGAGTAGGAATGAAGTCAATCTGAAAGTGATTTTTTTCAGAGGCGGGTGAGCACAAGGAAACACCTTTCGCTGATGAAGGAGGAATATGAAGCAGCAGTTGCAGAGGTGAAGAGGAAGAGGAGTATTTGCCAGGAAAACTAGGATGGACCCTTCCCAGTATACATACAGGGAGGATGTAAAAGTCAAAAACTTCCGTCAAAATTAAGGCCAACACCAAGAAAGAAAAACCAGTCCTCTCAGGTAATAGAATTACTAGACTCCCATTCAGCCTTTCTTTTACTCATTCATTTCTCAATCTTCCTTTTTGTTTGGCTCGTGTTTATGGAGCATGTACCATATTCCAGAGCTTGATCTTGGTGCTGAGGTTATGACAGGAATAACTTGTTCTTGCCTGGTCCGTATCCATTCAGCCTTCTCTAGAGATTTCCCGCACATGGTCCCTTTTCATGCCAATGGATTCTCAGGTGTCTCTGCTGAGGGTGTTCTCTAGGCCTGTGTGTGCATTAACACCTCTGAAAGGATCCTCAACCAGAAATGAATAAGGTTGATCTTCAACCAATGAGGATGGGAGATGTTGGATATACCCCAGCTTCCTTATCCCTCAATAGGACAATTCTGAAGCATCTCCCATAATTTCTGAGAGGATCTCCAGAAGGATTGAGGCCTAGTTCGCCCCCAGTGGTAATCTGCTCATCAACACTGTCTTTGCTTTCCTTCCTTCTTGTCTCACTTCTAGGATTACCTCTCAAAAAATCAAATCTGCATCTGTTTTGGGGTAAACCAAGCTAAGACAGCAGGGAACAAGGCAGATAAGGTCCTTGTTCTCATGGAACATATGTATCACCTCAGAGAGAGAGAGACAATAAATAAGTAAAGGAAATAAATATACAAGATAATTTGGGATCAGAACCCAAAGAAGGCAATAGCCAGGATTCTGGAAGAATTGGAGGAGGGTGTTCTCATCAGGGAGTATAGAGGGCCCCAGTGAGGAGGTGACCTATGAGCTGTGGCCTGAGAGAAAGGAGCAAGGTATGTAAAGAGCTCAGGGGAAAATCCCTTTCCCATGAAGTTCTTTTTTCTCCCATCAGGATCCCAGAGTTCCTGGGGATCCTTCTTTCTCTTCCAGAGTTGCACTCATCCTCCCATCCCTATAGGGTTCAAATATACTCGGCTGAGGCAGTATTATTCGTTCTGAATGCTGGGCTGTACCTGCTGCAAGGGAAGGAGAAGTACAGAGCATTATGGGCCTTCCTGCTTTGAAATCAGGTACCACAGGGCCTTGGGATATCCCTGGGGACCCTGCCTCCCCTAGATCTGCCAGAATCCTGTCTCTGTGATGGTCTTTACTATCATCTGAGACTTGTGGCCCCTTCTCCAGATCTGTCTCTTTCCCTTCATGCACAGCAGAAGAACCTCACACCCACCCTTTTTCAATTCCTGGGAGGCTGGGATGGATGAGGGGGTACACGGGGGCCATGGCTACTAGTAGTTTCTCTCTCCATTTCTGCTGAGCTCAGCCCAGTGGACTGGAGCTTCTTTAGGCTGCCACTCCAGGCCACTCTGGATAGAGGAGAACAACTGAAGCAGAGGAAAGGGGTGTTTCCTTATACCAGGCATTTCCTTTATTCTTCCTTCCATCAGTAGAGAGAAGAGTCAGCTTTCACCTGTATAGGATCTAGGAATCTCTCTAGGGGCATTCTGATTACCTCCTAGTAACATAAGTTGGAGAGGGAAGGAGAATAGTCTACTCAATTTGGTGGTAAAGACTTCCCTTTTTTTCCCCTCAAGATGGTGGATTGGAGGCATTGTTAGCATGCCTGTCCCACTTAGAAAGACAAAATAGTATATAGAGATTCACAGTGTGAACTTTATTCCAAGAAGCAACACACAAACTTAACAAGAAAACTGAAAGAAACCACAGATCCTTTGAATGAAGTGACAGACTACAGCCTACACCATGAGCCACGTGGAAAACTGCAGAAGACCACAGTGCCCAGGAAGGAGAAACCTTGTATGTGACCTCAGCTATCACCATTGCCTGAATCACCCTGGCTAGATAACCAGAAGGTCCTAAGTCTGTCACATGACCAGTTCATTACTACTATAGCTGGAATTTGAGAGCCAACACTGTAAGGTTATTTATAACCAAGGAATCTCACAGAGTCTATATCACTCCCCTGCTGTCCCTATCAGAGCTGGTGCTGGTACCTGCTGCTAGGAGACTTGAGGAGAGTTCACACGTCTGGATCCTTTGCAGACATTTCCCGGCACCAGTGTGGATTATTGTGGTCCCACTGGGTGGCTAGACCCAAAGGAACAGCAGAATTGGGCCTCAGGGACTCCTATTCCAGAAGCGGGAGTATACCACACCAAGGGAGCACTCCATGGGACAAAAGAATCCAGATGACTGGAATTGAGTCCCAGAACTTTCTGCTTGTGGGAAGTTTCTTTCAGCGGAGGCACAGGTGCGGTACTGGGCTCAGTGGGGAAAGTCTGCAGCTCTACCCCAACAGTTAGGCAGCCCTGGTGCTAATGAAGGGTCTTGGAGAAGAAACTTCTTACCCTTGCCCACCACTGCGGACACAGCTGGGGCTTCTCCCGTGGGAGCATGGTGTGGGTGCACTTGTAGACAGACTTTCTGGAGCACTTAAGGGTGACTGCATCCGCACAGGAGGACTGCTCTTCAGTTCAGGCTTCCACAAGTGATAGAGTCACGATCCCTCTCTACATGGAACATCAGCATTCCTACAGATGTAGAGAGGTGCCTGTCTGATCTAAATAGCTGGAACACTGGGTCAGGAGTGTGACTGGGAGGCAGACTGCTTTCCTGCTGGCCTGCAGGAGAGCTGAGGTGGCTACCTCCCTTGTGAAAACACCTCAGTGTGTTTCACTGAGAGCTCCCTCAGCCATCTCTGTCAAGACTGGGACCTCAGCCCACCATTGGGTATTGCATTTACCCACTTGCTTTAGCCACAGCTGATTCATACCCATGGACCCCATTTCTACTGGCCTGAATCCTGAACTGTTTAACCCAGTAAATAAACTACTGGGGGAAAAATAATAAATAAATAACTGCACACACTGAGGAATGAGATAAACTTCAAGAGATCTCTGCCATTCTACCCCACAGGAGACAGCGAATCTGCTCACACACTGAGCATATTGTTACTACAACCAACATTTGATAAAGCCATCATAAAGACTCTCTATAAACAGGAAACTCATGCAGAGTCTTCACCCTTGAAAGCACCCAGAGCTGAATTAGGTTACAATAAACTATAATCATTAAAGTCACATCCTTAAGGGGAAAAAAGAAAAAGAAATTTAAAAATAAACACAGTTGAATAAAAAAGAAATTCTAAAATAATTAGAAGAAATACTCTATCCAAATGAGGAGGAATCAGAAAAAAATAATTCTGGTAATATGACAAAACAGGGTTCTATAACTGGCCCCCCTCCACTACAAAGATCACTGTAGCTTTCTAGCAATGGATCCCAACCAAGATGAAATTCTTTGAAATACCCGATAAATAATTCAAAAGGTTACTTATTAAATTACTGGAGGAGATACAAGAGAAAGGTGAAAACTAACATAAAAACTTTTTAAAATAATTCAGGATGTGAATGAAAAATTTTCTAAAGAGTTAGATATTTTAAAGGAAAACCAATTAGAACATCTGGAAATGAAAGACCCATTTTAGGGAATTACAAAATGCAGTGGGAAAGTTTTAACAATAGATTCGAACAACTAGAAGAAAGAATTTCAAAGCTTGAAGATGAGCCTTTTGAACTCACCCAATCAGAAAAAAATAAAGAAAAAAAAACTCAAAAGAAGTTAACTAAATCTCCAAGAAATATGTAATTATATAAAATGGCCAAACCTAAGAATCACTGGTGTTCCTGAGGATGAAGACAAAACAAAATGTTTGGGCAACTTATTTGAGGGAATAATTGAGGAAAGCTTCCCTGGCCTTGCTAGAGATTTAGACACCCAAATATAAGAAGCTCAAAGAACGCCTGAAAGATTCACTGGAAAAAGGACTTCACCAAGGCATATAGAGTCATCAGGCTATGTAAACTTAACATGCAGAAAAGAATCCTAAGAGCAGTTAGACAAAAGTTTCAAGTAACCTATAAGGGAAAACCTATCAGACTAACAGCAGACTTCTCAGCAGAAACCTTACAAGCCAGAAGGCACTGGGGTCCTATCTTTAGCCTCCTTAAATGGAGTAACTGTCAGCCAAGAATTTTGTATCCAGAAAAACTATGTTTCATAAATGAAGAAGAAATAAAGTCTTTTTCAGACAAGAAAAATTCTGAGGGAATTTGTCACTACCAGATTATCCCTACAAAAAAATGCTGAAAGGAGTTCTAAATCTTGAAACAAAAGCTGGATATGCACCATAATAGAACCTCTTGAAAGCATAAAGACTCACAGGGCCTGTAAAACAATAATAATGAAAAAACAGAGTGTCTAGGTAACAACATGATGACTGGAACAGTACCTCACATCTCAATATTAAACATTGAATATATATGGTCTAAATGCTCCACTCAAAAGATACAAATTGGCAGAACAGATTAAAAAGTCACAAACCAAATATCTGCCATCTTCAAGAGACTCATCTAACATATAAGGATTCTTATCGACTCAAGGTAAAGGAGTTAAAAAAAAAGATAGTCTATGCAAATGGAAACCAAAAGTGAGAAGGCATATACTATTCTTATACCAGATAAAACAGAGTTTAAAGCAACAACAGTAAAAAAAGACAAAGTCACTATGTAATGATAAAAGTATAAATCCAACAAGAAGATATTACAGTCCTAAATATGTATGCATTTAACTCTGGCATTCCCAGATTCATAAAACAATTACTACTAGACCTAAGAAAAGAGATAGACAGCAACACAATAATAGTGGGGGACTTCAACACTCCACTGACAGCACTAAACAGAGATCATCAAGGCAGAAAGTCAATAAAGAAACATTGCACTTAAACTGCACTCTAGAACAAATGGACCTAATGATATTTACAGAACATTCTACCCAAGAACTGCAAAATATACGTTCTCATTAGTACATGAAACAGTCTGCAAGATAGACATATCATAGGTCTCAAAATAAAGTCAATAAATTTTTAAAAATCCAAATTATATCAAGTATATTCTCAGAACACAGTGGAATAAAACTAGAAACCAACTCCAAAAGGAATAGTCAAAACAATACAAATACATGGAAATTAATCTGCTCCGGAATGATTTTGGGGTTAACAATGAGATCAAGATGAAAATTTAAAAATTCTTTGAAATGAATAATAGTGCCATAAGTTATCAAAACCTCTGGGAAACAGCAAAAGCAATGTAAGAGGAAAATTTATAGTGCTAAATGCCTAGATCAAAAAGTCTGCAAAGTCACAAATTGACCACCTAACACACACCTCAAGGAACTAGAGAAATAAGAACAAACCAAACCCAAAGCTAGTAGAAACAAATAACAAAGAACAGAGAAAAACTAAATGCAATTAAACATAAAAACAATATAAAAGATCAATGAAACAAAAAGTTGGTTCTTTGAAAAGATAAAAAAAATCAATAGACCATTAGCTAGATTAATCAAGAAGAGAGAAGATTTAAACAAGCCGTTAGAAATGAAAATGGAGACATTACAATGACACCACAGAAGTACAAAAGATCAAAAGAAATACAGAAGATTTGAGGCTGCTATAAATACTTCTATGCACACAAACTAAAAAATCTAGAGGAAATGGATAAATTCCTGGAAACATACAACCCTCCTAGCTTGAATCAGGAAGAAATAGAAATCCTGAACAGACCAATAGCAAACAGTGAGATTGAATCGGTAATAAAACAATTTCCAGCAACAAAACAAGCCCAGTGCAAATGGATTCACAGTGAATTCTACCAAAGAAGAATTGGTACTAATCCTACTGAAACTATTCCAAAAGGTTGAGAAAGAGGGAATCCTCCCTAACACATTCTATCAAACCAGTATCACCCAGATACCAAAGCCAGGAAAGTACATAACAAAGAAAAGGAAAACTACAGACCGATGTTCCTGATGAACATAGATGCAAAAATCCTCAACAAAATACTAGCAAGCCAAATCAAACAGCACATCAAAAAGATAATTCAAGTCAGGTGCAGTGGCTCACACCTGTAACCCCAGCACTTTGGAAGGCCAAGGCAGGAGGATTGCTTGAGCTCAGGAGTTCAAAACTAGCCTGAGCAACATGGTGAAACCCCATCTCTACAAAAAAAAATATAAAAATTAGATGCATGTGGTGGTGCTCACCTACAGTCCCAGTTACTCAGGAGGCTGAGGTGGGAAGATTGCTTGAGCCCAAGAGGTCAAGGCTGCAGTGATCCATGATTGTGCCACTGTACTCCAGCCTAGGTGACAGAGCAAGACCCTTTCTCAACAACTAACAACAATAATAATAATAGTAATTCACCATGATCAAGTGGGTTTCGCCCCAGGGATGCAGGGATGGTTCAACATATGCAAGTCAATAAATGTAATTCATCGCATAAACAGAATTAAAAACAAAACCCACATGATCATCTCAACAGATGGAGAAAAACATTCAGTGAAATTCAGCATTACTTTATGATAAAAACCCTCAACAAACTAGGTATAGAAGGAATATACCTCAAAATAATGAAAGCCATCTATGACAAACTCACAGCCAACATCATACTGAATAGGGAAAAGCTAAAAGCATCCCCTCTAAGAACTGGAACAACACAATGATGCCCACTTTCACCACTTGTATTCAACATAATCTGGAAGTCCTAGCCAGAGCAGTTAGGCAAGAGAAAGAAATAAAGGGCATCCAAATTGGAAAACGAGAAGTCAAACCATCTCTGTTTGCCAATGTTATGATCGTATACCTAGAAAACCCTAAAGTCTCCTCCAAAAGGCTGCTATATTTGATAAATGAATTCATTAAAGTCTTAAGTTACAAAATCAATGCACACAAATTAGCAGTACTGCTATACACCACCAACAACCAAGCTGAGAATCAAATAAAGAACTCAATCCCTTTTACAACAGCAATAAAAAAACAAAATACCTAGGAACATAATTAAACAAGGAGATGAAAGATCTCTACAAGGAGAAGTACAAAACGCTACTGAAAGAAATCATAGATGATACAAACAAATGGAAATACATCGTGTGCTCATGGATTGAAAGAATCAATTTCATGAAAATGATCATACTGCCCAAAGCAATCTACAGATTCAATGCAATTCGTATCAAAATACCAACATCATTTTTCAAACAATTAGAAAAAAATCCTAAAATTCATATAGAAACACAAAAGAGCCTGAATATCCAAAGTCATCTTAAGCAAAAAGGACAAATCTGGAGGCATCACATTACCTGACTTCATACTATAAGGCTATAGTAACCAAAACAGCATGATACTGGTATAAAAGTAGTTACATAGGGCCGGGTGCAGTGGCTCACACCTGTAATCCCAGCACTTTGGGAGGCCGAGGTGGGCGGATCATGAGGTCAGGAGATCGAGACCATCCTGACTAACATAGTGAAACTCCATCTCTACTAAAATACAAAAATTAGCTGGGCATGGTGGCATGTGCCAATAATCCCAGCTCTGTAATACCAGCTACTCAGGAAGCTGAGGCAGGAGAATCCCTTGAACCAGGGAGTCAGAGGTTGCAGTGAGCCAAGATCACGCCACAGCACTCCAGCCTGGTGACAGAGCGAGACTCCGTCTCAAAAAAATAAATATAAATAAGTAAATAAATAAAAATAAAAATAGTTACATAGATCAGAACAGAATAGAGAACCTAGAAAGAAAGCCAAATACTTAAAACCAATTGATCTTTGACAAAGCATACAGAAACATAAGTTGGGGAAAGGACACCCTATTCAGTAAATGGTGCTGGGAAAACTGGATAGCGACATGTAGAAGAATGAAACTGGATTGCTGTCTCTCACCATACCAAAAATTAATTCAAAATGGATTAAGATTTAAATCTTAAGACCTGAAACCATAAAAATTCTAGAAGAAAACCTAGGAAAAACTCTTCTGGATATTGGCCTAGGCAAAGAAATTATAACTAATATCCCAAAAGCAAATGCAATAAAAATAAAAATCAATAAATGGGACCTAATTAAATGAAAAAACCTTCTGCACAACAAAAGAAATAATCATCAGAGTAAACACACACCCCACAGAATGGGACAAAATATTTGCAAAGTATGCTTTCAACAAAGGACTAACATCCAGAATCTATAAGGAACTCAAACAAATCAGCAAGGAAAAACACAAATAATTCATCAAAATGTGAGTAAATGACATGAATAGACATTTCTCAAAAGAAGACATCCAAATGGCCAATAAACATGTGAAGGAAAATACTCAACATCACATATCACCAAGGAAATGCAAATTAAAGCCACAATGAGATGCCTCCTTACCCCAGCCAGAATGACCATTATTAAAAAATCAAAAAACAACAGATATTGGTATGGATGTGGTGAAAAGGGAATACTTATACACTGCTGATGGAAATGTAAATTAGTACAATCTCTATGGTAAACAGTGTGGAGATTTTTCAAAGAACTAAAAGTAGATCTACCATTTAATCCATCAATCCCACTGTTGGGTATCTACCCACAGAGAAAGAAGTTGCTATATTAAAAAGACACATGCCTGTGTCTGTTTGTCACAGCACAATTCATAGTTGTAATAATATGGAACCAGCCTAAGTGCCCATCAACTGATGAGTGGATAAAGAAAATGTGGTATATATAAACCATGGAATACTACTTAACCATAAAAAAGAATGAAATAATGTCCTTTGCAACAGTTTGGATGGAGCTAGAGGCCATTATTCTAAGTGAAGTAACTCGGGGATAGAAAACTAAATACAGTATTTCTTATAAGTGGGAGCTAAGCTATGGGTATGCAAAGGCATAAAGAGTGGGATAATGGACATTGGAGACTCATGCTACTTTATATTAGTATCCATCCCATCCCTGTCAGCTAGCATCCACTGATCTTTTCTCTATCTCTATAGTTGTATCATTTGGAGAATGGTATATAAATTTAACCTTACAGTATTTAACCATTTGAGGTTGGCATTTTCACTAAGCAAAATAGCCTGGAGATCTATCCAGGTTGTTTATTATACAAGTTTATTCTTTTTATTGCTGAGTGGTATTCCATTGTATGAATGTATCAGAGTTTAACTATTCACCCATTGAAGGATATTGGGTTGTTTTCAATCTCGGCAGCTGCAAATAAAACTGCTGTGAACATTCATGAACAGGTTTTTGTGTGAACATAAATTTTCATGTCAGATGAATGCCAAAGAGTGTGACAGCTGGGTCATATGGCAAATGCATGTTTACTTTTAAGAGAAACTGCTAAGTTATTTTCCAGAGTGGTTGTACCATTTTACATTCTACCAGTAGTGTATGAGTGATAAAGTTTCTCCTCATCTTACCCAGTATTTGGTATTATCACCTTTTTTTATTTTAGCCATTCTGATAGATGTGTAATGATCTATCATTGTGGTTTTAATTTGCATTTTCCTAATAGCTAATGTTGTTGAACTTGTTTTCATGTGCTTATTTGTTATTCCTATTTCATTCTTGGTAAAATGTCTCTTCATATCTTTTGCCCATTTTCTAATTGGATCATTTGTTTATTTTGCTTTTGTGATTTGAGAGTTCTTTATATTCTAGATAAAATTCCTTGTTGGGTATGTGGTTTGCAACTGTTTTCTCTAGTCTGAACACTGTTCTTTCATCTTCTTAACAGGGCTTTCACAGAGCAAAAGTTTTAATTTTTGATAAAATGAAGTTTATCAAATTTTCCTTTAGGGTTTTATTGACTTTTAAATGCTCATATATTGAGGAAATTAGTTCTATGACTGTCAGATGTATTGGAAATATTTTTCCAATTTATGTTACTTTGTTTCATATAAAAATTATTCTTTCTGTTGCATAAATCATCATCATTTTAATGTATTACTTGTTTTGTGCTATGATTTTCCTAAACCTTCTCCTTCTTAAAATTTTCTTCTCCTTTGGCTTCTGTAATATGCACCCAGATTTTGTTCAGCTGCCCCAAAATCTAAGACTTTACAAAAACATTTCAGTTATTGACATCTTAATACAAATTTTTTTTTTGCTCTACATTTTTTTTCCAACCGATCTCACAACTTTATCTGCCACTTCTAGCTTTGACTTGTATTTCTAACTCCAGACTGATGGGACATTTACATATGATTATCCTTCTAACACCTCAAAGTCAAATGTCCCCTCAAAAAATTATTTTTCTCTCCCCTTTGGTTATGATTATCCAATCGTCCTAGGTAAGAAACTGTAGCATCATGCTAACCTTTTATATTTGTCTTATAAACACATCAGTAGTCACAAATTCCTACTAGTTTTATTTTAGAAAATCTTCTCCATGGTTCAGATGTCAGTCGTCACTAATTTGAGATGTTATAGTTGCCTTCTAAACAGTGTTCTGGTGTTCTCTTTCAGCCGATTATATTCATTATCATCAGTGTTGTCTCTCTGGGACATAGTCCAAATATGTCATTCTCCTGCTCATAATCCTACAATAAAAGAGGAAAGTAAAAGGATATAATATTAAAGATAAAAATTATATGGAACTGTGGGTAGATAAGAGAATAAAAATTTTATAGAAGTATATTATTTGCAACTCTATGACAATATATTAAAAAATCTGGAAGAAATGGATGCTTTCCTAGAAAAATATAAATTATCAAAATGGAATAAATAGAAAACCTGAATAGATCAGTAATCATGGAAGAAATGGAGAAGATAGACCATTTGCAGAGGGACCAGGCCTAGTCTTATTTGCTATAGAGGGAAAAGAAATGAATACAAACTTTCAACCTACAGTAAATTTACAGCCTACTAAATAGGTTTCAAAACCAACATAAACAGGTTCCACTTAATAGATTGGGCCAGGCAAAGCAAGGGAGTGAGACTGGGCAATTTCATTCTTGTTTCTTTCGAATTAATGACCTTTTAAATTTTTTTCCAAACAAAATCCTTTGCGTATAGAAACATCAAACAGAAACAGAGTGTTTGTGGGGGTAGATTTTTTTTTTCCTCATTTTTGTACTCTAGAAGCCTCCAGATGGCAGCATTTTACTTTGGAAGATGTTCAGTGCTTGCAGTTCATCTCCTGCTTTTTAATTCATAACGGCACCTGAGTCAGGCTGTCAACAGGCGGAGGGGACGGGAGACAAGGTGGTAGATGTGTTTCAAGATATTCTTACCTTTCACACTCTTCTCTGATTTACCATCCACAGAGATCCTCCGTAAATTGGCAGTTGAGGTAAGCACTTTCCCTACAGTCAATATAAAAACAGGCATTTTATTCCAGCTGCCTTTGTACCACCCCACAAAAATTAAACAGCTGATTTTTGTCTTCCTGACATACCATTTGCACAAAAACAATTTTTGTTTTTCATCCTGAAAATTAGGTAGTAAAGAGTCAATGTTACAAAATTGCAATAACATGGCCGGGCGCAGTGGCTCACGCCTATAATCCCAGCACTTTGGGGGCTAAGGTGGGCGGATCACAAGGTCAGGAGTTTGAGACCATCCTGACCAACATGGTGAAACCTCTTCTCTACTGAAAATACAAAAAGTAGCCAGGTGTGGTGGCACGCACCTGTAGTCCCAGCTACCTGGGAGGCTGAGGCAGGAGAATCACTTGAACCCACGAGGCAGAGGTTGCAGTGAGCTGAGATCACACCACTGCACTCCAGCCTGGGCAGCAGAGCAAGACTCCATCTCAAAAAAATAAATAAATAAATAAATTGTAATAACATTGGCCCTTGCCTAAATTGCTGAAATGTCCTACTTCTTGCCTCTGTAGAGCCTCTTCTCCAAAGTGCATATCATGTCACTCTCCTATTCCCAGCCTATGCCTTCTCATCACCACTAAAGTAAACCCAACCTCCATAAAACGATCTGCAAGGCCCTATAGGATCTGGCCCTCTCCACTTCCCTGACCTCATCTTCTACCATACTCCCTCTTCTCTGCTTACTTGGTTCTAGCCACCATGGTCTTGATGTTTTTTTAACACAATGAGCATGTCCCACCTGGGACCTTTGCACGTCTCTATTGTCTCTCTGATTTTTGCATAGTTTGTGTCCTCATTAAAGTCTCTTCTCAGGTGTCACTTCTTTGGAGAGGCCTTCCCTGATCACTGCCCCCTCTCCCAACCTTATCCTCACCCTGCTTTTTTCTCCCTCAGAAGAATAGAAGTATCTAATAATTGATTGTGTGTCTTTGTCAAGAAGTACATAAATTCCATGGAGGACTGGAATTCATATTGTTTATTCTTACCTCCCCAGAACTAAAAAAAAAAAATGCCTGATACTCAATAATACTCAATAAAATGCCTGATACTTATTGAGTAGGTACTCAATAAGTTGTTGAATGAATGAAAGAATGAAGCAAAGTTCAGTCCTAATGTGTCTATACCATCTCTTTTGACATGCTGTATGGCAGATACTTGGAAAATAGCAGCCCAGCCCTGATTAAGTGGTCTTATTGATGCTAGCTCATTAAATTTCTCAGATACCCATGATCCTATACTTTTATTTCTTAAACAGACACTTAATTTTTAAAAGTCTCCCCAAAGTTGTCACTGAAACAAAAGTGGCGAGATAAATGTTAGAGATTACATATCTTTAGCATTTATGTAATTGAAAACACATTGAAATCAGCATCAGATTATTCTATATAGATTTGTGGAACTAATTCTTAAATAAAGTATATTTTACTGAGAAGTAAGTTACCAAAAAGAACTTGTCACCTGTATCAAAAGAGTTGTTTGCCTTGCTAATCATGGATAATATTTTGCCTGCAAAACAATTCTGAAGCATAGAATATTCAGGCTGCACAGAGAAGAGTGTAAATAATTAACATGTAAATTCAATTATGGCTGTGTCCCCATTACAGTTCTTTTTATGGTAACAGCAGTATACTGTGTCCTCAATTTATAAGTGGAATTGCATCCAGATATAAGTATGTGGAAAAAGAAGTTCTGAAAATTTCTTGTAAATAAAAAGCAATTTATTAAATACTATTCCCATCTGTATGGATCTAGTTATACTCGCAATATTTCAGTTTTGTAACTACATAGAATCCCAAAATTAAAACATAATAATTTAAGTAATATTATATTCTAAAAGATAGTAGAATAATTTTGTAAATTCTTCTTTAGTAACAATAAACAATCTTTAAGCTGAAATATATTAAATACCTTCTTCAAAGTGGAATTGAGGACTTAATTTTTCATATTACCTTACTGAGTGTTCCTATCTGTCATTTTTCTAAGTGCTATTACCTTAATTTGTATTTTTTATTTTAAAAAATTATTTTGATGATTTTGTTCATGCTTATCATATAACTAATAATAGCTTTAATCTATTAAGAGTTTACAATGTGATAGGCATTGTACTAAGCACATTCAAATTACTTGATTAATACTCATAGGTTAGTCTGAGAATCCAGTTATAATTTATAATAAATTTTCAATGTAAAAATGAGCTCCAATTTTAAAAGCACTGACTTACAAATGAAGTATCTTAACACAATGTGTTTATAAGTAGAGAACTGTCTGAACTGAGTGACTGCAAATTTCAATGAATGAAAACCTATGCAGCATGAGAAATTGAATCAAATAAGAACAACGTGTGCAGGAGACTGCTGGAGCTCTTTCATGTCTTATCTTCATGCAGCATTCTTTGCATTTAAAGATACTACTGATGACAGTATTGCTTTCTGAGTATTTGCAAGGCTACAAAGGCTGATGCATGCGTGACTTGCAGTTACTTTCACAATAAGCATTATCCATGTGAATTCGGTCTGTGGATTGTTGTGTGACAAAGTTGTTTGGCAGCAATATCTCTACCCTCTGTGTTAAAGGTTGTCTTTGCCCAAATAGCCACATCATCTCTTATTGCCATAGCCTCTAAGTTTTCTGCTGCTATTATTGTGTCTATACAATCTGCACTGATATGATTCAGTGAGACCTTGTTAGTATTCTTTGGCTTACTCTTGCCTTGACGCACCACAGATTAGTTCACCATAGGGAAGTCATGGTGATGGAGATTCCCCAAATCTCCTCAAAGTCACATGACAAGGTGGCAACTTCTTCTTCTGGCATGCCAAAATGGATATAATGGTCATCTGTGGTTTACCCCTGCTTAGCATCTGTTTCCTTACATCGAGGTAAAATCAACTCCTTTGGGGATTGACCCTCCTCCGCTGATTCAGTTGAGGCCCATGATACTACTGGGGCTAAACCACGCTCTGGAGCCAGTGACTGGTACATGACAGTTGAGTATAATGTATGCCTTGAGTATAAAGACTAGTTAAAGAGTAGGCCTGTGACCTAAGCAGGGCAGTTACAGCCATGAACATAACTTTAAGACTTTCTGCTGGAACCACTGGGAAAGAAAACTGTCTTTTGTTTTTTGTGGTAGCTAAGCCTAGACTTGCTGGTAGACATTTTGACACCACTTGAGGTTAGCCTAAGAATGAAGGCAACATGGCGGAAAGCCAAGCTGGGAAGTGAAGAACATACAAACTACATTGTTTGAGCACCTAGATCTAGCTTCACTTGAGGCCAGCAATAAACCCCTCACTTTTTAGATTAGTTTAAGTTAATTGGATAGGGTTATATCCTTTGCAACCAAAAGAATCTTGAATAATTCAGTAGGCATGACCACAAACTAAATCTCAAGGGCAGTTATGTACCTATACATGCCTTCCCATGTATAGGTAAATAGTCACATTGAAATATAGTATAGTAAATAGTCATATTGAATACCTCTGTTAATAATGAAGAGTGGGCCATGAAATCAATTGCTGGCATATCCCTGAAGATCAGAAAGTGAAATGCAGATTGCTGGTGCTGTATTTTGGAGTTCTACATTTCTGTCCTTTAACCTTTTCATAAAACTGGAGTAGTGGAGAGTGCTGATTAGGGGAAATGCTCATGCTACATCATGATGTCGGCTCTAGTCTTAAAGCAAATCTTACTAGTTGGTTGACAGGTACCATAATTAATAAATAGATGGGGAAATCCCAGGTGAGGTATGAAATTGCTCTCATGTGATGGACATACTTTTGAATTTAGGCTCTGCTTTCTAGCTTTGTGATTGTGGCCAAGTTACTTAACATTTCAGCCATGGTTGCCTCATATTTAAAGTAGGAATAATAATAGTCCTGCCTAATAGGGCTTTAAAAAAAATTAAACAGGTTGATTTGGGGAACGAGCTTAGAACAATGTCTGGGCATAATAAGTACTCAAAATGCATTGATTATATTATTTCTCATTAATTTTAGACATCACGACATTGCCCCAGAGAGGAACCCAGGATTCTCACACCATGACACCATCCCCATCTGTTTCTCCAGCCACATTTGGACATGGATCTGGCAGCCTAAGGTACAAATGCAAGATTCTATACTAGACCTTAGAAGGTTGTCAGTTTTTTGTGGGTTAGTAGTTAATATAGAAAAACAACAAAGTATGACTGCTATATCAGGATTATATTCAGCCTTGAAGCAATTTCTATTTTTATATGTTCACTTAGACCAGTTTGTATGCTGCGAAATCAATGAGAAGAGAATTGTGTTGGCAAGAAATGTGCCTGGTGAATGAATGAAAGAAAGAAAGAAAAAAAGAAAGAAAGAAGGAAAGAAAGAAAGAAAGAAAGAAAGAAAGAAAGAAAGAAAGAAAGAAAGAAAGAAAGGAAGGAAGGAGGGAGGGCGGGAGGGAGGGAGGGAAGAAACAAAGAGATGTTTTCTTAAACTACATATGCCTTTAAACATTTTTATTTAGAATTTTTTATTTCCCTGCAAATATGTGATTATAACATTACAAGGAAGACATTGTAGCTGTACAATAGCCTTCATTCAGCTCTCTTGAAGCAAATATTAAACATGTCTAGTGTAAGTAAAACCACATGTTATAATGGGGAACTATTATAAGAAAAAGGATGTAACATTTGAAATTGGTGAGAAAATCAGAGAAAGGTTGCCCTTTTTGGCATATTTTTAAGCTATCTCCTTTAGATAGTATAGTACAATATGAATTTCTGTTACAGGAACAAAGTTATTAGAGAGTGAAAATGGTGCATTATAATAATGTAATGAAGATTTTTTTACTGAGATAATTGATCTCAGTTTCAAGTAAATAGTTACCCACATCTCCCAATTTAAGGCTGCATTGAATACTTTTTCTGCCTCCTTTTTTATTGTCATTCTGTCAGCTATCACATATTACAACTGTCAGATGCCTGTGTCTAGAAGCTACCCATTTTAATTTCTTGCTTCTAATCTGCAGTGAAGAGGGAAATTAGATTTTCCCTAAAA
This sequence comes from Homo sapiens, assembly GCF_000001405.40. Taxonomy (NCBI): domain Eukaryota; kingdom Metazoa; phylum Chordata; class Mammalia; order Primates; family Hominidae; genus Homo; species Homo sapiens. Next base: position 108,486,800 of record NC_000005.10, read on the forward strand.
CTAGAGTAAATAAGCTTTAAGTGAAAGTCTGAGAGTTTTCTAATGGTTAGTTGGGTGACCTTAGTGTGTGGTTTTGTGATTTTTTTTCCCCACTGAATACTCAAGGCTGCTTTTTGCTTACTTCTGGTTTTCTCAGCCATGTCTAGATGAGGATATGACCTTTGGTTAAGTGAAGTGCTTTTGTAACAAATTTAAATTTTCAGGGAATTTCTATGTAGCTAAGCTTTATACCTATGCATAATTTATTTTCCTTTGTTCATGATCTTCCAATGGGGGTGTTTAATGTCAACAAGAAATAAATCTAGATTCTATGTTTTGTATTGGTTGCTCTTCCAAATTAATACTCATCCCCCCCAACCAATCCAATACAATCATTGGCCTCATCATTGTTCTCTGAATATACCTTGCTTACTCTTGCCCATATGCAATCTTTTAAACTGTTGCTTTGAGGTGAAGCACTTTTTCCTACCTCTCTTAATGTTCTCATGCTTTCTAAGCCATCTCACATTCTAGTGTTTCCATGACTCAAAGCCTGGACCACATGGATCACTTACCATTCTAATTACCTGTAACTACTTTCTCATGCATTGAGGGAGAGGGGGCTGATCAAATACTATTACTTATTGTTCTCTACTTGGGGGTATATATGCTTAGCATCTCTAAGTATGCTAGTATCTGCTCTGGGTAAATGTACCTTCTTTATGCAGCACAGAAAAGAGAAGGACGTTATTAACACCCTTTATATTATCTTAATCAACTCGTCTTATGTCTGGTAGAAAATAGATGACATCTATTCAGTCAAGGATGAAAGAACAGCAGACAGGATGGCTAGTGATTTGAGAAAAAATGTTTGTCCTTTGTACATATCTTTGTTTCTCCTCAAACAAGCCTTCTTTGTATAAAGATGTCTGGAAATTGTCACATTACATAGGAGTGGGTAGGAAAAAGCAATTCCTTTACTACTAATGTACATCTGTGCAGGGCTTCAAAGGCAACTTGAGCTCAAAGGATTCAGTTTCATACATGATAGTTAAAGTAACAGGTCCACCTATAGATTTTAGATTAGCTCAAGCACTTTTTTCACAGAATTTCTTGTCTCAGACATGTGGTCTAGATATATGACTAATATAGCTCTCTAATTGTGAATCCTTTATAATTTCAACTTTAAAAGAACATCTTTCCATAATTCTGTTTCTCCCCCTCTCAATCTTTACGTTTTGTCAAAGGGAATAATTTCCAATAGTTTCTTTCCTGTTTTGAAACCACTGTGATGGAAAAAAAATGGTGTATTTTTTTGTTATCTTTCAGAAGAAGTTTATTTTTATTCTAACCATTTGTTAATGAGTCACGTAAATCCCTTGGGTTTTCTTGACCTAAATTTCAAGTCTTATAAAAAAAAATCTCACAACATGGTTAACAATTTATTAGAGATGAATAAAATTTTTGTGAAACCCCTCAGTTCTTCCAAGCCCTGAGCCTAGTATAGAGAGCTGCCTGGAGTCCATGTGACTGCACATTGCTCCAGACAGAGTACGTGTGAAGAGTACCACCTCTGGTCCCTAAGCTGCTGCAAGATGGTGCCATTATGAAAGAATAGCCAACACTAGACTTCATCCTGCCCTGGGGCCCAATAGTCCCTGTACCTCCCCATCCTTGGGACCCCACCAAGATCCCCCCATATCCACCCAGAGGGTTGCAGCATCATGACGCTGTCTGGACCCAGTAGTACAGCTGTGTCCTTGGCATCTGAGCCCCTGCTACATCCTACACCCTGAGAAACAGGTGGTTGAGCACATCAAGGAGGCTGCCCCCAAAGCATAGGGAACCACAGCATCAACAAAATAAAAGACAAAAATCATATGATCATCTCAATAGAAACAAAAAAAGCATTTGAAGAATTCAATATCCCTTCATGATAAAAACTCTCAACAAACTGACTATAGAAGAAACATGGCTCAAGATAATAAAGGTCATATATGACAAACCCACAGCTAACATCATACTGAGGGAAAATTTGAAAGCCTTTCCCCTAAGACATAGAACAAGACAAAGATGCATACTTTTACCACTTTTATTGAACATCATTTTGGAAGTCTTAGCCAGAGAAAGAAAGGGAATCCAAATTGGAAAGGAAAAAGTCAGATTATCCTTATTTGCAGATGACACGATCTTATATTTAGAAGAACCTAAAATCTCTACCAATAAACGCTTAGAAACTGATACTTGAATCAGTAAAGATGCAGAATAGAAAATCAACATACAAAAATCAGTAGTATTTCTATCTGCCAACAGTGAACAATCCGAAAAGGAAATCAAGAAAGCAATCCCATTTATAATAGCTACAAAAAATAAAATAACTAAGAATAAACTTAACCAAAGAAGTGAAAGATTTCTACATTGAAAACTATAAAACACTGATGAAAGAAATCAAAGAAGACACAACAAAAATGAAAAGATATCTCAGCTTCATGGATTGGAATAATTAATATTGTTAAAACATCCATACTACCCAAAGTAATCTATCTACAGTTTCAATGCAATTCCTATCCAAATACTAATGACATTTTTCACAAAAATAGAGAAAACAATTTCAAAATGTGTTTGGAACCACAAAATAGCTGAATAGTTAAAGCAATCTTGAGCAAAATGAACAAAGCTAGAAGCATCAGACTACCTGACTTCAAAATATACTACAAAGATATAGTAATCAAAACAGCATGGTACTGGCATAAAAACAGACACACAGACCAATGGAATAAAATAGAGAGCCCAGAAATAACTCCATGTGTTTACAGCCAATTCATTTTAAACAAAGACACCAAGAACATACACTTGGGAAAGGACAGTTTCTTCAATAAATGGTGCTGGGAAAACTGGATATCCATATGCAGAAGAATAAAACTAGATCCCTATCTCTCACCATATACAAAAATCAAATCAAAATGGATTGAAGTCCTAAATGTAAGACTCAGAACTATGAAACTATTATTAGAAGAAAACATAGGGGAAACACTTAGCACATTGCTCTGGGCAATGATTTTTTGGGGTAAGACCTCAAAAGCAAAGGCTACAAAAGCAAAAGTAGAAAAACAGGATCACATTAAGCTAAGATGCTTCTGCACAGCAAAGGAAACAATCAAAACAGTGAAGAGACAATCTACAAATGGAAGAAAATGCTTGAAAACTACTCTTCCAACAAGGGATTAATAAGCAGAATATATAGGGAAGGCAAACAACTCAAAAGCAGGAAAAATCAAATAGTCCAATTTAAAAATGGGCAATTGATCTAAATAGACATTTCACAAAACGGGACAGACAAATGTGCAACTGGTATATGAAAAAGAAATGCTCAACACATCATTAATCATCAGGGACATGAAAACCATAGTGAGATATCTCACTCTAGTTAAAGTGGCTATTATCATAAAGACAAGAAATAGATGTTGGCAAGGATGTGGAGAAAGGGGAATGCCTGTGCAATGTTGGTAGGAATGTAAATTAGTACAGCCACTATGGAAAATCGTATGGTGGTTCCTCAAAAAACTAAAACTAGAACAACCATATGATCCAGCAAACCTGCTACTGGGTATATATCCAAAAGAAAGGAAATTAGTATTTTGAAGAGATATCTGCATTCCCATGATTATCATAGCAGTGTTCATGTTAGCCAAAATATGGAATTTACCTAAGTGTCTATCAGTGGGTGAATGGATAAAGAACATGTGGTATACGTATAAAGTAGATTACCATTGAGCCATACAAAAAAATGAAATTCTATCATTTGCAACAACATGGATGAGCCTGGATGCATCATGTTATTTGTAATTAGCCAGGCACAGAAAGACAAATATCACATGTTCACACTTTTTTTTTTTTTTTTTTTAGCATAAAGAACAAAACTTTTCTGGAATCTAAAATGAAAGTTGATCTCATGGAGGTAGATAGTAGAATGGTGGTTATTAGAGGCTGAGAGGGGTTTGGTTAATGGATACAAAAATACTGTTAGAAGGAAAGTTTCTAGTGTTCAAAAGCATAGTAGGGTGATTTTAGTTATCAATAATTTATATTTCAAAATAGAAGATTTAGAATATTTTCAGCACAAATAAATGATAAATGTTTAAGGTGATGGATACGTCAATTACCCTCATTTGATCATTACACATTATTCATGTATCAAAAATCACATGTTCCCCATAAATATGTACAATGATTATGTATCAATAAAAAAGTAGCAGACTGACAAAAAATCCTTCCTGAAAGTAAAATGTATATCATTAATTGAGTAAACCATGAGCGTCCCGACTTACTAGTTCATAGAATGCAGTAAAATATTCAAAGGTAGGCCAGGCGCAGTGGCTTACACCTGTAATCCCAGCATTTTGTGAGGCTGAGGCAGGGAGATAACATGGTCAGGAGTTCGAGACCAGCCTGACCAACATGGTGAAACCCCATCTCTACTGAAAATACAAAAATTAACCAGGCATGGTGGCACTTGCCTGTAATCCCAGCTACTCAGGAGGCTGAGGCAGGAGAATCGCTTGAACCTGGGAGGCGGAGGTTGCGGTAAGCCGAGATCACGCCACTGCACTCCAGCCTGGGCGATAGAGTGAAACCCGATCTGTACATCACCATCATCAAAGACCAAAGGTAGATAAAACCACAAAGATGGGGAAAAAACAGAGCAGAAAAGCTGAAAATTCTAAAAATCAGAGCGCCTCTCCCCCTCCAAAGGAACGCAGCTCCTCGCCAGCAATGGAACATAGCTGTATGGAGAATGACTTTGACAAGTTGAGAGAAGAAGGCTTCATACTATCAAGCTTCTCTGAGCTAAAGGAGGAAGTTCAAACCCATCGCAAAGAAGCTAAAAACCTTGAAAAAAGGTTAGACGAATGCCTAACTAGAATAACCAATGGAGAGAAGTCCTTAAATGACCTGAAGGAGCTGAAAACCATGGCACAAGAACTACATGACGAATACACAAGCTTCAGTAGCCGATTTGATCAACTGGAAGAAAGGGTATAAGTGATTGAAGACCAAATGAATGAAATGAAGTGAGAAGTTTAGAGAAAAAAGAGTAAAAAGAAATGAACAAAGCCTCCAAGAAATATGGGACTATGTGAAAAGACCAAATCTACGTCTCATTGGTGTACCTGAAAGTGACGGGAAGAATGGGACCAAGTTGGAAAACACTCCGCAGGATATTATCCAGGAGAACTTCCCCAACCTAGCAAGGCAGGCCAACATTCAAATTCAGGAAATACAGAGAATGCCACAAAGATACTCCTCGAGAAGAGCAACTCCAAGACACATAATTGTCAGATTCACCAAAGTTGAAGTGAAGGAAAAAATGTTAAAGGCAGCCAGAGAGAAAGGTTGGGTTACCCACAAAGGGAAGCCCATCAGACTAACAGCAGATCTCTCAGCAGAAACTCTACAAGCCAGAGGAGAGTGGGGGCCAATATTCAACATTCTTAAAGAAAAGAATTTTCAACCCACAATTTCATGGCCAACCAAACTAAGCTTCATAAGTGAAGGAGAAATAAAATCCTTTACAGACAAGCAAATGCTGAGAGATATCACCACCACCAGGTCTGCCCTAAAAGAGCTCATGAAGGAAGCACTAAGCATGGAAAGGAACAACCAGTACCAGCCACTGCAAAAACATGACAAATTGTAAAGACCATCAATGCTAGGAAGAAACTGCATCAACTAATGAGCAAAATAACCAGCTAACATCATAATGACAGGTTCAAATTCACACATAACAATATTAACCTTAAATGGAAATGGGCTAAATGTCCAATTAAAAGACACAGACTGGCAAATTGGATAAAGAGTCAAGACCTATCAGTGTGCTGTATTCAGGAGGCCCATCTCATATGCAGAGACAAAGATAGGCTCAAAATAAAGGGATGGAGGAAGATCTACCAAGCAAATGGAAAACAAAAAAAGGCAGGAGTTGCAATCCTAGTCTCTGATAAAAGAGACTTTAAACCAACAAAGATCAAAAGAGACAAAGAAGGCCATTACATAATGGTAAAGGGATCAATTCAACAAGAAGAGCTAACTATCCTAAACATATATGCACCCAATACAGGAGCACCCAGATGCACAAAACAAGTCCCTAGGGACCTACAAAGAGACTTAGACTCCCACACAATAATAATGGGAGACTTTAACACCCCACTGTCAACATTAGACAGATCAACAAGACAGAAAGTTAACAAGGATATCCAGGAATTGAACTCAGCTCTGCACCAAGAGGACCTGATAGACATCTACAGAACTCTCCACCCCAAATCAACAGAATATACATTCTTTTCAGCACCACATCACACTTATTCCAAAATTGACCACATAGTTGGAAGTAAAGCACTCCTCAGCAAATGTAAAAGAACAGAAATTATAACAAACTGTCTCTCAGACCACAGTGCAATCAAACTAGAACTCAGGATTAAGAAACTCACTCAAAACTGCTCAACTACATGGAAACTGAACAACCTGCCTCTGAATGACTACTGGGTACATAACAAAATGAAGGCAGAAATAAAGATGTTCTTTGAAATCAATGGGAACAAAGACACAACATACCAGAATCTCTGAGACACATTTAAAGCAGTGTGTAGAGGGAAATTTATAGTACTAAATGCCCACAAGAGAAAGCAGGAAAGATCTAAAACTGACACCCTAACATCACAATTAAAAGAACTAGAGAAACAAGAGCAAACACATTCAAAAGGTAGCAGAAGGCAAGAAACAACTAAGATCAGAGCCGAACTAAAGGAGATAGAGACACAAAAAAATCAATGAATCCAGGAGCTGGTTTTTTGAAAAGATCAACAAAATTGATAGACCGCTAGCAAGATTAATAAAGAAGAAAAGAGAGAAGAATCAAATAGACGCATTAAAAATGATAAAGGGGATATCACCACCAATCCCACAGAAATACAAACTACCATCAGAGAATACTATAAACACCTCTATGCAAATAAACTAGAAAGTCTAGAAGAAATGGAGATATTCGTGGACACATACACCCTCCCAAGACTAAACCAGGAAGAAGTTGAATCTCTGAAAAGACAAATAACAGGCTCTGAAATTGAGGCAATAATTAATAGCCTACCAATCAAAAAAAGTCCAGGATCAGATGGATTCACAGCCGAATTCTAGCAGACGTACAAGGAGGAGCTGGTACCATTCCATCTGAAACTATTCCAATCAATAGAAAAAGAGGGAATCCTCCCTAACTCATTTTATGAAGCCAGCATCATCCTGATACCAAAGCCTGACAGAGACACACACAAAAAAGAGAATTTTAGACCAATATCCCTGATGAACATTGATGCAAAAATCCTCAATAAAATCCTGGCAAACCGAATCCAGCAGCACATCAAAAGGCTTATCCACCATGAATGAGTAGGCTTCATCCCTGGGATGCAAGTCTGATTCAACATACGAAAATCAATAAACGTAATCCAGCATGTAAACAGAACCAAAGACAAAAACCACATGATTATCTCAATAGATGCAGAAAAGGCCTTTGACAAAATTCAACAGCCCTTCATGCTAAAAACTCTCAATAAATTAGGTACTGATGGGACATATCTCAAAATAATAAGAGCTATTTATGAAAAACCCACAGCCAATATCATACTGAATGGGTAAAAACTGGAAGCATTCCCTTTGAAAACGGGCACAAGACAGGGATGCCCTCTCTCACCCCTCCTATTCAACATAGTGTTGGAAGTTCTGGCCAGGGCAATCAGGCGGGAGAAAGAAATAAAGGGTATTCAGTTAGGAAAAGAGGAAGTCAAATTGTCCCTGTTTGCAGATGACATGATTGTTTATTTAGAAAACCCCACCATTTCAGCCCAAAATCTCCTTAAGCTGATAGGCAGCTTCAGCAAAGTCTCAGGATACAAAATCAATGTGCAAAAATCACAAGCATTCTTATACACCAATAACAGACAAACAGAGAGCCAAATCATGAGTGAACTCCCATTCACAGTTGCTTCAAAGAGAATAAAATACCTAGGAATCCAACTTGCAAGGGATGTGAAGGACCTCTTCAAGGAGAACTACAAACCACTGCTCAATGAAATAAAAGAGGACACAAACAAATGGAAGAACATTCCATACTCATGGATAGGAAGAATCAACATTGTGAAAATTGCCATACTGCCCAAGGTAATTTATAGATTCAATGCCATCCCCATCAAGCTACCAATGACTTTCTTCACAGAATTGGAAAAAGCTACTTTAAAGTTCATATGAAACCAAAAAAGAGCCCACATCGCCAAGACAATCCTAAGCCAAAAGAACAAAGCTGGAGGCATCACACTACCTGACTTCAAACTATACTACAAGGCTATAGTAATGAAAACAGCATGGTACTGGTACCAAAACAGAGATATAGACAAATGGAACAGAACAGAGCCCTCAGAAGTAATACCACACATCTACAACCATCTGATCTTTGCCAAACCTGAGAAAAACAAGCAGTGGGGAAAGGATTCCCTATTTAATAAATGGTGCTGGGAAAACTGGCTAGCCATATGTAGAAAGCTGAAACTGGATCCCTTCCTTATACCTTATACAAAAATTAATTCAAGATGGATTAAAGACTTAAATGTTAAACTAAAACCATAAAAACCCTAGAAGAAAACCAGGCAATACCATTCAGGACATAGGCATGGGCAAGGACTTCACATCTAAAACACCAAAAGCAATGGTAACAAAAGCCAAAATTGACAAATGGGATCTAATTAAACTAAAGAGCTTCTGCACAGCAAAAGAAACTACCATCAGAGTGAACAGGCAGCCTGCAGAACGGGAGAAAATTTTTGCAATCTACTCATCTGAAAAAGGGCTACTATCCAGAATCTACAAAGAACTTAAACAAATTTACAAGAAAAAAACAAACAACCCCATCAACAGGTGGGCGAAGGATATGAACAGACACTTCTCAAAAGAAGACATTTATGCAGCCAAAAGACACATGGAAAAATGCTCATCATCACTGGCCATCAGAGAAATGCAAATCAAAACCAGAGTGAGATACCATCTCACACCAGTTAGAATGGCGATCATTAAAAAGTCAGGAAACAACAGGTGCTGGAGAGGATGTGGAGAAATAGGAACACTTTTACACTGTTGGTGGGACTGTAAACTAGTTCAACCATTGTGGAAGACAGTGTGGTGATTCCTCAAGGATCTAGAACTAGAAATATCATTTGACCCAGTCATCTCATTACTGGGCATATACCCAAAGGATTATAAATCATGCTGCTATAAAGACACATGCACACGTATGTTTATTGCGGCATTATTCACAATAGCAAAGACTTGGAACCAACCCAAATGTCCAACAATGATAGACTGGATTAAGAAAATATGGCACATATACACCATGGAATACTATGCAACCATAATAGATGATGAGTTCATGTCCTTTGTAGGGACATGGATGTAGCTGGAAACCATCATTTTTAGCAAACTATCGCAAGGACAGAAAACCAAACACTGAGTGTTCTCACTCATAGGTGGGAACTGAATAATGAGAACACTTGGACACAGGAAGGGGAACATCACACACTGGGGCCTGTCATGGGGTGGGGGGAGGGGGAGAGATAGCATTAGGAGATATACCTAAGTAAATGATGAGTTAATGGGTGCAGCACAGCAACATGGCACATGTATACACATGTAACAAACCTGCACGTTGTGCACATGTACCCTAGAATTTAAGTATAATAAAAAATTAATTAATTAATTAAAAAAAGAGAGAGAAGAGATTAAATGGTATATGGGTTGTTTGGTTACAACAGGATGCTAATAATGGTAAGTATGACAGAGCCCTCATTTTAGGCCAAGTAGATTAGTTTTATGTTAAGAAAATTTCTGCTATAAATGGGTATACTATTGAGTGCAGTTAGACATATCAATGATCCATCTGCTTCATCAGGAAGTGAGAAAACTGAATGTAGCCTCATCACTGTGAGTGAAGTTTCAAAGTGAAGGGCTCACATTTCCATGGATGCAGAACTGGTGAATATCAAACCAGTTATTTATTTGTAAATGTCTCAGAAATTAAAGATGATGCTATGTTCAATTTCATGTTAACCCAGCACCTTTCTCTTCCTGGGGCCAAACTAGCCTACAAAATGACACAGAACATCAACCTGTTCTGATTTTGTTACCTTTACTCCCACATCTTTCCACAAAGCTTATTGTAAAGAAAAGTTAATTGCAGATATGACTAACTACACAAAGCTGACACATTTAATATATAAAAAGCTTTTTATTGCCAGATAAATGCTTTCTCAGCTGCTGTTTTATTGAACAGCAAATGGTGATACCCAAAGATGGCTAATAACAGGTCTGATTTCCAGGGGATTACACAGAGGTTGTACTCTGCTTTCTACCTTCTATTAATGAGAGGTATGAATTTGAGTCAATTAAAATTTTTTTAGATGACATACCTATTACATGTAAAAACTTACATTTTATGACTCATAAGGGCAAATGATTAGTATAAACTGTGTTTCTTATTTAAAATACATTAAATGAAAGATCATACTTGCATTTGGCATTCTTATAACTTTATATAAAGAGATTTCTGGTATTTTCTCATTTATTTCCCACCACTTTTTGTGAATAATACGTTACCTTATAGATTCTCAGCAGAGATTTGAAACTTTCAAGGGAAAATGCTATATAGTAGGAAAGTTCAGATTCTTTTAAAAAAATCAACTTTTTATTCTATTATATTAATACTTAAAGCAACTTTTGAGATCCTGTCATTTTTTCGATGTCTGCTGGAGAATTACTGCCTATACATTAACCATAGTGCTCAGATTGTGTGCTCACTTCCGACTCTTCAGTTATCATCCACTTGTCCGTTAATCTTTTGTTTGTGATGGAATTATTGTTCCACAATTATTGAAGAAGGCCAAGTTTATTGTAACATCAATTTTCAGTGTCGTCACACATTAATGAAAGCTCTCTTATTGAAAATTTGTATGACTTGTTAAGAAAAGTATCTACTTGCACAAGATTATTCTATCAACAATTTGGGTGTCTCACTGACATTAATTATTCCAATTTTACATTTTTAATTTTAGATTTATTTTTAATAAACAATACATACACATAGGAAAGGTTTCAAGAATTATGAAAAGTATGCGTAGCGAAAAGTAAGCCTCTCTTTTATTCATCTCTAGAACAACCACTCTTACCAGCATTTTTCGTAGTCTTCTAGAGATATCCTATGCATATGCCAGAATGTAAAAAAATCCATCCGCTTTTAAACACAAGTAACAGCATGACATATAACGATTTTTTACTTTGCTTTTTCATATAATAATGTATCTTGGAGATAGAGCTTTTCATATTCAGTTTTATTGGTTTTTATGGCTGTATTATATTCCATCATAATTCTTGAATACACAAAGGGTCTCTGATCCCTTAAGACTTTTTCTTTTAATTTCTAATTCTAGATACAGGGGATACATGAGCTGGTTTGTTACAAGGATATGTTGCATGATGCTGAGGTTTGGGCTTCTATTGATCCTATCACCCATATAGTAAACATAGTAGTATTCAATAGGAAGTTTTTCAGCCCTTGCCCCATTCCCTCCATCTCTCCTTTTGGAGACCTCAGTGTCTATTGTTCCCATCTTTATATCCATGTGTACCCAGGGTTTAGATCCCACTTACAAGAGAGAACATGTGATATTTGGTTTACCGTTTCTGTTCATTTGCTTAGGATAATGGCCTCCAGCTGCATCCATGTTGTTGCAAAGGACATAATTTTGTTCTGTTTTGTGAATGTGTAGTATTCCATGGTGTATATATACATTTTTCTTTATCCATTCTACCAGTGATGGGCACATAGGTTTCCTGTTTTTGCTATTGTGAATAGTGCTGTGATAAGCATACAAGTGCAGGTATCTTTTTGGTAGAACATTTTATTTTCCATTGGGAATATGCTCGCTAATGGGATTCCTGGGTCAAATGGTAGTTCTGTTTTAGTTCTTTGAGAAATCACAAAACTGCTTTCTACAGGGGCTGAACTGTGTACATGTTCCCTTTTCTCTGCAGCCTTGCCAACATCTATTATTTTTGACTTTATTAGTAGTCATTCTGCTGTTGGTATCCCATTGTGGTTTTGATTTGCCTTTCTCTGATGATTAGTAATGTTGAACATTTTTTCATATGCTTGTTGGCCATTTATATGTCTTCTTCTGAGAACCGTTGATGTCCTTTGCCCACCTTTTAATAGGGTTATTTGTTTTATGTTTGTTGATTTGTTAAAGTTCCTAATAGATTCTGGATATTAATCCTTTGTTAGATGCATAGTTTGTGAATATTGTCTCTCATTTTTTAGGTGCCTGTTTACTCTGTTGACACTTTCTTTTCCTGTGTGGAAGCTCTTTAGTTAATTATATCCCACTTGTCAGTTTTTGTTTTTTGTTGCATTTGCTTTTGAGAACTGATAGAGTTTGTATGTTTATCCCTGCCCAAATCTCATGTTGAATTGTAATATCCAGTACTGAAGATGGGGCTCGGTGGGAGGGATTGACTCATGGGGGTGGATTTCTTATGAATGATTTAACACCATCCCCTTGGTGCTATCCACGTGATAATGAGTGAATTCTTGAGAGATCTGGTTGTTTAGTATATGAACACCCCCCAACTGTCTCTATTGCTCCATTCTTGCCTTGTGATGTGCCTGCACCCTATTTGCCTTCTGCCATGATTGGATGACTCCTGAGGCCTCCCTAGATGCAGATGCCACTATGCTTTCTTGAATAGCCTGTAGAACCGTGAGCCGATTAAATCTCTCTTCTTATAAATAATTCAGTCTCAGGTATTTCTTTAGAGAAGTGCAAGAATGGCCTAATACAGAAAATTGGTACGAGGTGTGGGGCATTGCTGTAAAGACACCTGAAAATGTGGAACCAACTCTAGAACTGGGTAACATGCAGAGATTGGAAGAGTTTGGAGGGCTCAGAAGAAGATAGGAAGATGAGGGAAAGTTTAGAACTTCTTAGAGACTGGTTAAATGATTATGACCAAAATGCTGACAGTAATACACAGTGAAATGCAGGCTGCCAAGGTCTCAGATGGAAATGAGGAACTTATTGGGAAGTGGAACTTATTGGGAATTGAAAGGTCACCCTTGTTATGCCTTAGCAAAGAAAGTGGCTGTATTGGGTTCATGCCCTAGAGATCTGTGGAAGTTTGAACTTGAGCATGATTACCTAGGGTATCTGACAGAAGAAATTTCTAAGGAGCAAAGCATTCAAGATATGGCCTGGCTGCTTCTAACAACCTATACTCAGATGTAGGAGCAAAGAAATAAGTTGGAACTCATATTTAAAGGGGAAGATGAATGTAAAAGCTTGGAAAATTTGCACCATAGCCATGTGGCAAGGAAAGAAAAAACTTTTTTGGGACAGGAATTTAAGCAGGCTGTTGAGCAACAACTTTCTAGAGAGATTTGCATAAGTAAAAAAGAGCCAAGTGCTAATAGCCAAAACATGGGAAAAAGGCCTCAATGGCATTTCAGAAATCTCTCAGTATGCCCCTAACCTCACAGGCCCTGAGACCTAGGAGGACTGAATGGTTTCATGGGCCAGGCCCAGGACCCCACTGCCCTACACAGCCTTGAGACACTCCTCTCTGAATCCTGACCACTACAGCTCAAGCCTCAGCTCAAAGGGGCCCAGGTAGAGCTCAGGCTGCTGCTCTGGACAACATAACCTATAAGGCTTGGTGACTTCCATGTGCTGTTAAACCTGCAGGTGCACAGAATGCAAGAATGAATGAGGCTTGGCAGCCTCTGCCTAGATTTCAGAGGATTTATGAGAAAACCTGGGTGCCCTGGCAGAAACATGATGCAGGGGCAGAGCCCTCACAGAGAACCTCTACTAGGGCAGTGCCAAGGGGAAGTATGGAGTTGGAGCCCCCACACAGAGCTCCCAGAGCTGTGAGAAGGGTGCCACAATTCTCCAGATTCCAGAATGGTAGATCCACAAGCATCCTGCACCCTGTGCCTGGAAAAGCTGCAGGCACTCAACTCAAGCCTGTGAGAGCAGATTTGGTGGCTGCACTCTACAAAGCCACAGGGGCAGAGCTGCCCAAGGCCTTAGGAGCCCACCCTTTGCACCAGTGTCCCCTAGATGTGGGACAAGGAGTCAAAGGGAATTATTTTGGAACTTTAAGATTTAATGACTGCCCTGCTGGGTTTTGAGCTTGCATGGGCCCTATAGCTCCAGTTTTTTGGCTGGTTTCTCCCTTTTCGAAGAGGAATGTTTACCCAATGCCCATACCCTCATTGTGTCTTTGGAAATAACTAACTAGTTTTTTATTTTACGGCTTGCAGGTGGAAAGGATTTGCCTTGTCTCAGATGAGACTTTGGACTTTTCAGTTAATGCTGGGAAGAGCTAAGAGTTCGGGGGACTGTTGGGAAGGCATGATTGTATTTTGCAGTGTGAGAAGGACATGAGATTTGGGAGGGGCCAGAGGCTGGATGATATAGTTTGGATATTTGTCCCTGCTCAAATCTCATGTTGAATCATAATCCCCAATCCTGGAGGTGAGATCTGGTGGGAGGTTTTGGATTATGGGGGTGGATCCCTCATAGCTTGCTGCTGTCTTTGTGATCATGAGTTCTTGCAAGACCTGGTCATTTAAGAGTGTGTGGCACCTTCTCCCTACTCTCTCTCTCTCCTGCTTTCACCATGTGATGTGCCTGCTCCCACTTTGCCTTCCACCGTGATTGTAAGCTTCCTGTGGCCTCCCTAGAAGCCAAGCAGATGCCAGCACTGTGCTTCCTGTAAAGCCGGCAAAACTGTCAGCCAATTAAATATCTTTTCTTATAAATTACCCAATCTCAGTTATTTCTTTATAGCAGTGCAAGAATGGCCTAATGCAAGGACTTAGTCATAAATTATTCCCCAAGACCGATGTCCATAATGGTGTTGCCTAGGCTTTATTTTAGGATTTTTATAGTTTGAGGTTTTACATTTAAGTCTTTAATCCATCTTGAGTTGATTTTTGCATATGGTCAGAAATAGGAGTCCAGTTTCATTCTTCTGCATATGGTTTGCAGTATCATTTATGGAATAGAAAGTCTTTTCCCTATAGTTTATTTTTGTTGACTTTTTTGAAGATGAGTTTTTGTAGGTGTACAGCTATATTTCTGGATTATCTATTCTGTCCCATTGGTCTATGTACCTATTTTTGTACCAATACCATGCTGTTTTGGTTATTGCAGCCTTATAGTCTAGTTTGAAGTTGGGTAATGTGATGCCTCCAGATTTGTTCTTTTTGCTTAGGATTGCTTTGGCTATTTGGGCTCTTTTTTGTTCCATATGAACTTTAGAATAGTTTTTTCTAATTCTGTGAAAAATGACATTGATAATTTGATAGGAATACAGTTGAATCTGTAGATTGCTTTGGGCAGTACAGACACTTTAACAATATTGACTCTTCCAACCCATGAGCTTGGGATGTTTTTCCATTTCTTTGTGTTGTCTATGATTTCTTTCGGCAGTGTTTTGTAGTTCTCTGTGTGGAGATCTTTCACCTCCCTGGTTAGATATATTTCTAAATATTTTATTTTTTATGTGGCTATTGCAAATGAGATTGCACTCTTGATTTGGTTCTCAGCTTGTATGCTATTGGTGTATAGGAATCCTATTGATTTTTGTACTTTAATTTTGTATCTTGAGACTTTGCTGAAGTCATTTATCTGGTTTAGGAGCCTTTAGGGTTTGCTAGGTGTAGAATCATATCATCATTGAAGAGAGATAATTTGACTTCCTCATTTCCTTCCTTCTATTGCTTTCTGTTGCCTGATTGCTGTGGCTAGGACTTCCAATACTATGTTGAATAGGAATGGTGACTGAACATCCTTGTCTTGTTCCAATTGTTAGAGGGAATTCTTCCAGCTTTTGCCCACTCAGTATGATGTTAGATATGGCTTTCTTTTAAGACATATTTAAAATGAAGATAGATTTCCTTTCTCATAATCAGAATACATAACAATTTACCTTCCTATACTAATTTTGAATATTTTTGGGCAAGAAAATCAACTTAATATGTTTGCTTATGCAGATAACAGGCAAATGCAGTGTGGTTTCAACTACTGACGCTTTATAGCTAAGTAACTTTGGGCAAGTTATTTTAAGCCTCTAAACCTCAGGTTTTTCATTGGTAATGTGAAGTAATACCCATCTCAAAATATTGTTGAAAAGATAAGACAAATTAGTGACTATGAAGCACCTTAGCTCAGTACATGGAATATAATTAATGCTATATCTAGACTGTTTAGATCTATATTTACCTGCATATCTATACCTATTTATATGTTTTTATCTGCACTTGTCTATGCCCAGGACCACAAGAATATCCATGTCTTCACTGTATGAAATTGAAATAAGGATGACTGTCCTAGCTAAAACCACCCTGATGATTCTCTATACTTTTTCCATGCTTTATTTTTCTTCATACCACTTACTGACACCTGACATTATATTATACAGATATATTATATCTGTCTGCTTTCACTAGAATATAAACTCCAAAAGAGCAAATAGCTTGTTTGTCATGTTTGTTATGGTGTCCTACAGTCTAAACTTGCTGACTCATAATAGGGGCTCATTAAATATTTGCTTAATGAATGAATGAATGAATTTAATAAATATTTATTGCATATCTACATAAGACCTTTCACTGAGCTTAACTCTTACAATTAAAAAGACATTGAATATCTAGTTTTTCATCTATTAAATACAGTGCATGGGATGTGATAGAATTTTAGAATCAAATCAATAGGATGTGCATTATTTTCACTATCATGGCTTCTGGGCAAATAACTAAAATAATTAGAATCTAGTAGAATCAGGTTTCAGGAGGTAAAAGTGGTCTGAGTGATATGCATCCAGGCTCTTCAATTCCCAAATAAAGAGAATTCAGCCTGAAAGGCAAAGTTTGAACTTGAAAAATGATCTCCTGACTCACATACTTTCTATCATATTAATTTGTCTCTCAAATATCTACTGTGTGTTCAGCTTAATACAAACCATTGTCAGAGTCTAGGGGTATAAAACAATGTATCTGTCTGTCTCTGAGGAGATATCATTTGAGAAAACAAGTCTAACACACATGAACCATTAGAGAATACCAGGAGATACCACAGTTCTAAAGATAGTGATATGCAATAAAGTGATTCAGAGATACTCAAGGAAAGATTCCACGGGAGCCATGGAACTTCAGCCAGACCGTGAAGGATGACTTCATTTGGAAGAGAAGTTTGAGAGAAATATTACAAGTGAGGAGACTACATGGAGAAAATGTGGGAATGAGCATAAGTGCTTATGAGTCAAGGAGAAGGGAAGCAGATGACATATTGTAGGAGTACATGATAGATAAGTGGTGGGAAGTATTGTTGGACAGGGAATGTGGCACAAGTAAAACAGCCTACACAACATTTATCTCTCTGTGATGTAGGAGTTTAGGCATAATGGTGTAGGAACTGGAAAAAAAATGGAAGGATTTGATAAGGAAACTGATGTGTTGAAAGTGACATTTAAGGCCAGTAAGACTGGTGATGTTGTGCTTAATGGGTTAGGTGGAGACAGCCTGGATTTAGTATAGCCAGAGATGTTGGAGGAGGATGTCATTTTCCTCCTGTACACTTTTGGTGCCTGCATCCATCATTTGCATGTCATAGGGACTGGCTGTCTTAAATCTATCTATCTATTTCCTAACTAATTTCCCCAGTAACTCTGGCACCCGTTACCTCCTCGGTGAAATCTCTGAAATTGTCAAGTTGTTGACTATACTTTCTCCTTTGTATGCCAACTATAGTTGGGTATTTCATGTCAATTACTATCTACCATATACTAAGTGGGATATGTGTATTTACCAGTTTTCTCTGATCAACGCCGTGTGCTCTTTTAGTTCATATCGAGTCTGTCTCATACCTTAATGCAGTACCTGATACAAGTGGATCTGCACAAAAGTTCATTAAATTGTTGCCTTCTTCTCCACCTGAAGTCCTTCTGGGTTACCTCAATATCTACACATACTCTTCTAGCATCACACTTGCCTTAGGATTTCTACTCTCCTCAGCTCTAAGGATTTTTGCCTACTCCCATTTAGTCACCTACTTCAAAGCTGCTCCTTCAACCAGATTGGTTCCAATTCTGAAATATTAGACCTTTACAAGTTGTTATATGACTAGAGCATCCTATCATTTTGGTTCTCATCTGCCTATTTCCTAGCACCCTGACCCTTAATCTCATCATCATCTCTTAGGCCATCAGTCTTGTCCTGGCTTCACTTCCTTCTTTCTGGCACAGATCCATGACACATAAATACCCTCAACTCTTTTGGCCTCTTGTTTTGACTGTACCAGCCATGTATCAGCCATGGAGAAAAATCATACAACTGGGTTGATATGGAACCTCCACAGATTCATGGCCTGCAATATACGCTGGTCTTTCACACTGCCTGTAATTTATCCTCATTCTCCTAGTCAGCTCACTTTCTCCATCTCACTTTGGTGTATTCCAAGCCTTCACTACTCTCCTCATGTCTTCTAACCCACCATTACTCTCAAGAAAGAATTTCAACTTCCACTTAACAGATAAATAGAATTAATCAGGCAGGAACCTCTTCAATTTCCCCCAAGATAACTTCCAGTTCCATTTTACAATCTATGTCCAGAGCGAATTTCTCCACCTCTGCTCATTGTTTTCAAATTTCCACCTTGAATTCACTGCTCAGTCAATTGTAATGTGATTTCTGCTTGACCCTTACATACCGTGCCTCATTACTGAAACTTGTCTTGCTAAGAGTACTTATATCTTTGTAATTGCCAAATTTCTTGGACAAATTTCAATCTTTGTTATCTCAACTATTCTCCAGTGTTTGACACTGATAACTGTGTCCCTGCTTTTAGTATTTTTTTTTGTGTCTCTGGTTTCTGTGATATGCCCTTCCCTTGACTTTTCTTTCTTTCTCTGTATTTGTTCTGTGTTTACTTTAGGAGCTCCTCGTCTTTATTCTCTTCATAAATTCCACTAGTCCTTGAGGCTCACCTTTCCTCTCCCCCATCCCCTTCCTTTCCTAACCCTCCCTTCCCTTTCCCCTCCTCTCTCCTCCTCTCCTCTATTTCCTCTTCTTTTCTTTTCTCAATCTATGTACTTTCTGTGTATATTATCAAAATCCATGGCTTTGACTACAATGATGGTTGACAAAATCTCTATCTCTACCCCAAACTTCTCTGTTAAGCCAAAGAAAACGTAATCAATGGAACACCTCCATTTTGGCATCCCGCAAGAACTACAAATTCAACCTGTCAAAAAATGAACTCATCTTTTTTCCCAAACTTCCTTTTTTTCCATCCTACTTTGACCACCCCAAATCTGAGAATCATCCAAGACTTTTCCTTTGCCTGCTCTCCCAATTTTGGAGTCTCTAAGTCTTGTCATTTTAAACTCCATTATCTGATCAGTCTTCTTTGTGTCCTCACTGCCACTAACCTGGTCTTAGTTTATAGGATTCCTATATTACAACAGCTTTCTAACCAATCTACTGGTTTCATTTGTGCTTTTCTAAACTATTCTGTAAGTCACTGTCAGTTTCTAGAAAGCAAAACTGCTCATTTTCCCATTATACTTAAAACATTTCATTTGTTCCTCATCTCTTTCAGGATAAAATTCAAATTCCTTGATATGGCAATAACAAGCACTTGGTGGTTTGGCTCCAGATTCCCTTTAAAGCTTGCATTTCATTCATTTATTAAGCAAAGAACATGTGCTGAGCACTCTGCTAGGCAATTAAGATGCAAAGAGAATAAGACAGTTCCTGTCCCAAAGAAACTCATAGTCTAGCAGAGGAGAATGACATGTAAACAAATGTTTTTTTACAAAATAGGGAAACAGGAATAACACCAGGAGTCTAGTCTAGGCTCACCTCTCTAGTCTAATTTCAGCCATTCTCCACATAGGCACACAAACACAAACACAACTCTAACTGTGGCCTTAAAGCAAAGATTACAAACTAAAAACTCAGGAGCTGAATCATATCAGAAAATATATTACTTTTTTATGGCTGCTATAACAAATTATGACAAATTTGGTGTCTTAAAAAAACACAAATTTATCCTTCTATAGTTCTGAAGGCCACACAAGTTCAAAATCAGTTTCACCGGGCTAAGCTCAAGGTGTTATTAGAAGGGCTGGTTTCTTCTAAAGGATCAGGGGAAAGTTTTTTGTTTTTTGGTTTTTTTTCTAGTTTACAAAGCCTGGCTGCATTCTTTGGCTTGTGAACCCTTCTTCGCATAATTCCCATCTCTTGCCTCCATGTCACGTCTACTTCTCTTTTATAGTCAAATCTTCCTCTGCCTCCCTCTTCCAAGGACACTTGAAGTGTTGTTACATTTGGGACCCTTTCAGATAATCCAAGATAATCACCCCATCTCAAGATTCTTCTCCTTAATCATATTTGCAAAATCCCTTTTGTCACTTAAGATAACATATTCACAGGTTCCAGAAATTAAGACCTGGATATCTTCCAGGACCATTATTCAGCCTGCCACAGAAGACATGTTTTACTTTGTCTACAGAGTGGTAATTTAAAAAAAAAAACAAAAAACAAAAAAAAAACTTGCTAAGAATGAAAAATTTTAAGATACTATATGAAAATTCGCATTTCTGGCTTATTTTGAGAAGCCAGGAAGATCTGACCTCTCTGGACCTGCAACCCATCTACATGGCTATGATAGGCCCATGCCTTCAAAGTGGCCTGCATTTGGCTTAGTACCCATCAGTTCCTACTGCCCCGCATTCAGCTGCATTTTCTCATCCACACTGTCTGCCTGGTGCCTGGAGACATTGGAGTGTGTGAGCCTTGTGCTAAAATTTTTGTGCCTTTTTGCAAGTCTCCACCTTCATAGATGTTCATCTCCTCCTCCTAGAGTTCTTTTTCTCATTCTCCTTCCTCTGCAATCACCTGGATACGCCTACTCATCCTTCAAGAACAAGTGAAAGTTCTCCCTGTCTGGGAAACTTTCTCCACATCTCCTGTCTGTGTGGAATAGTAGCTCTCAACACCTGTATGTTAATGTTTGGTTCACTTCATCTGTCACCTCCTTGAAGGCAGAGTTAGAGTCTTCTATCATTAGCACATCACCCACAGTGGGAATTCAATAGATGTTTGCTGAATAAATATATGTGATGGATGAAACCAGTGACACTACAGATATGGGTGTTTATTATGAAGTTAAAAAACACTATTAAAATGCTATTAAAAGAAGAGATTTCAGCTATAAAAAAGAGGATAATTTTTATTTTCCCATATAGCAGCTTTCTAGAAAGAAGAGAGGGGACCACATACTTTTGAATGAGAAAAGATTTGAGGCTGTGTCCAGCCTCCCTGTAAGAGGGAGGCAGAGGAACATTTGACTATAAAAGAGAAGTAGTCATGACGGGGAGGCCAAGGAGGGCAGATCGCTAGAGCTCACGAGTTTGAGACCAGCCTGGGCAACATGGCAAAAATCTGTCTCTACAAAACAAATAAACAAACAAAAACACCACATGCACGCACACACACACACACACACACACACACACACATATATTAGCCAGGCATAGTGGTGCACTCCTGTAGTCCCAGCTACTCAGGAGGCTGAGGTGGGAGGATTGCTTGAGCCCAGGAGATTGAGGCTGCAGTGAGCAGTGATCATGCCACTGCACTCCAGCCTTGGCAACAAAGTAAGACCCTGTCCAAAAAAAAAAAAAAAAAGAAAGAAAGAAAGAGAGACAGAGAGAAAGAAAGGAAAGAAAGAAAGAAAAAGAAAGAAAGAGAAGATTTGAATTCAGGGAGAGTATTAAAGAGTATGGAAAAGAACCAGGCCAGATTCAGGATGACTGGGAAACATAAGACCTGGTCATACTCTGCTTTACAAGAGTGACAGATCTACAAATAATATCAGAGGGCTGGATGTCTAGCATCATTTCAGTTCTAGCATGGTGAAAGTGCTCTAAAGAGATACAATTTGAATAATGACATTGGTAAAATCTTGTGGAAGACGCAAGGGAGACGGAAAGCTTACCTGAATCATGAATTATTCATGCTTCACTGGAGAACAATGAGGTAGAACTTTGGCTTTTATTACCGCTTCTGGTACAAAGTGATTAGTTTTAATTTTAGATGATTGCACATGCTTATGTAACACACTAAATTCTATTTGGGTATTAACATTTTTGTTTTGACCATTCCAATTTGAGACAATTTACTTGAGGTTATGGAATTGTTTCTTTCTAATGAATGCATTAGAATTGAATATTAAGATATATGGAAGACTTCTTCCCAGTCCTCACGGTTAATCAAATAAAGTAATTTTTGTCTCTGATGCAGAACTAGAGATGAATAAATCTTTGAACTAAAATTAGATTAAACTGACACAGTTGTCTGAAGAACAGAAATATGCACACCCTTTGCTAATATTTATTACCAGAGAACATGCGTGTTTTTTGCTGTTGATCATAGAGATGCTGGCTGTGACATGAATTGAACTTAAGTTACAAGTTGAATTTCTAAAGTTGGCAAAGGTGGTTTAGCTGTTTTTTCACAACAAAGAATATTGACTATGTAGTGGTGAACAGAAACAATCTAAACAATCTAATATCAGGGTTGTTTACCATAATCACATGAATTTAGCTATAGATACCCTGTTCAATTTTTGCTAATCAATAGTTATAACAAGGGTTTTGAATCTAGAATTTCTTTGGTTGTCTCGCATATTCTGCTTATTTTCAAATTATAAGGGGGTAGTTATGGATCCCTTATGAAGCTTATTTTAAGATTGTGTTACTTTTATTTATATTAAAGTAGACTCATTCATATTATTGTTATGCAGTTTTTAAAAATTGATCTCAGCAGAGAAAATGGTAATTTTTTCTGTGATCCACCACCCACTGATACCATAAGTTCAAAGTCAAAAGAATGACTGCAATAATTTAAAAGACAACTAGATGAATTATTTTCAGCTAAGAAAAAAGTATTAATGAAAACAACATTAAAAATACTGATTTTAATATTAAGGTTATAATAATCTTTAATCTCAGGATCAAGGCTTAATTTAAATTTGCAGGCAATTAAAAAACAACAACTCTACATGTATTTAAACCTCTAGTGATCTCAGACTGTGCAGCTCTCTCTTGGAATTAAATGAGTCTCATGAAGTGTGTTTTTCAAGAATTAGTATAATGGCCTAGATCTGAAGAAAAGTTTTAGTTTTTACATTTTGAAACACAGACAGTTTTAAAATATCTTAGACTGAAAATAATCTTTTTTCATCTTAACACTATGCATTTTGAACTAAAAATGTATATTTGGTTCAAACAGTACTGTGGAAATAATTGTATACCTAAACACGTGTTGTTTGTGTTAGGATCACCTGTTAACTTGTTGACTTTTTTTCTGAAATAATAGAAAAGCTAGTCCCTAATATTTGGAGATAATTGTCATGATTTAATTGTTCTTATCATATGAATAGAGATAAAATTGATTCTAGAGAGCTGAAATGTAATAATTCTCTTCCAAATTATGAAGATGAAGGTTCATCCCCACAAACTTTGGCAAGTGACATTTCTTAAACTTCTTTTTCAAAATAGGACAAAAATGAAGAATCTATACTTTTTAGAGCCAAGAGTGACAGAGGGGTCACTTTTTAGTTGTCTTCAGCCTGGCTTTAGCCACCAGTGCAAGTCTTCTGCTGTTTTTGTGTAGGAGTTGCCCATCTCATCAGTTCAAGTGCATTTTCTCAAAGCACAAAGGTAGAATACTGTCCCCTCTTTCCCTCTCAAGAGTTGCCATGGTAATATCCTTTCCTTGTGCTTCATGAGAAGCAATGGCTTTCTCTACCAACTAAGAGAGCTGAAAGTTCGCCACCTGCTTCACTCTTCAAGAATGAGTTGGTCTTAGTCATCACACAATCCCCTCTCCCTCACATTTCCCAACCCCACACTCTGAAAATGTAAGCCCTTCGGAAGATGAATGACCTTTAGGATATTGCTTCTGCAAGGTTGATGGCACTTACTTGAGAGATTAGATTTCATTAGATCATTCCATGGAGCTTTCCTTTACCTATGCCATTTTTTGCTTTACCTTCTGATGTCTCATTTTCTCTGAGAGAGAAGAGATGTAACAGTAGCATTTACTTCCTCACAATCATTTCTAAGAATATTGCTGCTGTTTGCCTACTACCTGAGGATTCTTGGAAGAAAAGTGCTTTGTGCTTCTAAAAGGTATGAAACATTTTTTGGTATTTGTTAAGAGATTTACCAAATTGAATGACTCTTAGAATAAAAGTGAACAACTCTACCTGGAAAAGAAAGCCAGAAAAATGTCTGAAAATACTCTATTCTTCTGAAGCCTTAAAAATTCACTGTGAGTTCAATTTAAGGTGTTAGAAGGGGCAAAGCTAGAGTGAGATAATGCAGTTATGCTCAGTACAGTGGGTTTCAGCTAAAGGTTACTCTTTAAAAAATAAAAATAAAAAACAACTTTGGTTTTTATATCTAGAGAGAAATCCTTCTTTCCTAGCTAGAGGAATTTTGATAGTGACAAGTCCACATCCTGTGACATCTGAAAACATGCCGAGGGCTCATAAGGAATCCAGTGGTTTTGGTATCTTGAAACATCTGCTAAAGAGAGGTTCTGGGAGGATCTAACAGTCCATGAAGAGTGGTCATACTCTGTACTACTTTAGGGGAAAATCTCACTTTAATGGTACCTTTTAATATAGTAAGCCTAAAACACTACATTCTCTTCTTACTCTGAGGAAAAAAAATTCTCCATTTTGAATTTTCTGGAGATGGAAAATGCCACGAGAAGAGGCAACCCATGTTTTATTCAGAGTATAGACTTTTAGTGATTAATACAATTCATTCATTCATTCATTCATTCATTCAATAAACATTTATTGAGTACCTATTATTATATGCCACAAACAGTTAATCCATAAATAATTAATTGAGACTTCGTTCCTTTCAAAGAGGGACTCAGATGGGGTAAGATGGACACATAATCAAATAATCATACTACATGGTGATAACTGCTTATGGTAAGTAATATAGAAGCTCCTCAGAGAACAAAGTATCTAAAGTTTGTCAGATATTTCCAGATGTAATTCTATAACAAATCACTCTCTACAGAACTTTTTATGTCCTTTCTGTATGGATATCAAAGATGATGCTTTGGGCTTCCTGACCAGGCCTCTAAAGGGCCATAGCCCACACTGTGCATGGTGTGCTTTGAAGTCAGGCAGTGTACCACCTACATAGACCATACATGGTGGCCCTGTGCCTAGCACGTGCTGCCTCTCAACTTGCTGAAAGAATGGATGAATGGATGTTCATGTAGTGGGATGGTTTTTGGGGTAGATAACATGTTACATAGAAGAAGAAAGTGGGGAAGCTGTGGAGGTGAGGCAAGTTTGGGTCCCATTTCAAAATAAAGTCCTCTACATAATGGCAGAGAGAAGAAACCACATTTATAACAGTAACAAATATTTAGGAATAAAGTTAACAAGAAATATCTAAAATCCATATGAGGCAAACATTTAGAAATATCTAAAACCCATATGACATAAGCATTAAAACACTCCTCAAGTACACAAACATAGACTTGAAGAAATGAAAAGTACACCCACTATTCTTCAATAGGAAAACTCATGACATGTACCCTAAATGAATTTATTAATTTAATGTAATCCCAATAAAAATACTAACAAGCTTTGCTATGGAGTCAGATAAGTTGATACTAAAGTTTTCATATAAAAACAAGCATGAAAGAATTGCCAAGAAGAAAGAAACAGCACTAAAAAAGATAAGCATGAAGGAGGACTACTTTTATGAAGCATTAAAACGTATTAGAAAGCTTCTATAATTAAAGCAGTGTGGTACTGTTGCATGAATAGACAGAAAGGCAAGTGAAACAGAATAGAAAACCCAGATAGATATCCAAGTTCATACAGAAATTCACTGTATGATAAGAATGGCATCTCAAATCACTGAGTCAAAGATGTACCTGAGTAGCCATTTGGGGAAAGGAAATTAGATTCCACAATACACCAAAGAATAAACTCCAGATTCCTCAGAGAACTAAATGTAAAATTATAGTAACTTAAATGTCAACAGAAAACGGGAGTGAATACCTCTTTAATATTAGGGTGGGAAAGACTTCCTAACTATAACTCAAAATCCAGAGACAATTAAAAGAAAAGTGATAAATTTAACTACATAAAATCAAAACCTTTTTTTATAACTTCTGTGATATTCCTGCCAAGACAATCAGGATCTAATCATAAGGAAATATTAGACAAATCTAAACTGAGGAGAATTTTACAAAATAACTGCCCTATAATGTTTTAAAGTGCCAAGATTATGAATGTCACTGATAGAACATCTCCTTCCACGCTGGAGGAGATTGAAGGGATGTGATAACTAAATGGAACACATGATTCTGAATTAGATCTATTTGCTATAAAGGACATTCTCAGTACAACTGGTAAAACTTAAATGGGTTTGAGGATTAGATAGTAGTAATATATCAATGTTAGGTTCCTGAATTTGATCCTTGTATTGTGATTATAAGGGATACTTTCCTTGTTTGTAGGAAAATCACACTAATATTTGGGGATGATGGTGCAACAGGTCAACAAGTTACTCTCAAAGGATTCAGGAAAACCAAATTTCTTTGTATTGATTTGCAACTTTTTGTAAGTTTGAGATTGCTTTAAGCCGTGTGTGTGTGTGTGTGTGTGCAAACTCTCTTGATAAATGATTGACTTCATGGGAAAAAGTTTAATTACCAAAAGTGACCTCAGAAAAGATTTGAAAATATAATCAGGAATTATCAGAGGAGAAATATGGAATGTTGTCAAAAAACAACCCCCAAACCATTATCAAGTCCATATGCTCTCACAATAAAATCCTACTTAGCTCCTAAAGGATAGTTCCATTGTTACCTAAATTGCCCTAGAACATAGGAAAAGAAGTAAAGCTTCCAAATAATTTTCATAAAATGAGAAAACATTGATATCGGAACCTAAATATGACAGCAAAAATAAAGAAAGAAAGAAAATGGCAGATTAATCTTTCTTATGATGATATAATCTAAATAAAACATCAACAAACAAAATTCAGCAGCACTTTAAAAGGATAATAAATTATGACCAAGTGGCATTTTATCTAGAAGTACAGGGATAGTTTAACATCAGAAAAAAACTATTAAAATAATTTATCACATTAATAAAACAAAATGTAAAAGTATATGATCATGTTCAAAGATGCTGAAAATGTATTTAATAATATGCAATATCCATTCTTCATAAACAATCCATACACAAGATAGGAATTAGTAGATACATTTTATCATGTTGAAGAAGAACACATCTTCACCTTAAAGGGACATCATGTTACTTTAAAATTGTACCCTGGAAACCCTGGAAATGGTCACATAAGCTAATGAGCAAGACAAGGATGCCTACTGCTATTTAACATTCTTCTAGAAGTCCTGGTTAATACAATTAGAAAAGATAAAGAAGACAAATGAATAAACACTGGAAAAAGGGAAGTAAAAGTACTGTCATTTGTAGGTGATGTGATTCTCTATGTGGAAAACACAAGAGAATCAACTGGAAAACTATGTAAACACTGAGATAATTCAGTGAAATAGTAGAGTACAAAATTATATAGAAATAAATTTCCCTCATATATGCAGACAATGCTGTGAACCTCAACTACTGGTAGAGGACTCAGCATTTCCAGTAACATCTTTGGGTTTTTTTCTTTATCATATGGATACACATCAGAGATGAGTTATCTAAGCCTATAATCTGACTTTTCTCTCTGGTAACTGTTAGGATTTTCTCTGTGATCTTAATATTCTCAGTTTCAGTACAATGCTGTCAGATGTGCATTGATTTCACCTACTCTCCTCAGTAACTGGCATGCTCCCTTCATTTAATACCTCATGTTTCTTTATAGACAAGGTGATTCTCTTGGAGAATCTAAGCCATTTTTTATTTAAATATTGCATCTCCTCCTTCTCTGGAACTTTAATTAGATATATATAGGACCTGATTTTTCTATCCCCAATGTCCCTTAATATCTCATTCATATTTTCTATTTCTTTATCTTGCTTTGGAATTCTCATGATTTGCTAGCTCTGTCACTCAATTTATTTATGTATTTATTTTTGAGATGAGAGTCTGACTGTCGCCCAGGCTGGAGTGCAGTGGCCTGATCTCGGCTGACTGCAAGCTCCACCTCCCGGGTTCACGCCATTCTCCTGCCTCAGCCTCCCGAGTAGCTGGGACTACAGGCGCCCACCACCATGCCCGGCTAATCTTTTGTATTTTTAGCGGAGACGGGGTTTGACCATGTTAGCCAGGATGGTCTCAATCTCCTGACCTCGTGATCCGCCCGCCTCGGCCCCGCAAAGTGCTGGGATTACAGGCGTGAGCCACTGTGCCCTGCATGTCACTCAATTTAATACTTTTCTTTTGGTCATATATAGTCTACATAGGGGTTAGAGGAAAACTTTTCCTTTGCCCTCTGAAGCTTCCTGAAAATCAAGTGACAAAAGGCAGATATAACAGAAAGGGCACACGAAATTTCCATTTTTTTCCTTGAAGCAAACTGACCCTTTGTTCATTTTAGTCAGCTTAAAACTAAGGAACACATTTTCTTCAGGGAGATGCAGAAACTGCAGTTCTGATTTCAGCATGGTGTGATTCAAAACGACTTGTAATACTGTACCTCTGAGAAGTAGAGATTTTAGTGGTGATGGCCCCAAGATAAAGCTGCATTACTCCAGTGTGACATAAGTAGGGGGCTGTCCAGTGGAAAGAATTATGGGTAATATATTATGGAGTTATTACAAAGACAGCACACAAATCCCAGCTGGCTTGAATAACCTATTTCTGAAGTGTATTTACATAATCAAGAAAACTTCCCAAAGGAATTACTGAACATTCAGAATAATTTGCCAATAGTTAGGTTTCAAAACATAAGCCATGGAAGCAAATCATAAGCCATGGAAATATATTGGACTGAGTCATTTTCCCTCTGCAAGTAATATGGGCTGAATTATGAAATATGCAGCCAGTCTAGCTCCATTTTAAGAGTGATTCTGAAGACTGTTATGGGAGATATAGTCAAGCAGACATTACAAAATGTGTAAACAAATAATGTATGAAATTAAACAGGGGACATAACCAGGAAAAACTTACCATATGTAATAATCAGCATCATTCAGTTTTTAACTAATTGGGTCCCAAAGAGTCAAAACTAAATCAATGCCAAATAACTGAAATTTAACTGGCTGTGTGCAGCGTTGCTAACATTACTACTAAAGCCAGAAATAGAAGAGTGTCTTCCTTGATTAGGAGGAAAATCACATCTTTAACGTAAGTTCTTATTTCCTCCATCCCAGTAGAATTGCTTGGGTTTACTCTCGAGGATAGAGTTTTTTTGAAAACTATAAGTATAAATCTTATTCTTTGGGGTTCTAGCCTTTCTGCCCAAGTGCAGGGTAGCTCAGAACTAGTCTTTTTCTACTATACAAGGGCTTCCAGCTGGTCTAGAGTGCCTGCAGCCATCTGGGGGTCCTTCCCTTTTGCTTAGTGATCCCCAGTGACCCTCTCCCCAGCAGCACCCTTCAGACCCCACCATGTCTCCCTATCCACTTGCATGGACAATAGAAATCCAAAGGAACCAGAGCCCCATCCCCATCTCTTTTCTTTCTAAAAGCGAACTAAAGCAATGAATTTTATTTTAGGCTTCCTACACACAGCCACAAGATTTATTTTCCACTACCTGGCTTCTACTTCTCAACAAAAGCAGTTGCGCTAACCATGGTAATCAGTTCTTTCCGCCAGCAATAAAGCACAAATACCACAAGTCTGAGCTTATTTTTTAAAAGAAGCACAATTTAAAAATCTTATGAAAGTTGATGCCTGGAGCTGTGGGTATAATGACCTCTCTTTTAGAATCAACATTAGACTCAGATTGTATTTCCAAGTGAAAAGGCTGCTGGGCCAGAGCAAGTGACCTTTGGATGAGTGACTACTTGTTACCTTGTCAGCCTTGGTGCTGCCTGCCATTAGAAAGAACTACCAAGTAATAAACTATTTACAGCCTGCACTTATCTATCCCCTAAAGAGCACTTTCTGGGGTGTGGAAAAAGAGGCAATTGATTTTTTTCTATCTGATAGTCATCATCTTATACTTAGGTCATCTAACAGCCTAGCACTGCTTATGTTCAATTCTCAGGGTACCTTATATAACAAGGGCAGTTGACTTTTCTTTTTCTTTTTTGACAGATTTTAAAAGCCTAGTGTTTTTGCAGAACATAAAATAATACCTAGAGTTATAGACAAATTAGGTGCAGAGACAAAGAAGACAGAAGGAGGCTATCCTGTCCTAATGAGTCTCAATTGAAAATATCCAAATTCTCTCTCTATGCCCTCCAACCATTTTTATTCTGATCAAGAATTATCTTGAACTCTGAACATTTCTTTTGGAATTTTTAAAACATGTAAATTCACGTAATATCCCAAAATTCTGGTTCCTACATCTGAAAAATAAAGTTTTTCTTTACCTCTTAGATTGTTTTGATTTTAAGAAGTAGATAACATGTAGCAAGAAACTTCTACTTTTATGGTTAGTTTGTGTGGTGGAACAAGTTTTTAGACAAGGAAGTCATCAGGATACTTTTTAAAAACAAATAAATTGCATATGAATGTTTTCAACAGATATTTTCTGAAGATCTCGTATTCCTCGGTATCCAGACTATCTGGGTGCCAGAGATCACCAGAAACCTAACATGGTCTCGTCTTCAGGCCTGATAGTGCAACTGAGTACCCTGCTTTTAAAGTTTTACTCTTTTTTTTCTTTTTGTTTACTTAACCACTGGGTGCCCCCTCACATTGTTAGTGTATCTAATTATCTTAAAACACTACAGGTGTTACTGGAAAGAGGTCCTGATCCAGACCCCAAGAGAGGGTTCTTCGATCTCACGCAAGAAAGAATTCCAGGCGAGTCCATAAAATGAAAGTAAGTTTACTAGGAAAGTAAAGGAATAAAAGAATGGCTACTCCATAGGCAGAGCAGCCTTGAGGGCTGCTGATTGCCCATTTTTATGGTTATTTCTTGATTATATGTGAAACAAGAGGTGGATTATTCATGCCTCCCCTTTCAGACCATATAGGGTAACTTTCTGACATTGCCATGGCATTTGTAAACTGTCATTGGCACTGCTGGGAGTGTAGCTGTGAGGACGATCAGAAGTCACTCTTTTTGGTTTTGGTGGGGTTTAGCTGGCTTCTTTACTGCAACCTGTTTTATCAGCAAGATCTTTATGACCCATATCTTCTGTTGACTTCCTAACTCATCCTGTGACTTAGAATGCCTAACCTTCTGGGAATGCAGCCCCATATGTCTCAGCCTTATTTTACGCAGCCCCTATTTAAGACGGAGGTGCTCTGGTTCAAACACCTCTGACACAGGCACCTGTGGAAATCTCCCCCACCAAGGGATTGCTTCAAGGCTACAGTTAACTTACAACCCAACCGAGCCTGAGATGATGCCAACCCATTCACCATATGGGGCAATAACTCAAGAAAAGTCATTGGAACAAATCACGTAGACCTGCACTGCCTCACCCCTACATACCCTCTATGCCAAAACTTTCCCTTCATAAACCCTTGCATTTCACCTGGAAACTTGAAGCGGTTCCATTAAGGCAAGAGCCTGGATCATTTTCCCCACTGCTAGCTTTGGTTTATAATAAAGTCACTCTCCTACCATACCTCAACCTTGCTAGTTGGTTTTGTAAGCTGCGAGTGGTTGAACCTGCATTTGGTAACAATAGCCTTGCTGGAGAGACAAGATATGTAGACATACAAGCCAAAGAGTCTGTATTAGTCATGGACAGAACTAGAGGGACAGAACTAATAGTGATATAGGAGTTAAAAAGAAATTAGGCAGATAGTGAGGGTAAAGGAAGTCCTTGGTAAGGTTTCCCTTCTATTAAAAAGCAGCCCCCAAATCATTTATTTTCTAACAAAAAGCAGCCTGTAAAATTGAGCTGCAAACATAGATGAGGAAGCTGGAAGCTTGCGTGGGTGAATGTCAGCAGCTGTGACAACAGGAAAAGTCTACCTGGGGCTACAGGCATGTTCAACATGGTGGCTCCATCTTCCCTTTTCCTTATCAACCATGTGTACAGTAAGGAGCAGACAACATGGTACCAGCCAGGTAAAAATACATTTGCATAATAAAAGATTAGCATGGAGTAGCCAGCTTCTTCACGTACTGTGTAAATGTCACACCTGGTCCAACCAATCTTTGAGCGCTGTGTAAATCAGACACTGCCTCATCAAGCTAGTCTATTAAACCCCACGCATTTCACCACAGAACCAGAAGACCCACTCAGGAGCCCCTCTCTCTGCAGGAAAGAGAGCTATTCTCTTTTCTCTTTCCTTTGCCTATTAAACCTCTGCTGTTAACCTCATTCCACATGTGTCCGTGTCCTTGATTTCCTTGGCATGAGGCAGCAAACCTCGGGTATTACCCCAGATGAATGACGCCGCTTCAATAGGACATATGTGTTTATGAAGGGGACTTTATTAAGGAGTATTGACTCACACAATCACAAGTTGAAGTCCCACAGTAGGTCTTCTGCAAGCTGAGGAGCAAGGAAGCCAGTTTGAGTCCAAAAACCTCAAAAGTAGGGAAGCTGACTGTGTAGCCTTCAGTTTGTGGCTGAAGGTCCGACAGCCCCTGGAAAACCCTGGTGTAAATCCAAGAGTCCAAAAGCTGAAGAACTTGGAGTCCAATGTTTGAGGGCAGGAAGCATCCAGCATGGGAGAAAGATGAAGGCCAGAAGACTCGGCAACTCTGCTCTTTCCAACTTCTTCTGCCTGCTTTATTCTAGACACACTGGCAGCTGATTAGATGGTGCCCACCCAGACTGAGAGTAGGTCTGCCTTTGCCAGTCCACTGACTCAAATGTTAATCTCTTTTGGCAACACCCTCACAGACACACCTAGGAACAATACTTTGCATCCTTCCATCCAATCAAGTCGACACTCAATGTTAACCATCACAGAGTCCAAGATAGCATATACTCACGTGGGCCTGGCTATAGGCAGGACAAGACTAACATGGGACCCCATGTGTTGGGGAGGTCACTAAGGGGCCTCCTGGAGGGCTCCTGAGCCAAGGAGCTGAGCCTTCAATTGCAGTGAGTGTGGCTTACCAGGATTGCAGAAAGAAAGCTCCTTATGCTATGGGATTTACCTTTTGTAGCAGTGAAAGGTAAGTTTAGAGAGGGAGAGTAGGAGATTACAGAGGAGAATTATGGGCTTGGATTCAAACCTAGATCTTTTGGGAAATGCCTCTCATTTTGTGCCTTTATTGTAGTAGTCTCCATAGTAGGGTACATGTATGCAAGGATTTGCATAAGATAACTCATTGGGATGTAGAAAGAAAGTAATAAAACTTTTATTTATATTTATTCTGTATTGTATCCTTTAAACAGTTCTGTTTTAATTTTTTGGATTGTGTGTAACAAATTGGGCTACATGGATATAATTTTAAAGAAATATAAATATTTTGGGGATACGGTATCCAATTTTATTTTCTGATAGAAGTGAATGGTCAGGTCAGGTGTGATGGCTCACATCTGTAATCCCAGCACTTTGAAAGGCCGAGGCGGGAGGATTGCTTGAGCCCAGGAGTTTGAGACCAGCCGGGGCAACACAGGGAGACCCCATCTCTACAAAATAAAAAAATTAGCGGGCATGGCTGCTCATGCTGGTGGCCCCAGCTAATTGGGAGGCTGAGATGGGAGAATCATTTGAGCCCAGGAGTTTAAGGCTGCAGTGAGCCATGATCACCCCACTGTACTCTAGCCTGAGTGACAGAGCAAGACCCTATCTCCAAAAAAAAAAAAAAAAAAAAAAAGTGCCTGGGACTATGTTAAGTTTTTTTACGTAACGATGTTATTTCATTTAACCCACACAATCTATGCAGTAAATAGTGTAGAGGCAAAAGGAAATTTTCTCCCTCTGCTTCTGAAGGTTTGATAATTTCTGTCTATAAAACAACTGACAATAGACAGATTAACAGGAGACAGGGCATACAAATTTATTAATGTGCACATGTGCATGGGAGCCACACAAAATATGAGACTCAACGAAGGGTCACATGACTGAAGTTTTTACACTGTACAGAGAGAAATAGA
This sequence comes from Homo sapiens, assembly GCF_000001405.40. NCBI lineage: Eukaryota > Metazoa > Chordata > Mammalia > Primates > Hominidae > Homo > Homo sapiens. The sequence goes on from NC_000005.10 coordinate 108,521,139, forward strand.
GCCTTGGAGCTCCTGGGTGAAGTGGCCGCAGGTTACAGGGGTTATGGGGAGATGAGGGGAGGAAATACCAAGGTTATCTGTTATACGGATGCATTTCCTTGGGGAGCAGCCCTCAGGCTGGCTGGAGTAAAAGTTTCTGTATCTGAACTTTTAAAGTGCCAGACCTTTACAGTCTTTTTCCTGTGCGTTTTCTTTTCTAAAACCAGATAAGGCAGATAAGGGAGCCTCAGAGAAAGGATGTTTGCATCTGCTGTTTACTTCATGAGTGCAGATTTCCTCTACAGATGCAAATCTCCCTCACAAAAGGACAGCTTTCAGATCTATTCCTGTGTCTGCAGTCCCTCTGAACAGCCATCTCGAAATATGCCAAAGAAGTGTATTTTGGGGTGGCCTATTTTGGTTTCCCACAGTAGTGTATGTGATCTCATTTTACGGAATTGAAACTCAGACAGGTATAGTAACATGTCCAAGGTCACTCAGACAGTAAATGGCAGAATCAAGTTCGAAGCCTGAACTGCCAGCTCCAGAGCCTATAAACTACATTTTCATTCTTTTGGTCTAACAAAGTCCTAATTGTCAGATCTTGCTTGATATAAGTAGTGTGGACTTTTTTCCCTGTCATTTATGAAGCACAGATGAATGGTTTTCATAATAATAGTTTATGTCATAATAATAGTTTATTCCAAGAAATCATGCAGCAGGAATCTTTCAGAATTCTTAAAAGTATTTTTAATAGCTTTGCGTGATGTACCAACACTAGAGTAAAATCAATAAATACTTCTGTTGATTTGTCCACTTGTCCTCTAGATCCTTAAGACATTTTGTATGGGGTTAAGATACTCCTTTTCCAGAAGAGAGGCTTTATGTATATGTGCCATACCGTTAGTAGCCAGGAGAGGTCACCATTTATAAAGACTTAAAGGCATGTGGCCCTACCTCTCTTGTAATTATACTTGAAGATAGGGCTATATGGCACAGAAAACTGGGAATGGAAAAGCCAAAGGTCAAATTCCATTGCGCAGAATCCTTTATGGGGCACAGCAATTCGTTTCCCTACTTCTCTGGACTGCTCAAGACAACATTCTCTGAAACTAGTAAAGTCTGGGAGTGGTGGAGGCCACCTGAAGAGTGATGTGACACACTCATTATTGTGGGGGTGTATAGGTATAAGGCACACATCAGTCTCCACCACTTTGCATATACATGCAGTTGGGAGTTCCTGAACACTGTAGTACCTAGGCAAAGTGCTTGGTTCCAAGCCAGTCAGAACAGTCTAGTAATGATCAAACTATAGAGCCTATTGACCTGAAGACTATAAGACAAAACCTCTTCAATAATGGAACAATTAGAACCCATGTCCTGGGTCACTCAAAGACTAATATTCCTATAATGAATATGTCTACCTGAATTATCTTCATATTTTCCATCCAAATCTTGCCATAGTTCAATTTGCTTTATTACAAAGTTTTTTCCCCCTGAAGTTCTAATTTATTCTTCTTGATAGAAGAATAATTTACTTTCGTTTTGTTGTTGTTGTTATTGTTTGTTTTTGTTTTTTTGAGACAGAGTCTCGCCCTGTCGCCCAGGCTGGAGTGCAATGACGTGATCTCGGCTCACTGCAACCTCTGCCTCTCAGGTTCAAACAATCTCCTACCTCAGCCTCTCAAGTACCTGGGATTACAGGCGCCCACCACCATGCCCAGCTAATTTTTTTATTTTTAGTAGAGACGGGGTTTCACCATGTTGGCCAGGGTGGTCTCAAACTCATGACCTCATGATCTGCCCGCCTCAGCCTCCCAAAGTGCTGGGATTACAGGTGTGAGCCACTGCGCCTGGCCTACTTTTGTTCTTTTTTTTTTTTTTTTTTAATAATGTCAGAACATCTATTCCCCTTACTTTTGCTATTTGTTGTCTTGGATCCGTTCTGTTTTTCTCAAGGACCACTTCTGATTCTTCCGTTTTCATAGGATTTTTGTTTCATCTGTATAATACCTTTTTTTCCCCTCAATGGTGATGGTTTCCTAATCTGTCTGTGATTTTGTCTGACAGTGTTGATTTCCAAAGAGCTGGCCTGGAGTGCCTTTGCTGTTTTTCTCATTGGTTCTTTAGCATCATCAGGATGGCTGACCAGGAGCTCTACATCCATGGGGAGTGGGGGCAGACAGGGAGCTGGCCATAACGCAGGAGTGGCCTCCAAATGTCAGAATGGTAGTGGCTGCACACATGTACTCTAATAACTCTAATTCTCCTCTGACAGTTGACTAAATTCCTAAGAGAAGAGCCCCCTGATTTTTTGCCTGGGAATGAAATTCTTGGTATCCTAGAGAGAAGAACCTGGGAGAGGAGCTATTCAGAGGCACAAGGTCCATCACCCCCTCACTCTTTTTGGTTCCCCTTTCCATCTGACTTTCTCATAGTACCTGCTTCCCCAAGCTTCTGCAGAATATCAGCATTCTGATTTCACATGCACAGCTCAGAGTTGTCTTGTCTTTGCTTTATTCAATCTGTCAACAGACTTTCTTTCTTTTTCATTTTCTAGAAATGTCTCAGAATCTCTCCTCCACTGATATGATATGGGTTTAATTCTTTACTATCATTTCACTGAGGTCTAGGGAGAGAGAAGAGATAAGCATTAGTTCTAAATTTGCTATTTGAACCAGAAATCACAATTTGTATCTTGAAGTATAAAAATGTAGTACTTTTCTACGGAATATAGAATGTAGAACTATCTGAATAAGAGATTTTGAGTATTTCACTAGTCTTCAATGTCCTTTAGATTGGGAAGCTTTGGCCTGAGGTAGTTTCTTGCACTGAATTGAAGCCGAGAAATGATATTGCATACCTTCACTGACCTAGTTTTTTTGGTGAAGTTTTACATATGGTATTTAAACTAATGTCTCCTATAAAATGTAAAATACTGACCAAGCGCACAATTGTAAAACACTTGTCAGACCCAGTCTCAGATACAATGGAAAACTTCATAAGAGGCAAAAAAATAGAAGAAAATGAAGAGGGTAATGAACTCATGAGTCAGCCAGAAGAACTTCCTCTATCAGAAAAATGAACACCACGTCTTCCATAAACATTTAATTTCCATTTGAACGTCGCTACTGAGTTTACTATAATTACCTCTTTAGGGAAATGGTTCCACTTTATGACTGTAATTAGCTCCAGGAATATTTTTCCAATTTTCAGTTTGAGTTTGCCCTCTGCTCTTGCCTTACTATTCTTCAGACCTCTTCAATCTAAAGTCTGTTTTCCTCTCAAGTTAGATTTTTTTTTTAGAGTTTTTCTACTTGAAATGTTGTTTCTTTAAATAAATCAGATCTCTTGACCTCTTTCTGTAGTTTCCCTCTCATATCAATAGCTTATCTTTGTTTGTTTCTAGAGTTTAAAGTTCCTCTTAATATTTTATCTCCCAAACTCATTTTTCTTATAATGTATAAGTGAATCTTTTATCCAACTACAAAATAGCACCATCAGAAACCTCTTGCCTTACTTTTCAAATCAGATTTGGGTGACTCTTTCTTTAATAATGTTTCACACTGTATTCAGTATGCTTATAAGTATGTCTCTTGGGGTAAGTTCTTAAGGCAATTTTAAGAATCAGGTGATATTCACTTCCTTATTTGAACTCTCTTTGTCCTGTTTAACCCATAAATTCTGCAAGTGTTAAATTATCAACCAACAAGACTCACAGCTATTCATGCAGACTTTAAGCCCAATAAGTCATCCATCCATCCATCCATCCATCCATCCATCCATCCATCCATTCAACAACAATTTTATTCCAGACACTATGCTACCCACTTGGAAGCAGTAGTGAATTAAAAGTAATGAATTAACAGCCCTTGTTCTCATGGAGCTAGACATCTAGTTTCAACCATGGTAATTCCAACTGTGGTAATGCTATGAAGGAAATGCATGGATAGGATTAACTCTAATGGGACTAGAGGGGTTTAGGAAAGCTTGCTTGAGATTAGAGATGAAATATACAAATCTATTTATTTGTGTGCATGTGTGTAAGTAACATTTAAGAGACATTTTTGGTTTCAGCAGCCATAGTTGTTTGTGTGTGTGTTTTTTAGTAATAGTTTTACTGAGATATACTCCACATATAATATTCACCAATTTTAAATGTACAATTTAATGGCTTTGGCGTATTATATTATTAATTTTTAAAAATTATGGTAAAATGTATATAACATAAAATTTGGCATTAAAAAATTTGACCAAAATGTGGTTATGTGAAAAAAATGGAATTTTAACTATTCTTAAGTGTACAATTCAGTGCCATTAATTACACTCACAATATTATGCAACCATTTCATCACCCCAAACTGAATCTCTATACTCATTAAACAATAACTCCTCTGTTGCGGGAAGTCAGGGACCCCGAACGGAGGGACCGGCTGAAGCCATGGCAGAAGAACATGGATTGTGAAGATTTCATGGACATTTATTAGTTCCCCAAATTAATACTTTTATAATTTCTTATGCCTGTCTTTACTGTAATCTCTAAACACAAATTGTGAAGATTTCATGGACACTTATCACTTCCCCAATCAATACCCTTGTGATTTCCTAGGCCTGTCTTTACTTTAATCTCTTAATCCTGTCAGCTGAGGAGGATGTATGTTTGCCTCAGGACCCTGTGATAATTGCGTTACCTGCACAAATTGTAGAGCACGTGTGTTTGAACAATATGAAATCTGGGCACCTTGAAAGAAGAACAGGATAACAGGAATTATTCACGGAATAAGAGAGATAACCTTAAACTCTGACCACCTGTGAGCCAGGTGGAACAGAGCCATATTTCTCTTCTTTCAAAAGCAAATGGGAGAAATATCGCTGAATTCTTTTTCTCAGCAAGGAACATCCCTGAGAAAGAGAATGCACCCCGAGGGTGGGTCTCTAAAGTGGCCCCCTTGAGTGTGGTCGTCTTCTGTGGTCGAAACTGTAGGGATGAAATAAACCCCAGTCTCCCATAGCACTCCCAGGCTTATTAGGAAGAGGAAATTCCCGCCTAATAAATTTTGGTCAGATCAGTTGCTCTGAAACCCTGTCTCCTTATAAGACGTTATCAATAACAATGGTGCCCGAAACTTCATTAGCAATTTTAATTTCGCTCCAGTCCTGTGGTCTTGTGATCTTGCCCTGCCTCCATTTGCCTTGTGATATTCTATTACCTTGTGAAGCATGTGATTTCTGTGACCCAGACCCTATTCATACACTCCCTCCCCTTTTGAAAATCCCTAATAAAATCTTGCTGGTTTTATGGCTCATGGGACATCACGGAACCGACCGACATGTGATGTCTCCCCCGGATGCCCAGCTTTAAAATTTCTCTCTTTTGTACTCTGTCCCTTTATTTCTCAACTCGGCCGATGCTTAGAGAAAATAGAAAAGAACCTACCTGAAATATCGGGGGTCAATTTTGCCCAATATCTGGCTGAATTTTCCCCGATACTCATTCCTGCTTCCCTCAACCCCTGGTAACCTCTATTCTACCTTCTATCTCTATGAATATGCCTGTCCTGGGTACCTCATATTAGTAGAATCGTATAATATTTGTCCTTTTATGTCTGGCTCATTTCACTTAGATAATGTGTTCAAGGTTCATTATGTTGTAGCATGTAGCAAAATGTCATTCCTTTTCATAGCTGAATAATATTCCATTGTGTGTCTATGTAATACATTTTGTTTATCAGTTAATCTGTTGATGGACACTTGGGTTGTTTCCACATTTTGGCTACTGTGAATAATGCTGCAATTAAACATTGCTGTACAAGTATCTGCTTAAGTCCCTGCTTTCAATGTTTTGAGTAGACACCTAGGAGTGAAATTTCTGGGTCATATGGTAATTCTATAACTTTTTGAGGAATGACTAAACTGTTTTCCACAGTGGCTGAACCTTTCTACATTCCCATCAACAATATATGAGGGTTCCAATTTCTCTCTAAACTCACCAATACTTGTTAATTTCATTTAAAAAATTTATAACCATCCTAGTAGGTGTGGAGTAGTATTTTATCTCTAACTTTTGGAAAAAATGCTAGGCTATTTTCCAAAATGGCTATATCATTTTGCATTCCCATTAACAGTGTGTGAGGATTTTGATTTCTCCATATCTTTGCCAACACTTATTATTACCTGACTTTTCAGGTCTAACCATCCTAGTGAGTATAAAGTGGTATTTCATTGTGGTTTTAACTTGCATTTCCTTAACGACTAATGAATGTCTCTCCATGTGTTTATTGGCCATTTGTATATAACAGATCCTCAAATAACATTCTTTCATTCAATGTCATTTCATTATAATGTTGATAAGAAAAACAAAATCAATTCCCAGCCAGGGCCACTGTCTGCCTGGAGTTTGTACATTCTCCCCATGTCTACATGGGTTTTCTCTGGCTACTCTGGTTTCCTCCCACATCCCATAGCTGTGCCCATTGAGTGAATTGGGGTGTCTGCATCGTTTCAGTCTGAGTGAGTGGGGGTGTGTGTATGAGTGTGTCCTGCAATGGAATGGCATCCTGGCCAGGGCAGGTTCCTGCCTTGTTCCCTGAGCTACTGGGAGAGGCTCTGGCCCCCTGTGATCCTGAACTGGAATGAGTGGGTAAATAATGATCTTGTTTTTATTAATCTTTTCTAAATGTGTGTAGAGCTCACATTTATTTCCATGTATAATATAAGAAGTGTCTTGGACTTTATTTAGAATTTTGGTGATGTTTTTGTGACCAGAAATATACCATAAAAACTTAAACTCTTGCTCATATCAATTAGCCCATGGTTTTGTTTTATGCCATTTTTCCTAAAGTCACAGTTTCCAAGAACCTAACAAACACATTAAATGAGGTCTTAACTGTGTCTTGTTTGGAATAATGTCTGTTCAGTTCCTTTGCTCATTTTTAATTGGTTTATTAGACTTTTTATTGTTGAACTGTAAGAGTTTACAAGCAATAGTTTTAACTTTAAGCTACCGGGCAACCTTTTAAAAAGGAGCTCATCTTAACCCCAGTGAAATAAAAGATGCCCATCTATAACCCTTTGGAAATTTTTGAAATAAAAATTTCTTGAATTTTTATTTGAAATAAAATAAAATTTTATTTGAATTTTGCAATACTTGAAATACTGCAAGGATTTATCAGGGTAATTATTTTCCTGCCTTGATTCCTTTCAGGTTTTCATATGAAGTCAAATGATCAATTCTGCAAGAGAAGAATATCACTTTAATCCAAAGCAATAGTCAAATGGTTGTCTTATTTTGTTCCCGCCCCACAATTTTATTATTTTTCTTGAGCCCTGAGCTGCTTTTTTATTATTTTGAATTAGTGTTTAATTTTTTGTCAAATGTTTATATCTATTTCCATTTTTCATTCCTTCCTACTTGGCTAGAACCATCAAGTTTTATAATTACATCTTTTATACCACTCCTAGGTCATGACCAATTTTGATTCATGTCAAATTAACTCACATTTGATTAATGTCAAATGCATTCAAGGTTATTAATGAGAAATAGTACTTGGAATTTTTAAAGCAGTTTCTACATACAAAGCAGTCTTCAGATAGTAACTAATTATACTTTATAATGTACTTGAAAGATAGATTTATTATTAATAATGTTTGTCCTGATGTCAAATTCCATGAAGTACCCACTTGACATAAATGCCTAATGTGATATAAGTTAATTGAGAAGAACCTTTGCTTTTCAACTTCAGGCAACTGTTTATCCAGATATCATGTTACTAATCTCTTAGCAAATGGTTTTCTTCGAAAGCAATACATCAAAATGTTACTAAAATGTGATAAATTATACCTTGTCTTAATAGAGGAACTATGAATAAAAATCTGCCCTGTAGCATTTGATTTCAAGATAAAAAGAAGGGGAAAGGATTCAATTTATTTTTTAAGTTTTAAACATAAATGCCTTGAGAAATGATTAACCTATTTAAAGCATTCTGAATTTTAAGTTAGTTATTGAATACATACCAGTGGAACAAATTCAATGAATCCTTAGGATAAGGGGAGTGCTAGGAACCAAAAGACTTTGGTTCTAATTAGAACCTTGGCATTAAGTACTTTGGTAATGCTTGGGCAGGTCTCCTAACCTTGACATTTTACTTGTACAGTTGTGGGGGTGGTCACAGTAGGTCAGTTCCATAAAATGGATTAGATATCAATCCCTTCCCATAGGATTGTTTCTTGTGGTATGTACTGACGATTTCCAAAATGTGTGTGTGTGTGTAGTTGTAGTAGTAGTAGTAGTAGCGGTAGTAGTTTCTTACTGATGCATAACAATTACCCTAAAATTTAGCAGCTTAAAATACTTATTATCTCACAATTTCTGTGGGTCAGGAATCCAGGAATAGCTTAGCTGGATAGTTCTGACTCACTGTCTCTCATGAGGTTACAACCAGGCTATTGACTAAGACTGAAGTCATCTTAAAAGGCTGATAGATGCTGAAGGATCCACTTCCAAGCTCACTGATATGGTCATTGGTAGAAAGCTTCATTTCTTCCTTATGTGAGCCTCTCCATAGCTATCATAACAAGGCAGCTGGCTTCTCCCAGAGAAAATAATGAGAGAGAGAGAAAGAGAAACCAAGATGGAAGCCAATGTATTTTACAACTGAATCTCAGAAGTGACACACCATCACTTCTGCCATGTTCTGTTGGTCACACAGACCAGACCTCATCCAATGTTGTATGTACCTAAGACTATGAATATGCAGAGTCAAGGATCACTGGGGATCATCTTGGAGGCTGGCTGTCATAATGCCAGTATACAGGTACATGTATATATTTATGTGTTTGTATTTATTTGTACATATCTGTATGTATGTAGGGGTATACATGCATATATTTCCTAACTGCTGAAAGGGCTAAGAAGCAAAGACATACCAGTAGCAATCAGTATACTGAGCATCCAGATTTTAGTCTCTAATATCAGTCCCCACAGAAAACAACAAAGACTTTTCAGAGAAATGGCTTCCAGTGTTTGGGCATGGGCAGGGGCAGGGTAGGTACAAGGTAATACAGGAACATCTTGTTATTCCAGAAAGTAAAGAACTATTCAAAAACATGATAGGGGCATGTCACAAAGGCACAGAGGCCAGCTGAATAGGTTCCCACTGGCCAAATATGGGAAAATTTGAATACCAAAATCACTAAGTAAAATAATGAGTTATAAATCATTGAAAAATATGAACTCATGAATGTTTACTAATGATAGATAGATGATTGGTAAATAGGTGGATAGATAGATAATAGAATATAAGTGACTTCTCTTGCTTAACACAGAATGACAAGGACTTCCTGATAAATGTCAAGGGAATACTGGATTTGGGAGATCATCATTTGCAACCATGGTGGTAAAGACTGGTTTATACAAGAATCAACAATGCATGCCAAACTTAGGAGGAAATTTAGTGAGGAGCAAGATATTTGCATAGCATTATAATACCTCTCTACTGCCTTCTTATTGATTGCAACTGAGGGAAAACCCCAGTAACCATAGAGTGGAGAAACTGGACAACACTTTGACCAGGTGATTAAAATTAGCATCATCCATGAGGGACAGATGCACATTGTGTGCTTCCAGGTAATATTTACTGTATTAGCCCATTTTCATACTGCTCTGAAGAAATACCCGACTGGGTAATTTTTAAAGAAAAGGAGGTTTAAAGGACTCATAGTTCCCCATGGCTGGGGAGGTCTCACAATCGTGGCAGAAGGCAAAGGAGGAGCAAAGGCACATCTTACATGGTAGCAGGCAAGTGGGTGTGTGTAGGGGAACTACCCTTTATAAAACCATCAGATCTCATGAGACTTATTCACTGTCATGAGAACAGCACAGGAAAAACCCACCCCCATGAATCAGTTACCACCCACCGGGTCCCTCCCATGACATGTGGGGATTATGAAAGCTACAATTCGAGATGAGATTTGGTGCGAACACAGCCAAACCATGTAATTCTGCTCTTGGCCCCTCCCAAATCTCATGTCCTCACATTTCAAAACCAATCAGTTCTTCCCAACAGTCCCCCAAAGTCTTAACTCATTTCAGCCTTAACTCCACAGTCCACAATCCAAAGTCTCATCTGAGACAAAGCAAGTCCCTTCCGCCTGTGAGCATGTAAAATCAAAAGCAAGTTAGTTACTTCCTAGATACAATAGGGGTACAGGCATTGGATAAATACATCCATCCCAAATGAGAGAAATCGGCCAAAACAAAGGGGCTACCAGCCCCATGCAAGTTCGAAATCCAGCAGGGCGGTCAAATTGAGAAGGAAGAAAGGAAGGAACCAGTTAGGCAGATAGCAAAGTCCTCAGTTGAATTTCCTTTCTGATGAAAGAAGCAGCCTGAAAGATTAAACTTCACACACAGATAAGGAAGCAAGGTCCAGCATAAAAGCATGCCTTCTGTGTAATCAGCACATTTCACATATATACAGTGGGGCCTCAGTGAGCACATTCCTTTCCTTTTTTGGATGTACCCAGATAAAGAAGCTTACACTGGGAGAGGTTTACTTGGAACATGTCTGCAGCTGCAAAGATAAGAGGAGCTACACTGGGCTAGGCATGTCTGCAATGAAGAATTCTGCCCCCTAACATTTGTGCAGTAAGGGAGGTTGAACAACATGGAGTAACTCTGGCCAAGAGCCCACATGCGCACTAGGAGGGCAGGGTGGGGGCGGTCAGAAATTCACACCTTACGCAAATGACATACCTAGTCCTAACCGGTTTTTTGCACCTTATGCAAATGAAACATTTTCCCCACTAGCTTGTTTATAAAAGCCTTTGTATTCAACTGTAAAACGGCAACCCTTTATCGGGATCCCTTTCTGCAGCAGAGAGCTTTCTCTCTTTCTTTCACTTACTAAATGTCTACTCTGACCTCTCCCTTGGAGTTCATGTTCCTTGATTTCCTTGTTCATGAGACAAAGAACTACAGGTGGTACCTCAGGTAATGAGGCCATTTCAAAATCTTAAAACTCCAAAAGGATCTCCTTTGACTTCATGTCTCACATTCAGGACATGCTGATGGAAGAGGTGGGCTCCCACAGCCTTGGGAAGCTCCACCCCTGTGGCTTTGCAGGGTACAGCCCCCTCCTGGCTGCTTTCATGGGCTGGTGTTGAATGTCTGTGCACAGTGCAAGCTGTCAGTGGATCTACCATTCTGGGGTCTGGAGGACAGTGGTCCTCTTCTCAAAGCTCCACTAGGCAGTTCCCCACTGGGGACTCTGTGGGGGTTCCGATCCCACATTTCCCTTCCATACTACCCTAGCAGAGCTTCTTCATGAGGGGAACCTCATGATTCTGCAGCAAACTTCTGCTTAGACATCCAGACATTTCCATACATCCTCTGAAATCTAGACAGAAGTTCCCAAACCTCAGTTCTTGACTTCTGTGCACCCACAGGCCCAACACCACATATAAGCCACCAAGTCTTGGGGCTTGCATTCTCTGAAGCAAAGGCCTGAGCTCTGTGTTGGCCCCTTTTAGCCACAGCTGGGATGAAGGGCACCATGTCCTGAGGTTGCATAGAGCATGAGGGCCCTGGACCCGGCCCACAAAACAATTTTTCCCTCCTAGGCCTCCAGGTCTGTGATGGGAAGGGCTGCCCTGAAGGTCTCTCATGTGCCCTAGAGACATTTTCCCCATTGTCTTGGCAATTAGCATTTGGCTCTTCATCACTTATGCAAATTTCTGTAGTCAGCTTAAATTTCTCCCCAGAAAATGGGGTTTTCTTTTCTACTGCATTGTCAGGCTGCAAATTTTCCAAACTCTTATGCTCTGCTTCCTCTTGAATGCTTTGTCACTTAGAAATTTCTTTCACCAGATACCCCAAATCATCTCTTTCAAGTTCAAAGTTCCACATATTTCTATGTGTCCTCTAGGGCAGGGGCAAGAAGGCACCAGTGCCTTTGCTAAAGCACAACAAGAGTCACCTTTGCTCCAGTTTTCAACAAGTTCCTCATCTCTATCTGAGACTACTTCAGCCTGGACTTCATTGTCCATATCACTATCAGCATTTTGGTCAAAGCCATTCAACAATTCTCTAGGAAGTTCCAAACTTTCCCACATTTTCCTGTCTTCTTCTGAACCCTCCAACTGTTCCAACCTCTGCCTGATACCCAGTTCCAAAGTTGCCTCCACATTTTTGGGTATCCTTACAGGAGTGCCCCACTACCCAGTACCAACGTCTGTATTAGTCAGGGTTCTCTAGAGGGACAGGAGTAACAGGATAGAAGTATATATGAAAGCGAGTTTATTAAGGAGTGTTGACTCACACAATCACAAGGTGAAGTCCCACAATAGGCCATCTGCCAGCTGAGGAGCAAAGAAGCCAGTCTGAGTCCCAAAATCTCAAAAGTAGGGAAGCTGACAGTGCAGGTTTTCCATGTCAAAAACCAAATGTGATCACTGAAAATGATCTCTCCATCCTAATAGTGAAACAAAATTTTCCCTGATTCCTTCGTGGGACTTATTAAAAATGTGGCTCATTGACTCAGCCTGCAGCTCTCAATCCCTTGCAGGAGGGGCAGCACACAGGTGAGCAGGTGCAGGGACCAGGATAAGTGCTTCTGGGAACACGCAGGAGCAGAACTTCATGCAGCCCCATGGCAGCATCTAGGGGAGTACCCATGACCCTCAGAGCCCCAGAGGACATGTGTTACAGTGCATTCTTTTAGCTTTGCTGTCCACAGATGGCTTAAGGGTTTAGCAGCTCAGTGTGACAGCCTTCTGTATCCTGAACTCTTGTTCAGCATCCAGGAAGAATCAGGTCACACAAATGAATTGAAGATGGTAAATGTGGGGGATTTTATTGCCGATGAAAGTGGCCCTCGGTGGGATGGAGAGCTAGAAAGGGGATGAGCAGGAAGGTGGTCTTCCCCTGGAAAAGCAGCTTGACTTCAGAGGGACCTCTTCTCTGAGATCCTGCCATCAAGCCATCCCTCTGAAGTCAAGCTGCTTCTCTCCAACTTCTGGCTGTTTCTTCTCTTCTCTCCTTCTCTGCCACGCTGCTGCCAGTGGAGCCTGGGGTTTTTATGGGTACAGTATAGGGGCAGGGCAGGCCAGGTGGTTTTGGAAAAGGCAACATTTGAGTGGGAAAAGGGGGATGTAAAGTTCTTACTTTGGGCTGCAGGTCCAGGCTTGAGGGTGGGGCCCTTGCTGGGGACTGCCCTCTTCTACCTAGTATTTCCCTGTCTCCTGTTCATATCAATAGTATGAAACAATTAAACAATTTCACTAAGCATATATCTTGCCATCATGAGAAATTAAGGCCATTGCTACATGTGGTCTAATTTTTCTCAGCTACTTTAACGATTTAACCAGATTGGCTGTACGGCACCCCCATTGGCTAATTAACTGCCAAAAACAGTTTTGATTTTTTACAGAGTGTTAGACACCTGCTGAAGACCAAATAAGACATGACACCAATCCAGCAAGCTGGTTGTCTTAATGCCAAGACTGTCTTTTCTTGTGTCCTATAAATTCTCTTTGGGGCATTCTATAAAGGCCATTCTTCAGAAAGACAGCAATATTTCAAAAAATATAGGATTGAATTAGAATTTGAATAACCACAATCTTTAATGATTGCTAGGATTTCTTAGAGTAATGGAACTAGTATTGAAAGAGACTGTATAATTCCCTACCAAAATTTTTGCTTTTTAGTAATTTGCCTTTTATTTTATTTTTTGAGACAGAGTCTCACTCTGTCCCCCACCCTGGAGTGCAGTGGTGGGATTTCGGCTCACTGAAGCCTCTGCCTTCTGAGTTCCTGAGTAGCTGGGACCATAGGCACATGCCACCATACCTGGCTAATTTTTTGTATTTTAGTGGAGACGGGGTTTTGCCATGTTGGCTAGGCTGGTCTCGAACTCCTGACCTCAGGTGATCCACTCTCCTCAGCCTCCCAAAGTGCTAGGATTACAGGCATGAGCCACTGCAGCCGGCCATAATTTGCCTTGTTAGTAACAATGATAACTCACTAGGAACATGAACAATCACTAAAAATCAGCACAACACAAAACAGAACAGAATCCCTGGATTTTTTTTAACTAAAATATACTACATGCATTGACTTCTCTGACCTGCCGACCCCTTAAGGCTGGAGAAGATCCCTTGTGTACCCACCATGCTTCTGACCTATTTCTATTTGCAAGATATCTCAGGTTTACTTGGAAGGACAGAAATTCATGGGCATATTTTTAAATTTTTATCCTTTTATTTTGGAAATAATATATTCACTTAGTTCAATATTCAAAAGGTACAGAAAGATATGTAATGAAAAGTCTTCTTTGAACCTCAGTTCCCAAGCCACCCAGTTACCATCTGTAGAGCAATCAATGATATGAGTTTCTCAGTTCATTTGTTGAAAATCATGTATCTGTTGACTTATGTTGAGGTTTGTGTAAAACCTGTTTTTGTGTGTTTGGGTTTTTCTGTTTGAGTGCTGATATTCAATAAGTATTAATCTTCTCTGTGTAACACGTTCTCTAATTGGTGTACCGAACAAAGCAGTGCTAATATCTCTCTGTCCTCCAACCTAATTTCTGATCTATTTCTCTAGGCGTATTTTGTGCATATACAAGCAGATATTAATATATAATATCCCCCTCTTCTGTGAATAATAATGTACTATATACACTGTCCTGTACCCTGTTTTTATTTTTCACCCAGCAATATATCTTGGAGATCGTTCCATGTCAGTGATACGGACAGGAGGCAGGGAAATACTGGGTAGAGGAGGGCGGTCCCCGGTGAGAGACCCACCCTCAAGCCTGGACCCGCAGCCCAAAATGAGAACTTTACATCCTCCTTTTCCTGCTCAAATGTTGCCTTTTCCAAAACCACCCTGGACTGCCCCATCCCACATCCTATACCTATAAAAACCCAGCCTCCACTTGGCAGTGGTGCAGCAGAGGAGAGAAGAGAAGCAGCTGGATATCAGAGAGAAACAGCTTGACTTGAGAGGGACAGCTTGACGGTGGGACCTCAGAGAAGAGTTGGGCCAGGGACGGCCAAACTCCAGGGGAAGACCACCTTCCGGCTCCATCCTCTTTCCAGCTCTCCATCCCACTGAGAGCCACTTTCATCAGCAATAAAATCTCCTGCGTTTACCATCTTCAATTCGTTTGTGTGACTTGATTCTTCCTGACACCAAGCAAGAGCTCAGGATACAGACGGCTGTTACACTGAGATGTTAAACACTTAAGCTGTCCACAAACAGCAAAGCTAAAGCGCACATTGTAACACACGCACTCTGGGGGTCCAGGGGTCGCGGGTATCCCCCTAGGTGCTGCCGCAGGGCCGCAAAGAGTTCTGTTCTTGCCAGCGCCCAGAAGCACTTGTCCCGGCCCCTGCACCACTAGCCTGCATGCTTCCCCACCTGTGAGGGGTTGAGAACTGCAGGCTGAGTAAACCAGCCACCTCTTTCATGAGTCCCGTGAAGTGGTCAGGGAAAATTTCCTGTTTCATCAGCTCATAAAGAATATCCCCATTCTTTTCTGGGGCTAAGGGTATCTTGTTGTTTGACTTTAGTATTATTTTACCAGTCCACTACTGGTAGACATTTAGGTTGCTTTTCATCTTTTGCTCATGCAAGCAATGCTGCCACACATATCCTTGTGTATGTGTCAACTTACAAATGCTTGAACATGTCTAAAGATTAAATTTTTACAAGTAGAATTGCTGGGTCAAAGAAAATCCATTTGTAAATGTGATAGATATCATCAAATTATCCTCCATAAAAGTGGTGCCAATTCACATCTCTCTGTAATATAGAAAATCTTGAAGATCTCCTTGATTTTGCCACATAGTGTTAACAATCTTTCTGACCTTGAACAATCTGATAGACAAAAAGTTCTGTTTCAATAAAGTTTTATTTATATTTCTCTTGAAATGGGATTGCACATTATCGTATATATTTAAGACCCTCTTGTACTTCTTTTTTCTGTGAACTATAAGTTCATATCCTTTGCACATTTTTTTCTTGGGTTATAGATCTTTTTCATTTTGATTTTAGGAGGTTTATATATAGCCTATATAATTATATATAGTTATATATAGATTAGGACAATTAACCCTTAGTCTATGATATGAGCTGCAAATATTTTTTCCAAGTTTATTATTATGGAACATGTCTTATATTACCTATTTTTATATTTTATTGAGGTGTAATATACATACAAAGTGAAGACTCCCATGTATCCATCACCCAGATAAGAAATATAATCATATTTTCAGCATTCATAGACATATTTTTAATTGCAAGAAGTTCAACAATAAATCTTTCAAATAGGTGAATCATTTTGGACAGATTAGAGACTATAGACAATTAACATTTTAATTTTGATTAATTCTCATTATTTATTTAGTAGGATTGTTTGGATAGTAATATTAAAAAGTTGTATTTTGTACAGGAGCAGAAAATTGTAGGGAATAATGACGTTTCTGGCTAGATTGCATATTTTAACACTCGCCTACTCATATTCTCTGATAAGGTAAAACACACCCTAAAGTAAGTGCTATGAAAGGAGCCTTGAAGAATGTTCATTTTTGATGGACCCTAGAAGGATAATTCACCATTTTGCTCTTGGAGCAAAGATCTAGGGATGTTCTATTGAACTCACATTTGCTGATGATTACTTGAGGGTTTCTGATGCATTTTAAATAATATGGAAGATTTTCTTGTTTGGGTCAATGATTCATTCAAATGCTTATTTCCTCTAACTGTTCTAAATGATTGTCCATTGAAACATCTTTTCAAGTTCAGCACTGAGAGTCTTTGGCAGCAGCACTCAAACAATTTCAAGACTCAACACAGCATCAAAAAGGCCTCTTTCAAATATCTTGATTTAAAAGGCATGCATACAGAAATTTTGACCCTAGACCATAACTAATAGCTGTTAAAAGAAGAACTCTTCTTTGAATAAATGTACTCCAGCCATAATCTCAGATTGGTACAATTACATTTTTTCTTCCTGTTATAACTTCATTTTTAATAAGAAATCCCACACCCAACTCAGTTGAGAAATACCTAACTTTATAGCATATTGGTAGCCCATGAAAATCACAAATGAGGAACAAAAAAGCTCCCAAGTCAGGCAATTCAAGTAAGCTATCCAAGTACAATATCTTCTGGCCTAAATTTGTTCAGTACTGATTTTTGCCTTAGGTGGAAACCCTGGAGAATCATGAAGAAAATGTATTAATTCTGTAAATTTAGCTGGGATTTTTTTTTGCTGCTTTACATAGCAAACACACCAAAGACTTCCTTCTTGCCCAGCATTATTGTTAAACTGCCATGCCCTTTGTATAATAAGACTTTCCAAAAATATGATGAAATCGGAAAACCAAGGGTACAGTGATTAAGAGAATAACTAGAAACAACGTATGTGAGAATTTCTGACAAGGAAAGAGCTTCTCCTGCTGTGAGAGATTTTCACCTCTCTCTTTTTGTAGCAAGCAGAATGTGAAATAGCGGGAGCCTGAAACCCTCTGATCATCCCCAGGACAAGAATAGCATTATCCTGTGTTGATATTCAAATATGTACTCCGTGTGAGTGCTCTGAATAGCTGAGAGCATCTTGCAAACTTCAGTAAGAATGGGACAAACACCAACTCTTTTGAAACTAGTTCAGTATTTCCAAATACCCAATTCATCTCTCTTAGTCGAATTTGATCAAGGGCTACGTGTTTGCAAAATACAAAGGCAGGCAATGCTTTTCATCAGTATCATCCTGTTTTGCATCCTTTGCCACATTGTTTGCACTCACAATCCAGCCCAAAGCACTGAGAACCCTTGGCCAAACTTCTACGAAAACACCTGCTCTTGGCTCCACCATGAAGAAGGAATAGGGTGGAAGAAATGCTGAACAGATATCTAGGTTTTTATAGTCCTGACTCTGAAGCAAAGTAGATGTCAAAGTAGATGTTTCTCCCTGCTATTTCTGTCTCAGTGGTCTCTAAGTACCCCAGATCATCAGCATTCTGTATTTTACACTAAAGTATAAATGACTAATAATCAAACTGGCTACTTCATCCCTCCCAATGTAAGCTCAAAACCTGAAAAAAGAAATCTTCCCTTCTTATCAGCCTGCTTGTTGGAATTGTTAGAAGGGAAGATCAAGCAAGGAGGAACCACAGAGGCATGCAGAAAGAGAAATGTTGAAAAGAGGACATCAGAGACTGTATTGGGCTATTTCTGTTGCTGCTGCTCCTTCTAAAGATGCCGGTACAAACTGGAGGCGGCTAGAGGCTGGGTTATATAAATATATGGCTTACATGTTGCCAGTCTAAAAATATTTTATTGGCCCAAATTTCTATAGCTCTGATATTTCTTTTGATCCTCTACTGATACTAATAGTAATCTTCCACCTATCAAAATTTCACCCAAATAACTGGCATAAAGACAGACGTATAGACCACTGGAATAGAATAGAGAGCTCAGAAATAAACCCTCATACACATAGTCAAATGATTTTCAGCAAGGGTGCCAAGACCATTCAATGAGGGAAAGGAAAGTCTTTTCAACAAATGGTGCTAGAATAACTGGATATCCACATGCAAAAGAATGAAGCTAGATCCTTATCTAATTCCATATGCAAAAATTAACTCAAAATGGATCAAGAAGTTAAACATAAAATCTAAAACTACAAAACTCAAAAGAAACTATAGGGCAAACTCCTCACCACATTGGATTTGTCAATGATTTCTTGGATATGACACCAAGGATGCAATCAACAAAAGAAAAAAATAGACATTAGGCTTCATTAAAATTAAAAACTTTTGTGCATTGATGGATGTCATTAACAGAGTGAAAAGGCAACCTACTGAATAGGAGAATATATTGCAAATCATATATCTAATAAGGGATCAATATTCAGAATATATAGAAAAAACTCCTAAAGCTCAACAGCAAAAAAACAAACAACCAGATTCAAAATGGACAAGGGACTTGAATAGACATTTCTCAAAAGAATATATATAACTGATCAACAAGCACATGAAAAGATGCTCAATGTCACTAATCGCTAGGGAAATAGAAATCAAAACCACAATGTGATACCATCTCACACCCATTTGGATGACTACTACCAATAAAACAGAAAATAACAAGGTTTGGTGAGGATGTGGAGAAATTAGAACACTGTGCACAGCCCATGGGAATGTAAAATGGCACAGTCAATGTGGAAACCAGTATGGTGTTTCCTCAAAAAATTAAAAATAGAATGACAGTATGATCCAGTAATTCTACTTCTGAGTATATATCCAAAAGAATTGAAAGTAGGGTTTCAGCCAGGTATAGTGGCTCATGCCTGTAATCCCAGCAAACTTGGGAGGCTGAGGTGGAAGGATTACCTGGGGTCAGGAGTTCAAGACCAGCCTGGGCAACATAGCAAGACCCCATCTCTAAAAAATAAATAAACTTACCTGGGTGTGGTGGCCATGCATCTGTAGCCCCAGGTACTCAGAGGCTGAGGCGGGAGGATCCCTTGGGCCCAAGAGTTGGAGCTGCAGTGAGCCATGATCACTCCAGCCTGTGAAACAGATCAAGACCCAACTCTAAACAAAATTTCAAAAACAGAAGGAAAGGTCTGAAAGGGATATTTGTACATTCACGTTCATAGAAATATTATTCACAACTGCTAAAACAGGAAAGCAACTCAAGTGACCATCAACAGATGAATGGATAAGCAAAATGTGATATATACATACAAGGAAGTATTATTCAGCCTTAAAAAGGAAAGGAATTCTGATATATGCTACAACATGGTTGAACCTTGAGGACATTATGCTAAGGGGAATAGGCCAGTCACAAAAAGACAAATACTATATGATTTTACTTATATGAGGTACCTAGGGGAGTCAAACTGATAGACACAGAAGGTAGAATGGTGACTGCCTGGGGCTGGCAGTGGAGGTGAGTGATTGCATTGTTATTTAATGGGTATAGGGTTTCAGTTTTGCCAGATGAAAAGAGCTCTGTAGGCTGGGTGTGGTGGCTCACGCCTGTAATCCCAGCACTGTGGGAGGCCGAGGTGGGCGGATCACCTGCGGTCAGGCATTCGAGACCAGCCTAGCCAACATGCCGAAACCTTGTCTCTACTAAAAAATACAAAAATTAGTAGGGCATGGTGGCGCATACCTATAGTCCCAGCTACTCGGAAGGCTGAGGCAGGAGAATGGCGTGAACCCGGGAGGCGGAGCTTGCAGTGAGCGGAGTTCGGGCCACTGCACTCCAGCCTGAGCCACAGAGCGAGACTCAGTCTCGGAAAAAAAGAAAAAAAAAAAGAGCTCTGGAGATAGATAGTGTTAATGGTTGCACAACAATATGAATGTACTTAATACCACTGCACTATACGCTTAAAATAATTAAGATGGTAAATCTTATGATAGGTGCATTTTACCACAATAAAAAATATCGAAGAAAAAAGTTTCACCGAAAGAAACTGCGAATTAATTTTAACCAGGTAGGAGGTACTCTTTGAACTTCAGGCCACAAATTCCTTTAACAGGCTATGAAATCCACATTATTCATTAGAAGTCAACACCATGTTTGACCTATAGCAGATGTTCAATAAATACTGGTTGAATAAAGACAAAAATGTTGGTTGAAAAATTTTTTCTTCTTTCTTACTCCTTTTTTCCCCCATTGCTTAATGAAAGAAAGAGAAATTAAAATCTGATTTCAGTAGAGTGTTAGAAAAAGGGATAGTCACAGGAATTATTCATCATGCTGCAATACTCAAAGCTAGCAGCTGTGAGAAGGTTTTTAATGGCCACTGATTTGAATTCTGAAACCATCTTCTTCTAAGATAGAAGTCCTCAGCCCAGCTGCACACTTAAATAATCTGGGCCACTTGAAAACAATGCAGATGTCCAGGTCCTACCCTAGAATAACTAAGCCAGTTTCTAAGCATTAGTATGTTTCATAATGACTCCATATGGTTGTAATGCACCGTGCAGTTTCTAGGAGCAGCATATCCCCAGAGATGATTTAAGACAAGTTGGAAGACAATTATTAATACAATGTGAAGAATAAGCTAGAGAAATATTAAGCTATGGTATCACAACAATTTAGTATAAATTATTGAAAAAGGTATCAAATTATCTTTTTCAGTCACTGACTCATTTCTTTATTTCTGTTTTTCTTTTTTCCTATGAGTTATTCAAGCAATTGTCCTTATATACTGTTCTGCCCCATTTCCTGAATCCATACCAAGGAAGCAGTAACAATATTTAGAGCCTACTGCTATCACTTGATGACATTTGTACTTTTGGCCAAGTCACAACTTTAGTACACTTCCTGTTCAACAGTCTATGCCTTAAAAAATAATAACTAATGTTTATCGAGTGCTTACTGTACGCCAATATGCTATTCTAAGTGCTATATATATATATATATATATATATATATACTAACCTTCATTACAATGCTATGAATTAGGTGCTTTTTTTTTTTTTTTTTTAGACGGAGTCTCGCTCTGTCGCCCAGGCTGGAGTGCAGTGGCAAGATCTCAGCTCACTGCAACCTCCACCTCCCAGGTTCAAGCAATTCTCTGCCTCAGCCTTCTGAGTAGCTGGGATTACAAGCACGCGCCACCACATCCGGCTAATTTTTGTATTTTTAGTAGAGACGGGGTTTCACCATATCGGCCATGCTGGTCTTGAACTCCTGACCTCGTGATCCACCCGCCTCAGCCTCCCAAAGTGCTGGGATTATGGGAATGAGTCACCGCGCCCGGCCATGTGCTATTATTATGCCTGTTTTACATGTAAGAGAACTCAGACATAGAGGGGTAAAGTCACTAAGTGGTGGACTTGGGAGACCATCCCTGGTTGTTCAGCAGGCAAGTCTCTGCATGTCTCCAGATTCACTCCTTTTCACTGACCCTAGAGTGCCAAAGTCCCAGCATATTTTGCAGCTGAGCCAACCCTCAATCAACAACTTGATGAATGTATTTCATTAGAATTAGCCAATGACATTAATACTATTAATACAATTAAATTCTCACTGTGCTATGCACAGTTGCAAATCCCTTTATATAGACTATCTCATTTGATCCTCACAATAACTCTATTAGCTAATGTGATAATTAGCTCTATTATTCACAGGTAATGAAACAATAGTACAAAGAGATAAAAATAAAATAACTAGCCCCAAATCACAGAGGTAGAGAGGGGCAGAGTCTGAACTCAATATCAGGACTCCGACTCTCTTACCTACCATGCTATACTGCCTGTTAAGAAAAAAATGTTAAGTGTCTCTACATAATTTAGCAACTCTAATAAAGAGCTGTAGTTTGGGATGTGGGTTTTCTTTAATGTAGACTTTGAAAATTCAAGATTCATGACATGAATTTCTTTGTATTTCTGGAAACATAGGAACCATGCATTTCTCATCACCTGGTGGCAGTTCCCTTAATTTTAAGAAAAGGATTTGAGTAAAGCTGTACACAGAATATGAAAATCTAGTCCGGATGTGCAGTAGGCCACTCTCATTGGCTTGCATTGACTCAGGAAAGCTAATTATATGCAGCTTTCAGCTCCAAAATGCTATCACACTGGTAGGTTGAAACCAACCACAGTGAATGGGTGTATTTAACATCATGGAAACTGGCAAATGCTACAAATCAGAACTCCTCCTCCCCACCCAAAGAGCCAGTTTTTAAACTTCCATGAGGACACTACTGCCTAAAGTTATAAAATGAAAAATGAAAAATATTTTAGTAATTTAAAATGAAGGAGCCTGTTGTCATTTTTGGAAGTTATTAACATTGTACTTACTTTTAATTGAAATTTTGCTTATAGGAAATTAAAGAGTAAAATTTATTTCGTTTTAAAAATGTCACTAAATGTCAAGTGCTTTATCTGTTAACTTGGTTTAGCTTTCGAATAGCTATTGAAGATGGTTTTACTCTGATTTTTGCAACTGACATATTATTTTGGCCACTAGCCAGGAGTCTTATATAATGATTTCATCTTACAAATCCCAGTGCATATTAGAACATTAATTTTCTATCTCCTCTTGCCTTTGTTTAGATTTATATAACTAAATAATTAAAATACTTTAGATGTGCTACCTTGAAAGGAGTAAATGTGAAATATCTGAAAAGAACTAGGATAGACATGGCTTGAACCCTTGCTTTTTGAAACAAGTATATGTTTGAGTTTTAGAGTAATTCTCCCTCCTGCTGTTTAATAAAATGGAATGTTTTATCAATTTATGTGAATTTATGTGACATTTCAAATATTCAATATATATCATTGCTGCTGAATACCTCCCTCAGCACTACCACTTTAACACCACCCTGCCCCCTGAAGATCTAGGGCTCATCCATCCATCTGGGACGTCAGGATTAGCATTTGTCAGTCATGGGCTGGAACTGGTTACTCTGCTGAAGATGCCTCAGCATACTGACATCTAGAGTGATAATTCCATGGAGGAAAGCTGAGGTTCAAGGACATTGAGAGGAGTTGAAGCGGGGGCTGACAGAACTAGGGATTCAGATCTAGGTCCACAAGGTCAGGAGTTATCAAGGTAATTGTCCAGACCCCAGTAGGGACTTTTAACTCACCTTATGGTCTGAAGGTTTATTTTACATACATGTTCAAAGAGGATTAAAAGCCTAGGTTCAATTGTATAGTCTCCCTATAGGATGAAACCTCTATGAAGGCAGTCTTTGTCTGGCTCTTTCCCGTATCTACAGCATGTGAAACTCTGCCTGCCCCATAGTCAGTGGTCACATTTAGTTATCGTAAAGATTTGTGAAGTGAATGAATGAATACATGCTTGGCCCTATTGTGAAGCAGATGAGTTTTTTTTTAACCCTTCTGTCTGGTTATTTTATTTCTTTAGTATCGGTTTACCTCTAGTGTGCAGAGGGAATTTTTTTTCTCTTCAAAAATTATAGCATTTTTCCTAAAAACTGTTCTGCAGCATACTAGTTCTGAGAGATACTATTGCAAAAAGCTTAATGATAAAATAAAATGGAAAAATGATGAGTTAAAGAAAATTTAAAAGCATTATCTAATGCTGAGCTTCTCAGAGCTCTTACTGTGCTACTCTGCATATTGAATCTCTTAAAAAAGGAGAGATGGCATGTCAGGTTTTCCAAAGATGATTTGCCAAGGAGCCCTTTTACAGAGAGAAACTTGGGACAGGTGTTCCAAGGAAAAAAGATTTGGAAATTTTTGTCTAGAAGTCTAGAGGTTTCTACAATGGTACACTATCTAAATCAATGCATGTGGAATTTCCTCCATGATCTGACTCTTTCTTGACCTGCTACATACTCCCCTAAAACTTACATCATTTTAATCCATTTCCACCAGTGTCTGCCAGGGAACTGACAAATTTGATAAATTATATTGAGGTAAAATGTTAATGCCTGCTAAGAGCTTTCTTGCTTCTCCAAGGCCGCATTGACATTGCAAGGAAGTGTCAGGTGGCCCCAGCCCAAGGGTCAGCCAGTTCAGAATTTCAGTCAGGGTCAATCAATGGAATGGGAGCAGAAAGTGTGCTAAAAATGAGGAACAATTTGGCTTGGAGACAAAATTTTTTGGTACCCTCTTAAATCATACCCTTTAGGGATCCACTCTTCTCTGTTCGTAAACAGCAAGTTAGTTATAATTCCTGGTGTCAGACTAGTTGGGGGAAGTGTTTTTTGGTTTTTTTTTTCTTCAGTATCAGAGGGAGATACCAGTAGAGTAACCAACTATCTCAAGTTTCCCCAGATTGAGGGGTTTGTCGGGACTTAACCATACTAAAACCAGGAAAATCCTAGGCAAACCATGACAAGTTGGTCACCTTCACAGAGCCGTCACTTCAGAAACTGAAATAGCTCTGTAGGTTCCTAAAATGTTTGGAATCAGAAACTTCAATTGTCAGCCACATACACAATATTTTCCACAGATGTTGCAGAAATGCATTTTTGAGCTTATTTGCATATGATGAAAAAAAAACACTTATTATATGCTTTCGATCATTTGAAACCTAATTATTCAATTGGTACAAGGCCTGAGTCCTTCACTTACCCACTCCTCTTCCACATGCCTTTTCGGGTACTTCTCTGCTTTTTTGCAGAAGCACTAGAGGGTATGGAAGCTGGAAGGGGACCTGTTGATTCCAGTAGACTGGGGCTACTTGCCGTTCTCATCCTGCTTTTCCTCATTCCCCAGTCTCTCTAACCTACTGAGATGTGATCTGGGCTTTCTATCATTATGTTTTATCTCTCTTTCTTTTACCTTTTGTTTTGTTTTGCTTTCCTTGGATTCCCTAATCTTTTCATGAAAAATGAGAATAACATCCAAAATTTACTATGTGTCATGCACTGTGCTATAGACTTTGTACACATTATTTTTGTCTACTTTTCATAGTGCCTAAGATGGAAGTAATAAATTTATCTCCATTTTAGGAATGATACAGGTTAAGCAACTTGCCCAAGGTCATATAGCTGATAGAAGATGAAATTACGATGCAAACCCAGGTTATCTGGCTCTGAGCCAGTATTCCTAAACTGTGACCTACGCACCTGTCTCTGTGGCTTTCCAAGGTTTGAGAGAAACCTGGTGAGACTTTGCAACCACTGGCTGTCATCATCAGGTGGGATGAATCTGAATGTTGGAAAAACTCACACCAGACTATCAGATATTTGTGTTGGACTCAGACCTATTTTGATAGCTGAATTCCTCTTTGCTCTCTGGCTAGTCCTTCTCAGTTTCATTTGTACACTTTGCCTCTCACTAGTCATTATATGATGGGATTCCTCAAGTTTCATTCCTAGCCCTCTCCTCTTTTCACTCTTTACTCTGTTCTCAGGCCATCCGATCTCTCTACATGTCTCACAAATTTACATCTTCCAAGCTCCCCAGACCCATACGTCCAGCTGGCCACTTGCCCTCATCTTGGGTGTCCTGAAGGCCCCTTCCACTAAACATTCAGAATCAAAATAAATGAGCTGCTCCCTGTGCTTGCTTGCCTATACTTGGAAAACCTGGTTCGTTCCAGTGTTCTCCATGTTACGGCTGCTATGCTATCCAGTTACGCAAGCTGGAAACCTGGGAGTAATCATCATCATCTCCTCATCTAAATCCACGACAAATAGTATTAGTCTCTCCAGGGCAACTGATAAAATTTCCTAATAGGTCTACCCACATCCATTCTGGCTTTCTTACAATTGTTTTTTATTATAGCCAGAGTAATCTTTTAAAAACGTATCTGACCATATCAGCAGGGTTGTTCCCTTCCAATATCCTCAGCCTCATTTCACACCAAAATTATCCACTGTATCAGTCAGCAAGAATTGGATGGAACAATCAAGTTAGATAATTTGAAGGGAGTTTAATAAAGAGGTGGGCAGTGTCAATGGCATGTGGAGCTAGTAGCAAGGAGGTACGGGGACCATTCAAAACCTGAAGGGGCAAGAGTTACCATAACCAGGAGATGGTAACTGTATGGAAATATTGCCTGGCAGGAGCCATGACCTTGGGTAGGGAAACACAGATAACCCATGATGACCTGTCAGGGAGCATGCTGTGGAAATAAGTACTCATACGCATTCATCTCATGTGCAACTCATTCTCCTTCTACCCATCCTAGTGCCTGTCATTGACTGAACTCAACTGTAAGTCAGGGGCAAGAGACTACCGTGGAAATGCATGAGCCTCCAGGAGCTGAAGCAGGAAGAGGCTAGAACATGGGGGAGGAGCAGTCAGAAGCTAGCTAGGATACCTACTAAGTCAGGGTGAAATTTCAAATATAAAAAGAGAATAAATGCAAAATAAAAATATCTGAGCAGTCATGACCACAAAATATGAACCTCAGATGAAATAATATCTACTTGATCTTCAGTGTGTAGTTCTAGAACAGAACTTCCCAAATTTTCAGAGTTCCATTTTTCCACTGGTCATAACTAATGGGTATACTTGCTTGTATGGTCATACCAAAACCTTTTTTTACCAAACAATGGGTGCCCCCTCACATCTGGGTTAGTCAGTCCAACTCAGAATGTTCTTTCTAACTAAACTTGTCTTAACCAGTTTGAAGATTGTCCCCGCACAACCTTCCTCCCCTTTTCTTTACTACACTGCTATGAAAGAATTCCCTTCATTTTTATTCTAATGCCTATGAAAGAATTCCTTTCATTTTTGTTCTAATAAAGGAAAACTCTGTTACTTTTTTTCTTAAACTATTAGACATGTATTGTTTTTCTCTATTTAATAACTGTAAAATGTATCTATGAAAACAAAAATTATTATATAAACACATTAACACTGAAACAAAGTGAGTTGTTTAGATTAAATTGACATACCCCTAATAAAATCTAGCAGATGTTTTATAAATATCTGTCAGCTATTTAAATTGTGAGATTCTTATGGGAAATTACTATTTGTGCTGACTACAATACATATTTAGAATACTTAGGAAACTTTCAAGACTTTCACTTCCAGAAATTTGGCAGGTTTCTTATCCTGAAAAACTCCCCTGCTACCCCTAGAAAAACTGCATATGGTAGAATAAACATCTTTTAAAATGCATAGATGAGGCCAGGTGCGGTGGCTCATGCCTGTAATCCCAGCTATTGTGAAGGATGCAAGTCAGAGATAACCAAGTCCGTGCACATTTGTGTCTTTCCACAATGTCAGACTTTTATTAATGCTATTTCAATTACAAAAGCCAAGAGCTCCATGGAGTGCCCAAGGAGGCAGTTCTCCTTAGTACTTCCTGTTCACTCGGTAGTCAGAGCCACAGGCACACGGGCTCAAGTCACTCCACAAGTCAGTCAATTTTGCAAACCATACATAACAGTATACTTATTCAATGTATAAATATTATAGACTAAATGTTCCACAACAAACATTTAACATTAAGAGAAAGGGGATAGGAAAAAGGATTAGTGAACCAGTCGAGCATGAGTGATGAGACAAAAAGAATATCCTGGTCTGGCCCAGGTGATCTGTTGTTCTTGCAGAGAGGAGTCTTTGTTGTGGGCAGAGCCTTCGGCGGCATATGCCAGGTGCTTATCACAAGTGACAGCAATGATGGGTGTTAGGAGATGCAGAAGTCCTGCTCTTTTTATGGCCACAGAATCCTCTGGTGAGGACTGATAGTGGAAGAGTGTGCTTGGTTACGTTGTTACCTGGCTGGATGCAGTCTTTATTGATCACGCAAAACATCTGCTCCCTGTTGGCAAAGTGCCTTTTGAAATGTAAGATGGAGTATTTTTCTAAGATGGAGTTACTTATGTCAAGGGCGCTCTATACACTAGCACTTTGGGAGTCTGAGGTAGGAGGCCAGCCTGGGAAACATATGGAGACCCTGTCTCTACAAAAAACAAAAAAGTTAGCTAGCTGTGGTGATGTGTGCCTGTAGTCCCAGCTACTCCAGAGCTGAGGTGGAAGGATAGCTTGAGCCTGGGAGTTGAAGGCTGCAGTGAGTCATGATTGCACCTCACACTTCAGCCTGGGAAACAAAGTGAGACCCTGTCTCAAAAAAAAAAAAAAAAAAAAAAAAAAAAAGGCATAGATGATTTCACAATAAAATAGGGAAATCCATAAGTGTCAAAAATGAAGAGAGGAGAAAAATCTGTGTGGTGGTGATACCCATAGTGTGCTCTGAAGGAATCTGAAGAATGAAGAGACTAGGATAGTGGTGTAATGGGGCTGTGGGATGGTGGGGAGTGAGTGGAAGGTGGTGGGAGCAGACCTGAGACCAGGTAATGGTGCAGTGGCACTCACCAGGTGGGGAGATGGAACTGTTGCCCCTACGGGAAGCCCAGAACCTCAAAAGTCACAATTTCACCTCTTCGTTTCAGAACAGAATGCAATATGAAGTTTAAAAAATATAAACTAATATTAGATATTTTGGGGGGATGGAAAATATATATGTCTATGTGGGGAGGACCTGAATGCAGTGGAGGAAGGGAATACATAGGGTGCAGTGTTTAATTTCTTAAGTTTTGTCCAACTTGGGTTTTTTGTATTACTTTTTGTATTTGCAAGATGTCTTAGGATGAAAAACTGTAAAGAAAAAATGAAGTTACAAAACACCATATACAGTATGTCTGCATATGCGTGTGCACATGTATGTGTATAGAATTTCTGAAAGATGTGCACTTAAATATAACTAGAGCAGATTACAGAAGAACTTACACAGTAAGATAACACATACAATTTAGAGCATGCAACACAACACTATTGGTGCTTAAAGATACATATACATATAATAAAACTATAAAGAAATATATGAGATTGATAAACACCAAATTAAGTCTAGTCATTATATTTCAGGGGCAGGATGGAAAAGGCACCCAGGGAGGGCCACACTAGGTGAATTGAACATTGTTGGCAATATATTAGCTCTTAAGCCAGGTGGTAGTACATGGATATTAGTTATGTTATTCTTCATTCTTTTTTCTTAAATGTTATAAAATATACTTAATACTTTTTAAATAAAATATTTTCTGATACTCCTCTGAACCATACTTGGACATGCCTGAGGCCTTGAAGAGATGCTGGTAGTCTGATACCTCTAGAGAGTGACCACCTCTGCCCAGAATTGCATCTTATTTTTTTCTAATGCAACAATTTATTTTATCAGCAATATTTATTGAGTCTACTATGTCCCAGGCCCTGTTCTAGGCACTGAGAACACAGCAGTGATGAAAACAAACAGAAATATATTCTAGTGCATTTTAGGTTTAGATAATATCAAGAAAGACGACTCTGCAGGAAAGAAATTGCCGAGATTTTCTCTTTTTTGCTGTTAGTGGATTTGGTGGATGGGTTGGTAGAGGGTGCCAAAAGGCCTTTTAGGACTAATCTCTGAGAATGTTGCACGCCCTCAAATAAACTTAGAAATCATGGTCAGATTCTGTTATTAGCACCTGATAAAGTACACCTATGATTACCACCTCACACGCTGTCTGGATAGGCTTATCAGCTAGGTCTGGAGGAAAATTGGATTGGAATTAAACTGAATATTATAATGGTATTTCTCGTATATGTGCTGTCCTGATGAGATATTCTTGATATTATTGTGGTTTAGATCAACCATCCTAAAAAACAGGAATCTGCTCCCCACCTGTGAAGCCACCTTCATCACCCACCCTTCATTCCCAAGTATTGATTATGGTTTTGTTGTATATCTTATTGCTGGGCAATTGCAACCATTCTTTCAAAGTAGGAAGGGAGTAGATAGTCATACCTTCTTTGAAGTACAAAAGTCAGTCTACATGCTTGTCCTGTCATGTATTGTCATTTAACAAACCACCCAAAATGTAATGTCTTAAAACAATAGTCAATTCATTAAGTTCAAAGTCTATAGGTTAGAATTTTGGCCAGGGCTTAGCTTGCCAATTCTTCTGCTTCATGGCATTGACTGGGGCCACTCAATCAATGAATACAATGTTCAAGTTATCTTCAGCTGGTGGCTGTTCGGATTTGTGGTGGTCCAAGAAGCATTCTTTAATGTGTCTAGCAGCTTAGTTGGGTTGGCTGATGCCTAGGCTCAGCCAGGGCCTTCTTCCTCTCCTGTGGTTTCAGGGCTTCTCCACATGGCTTCTTTGCAAGATAGCTGAACTTCTTCCATGTGGCTCAGGGCTCTAAGAGAGTGTGTTTCCAGAGGCTAAAAATAGAAGCAACTGTCCGGTAACTCTCACAGTGGAAGGTAAGCCCGTCCCCTTCTTAATCAATAAGGAGGCTACCCACTCCACATTACCTTCTTTTCAAGGGCCTGTTTCCCTTGCCTCCATAACTGTTGTGGGTATTGATGGCCAGGCTTCTAAACCTCTTAAAACTCCCCAACTCTGGTGCCAACTTAGACAATACTCTTTTAAGCACTCCTTTTTAGTTATCCCCACCCGCCCAGTTCCCTTATTAGGCTGAGACACTTTTAACTAAATTATCTGCTTCCCTGACTATTCCCGGACTACAGCTATATCTCATTGCCACCCTTCTTCCCAATCCAAAGCCTCCTTTGCGTTCTCCTCTTGTATCCCCCCACCTTAACCCACAAGTATAAGATACCTCTACTCCCTCCTTGGCGACCTATCATGCACCCCTTACCATCTCATTAAAACCTAATCACCCTTACCCCATTCAACGCCAATATCCCATCCCACAGCACGCTTTAAAAAGATTAAAGCCTGTTATCACTCGCCTGCTACAGCATGGCCTTTTAAACCCTATAAACTCTCCTTACAATTCCCCCACTTTACCTGTCCTAAAACCAGACAAGCCTTACAAGTTAGTTCAGGATCTGCACCTTATCAACCAAATTGTTTTGCCTATACACCCCGTGGTGCCCAACCCGTACACTCTTTTGTCCTCAATACCTTCCTCCACAACCCACTATTCCGTGCTTGACCTTAAAGATGCTTTTTTCACTATTCCCCTGCACCCCTCGTCCCAGCCTCTCTTTGCTTTCACTTAGACTGACCCTGACACCCATTTAGGCGCAGCAAATTACCAAGGCTGTACTGCTGCAAAGCTTCACAGACAGCCCCCATTACTTCAATCAAGCCCAAATTTCTTCCTCATCTGTTACCTATCTTGGCATAATTCCCATAAAAACACATGTGCTCTCCCTGCCAATCGTGTCTGACTGATCTCTCAAACCCCAGCACCTTCTACAAAACAACAACTCCTTTCCTTCTTAGGCATGGTTAGCGTGGTCAGAATTCTTACATAAGAGCCAGGACCACACCCTGTAGCCTTTCTGTCCAAACAACTTGACCTTACTGTTTTAGCCTAGCCCTCATGTCTGCGTGCAGCGGCTGCCGCAGCTTTAATACTTTTAGAGGCCCTCAAAATCACAAACTATGCTGAACTCACTCTCTACAGTTCTCATAACTTCCAAAATCTATTTTCTTCCTCATACCTGACGCATATACTTTCTGCTTCCTGGCTCCTTCAGCTATACTCACTCTTTGTTGAGTCTCCCACAATTACCATTGTTCCTGGCCCGGACTTCAATCCGGCCTCCCACATTATTCCTGATACCACACCTGACCCCCATGACTGTATCTCTCTGATCCACCTGACATTCACCCCATTTCCCCAAATTTCCTTCTTTCCTGTTCCTCACCCTGATCACTCTTGATTTATTGATGGCGGTTCCACCAGGCCTAATCGCCACACACCAGCAAAGGCAGGTTATACTATAGTACAAGCCACTAGCCTGCCTCTTAGAACCTCTCATTTCCTTTCCATCGTGGAAATCTATCCTCAAGGAAATAACTTCTCAGTGTTCCATCTGCTATTCTACTACTCCTCAGGGATTATTCAGGCCTCCTCCCTTCCCTACACATCAAGCTTGAGGATTTGCCCCACCCAGGACTGGCAAATTAGCTTTACTCAATATGCCCTGAGTCAGATAACTAAAATACCTCTTAGACTAGGTAGATACTTTCACTGGATAGGTAGATACTTTCACTGGTTAGGTAGAGGCCTTTCCTACAGGGTCTGAGAAGGCCACCGCAGTCATTTCTTCCGTTCTGTCAGACATAATTCCTAAGTTAAGCCTTGCCAACTCAATACAGTCTGATAACAGATGAGCCTTTATTAGTCAAATCAGCCAAGCAGTTTTTCAGGCTCTTAGTATTCAGTGAAACCTTTATATCCCTTACGGTCCTCCATCTTCAAGAAAAGTAGAATGGACTAAAGGTCTTTTAAAAACACACCTCACCAAGCTCAGCCACCAACTTAAAAAGGACTGGACAATACTTTTACCACTTTCCCTTCTCAGAATTCAGGCCGGTCCTCAGAATGCTACAGGGTACAGCCCATTTAAGCTCCTGTATAGACACTTCTCATTCCAGACACTAGACCAAGTTAGACTGTGCCCCAAAAAACTTGTCATACCTACTATCTTCTGTCTAGTCATACTCCTATTCGTTCTCAACTATTCATACTTGCCCTGCTCTTGTTTACACTGCCGGTTCACACTGTTTTTCCAAGCCATCAAAGCTGATATCTCCTGGTGCTATCCCCAAACTGCCAGTCTTAACTCTTGAAGTAAATAAATAATCTTTGCGGGCAGGACTGCTGAATCTCCTTAGGCACTCTCTAATCAGATATCCTGAGTCGTCCCAATTCTTAGACCTTTTATACTTGTTTTTCTCCTTCTGTTATTCCATTTAGTTTCTCAATTCATCCAAAACCATATCCAGGCCATCACCAATCATTCTATACGACAAATGTTTCTTCTAACATCCCCACAATATCACCCCTTACCACAAGACCTCCCTTCAGCTTAATCTCTCCCACTCTAGGTTCCCACGCCGCCCCTAATCCCGCTTGAAGCAGCCCTGAGAAACATCGCCCATTCTCTCTCCATACCACCCCCCAAAAATTTTTGCCACCCCAACACTTCAACACTATTTTATTTTTCTTATTAATATAAGAAGGCAGGAATGTCAGGCCTCTGAGCCCAAGCCAAGCCATCGCATCCCCTGTGACTTGCACGTATACACCCAGATGGCCTGAAGTGACTGAAGAATCACAAAAGAAGTGAATATGCCCTGCCCCACCTTAACTGATGACATTCCACCACAAAAGAAGTGTAAATGGCCGGTCCTTGCCTTAACTGATGACATTACCTTGTGAAAGTCCTTTTCCTGGCTCATCCTGGCTCAAAAAGCACCCCCACTGAGCACCTTGCAACCCCCACTCCTGCCCGCCAGAGAAAAAACCCCCTTTGACTGTAATTTTCCTTTACCTACCCAAATCCTATAAAGTGGCCCCACCCTTATCTCCCTTCGCTGACTCTCTTTTCGGACTCAGCCCGCCTGCACCCAGGTGAAATAAACAGCCATGTTGCTCACACAAAGCCTGTTTAGTGGTCTCTTCACACGGACGCGCATGAAAGCAACTAGTGTCGTAAGTCCTAGACTCAGGTCTGGAACAGTGTTATTCTCAGTGTATTCCATCAGCCAAAGCATTCGCAGACCCAGATTCAAGTGGATAAATATTCTCAGAAATATACTGGAGAAGAGAGCTAGTGAGTTTGTGGTGTTCTTAATCTATCATATCATCCCTTCCCACTGTTTGCTAGTGAACTTAGATATCATTGGTATTCCTGGTCAGACATGGGCTAAGTCCACTCTCATAAGCAGAACTCAGTCAAAGCAGAATAGGTCAGAAGGTGAGTATAATATCAAACTATCTCTTGTAGTGCCTTGAACTGGAGGAAATCCAGATAATGTAACACTGGGAGAAGGGTAGCCTAATAGCAACTCAGCAACTTGGGGCTGGAAATTAGAGCCAGAATGTTATTCCTTCACTACTGAGTGCCTACCTACTAGGTGCCAGTTATTACTAGACACAAGGGTGAGATACTTATTCTCTTAGATCCGTCAGTCTGTTGAAGATGAACAATTAATGGATGATGGATGAATGTTTAATCTATAAAATGTGTCTGATTTGGCAGAGAGTGAAAATCTAATGGTGGCTGGGAAGGATGCTCTGTGGAGTGGACATAAATCTGATTACCTGAATGGTACAAAGAAGCCAAGGTTGGAAGGAAGCACCTTCTAGGAAGAGAGTGCAGCAAGTGCAAAGTAGAAGGAACAAGATGGAAGTCAGTGTGTTTTGGAGGATCATGAATGATGAGTTGCAGGAAGTGAAAACAGAGGGAGAGAAAAGTCGTATAATATAGGACCTTGAAGGCCATAGTCAAGAATTAGGTTATCATTTGAAGAGCAAAAGTGAGCCAATGAAGGTATTTTATTAAGACAGTGGTATAACTTAATTGGTGTTATGAAAACACCTCTCTGGCTGCCAAGTGGGGAAAGGACTATGAGAGCACAGGAATGGGAGCAAGGACAGCATGGTGGTGGTGGTAGGGGATCCTGGTGAGAGATGAAGATCAAGTGCTAGTGACTGAGATGTAAACAAGTGTATGGACTAGAAACATTTAGAAGGTAATATTGTTAGGGTGTGGTGATGGATTGGAGGGGGTACAGAGGGAGAGGAAGGCCTCAAAGGAGAGTCCAAGGTTTCTGGTAACTAGGATACACTGTCATCCCACCCTGCCTCATCACCCAACCTAGGACAGAATATTTAGATCATGAGTTTTACTCAATTCATCTTGCTTTTGAGAGTAAGTCTTCTATATCCCTACTTGGCTTCTAGAAACACTACCCAGCAGTGAGCCCAGAAATGTTCAAAGACACTAAATATATTTTCAAAGTGCTTTTCAATTCACTCAGGGAAAGAAGAGGGGAAGGTCTGTTCCTAACCCTTTCACTGTCAGTATATTTAACTAAGCCAGGTAACACGGGCTCTCCCCTTGTGAGTGTCATAGTACGTCTTTGAAAAGTAGCTAACCTGATCATGAAAATAAAATTGAGAGACTCAGCCTCTGTGGGAGACTCTTGCTCTCCCAGCCTGCCACAGTAATTGTTCTGGGATATCTCACTTCCCTGCCACATGGCGCTGTTCCCTTTGATTTATTTTCTCTGATGAAGGGACATTGAGTGATCACAGCTCCAGCTTTGTGTCATCATGACCAAACTCAATCAATCATAGCTGGGCCAAACAAGCTGCTAGAAGAAAATGAGTGAGAATTATTTTCTGTGCACCTTTGCAACTCTTCAGATTATAGTTTATCATTCTCATCTGAGGGAAGGGGAGGGCAGACACCAGAATAAAACAGTAGTTTATTGTTGTGAGGAGTGACTGACAGGTATACCTTGAAGATGCAGCAGTGGAGGGAAATAAATGTGTTCCGTTAGCCAGACATTGCAATCTCTGGCAAGGAAATGCTGTGGGTTCACATTTTCAGGCCCTGCTTGGCCTCACGGTTTAGATGGTTGTTGATCTCCCTGTGTAACATTTTCCAGGCTCATGTGAGAAACGTGTACAAATAAATCTGAAGATGAGAATCAAAGCACTTAGGTATCAAAAAATCCATGATTCTTGCCTCTGACAAGTAAAATTTGCTTTCAGGTGAAATGCTTCCCTCACCCTTCACATTCAGCAATATGCTATGCTCAACTTGCAGCAAGACATTTTAGAATTATTTCTAAATCTAAGTTTCAAATATGCACAAATACATAGAAATTTGCTGTCAGTGATCTCTGTTCCATCTGCACCAGACTAAAGGTTCCAAAGACTTTAAATGTGCAAACTAAATATCTCCCACTCAGGGTCAATGCATGGGACAACTCCACACGATATTCCCTGTGAGTCCCTGTACGGGTGCCTACTGGGTAGTGGCAAGGGCTGACCTTCAAATGCCCTTAGAGTTGTAGAATGCGGCAGCCTTGTTGCTCATACCTCCATGAACCAACCTCATATCCTTATTAAATACCCCTTTCCCATCTGTGGCAAGGGTCTGTGGTACCTTTGGTAGGCCTCCAGCCATTCTCAGGCTTATCTGGCTTCAGACTTTCCCCTTCAGCCAATGGTATACATTGCTTATGACTTGGCTTTTGCTTCGGTTTCTTAATGTAGTTTGTCTTTCTGGTACTAGAACTCTACCCCAATCTCTATGTAGTCTTACATTTCCTTCTCAGGGGACTGGAATCTGTCCCCTGAACCCATCCTACTCTACCCCCACATTTGGCTAGAGTCTTGTCTAGCAAAGTATAGTTTGCCTCACTCTGCTCCAGAAACTCTTGCTGGCAAACTTTTTTTAAAATTTTCCTGAGACAGGTTCTTGCTTTGTCACCAGGCTGAAGTAGATGTTGCAATCATGGCTCACAGCATTCTAAAACTCCTGGACTCAAGTGATCTACCCACATCGGCCTCCTGAGTAGCTGGAACTATAGGCACGTGCCTCTGCACCTGGCTGATGTTTTAATTTTTTTTTTTGCAGAGACAGAGCCTCACTATGTTGCCCAGTCTGGTCTTGAACTCCTGGTCTCAAGTGATCCTCTATCTTGGTCTCCCAAAATACCAGGATTCCAGGCATAAGCCACTGCACCCAGCCATTGCTGACAAACTTCACCTGTCAGAGTCAATTCAGATTAAGCCCATGCTCAGCCTCCTAAAACGCTGTGACTTGTCCTGCTGCGATTTGATACTCAGCATTGATCCTACCATTTTGGGCTTATTCCCTTCTTCATGCAGGGTCACTTTTGAGGGTCTAGTGGGCAACACAAAAGACAACACTTTCCCATTATAAATCCACATCAAGTGTGGGCCAGGTTTTAAATTACTTCAGTTAAGAGCCTCTGACAATAAAGTTTTTTTTTTGTTTATTTATTTATTTATTTATTTATTTATTTATTTTTTTTATTGATCATTCTTGGGTGTTTCTCACAGAGGGGGATTTGGCAGGGTCATAGGACAATAGTGGAGGGAAGGTCAGCAGATAAACAAGTGAACAAAGGTCTCTGGTTTTCCTAGGCAGAGGACCCTGCGGCCTTCCGCAGCGTTTGTGTCCCTGGGTACTTGAGATTAGGGAGTGGTGATGACTCTTAATGAGCATGCTGCCTTCAAGCGTCTGTTTAACAAAGCACATCTTGCACCGCCCTTAATCCATTTAACCCTGAGTGGACACAGCACATGTTTCAGAGAGCACAGGGTTGGGGGTAAGGTCACAGATCAACAGGATCCCAAGGCAGAAGAATTTTTCTTAGTACAGAACAAAATGAAAAGTCTCCCATGTCTACCTCTTTCTACACAGACACGGCAACCATCCGATTTCTCAATCTTTTCCCCACCTTTCCCCCCTTTCTATTCCACAAAACTGCCATTGTCATCATGGCCCGTTCTCAATGAGCTGTTGGGTACACCTCCCAGACGGGGTGGTGGCCGGGCAGAGGGGCTCCTCACTTCCCAGTAGGGGCGGCCGGGCAGAGGCGACCCTCACCTCCCGGATGGGGTGGCTGGCCGGGCAGGGGGCTGACCCCCCCACCTCCCTCCTGGACGGGGCGGCTGGCCGGGCAGAGGGGCTCTTCACTTCCCAGTAGGGGCGGCCGGGCAGAGGCGCCCCTCACCTCTCAGACGGGGTGGCTGGCCGGGCGGGGTCTGACCCCCCCACCTCCCTCCCGGACGGGGCGGCTGGCCGGGCAGAGGGGATCCTCACTTCCCAGTAGGGGCGGCTGGGCAGAGGCGCCCCTCACCTCCCGGAGGGGGCGGCTGGCCGGGGGGGGGGGCTGATCCCCCCACCTCCCTCCTGGACGGGGCGGCTGGCCAGGCGGGGGGCTGACCCCCCCATCTCCCTCCCGGACGGGGTGGCTGCCGGGCGGAGACGCTCCTCACTTCCCAGACGGGGTGGCTGCCGGGCGGAGGGGCTCCTCACTTCTCAGACAGGGCGGTTGCCAGGCAGAGGGTCTCCTCACTTCTCAGACAGGGCGGCTGGGCAGAGACGCTCCTCACATCCCGGACGGGGCGACAGGGCAGAGGCGCTCCCCACATCTCAGACGATGGGCGGCCGGGCAGAGACGCTCCTCACTTCCTAGATGGGATGGCGGCCGGGAAGAGGCGCTCCTCACTTCCTAGATGGGATGGCGGCTGGGCAGAGATGCTCCTCACTTTCCTGACTGGGCAGCCAGGCAGAGGGGCTCCTCACATCCCAGACGATGGGTGGCCAGGCAGAGACGCTCCTCACTTCCCAGACAGGGTGGCAGCCGGGCAGAGGCTGCAATCTCGGCACTTTGGGAGGCCAAGGCAGGCTGCTGGGAGGTGGATGTTGTAGCGAGCCGAGATCATGCCACTGCACTCCAGCCTGGGCACCATTGAGCACTGAGTGAAGGAGACTCCGTCTGCAATCCCGGCACCTCGGGAGGCCGAGGCTGGCGGATCACTCGCGGTTAGGAGCTGGAGACCAGCCCGGCCAACACAGCGAAATCCCGTCTCCACCCAAAAAATACGAAAACCAGTCAGTCGTGGCGGCGCGTGCCTGCAATCGCAGGCACTCCGCAGGCTGAGGCAGGAGAATCAGGCAGGGAGGTTGCAGTGAGCCGAGATGGCAGCAGTACAGTCCAGCTTCAGCTCGGCATCAGAGGGAGACCGTGGAAAGAGGGGAGAAGGAGGGGGAGGGGGAGGGGGAGAGGGAGAGGGAGACGGAGAGGGAGAGAGTTAAGCCTGACTTTCTAAGGGTTGTCCCTGGAAGCCAGTCGACAATAAAGTTTTAAATTTAACTCATGAAACATGCCAATAAATACCACATTATTTTTTGTTACATATTAAAAACTCAAAAATATTTAGAGGATCAATTCCCAAGCATCTTTCATTAAGCCAGCTGGTGACATAAACTTTCCTGTCTTGCATTTTTATCCTCCTCTTTTCATCCAAGATCATACCATCAAACCTTTATGAATTTGGGCAAAAGAAGGAAGTTAGGTATGGGAGATGCAGGCCACAGAGTACCTTCAGGGATTATTTTCTTCATGGTGATAGGGTGAAATCTGTCCTTATCTTCCTAAAGAGACTCATAAAACTCTGGATGTAATGAGTTCTATATTGAGAAATAAACCAAAAATTGAAATTTAGAATTTTTAGTGCTGTACTCCAGTGATCTAAAGAAAATAATGAGTTGCATATTTGCAATTACTGTAATGTGACTTAGCTACACTATTGTAATCTGCACACAGATTTAAGACATAAAATCCCTGTGCTCCCTGGTGGCCTCAGGGGTGACATCACTTGTTATGAAATTGAGAGGGAGTAGTTCAAATAATGTAATGGAAAAATCCCAAATGCAAATGCAGTTGGTTATGAATCCAGGAAGATCACTGTGTTTATACCCAGAAGACTGACTACATCTCGTAGGAATCAGGAGAGTCTTTTGCTGTTACCACAAAACTGTCTGTTCACAATCCTGTTCCTCCTACTCATGGAGCCAGATTTTAGAGGTTAGGAACCAGACCTTAGTGTAAGGGCCCACAGCCACTGCTTTTTTGGCAGAATGGGAAGTAGGGAGTCTAGGAACAAGGGGTAAAACTCTACTCCTTTTCTCTAATAATCTCTCCTTACTCTCAGAATGAGAGAATTTGTGCAAGTGTCCAAGAAGTGTTCACAGTAGGCCTGTGAAATAGGCACATGTACTGGGGTCACACAGCACAGTAAAACAAGCTCTGCTCTGGCATCAAACTCCCTGGACTGGGTTTGAACCCCTGACCATTACTAGATTCATGACCCTGGGAAAGTTCTTTAATCTCCCTGAGTCTGTTTCCTCATATGCTACAGTGGGAATCAAAATATCTACCTTGCAAAAATTATTGTGAAAATTGAAGATAAATAATTATTTTAATGTTTTCCACAGGGTAGAAATTCATAACCGATAATAGTTAACTTATAATTATTACTAGTATTATCTTCTCCTTACCCTCTCCTATCACTTTCTCCTGAGAATTCCTTACAAATTCTCCAGTGACAACTAAGTACAGAGGGACATTCTATCTCTTCTTTTCTCTTTGGGTGGAACTAGGTCTTAAGAGGCAGAAATAACTTTCACAATCTCCTCCCAAACTTACCCCAAAATTCCTCAGCCTGCTGAACAACCCACAAGAGTCTCCTTGGACTCAGAACCTGAACATGCAGAAGCTGTCTTGCTTCACTCCTCTTTGTGGGGTTCTCCTCCTTATGCTCAGAGAGCCCCAGAGACTTTCTGCAACTCCACTTTACCAGTTAAGATCAGGCCATCAGCATGAAGGACTGCTTCTGTTCATAGGAGGCTCAATCAATGTTTGTGCCCTGAATAAAGGTGTAAACCAAAAATAAAACTCTAAGCCCCTAGACTGACTGAATGGACCCCCTCTTGGCCACAGGGATTCCAAAGAAACCTGAAAACTAGTTCAGGTCATTACAGGAGAGGGCAGGCGGGGATCAGACATGCCACATTATACTTTCTTTCCATTGGAGTTCAGGAACACAATTGACCAGCATTAACATTAAAATAGAGATCCTAAGACTGACAGAACAGATTCTCCCTAGCAGTAAGTTACCAAATTCCAACTTGACTCTAGTATAGTATCACATGACAGATAGCAGGACCCTGAAGGAAATCAAAGTATTTTACTCCACAATATATTTCTTTGACATATTTTAAAATGGCCCTGCAAAGCCTTTTGTAGGAGAGAATTTGCATCTGTAAAGCGTCTCTATTAACAAAACTAGATCTTTCCCCTTGCAGCCCCCACCCCACCACCATCACCAATCCTGAAGAGATTAACTGAGACTCTAGCACCTTTTAAAGTTCTGAATAGGAAACATTCACCATCTATTATCTCTAGGGGCAGCCACCTGTAAGACTTCATAAGAACCTTGGTCTCTACAATCCCTTATCTTACCCCAGACACTTCTTTCTATTAATTCCAGGTCTTTAAGTAATTATGTAACTCTTTCAACCAATTGCCAATCAGAAAATCTTTAGATTTACCTATGACCTATCACCATCCCACAGCCTCTGACCCCACTGCCCCTCAAGTTGTTCCACCTTTCTGGACTAAACCAATGTATGCCTCCGACCCCACTGCCCCTCAAGTTGTTCCACCTTTCCGGACCAAACCAATGTATTTATTGATGTCTTATGCCCCCTAAAATGTATAAAATCAAACTGTATCCCAAACACATTGGACACATGTTCTCAGGACGTCTTGTGACTGTGCCTCTTGCCATGGTCATTCATATTTGTCTCAGAATAAATCTCTTCAAATATTTTACAGAGTTTGGCTCTTTTCATTGACAAATCAATTAGCTAAATCAGCTCATAACTTTACTTAGATATCACAAATAGTCACACACTTATTTCTAACTTTTAATAACTTCTACACCGTAATCCTAATTTTATCCGTGACCATCAATTTTAAGTTTATATACTGCTCAGGTGTGCAAAAATGTTAACTTTTTACATCTCACAATTAAATTCAACTAATTCAAGTTCCCACCCCATCCCCACTCATCATTTCTGCAGATGTTGGGAAAAATACCTTGATTTTGCAAATTAAAGGTAATTTAATCACATTCAGTTTGAAATTTAGCCTCTCATTTATTAGGTTCAGGTCAGGATTCATCATTACACAATTCAAAAATTATAGCTTTTCCTACCACCCACCCCTGCATCAGTATTACAGTTGTGGGCAGGGGAGCTTACATCCCATTATAGTGTTGGGGTAGTGTGTCTGGTCTACAGACCTGCTGCAGGTCTTCCCTGGCCTCTGCTGTTGTCTTCCTCACTGGGCTGTTTAGATATTGGCCTCTGTTGCTCCATGCTGCTGATATATCTGGTCACACCTGGTTTGGCGGCTTGAACAGAAATATAATGCTGATGTTTGTGGTCACTGCCAGAGCCTCTAGTGACAAGGTCCATGTCTTCTGCATCCTCTTCACCCCTGACTGGGGCATCTTTTAGTCCACTGCCCTTACCTTCCTTCTGAGTACCCTACTGGGGAAGTGAACTTCTGGACAACACCTCATAGTGTGCTCAGGCCCCTCTCTGCCTAAACATACCCCTCCACCTTTCTACCCAACTTCATCACATGGTGACAATGCCAGTACACTGAGAGGAAGCCTCCTCCTACAGTTCCAGATAGGAAGTGGGGTGGTCAGCCTACTCCTAAACTATATGGGATTTTTATAGCCTCGTACTGCTTTCTCAGTTGAGGCCCAGGTGATGGACATCACTGGTTGCCTTTCTAATAGCTCTTTCTCTTCTCTTTGCTGAAAGAAACCCATTTTTCTTCATGGTACCAATGTGATTAGTACCAATATTTACCTTTTTGAACTTCCTTTTGCTGGAGATGGGTAATAAGATATAAATGGATATTACTTGATAGTCTTTTCAGAAGGACTTTAAAAAAAGAAAAAGCTGGCATGTACCTTTTGCCTTTGCTCTTTTCCCTTTTTAGTGATTGTAATACAAACGTGATGGAAGGAGGTAGAGCAGCCACTTTGCAACCAGCAAGCTACATACTAAGAGGGCAGAAGGAAGCTAGGAAGAATCTGCACTGATGATTACTTCTCTGAATACAGACCTTCAGACTTCTTTAGGGGAGAAAAAAACAAATGCCTATTTACTTATACCACTATGATCTGGCCACTTGTACATGCAGCTAAAAGCATTAAAAAATGATCAGTTTGGGCACCATATTTATCCTAGTCTTCTGGCCTCTAAGTATATGTGGCCTCTTAAATCCCATCTCTACCTCCCAGAGTAGCAAGTTTTTTTTTATTGTCATCATACATTTTGGGAAACTACTGTTGTATCATTGTGGGGATATGAAACTTTCCTCAATTCATCAGTGCTCTTGTAAAATGCACTAGCCTCCTGAAACTTGGAAATGTAACTGACAGAAAGAGGAAAAAAAATTTGGCTCTCACTTCCCATGGAAACATTTTCACCCACCATGAAGATTAGATCTGCAGCCAATGTTTCCCTCAATGATGGAGCTAATAGCTCTGATATAAAAGGATAATAAAACTTCTCTTATCTCCCCTAAAGTCAGTTGTCCTGAGATAGTTGTCTAGGTTAGCTCCTAGGAATTTACATATTAAAAGAGTGGATCAGGACCTCTCCAGGTGGGAACACACTCCTGGAGACATTTCATTTGTAATCCAAATGGTTAAGTTGAGAAACCAGGATCCTTTGCATCCCCACCAGAAAGCAGCAAAAGGTTTTTTTTTTTTTCCTTCCTCTCTTATTTTGGGAGAGAAGTGGGAGGCAGTTGGTTTTTTACTGTATGTAAATGGAGAAAATCCATTGTTTCCTGTCCCCTGGCACCCACATAAAAAGATTTCATGGCTCTTATCTCCTGTAGGGCTAGGTGTGGGGAACTGGTGCTGCAATGTTATTCTGGCTGTTGATCTGCTTATATTGGTAATGAACTCCTCCCTGACCCACATGCCTCATGGCTCTGCATTGTTCACATATAAAAAGTACATAGCTTTTCAAGCGGAGTTGTATCTCCCAGTTCTCGACAAAGCAATTATAGCTGTATCCTTCCTATTTTGGGGGCCATTTTATAACCTCTATTCTTTGATTCCTTGATGTTTAGGCTCATTTTAAACAACTTGACACTTTCACACTCTTTGGCGAAATGGACTTTATAAGTGAACTTGGAAGTCCAGATGGAACCATTTAATCTTTTGTCTGCTATGTTCTTTCCTCACTTTCAAGAGGGCTTTGGAGAAGTAATCTTCCAGAAATAAAATATGCACGGTATAATATTTGAAAATATTAGCCTGCTGTACCTTTTCGTTTTAACAAGCATGATACTGTCATACTACATGATGTTGTGAATTTAACCCATTTTCAGACTTCTTCAGGACCATGGTAGCAGTACTTCTGTCCATCCACCACACTTCATTTCATCTTGCACTGGGCCATTTCCCTCTGTCTCTTTTCACAATCTCTTTCCTGCATGAACATGGTTCTTTGCATCCTGGGGTAGTCTCGTGTGTGTCCATCAACCGGCTTATCTTTTTTTCCTTCAAATCTGGAGGATTAATTAAGGATGGCCACAAATTCTTTGATCCTTTTCCTCTTGAAAGGTGAGGTCCATTTTTCTTCCTCTGAATCTGTGACTGTTTTGGCCAGTAGAATATAGCACAAATGATGCTGCACTAGCTTCTAGGCCAAAAGACCAGCTGCTTCCGCTTCACATCTCAAGGAATGATCACTCTTGCAACCCTGAGACACTAGGTAACCAGACCAATTACCCTGCAGAGAAGATCACATGGAGATGACAAGGAGCCCAGACAAACCTTGTCTCTAACTCTCCTTGTTAAGATATTGGACATGCACATGAGGCTGTCTTGGACCTTCCAGACCAGACTATC
Source organism: Homo sapiens (assembly GCF_000001405.40). Classification (NCBI taxonomy): domain Eukaryota; kingdom Metazoa; phylum Chordata; class Mammalia; order Primates; family Hominidae; genus Homo; species Homo sapiens. The sequence goes on from NC_000005.10 coordinate 108,565,884, forward strand.
CACCAGGTGAATATCCCTGCAGAGTGACTAGTGGGCACCACATGGAGCAGAATTGCTAAGGTGTCTGAATTCCTGATCCTTAATATTATGAGATATAATTAAATTAGCTATTGTTTTAAGCCACTAATTTTGGGGAGAGTTTATTACATAGTAGTTGGTAACCAGACCATCCAAGCTTATTGCTGTCCTTCCTAGTCACCTCTCTTGTCACTAGCATCCATTTTTTCCCCTTCTTCTCTCCAAGACAGCCTCATAGCATCTCCAATACCAATTTTACCCAAATGACATTTATTATGATAATGGTGGTTCAAGGAACCATATAGAAATTTAATTGTCAGACAATTTGCTTAATAGCCTAAATGTGAACTGTAATCTTTATGTTTGGATATCTTCAAGATCTGGGTCTGTCCTCTACTTAGTGAGACAATGTATTCCCTCAGAAATAAATTTTTGTAAAGCCCTAATCAACATTATCATTACTTATTCTGATAGAAGTATCAGTATTAGTAAACCCTAAACAGCCTCAGGGCTTAAACTTCTTTTCCATTTAGAAATGTCAGGACTTATAAAACACAACTTTGATTAAAGCAAAGAAATAAGTTTGATATTCAATGATGTAATTAGTGTCCAAAAGCTTAGGGGGAAAAACAGCATTTTTAAAACAAAGCAGAATGAAGATTTGATTTCTATGCTTCTCTGAGAGATTTAGAGAGGTGAGAAAGGAAGAGATGAAGAGGTTGCAATATGTTTGCATAGTCATGCCATTTTGATTTTTCCTCCAATATTTTAGAACCATTTTCAATCAAAGTGTTTCCCCCACTACTGGACTTCACCCATGTGAAATAGTAGACAAATCTGAGGTATCAGGACCCCCTACCATTGGATATCAACTGTAGCAGACCCAAGACCCCCTTACTTTCCTGAAATGAAATTCACAGGTGACATCTATACAAATAATATGAGCTAAATATATAGTGCCCTAATTTTAATGTAAAAAGGAAATAAACTAAAAGTAATTTATAATCAAATATTTCAGTAAGTAAGAAGTTGGGCTCAATAATACTACAAGAGTAATGAACAACTGGGTGCCTGCACATACACATAGAATCATTATGATGGTGATAGCTAGAAATGATTCAGCTGTTGTGTACTGGCAACTGAAATACCTCAAGCATTGTTGCCGTAGGTGAAACGATTTTCTGGAACAAGGAATAGCTGAAATGACTAAAACAAAAAGTCAAATCATCCCTTAATTTACACAGTTGTTGCATTCTGATTCTTAAGATTCCATTGTATGTTAAATTCATTGTACATTAAAACCAACCCAAAATACTTTGTTTTCAAGAATGTCCATGGGGATATGCAAAGTCATGTGGCTCCGGGACAATTCTCTGTCGTGTAAGATTGTTCAACACATGCACAATATCTAGCATCCCTCATCCCTCCATCACTGTGATGACAAAAACTCCCCACAAATTATGAAAAAGCTCCCTAGAATAGGGTTGCCAGATTAAGTCCAGGATGCTTAAATTTGAATTTCAGAGACACAAATAATTTTTTCACTATAAATAGATCCCACACAATATTTGGGATCTAGCTTTACTTAAAAAAAAAAATATTGCCTCTGACATTCCTTTTTAGCTAGATGTCTTGTATTTTTACTTGCTAAATCTAGCAACCATATCCTGGAGGAAAGTACCAGTCTCTTGAGAACCGCTGCTCAGCAGGCTACCCTCAAGTCCTCAAGCCAAACTTGCAACATCTGGGATCATGACTTTCACTCGTGTCCGTGTGAAGAGATCACCAAACAGTCTTTGTGTGAGCAACAAGGCTGTTTATTTCAGCTGGGCGCAGGCGGGCTGAGTCCGAAAAGAGAGTCAGCGAAGGGAGATAGGCGTGGGGCCGTTTTATAAGATTTGGGTAGGTAAAGGAAAATTACAGTCAAAGGGGGGATGGTTGTTCTCTGGCTGGCAGGGGTGGGGGTCACAAGGTGCTCAGTAGGGGAGCTTTTGAGCCAGGATGAGCCAAAAGAAGGAATTTCACAAGACAGTGTCATCAGTTAAGGCAGGAACAGGCCATTTTCACTTCTTTCGTGGTAGAATTCATCAGTTAAGGCAGGAACCGGCCATCTGGATGTGTATGTGCAGGTCACAGGGGATATGATGGCTTAGCTTGGGCTCAGAGGCCTGACATTCCTGTCTTCTGATATTAATAAGAAAAATAAAATGAAATAGTGGTAAAGTGTTGGGGTGGTGAAAATTTTGGGGGTGGTATGGAAAGATAATGGGCGATGTTTCTCAGGGCTGCTTCGAGTGGGATTAGGGGTGGAGTGGGAACCTAGAGTGGGAGAGATTAAGCTGAAGGAAGATTTTGTGGTAAGGGGTGATATTGTGGGGTTGTTAGAAGAGACATTTTCATGTAGAATTATTGGTGATGGCCTGGATATGATTTTGTATGAATTGAAAGACTAAATGGAATAAGAGAAGGAGAAAAACAGGTATTAAAGGACTAAGAATTGGGAGGACCCAGGGCATCTAATTAGAGAGTGCCTAAGGGGGTTCAGCATAATTACTTGCTTGGTTGGCAAGTTTTTGCGCTCTATCCTTGAGTTTTTTTATGTTGTCATACACCAGGCCAGATTGATTTAGGTAAAAACAACACTCTTCATTTGAGAATATACAGAGTCCTCCTTTTTCAGCAGTGAGTAAGTCAAGGCCTCGGCGGTTTTGGAGGCCAACTGCAGCTAAAGAGTCAACTTGGGCCTGGAGGACTGATAAAGTTTGTGATATGTCTGTGATGCTAGCAGAGAAGTCATTAGAAAGGCTACAGAAGGTCGTAACAGAGGTTGAAATGCCTGCTATTCCAGTACCAAGAGCAATAGTGGAGGCAGCAAGTCTTAAACTGACAAGCAAGGGAATTAGTGGAATAACTCTTTTTTGTCGTGTCGGTGTCATGAGGGGAACAGGGAGTTCTTCAGTCCTATTTGCAAATTGAATTTTGGGAGTAAGGAAAAATAGTGTGCATGTGCCTGTCCAATTAGCAGGTAGACACATGTAGGTAGAGGATCCACAGAGGAAGAAAAGACTGTGTGCGAGACAAAACTGGAGATGCAAAGTAAAAAGATGAGAAGGAGTACTGAAAGGGGTGTCTTGTTCTTAGACTCCTAGGGATCCAGCTAGGGCGGCAGCCGTCAGAGGTTGTAATGGGGACTAATGAGGTAACTGTGTAGAGGGGGAGGTTCGATTTTCATGGTATATGAGAAAACGTCGAGTACCTATCAGTAACCTTTCACTGTTATTTTCAGGGTTGGGTATAAGTAAACAAGAAGAGGGCCTGGGAGGAGAGTCTGACAAGCAAGGGGAAGGTAGCCAAGGATGGAGTGAAATACAGGGTAAGTGTCTTCCTAAGCAATAATTACTGCTAATGTTTTTAAGTTTGCCAGTATTGATAGAGGGCTTGTCTGTAATATGGAGCTGGAAGGCTCCAGTTGTTTCAGTGATGTGTGTAGTTGGGCTTTGGAGCTGAAGAGTAAAGGAATATCAAGAAGGTGAAAGGTTACCTAAAGGAATTCCAGTGGGTCTTTGTGGAGAGATATATAAAGAAGCAGCCACAGGAATAGTAGTTTGTGTTGTGAGAGGTCTAAATATGGGGGGAGTAGAGTTGATATAAGGAGAAAGGTTTTTTAAGTAAGTGTGGAGGAGGGTGGCAGCTTGCTGATGTGAAATGTCTGGGGAGGTCTTGCTGGACCTGTCTAGAAAGTAAATGAGTTCTTCAGGAGGGTAAAGGTGAGGGCTGTTAAAGGAAGTTCAGAGGTGTAGGGAGACAGGAGATGTTGCCTAGTCTGCATGTAAGGCGGGGACAGCTGTGTAGGCGCTGGAAGAAAGGGAAATGCAAAGCCAGTGGTTGTTCGCTAAGGAGGGATTAGAAACAGCTAGGAGAGAATGAGTAAGGTTGATAGTGTGGTGGAGATAGCTGGGGAGAGGTAGAGGGTGGCATAAGAATGGGTATGAGAATAAGAGTGAGTATAAAAGTAAAGAACAGAACTTCAGGGTGAAAGTATTGGAGGGTCCTCTGGCCAGCAAAGATCATCTATCCACTCTAAGAGAGAGTTAAGAGTTGCCAGTCCTGGGTGGGGCAAATCCCCGAGCTTGATGTGTAGGGAAGGGAGGGGGCCTGAATAATCCCTGAGGAGTAGTAGAATAGCAGATGGAACACAGAGAAGTTATTTCCTTGAGGACAGATGGAAAGGAAATGAGAGGTTCTAAGAGGTGGGCTGGTGGCTTGTACTATAGCATAGCCTGCCTTTGCTGGTGTGTGGCAATTAGGCCTGGTGGAACTATCATCAATAAACCAAATGTGATCAGGGTGAGGAACAGGGAAGAAGGAAATATGGGGAAATGGGGTGAATGTCAGGTGGATCAGACAGATACAGTCATGAGGGTCAGGTGTGGTATCAGGAATAATGTGGGAGGCCGGATTGAAGTCCAGGCCAGGAACAATGGTAATTGTGGGAGACTCAACAAAGAGTGAGTATAGCTGAAGGAGCTGGGAAGCAGAAAGTATATGCGTCAGGTATGAGGCAGAAAATAGATTTTGGAAGTTATAAGAACTGTAGAGAGTGAGTTCAGCATAGTTTGTGATTTTGAGGGCCTCTAAAAGTATTAAGGCAGTGGCAGCCGCTGCATGCAGACATGAGGGCTAGGCTAAAACAGTAAGGTTAAGTTGTTTGGGCTACAGGGCCTGGTCCCAGCTCTTGTGTAAGAATTCTGACCACACTAACCATGCCTAGGAAGGAAAGGAGTTGTTGTTTTGTAGGAGGGATTGAGGTTTGGGAGATTAGTTGGACACGATCAGCAGGGAAAGCACGTGTGTTTTTATGAGAATTATGCCGAGATAGGTAACAGATGAGGATGAAATTTGGGCTTGACTGAACTAATGGCTATCTGTGAAGCCCTGTGGCAGCACAGCCTAGGTAATTTGCTAAGCCTGTTGGGTGTCAGGGTCAGTCTAAGTGAAAGTGAAGAGAGGCTGGGATGAAAGGTGCAAAGGGATAGTAAAGAAAGCATGTTTGAGATCCAGAACAGAATAATGGGTTGTGGAGGGAAGTATTGAGGATAAGAGAGTATATGTGTTTGGCACCATGGGGTGGATAGGCAAAACAATTTGGTTGATAAGGCGCAGATCCTGAACTAACCTGCAAGGCTTGTCTGGTTCTAGAACAGGTAAAATGGGGGAATTGTAAGGAGAATTTATAGGCTTTAAAAGGCCATGCTGTAGCAGGCGAGTGATAACAGGCTTTAATCCTTTTAAAGCGTGCTGTGGGATGGGATATTGGCGTTGCGTGGGGTAAGGGTGATTAGATTTTAATAAGATGGTAATGGGCATGTGATCGGTTGCCAGGGAGGGAGTAGAGATGTCCTATACTTGTGGGTTAAGGTTGGGGGATACGAGAGGAAGATGCAAAGGAGGCTTTGGGTTGGGAAGAAGGGCAGCAATGAGATGTGGTCCAAGAATAGACAGGGAAGCAGATAATTTAATTAAAATGTCTTGGCCTGATAAGGGAGCTGGGCAGGTGGGGATAACTAAAAAGGAATGCTTAAAAGAGTATTGTGTAAGTTGGCACCAGAGTTGGGGAGTTTTAAGAGGTTTAGAAGCCTGGCCATCAATACCCACAACAGTTATGGAGGCAAGGGAAACAGGCCCTTGAAAAGAAGGTAATGTGGAGTGGGTAGCCTCCTTATTGATTAAGAAGGGGATGGACTTACCCTTCACTGTGAGAGTTACCCAGAGCACCTGTGATGGTCCTGTAGGCTTCCGAGGCAATCGGGCAGTGTCAGTCTTCAGCTGCTAAGCCAAGAAAATCTGGGAAGGAGTCAGAGAGCCTTGGGCCAGAGTTCCAGGGGTGCTGGAACTGGCTGCCAGGTGAGTTGAACAGTCCGATTTTCAGTGGGGTCTCGCACAGATGGGACACGGCTCAGGAGGAATCCTGGGCTGTGGGCATTTCTTGGCCCAGCGGCCAGATTTCCGGCACTTGTAGCAAGCTCTTGGGGGAGGAGGTTCTGAAGGAACCTCTGGCAGCTGCGGTTCAGGCGTTTGGAGTTCTTGTGTGCTGGGAGATGTAGCTGGGGTTTCTCTCACAGTGGAGGCAAGGAATTGCAACTCAGAAATATGTTGCTACTTGGCTGCCTCTACTCTATTATTGTACACCTTGAAGGCAAGGTTAATTAAGTCCTGTTGTGGGGTTTGAGGGCCAGAATTTAAATTTTGAAGTTTGAGTGGATTGGGTGGTAAAATGCATATTAAGAATAAGGCGGCCTTCTGGCCCCTCTGTGTCTAGGGTGGTAAAGCGTCTAAGGGTTGCTGCTAAGCTGGCCATGAACTGGGCTGGGTTTTCGTCTTCACCTTGGGTAGTTTCTTTAAGCTTGTCATAATTAACAGCCTTGTAAGCTGCCTTTTTAAGCCCTTCAACTAGGCAGGAAATCATTTAATCTCGCCTGGCTATACCTGGGGAATCTGCCTGATAGTTTCATTGGGGATCCTCTCGGGGAACAGCTCTAATGTGTTCCTGGAGGTCTGGCTTGTGAAGCCAGCGGTTATCAGCATAAGATTGGGCTAGAGAAAAAACTCTTTCCCATTCATCTGGGGAGAGGCTAGAAGTCAGGATGACATTTAAGTCACTCCAGGTTAAGTTGCAGGACAGAGTTAGATATTAGAATTCCTGTGTATATTTAGTGGGGTCTGATGAGAAAGAGCCTAAACGCTGACTGATCTGAGAGAGGTCTGATAGAGAAAAAGGTACATGTACCCTGACTCTGCATTCAGCTCCAGCCACTTCTCTAAGAGGAAATTGTTGGGCAGGTGGGGAAGAGCTAGTCATGGAACTAAACTGTAAGCCCGACCGGATGTGAGGAGGGGAGGTGATAGAAGGATTATAGGGTGGAGGAGCGGAGGCTGAAGAGGAATTGGGACTTAGCTCAGCCTGGCAATGAGCAGCCTGGGGAGAAGGGGAGAGGTCAGATGGGTCTGTAAAAAAAGAAGACTGGAAAGACTCAGTGACGCTTGGGGTTGGGACTGAGGGGACAGGCAGGAGGGAAAGGAGGAGGATTTGGGAGGAATCACATTAGGAACAGAGACTAGGGAGGGAATGAAGTGTGAAAAATGCCTGGATGTAAGGCACCTCAGACCATTTGCCCATTTTTCGACAAAAATTATTTAGGTCTTGTAGGATGGAGAAATCGAAAGTGCCATTTTCTGGCCATTTAGAGCCATTGTCAAGTTTGTATTGGGGCCAAGCAGTGTTGCAGAAGAAAATAAGGCATTTAGGTTTTAGGTCAGGTGTGAGTTGAAGAGGTTTTAAGTTTTTGAGAACACACACTAAGGGAGAAGAGGGAGGAAGGAAGGGTGGAAGGTTGCCCATAGTGAAGGAGGCAAGCCCAGGAAAAAGAGAGAGTAGAGACATGCAGAGAAGGGGTTGGGGGTTTCTTGCCCTCCAGAAAAGTGGAGAAGGGGTAGAGACATGGAGAGAAGGGGTGGGGTGGGGGGTTCTTGCCCTCCAGAAAAGTGGAGAAGGGGTAGGGACGCAGAGAGCAGGGGTCAGGGGGTTCTTGCCCTCCAGAAAAGCAGAGAAGGGGTAGAGACACGGAGAGAAGGGGTGGGGTGGGGGGTTCTTGCCCTCCAGAAAAGCAGACGAGGGGTAGAGACACGGAGAGAAGGGGTCAGGGGGTTCTTGCCCTCCAGAAAAGCGGGCAAGGGGTAGACACACAGAGAGAAGGGGTCAGGGGGTTTTTGCTCTCCAGAAAAGTGGACAAGGGGTAGAGACACGGAGAGAAGGGGTTGGGGGGTTCTTGCCTTCCAGAAAAGCAGAGAAGGGGTACAGACATGGAGAGAAGGGGTCAGGGGGTTCTTGCCCCCAGAAAAGCGGTACTTGCCACTAAGGGTGAAGGACCAAGACAGGCGTCCCTGCATGGTCAGACACCTCTGAAACATGAGTGAATAATCAGGCAGGCATCCCTGCATGATTAAACACCAAGGGAAGACTGTCTTCCTGAGTCTGTGACCAGTGCCAGAGTTTTGGGTCTGTGGATAAAACACATCTCCTTTGTCTCTACCAGAAAAGGAAAGGAACTGAAATTAAGAGAAGGGAGAGATTGAAGTGTGGCACCAAGATTGAAAGGAGAAAGAGGTTGAGGGATAGTGAGAGAGGTTGGAGAAGAGAGTAAAAATGTTACTGGGGGTCCTTGCTCCTAGAGCTCCTAAGATGGTGGTGGGCAACTTCTAAAATGGCAGTGGGCCACTTCCAAGATGGTGGCAAGCCTCGTGTTCTTTCACCTGGGGTTCTTGGCCTCACGGATTCCAAGGAATGGAATCTTGGGCCATGTGGTGAGTGTTGTGGCTCTATTAGAAGTTGTGGGTCACGGAAGAGAACCGTGGAACCCAGTGACTAGTGTTCAGCTCGATTAGGATGAACCCAGGCACTCAGTCGTGCAGGAACAATGACAAGCCTTTAGCCTGATCGGGAGTGGCAATGGGTGCCTCCCTGGATCAGGAGCACAGTGGACACCCTGCTGGATCTGGAGGGATGGAAGTCAGTGGCAGGTCTGTGACAACAGCGAAACAGCAGTGGTGGATGGCAAGCAAAAGCTCAGCTCAAGTCTTAACAAACACAGACCAGAAGAGTGCAGTTGCAAGATTTAATAGAGTGAAATAGAGTGAAAACAGAGCTCCATACAAGGAGGGGACCCAAAGGGGATTGCCGTTGCCAGCTCGAATGCCTGGATTTATATCCTGATCCTTGTCCCTCCTGCTGTGCTCTCAGGCAATAGATGATTGGCTATTTCTTTACCTCCTATTTTTGCCTAATTAGCATTTTACTGTGCTCTCTGATTGGTCAGGTGTGTGCTCAGTTGCAAGCCCCATGTTTAAAGGTGGATGCGGTCACCTTCCCAGCTAGGCTTAGGGATTCTTAGTCGGCCTAGGAAATCCAGCTAGTCCTGTCTCTCAGTACCCCCTCTCAACAGGAAAACCTAAGTGCTGTTGGGGAGGTTGGCCGACGACCACTCTAACTGCTTCCTGCTGAATTGGGGTGTAGTAGGGGTTGTGCAGTTGAAATTTCCTCTGGAGGGGTGCCTTCAATGTCATTAACATCAGAGCATGGGCTAGCAGGCCAGTCCAGGGGTCCGCGGTAGATCTTAGTTATGGGCTGCATCTGGGGCTCCATTTGAAGAATGATTTGTAGTTTTACAGCTTCGATTCTGGAAGAGACAAACTTAACAAGGAGGTTAAAGATACAGGGTCTAAAAATGAGTAGCAATATTATAGCTGCTAGAGGTCCTAAGAAGGGGAAAATCCAGGGCATCCATTGGCTGAGGAGGCCTCAGTGTCCCACGTTTTGAAGCTCTTTTGCTCTACGTTGTATTTGATTTCGAATTTCTTTAACTTTCTCAGTGACGATTCTGGATTGATTAACATAATAACAGCATTCTTCCTTTAAAAATAAACAGATTCCTCCTCTTTCGGAGGTTAGCAAATCTAAAGCTCTTCAATTTTGAAAGACTACTGTTGCTAGGGAGTTAAGTTGATCTTGCAAGGTGACCAGGGAGTCGGCGACCTGTTCCTTGTCACCATTTAGTTCTTGAGATAGTTTGTAGTAGAACTGAGTAGAGGTTGTGATACTGCCAATGCCAGTACCTAGTCCACCTAACACTCCTGCTCCGATAACAAAAGGAAGAATGGGTACTCTTTTGTTGTGGGGCTTAGGTACAACATAATTTTATAAATCTTGTTCAGTATAAATGGTCATAAGGGGCACTAAGAATGAGAGGAAGCATATAGATTCTGAAGAGCCATTTAAACAATGATAGGCTGAGGTACTACAGACAAAAAATATTCCTGAGGGTAGGCAGACTATTCATGTGGGAGGAGTTACCCACCTGTTGCATTGGGAGTTGGTTGTGTCTATATTGTTGCTAAATTTTACACAGGTGAGGTTTGAGGTATGGGTTATTTTCAGATTGGAAACAAGAGGTCCTACTAAAATGGAAGTGGTGTTTATTTCTGTGCTGAAGTTGTTCCATTGTTCAGGTACAGGGATTGAAACATATGGCCTGAAGTGCAGGGGGAGGCACATCCAACAGTTAGTAGGGTTTTGGGCTGAGACCTCATGGAGCCCAGTGAGGGTGGTATTAAATAGGCTTACTAAGTGAGTGTGGGTACGGAGGGTTTCATGTAGTTTTGAGAGATCTAGTCCTTTGTAGGGGCTAGGGGTGCTATGTACCTGGGTCAGTTGGGAGATTACTTCCTTTACATGTTTTTCTCTTGCCTGATCTTGAACTCCACCTCCATCAGACATACCGGTATGGGTGAAGTAAGTCCAACAGACAGTAGCTCCAAGTCCTCCAGGACAACTAGGATTAATATTTTTCCTGTCTAATAATGAGTATTTGCATGCATGCAAAGAGTGGCAGAGTTATAACAGTTGCAGGGCATATGGGTGTGGGCAGTGAAGGGGGGATTCCGTTAGATAAACTCCTATATGATGGGGCATCAATATTTCCGGGATGCCTCATTCTCTATAGAAACTCTTGGTAAGGGGAGCTATTGGTGGTACAGTGGCATGGAGGGGGTGCAGTGAGAGTGAAAGGGGGTAAGAGAACAGTAAAGAGAAAAATATGATAAGGGAGGGCCAGGGGGATTTACCATTTTAGTTACTTTCCTCTTGGTTGTCGTTTGAAGAGCAGGTGCAGATCCTCTAGAGGTTCACAGGAATAGTTAGCGTTGTCTCCTGGATTTTTGGGTTCCTTTGGCAGTATCTAGGGTTTGACTTGAGTGTGATGTATCCAAGACTCTACTCTAGCCACCTTAACCGTGGTTGGGGTAGATAAAATGACTGCGTAGGGTCCTTCCCAGGATGTATCTAGGGATGGGGAGTTAGAGGGAAGGGACTTGACTAATACCATGTCACCAGGGTGGAATAGTTCCTTTCCCTCTTCTCGGGGACAGGCTCCTTGTAATGTTTTAAGAACTTGTTGATATTTGGTTAAGGAGGTGATGTCTGCAACTAAGTTGGCCATCTCTCGGTCAAGCACATGGTCATTGGTTAGGAAGGGTCATCTATATAGCATTTCGTATGGGCTAAGTCCTGCTTTTTGAGGAGAGTTTCGGATCCTTAGTAAGGCTATAGGCAACAGAGCAGGCCATGCGAGGTGGGTTTCCTGGGCTAGCTTTTTTGGATGTCTTTTGTGTGTTTTGTTCTTTTTCTCGACCTTCCCTGAGGACTGTGGCCTCCACGCACAGTGTAAATGATATTGTATACCTAATGCCTGTGATACTCCCTGGGTTACTGTAGCCTTGAAAGCAGCGCCATTGTCACTTTGTAAGCCTCGGGGAAATCCGAATCTGGGAATTATTTCATGAACTAGTGCCTTTATTGCCTCTTGGGCCTTTTCTGTCCTACAGGGGGAGACCTCTGCCTAACCAGTGAAAGTATCTACCCAGACTTGTAGATACTGAAATCCCTGAGATTTGGGCATGTGGGTAAAATCTAGTTGCCAGTCTTCTCCTGGGTAATGGCCTGTTCTTTGTTCTCCTGAAGGAGCTTGGAGATAAGGCAGGGGATTATTTCTTTGGCACATTTTTTTTTTTTTTTTTTTTTTTTGAGACGGAGTCTCGCTCTGTCACCCAGGCTGGAGTGCAGTGGCACGATCTCGGCTCACTGCAAGCTCCACCTCCCGGGTTCACGCCATTCTCCTGCCTCAGCCTCCCGCGTAGCTGGGACTACAGGCGCCCGCCACCACGCCCGGCTAATTTTTTGTGTTTTTTAGTAGAGACGGGGTTTCACTGTGTTAGCCAGGATGGTCTCAATCTCCTGACCTCGTGATCCACCCGCCTCGGCCTCCCAAAGTGCTGGGATTACAGGCGTGAGTCTTTGGCACATTTTACAGGCCCTGACTATCTGCTTGATAGTTTTGAAAAGGCCTGGTCCAGTAAATAATGATTTGGCCATCTGATGGGTGCTATCAATTCCTAAATGAAAGGTTTGGTGAAGGGTTTTAAGTAATTTCCATTGGTTAGCTGCAGGCAAAATATTTTCCTTTCTTCAGTGGCTTGCCATCCTGAGGGGAGAAAACTATGTTCTCGTGAGGTTCCCCATTCTATTTCTCCTGCTGAGTACTGGGGCTTGGTTTCCTGGAGGGGATTACCCCATACTAGGGGTCCTTCTATAAGCATTTCTAATGGAGGGTCCTGTCTTGCGGCTCTTTTGGCTTCAATATCCACTTGGCAATTCCCTTCTATTTCTCTTTCCTTTCCTTTCTGATGACCCCGGCAGTGTAAGACTGCCACCTCTTTAGATTTCTGTACAGCCAATAATAATTTCCTAATGGCTTCTTGATGTTTGATAGGTGTTCCCTCGGAAGTTAGGAATTCCCTTTCTTTCCATATTGCTGCATGGGCATGGAGGACTAGGTGAGCATACTTAGAGTCTGTATATATATTTACCCTTTTTCCTTTTCCTAATTCTAGTGCTTCAGTGAGGGCTATTAGTTCTGCCAGCTGAGCACTAGTTCCTGGAGTGAGGGGATTACTTTCAAGTATTCCATTATCACTGACCACTGCATACCCTGCTTTTCAAAGTCCTTTTTCTACAAAGGAACTTCCATCAGTATAAAAGTTGAGGTCGGGATCAGTCAAGGGAACCTCTAAAGACATGCACACAGGGAGAACTCTATGTGAAGATGAAGGCAGAGATTGGTGTGATGTTTCTACAAGCCAAGGAATGCCAATGATTGTCAGCAAACTATCAGAAGCTAGGAGAGAGGCATGGAACAGATTCTTACAACCTTCAGAAGGAACCAACTCTACTGATAACTTAATCTTGGACTTTTAGCTCCACAACTGTGAGACAATACCTTCTGTTTTATAAGCCACCTAATTCATGGTACTTTATTATGGCAGCCCAGTAAACCAATACACATGGCCAGAAGTTACCTTAAGTCATGAAGTTATCTTCCTGTTCCTATGTCTCCACCTCCCTCAGAGTTCCCCAGCCTCTGATGCCTTTGACCCTATTACCTTGATACCTCATCAACAGCCATATGTAGATAAGTCAGGAAAGTTACTGGTCATAATAACAAACTGTCCCCCTCTTTCTCCCCTTTCTTCTATAGTCCCCTGGTGATATTATAAAAGCATGCACGGACTTTCAGGTTTATTGTTATTACTCATCACTATTACTAAATAATGGTAATGAATAACTAGTATTGTTATCTACAACTAAGAAGCTTAGGGATAACTTTTTACTACCCTTTTTTTCCAGACACACTTAGAAGCAAGCTCAAGGTATGAGAGGAGCACAGAATTTCAGTGACACAAATATCAAATTACTCAGTGGTATAAAAACCTCCTTCTGAAATCCAGTTCCTTTCATTTTCAGCACAACGTAAGACAAGTCTAACGGTTGTAGCAGATACTATTGGGCACAGGCCATAAAAACCCTCATCACTTGCTGTGCCAGTACATGTAGACAGGGTCCTACTGCAAGCAGATGAAACTCTTAGCCTGAGTGCCCTCTCTCGGCCAGTCGAAAGGGCAGGGCAGAAGTGCTCAGAATTAAGGCCCCTGGGAATAGCCTCAGCCAATGATAGATGGGAGTCAAAAGAAAAATATCCTACTTCTCTAATCCCATAGGTGGGATAAATCTTAGGAGTGTTCCCAGAGGGTTAGAGCACCAGTTGCCTCCTGTCACAACCACTGTGATGATACACTCCTTTTAGCTTCCTTCCCTTCCCCCCTCACACTTTCACTCCCCTGTGATCACTTCCCAAATAAACTACTTGTACTCAATTTCCCAACTCAGAGTTTGCTTCTAGAGAAACCAAGCTAAGACAATAGTGTAAGAGTATAATAGTAAATTATACTATTTAATTTTTAACTCTTCTTCTATGCGCTGATATGTTTGTAACTGGTAAATCTTTCTATAGAGACCAAAGTGATTTTATTTCATAGACAAAATTTGATTGTCACTGGGGCTATCCACAAATGTTCTGTTTCTCCTCTGTCCAGGTATATGGTAGGTTTCCATCCTTCCCACCCTCCATCCTTCCCACACTCCACACACAAGACAGATATTGCCATATGGCCTTGTGACTTGATGTGACCAATGAAATGGGAGTGAAAATGTTGTGTCTTTAAGAGTCAGGGCATGAACTCTTATGTCCATTTTTGTGTGTGTGTGTGCCTTGGTGAGTGGTAGACAGACTTTCAGATGGCCCCCAATAATCCTTGCCACCTGGAATTCACATCCATGTGCAATCCCCTACCCTTGAGTGTGGGCTGATTTGATGACCTGCAACAAATCACTAGAATATGGCAAAGGTGATGGGAGGCCACTTCCATTATTGTATTACATAAAACTATAAACTCTATCTTGCTAGCACATTCTCTTCCTGCAAGGAACTGAAATCTATCAACAACCACATAAGCTTGGAAGCAAATCCTTCCCCAGAAAAACCTTCAGGTGAGACTCCCAACCCTGACTAACACCTTGATAGCAGCCTTGTGAGAGATCTTGAAGCCAAGGACCCAATTCAAGCCATGCCTGGATTCCTGACCCATAAAACCTGTGAGAAAATAAGCAGGTGGTTTTTTTCTTAAATTGCTAAGTTGGTGATAATATGATACAGAGCAATAGAAAACAAATTGGCAATTGTGGCAACACAGATATGGAGCCTCCTTTAAGCTAGGTTCCAGCTGACCCAATGGACATGTGGTGTGGTTGCAAAATGAAGCTTTAGTATTTAAAGCAACTATGATTTTGGAGTTGTTACTAAAGCATACTTTAGCTTATCTTGACTGAATTATAAGGCAGTTTTTTGCTCTCCCTGCCAGGCTACCACATTATTGAACAAAGAAAAAACCCAGCTATGATAGTCACCTTGAGTTATGCAGACAACAGAATTTTGCATGGATCCAAAACTTAGTTTAAAAATCTTACCTCCTCCCAAATTAATATTCAGCTATAATAACCTCTGTGCCTTTCTCAGCACTGATTTTAAAATATGACCTCATCAAAGTTAAGACCTATTCAAATCTCATCTTTGAAATGCAAATGATGCTAATATTATGCCAAATTTCAGAGTAATTGCCTCAAAAATCTAAAACAGGATAGCTAGTTCTATCCTTATTGAAAATAACAACAACCCAGCATCTCTCTCTAGTTTGGTGATTTGCCTTTCTGACATTTTGTGTTTAGCAGGAGGTTAATTAGACACAATTGCAACTCTGCTGTGCTGCCCTAGGGCATAACACAAAGGGCCAATTTGGAGACAATTGAATCTTAGAAACCCTAGGAGATACCAGCTTGAAATTTCCAGCAGGTTTAAAACAGAATCTTCTTTACAAATTTAGTAGCTTTATTGGAACTTTAGGTTTGCAGCATAAACCCTAATTGGACTAAAGTTTTCATTGCAATGAGCTGCTCAAGGACATAATGAAAAGTCAACTTTCTGATGTGTTTATCTATTTCTTGGCTCCTAGGCACAATTGGAAATGCTAATACTCAGATGCTGTTCTATAGAAAGAAACTGAGGACTTTTTTTTCTTTTGAATTATGGAATGCAGGTTTTTCTGACCCCAAAGCTAACTCACACTATTAGACCACCAGTGAAACAAAGAGAAAATGTAAATGCAGAAAGTGAGTATACTAGAAACAACTAACTGTAGCTCTCTGAATGCCATAGCAAAGGGAAGAAGGTAATAATACCCCAGGATTGAGAGCTTTAGGACAGACAGGCCAGCCTCAGGCTTCTACCTTCCAGTCATTTCTTTCCTTCTTAGTCCATTTGGGCTGCTATAACAGAATACCACAACCTAGGGGGCTTATAAACAGCAGAAATTTGTTTCTCACAGTTCTAGAGGCTGGGAAGTCTAAGATCAGGGTGCCAGCAGATTTGGTATCTGGTGAGGGTCCATTTCCTTGTTCATAGATGATGCTTCTAGCAGTGTCCTCATGTGGTGGAAGGGGCAAGGAGTCTCTCTAGGACCTCTTTTATAAGGGCGCTAATCCCTTTCATGACGGCTCCATTGTCATGCCTTAATCACCTCCTAAAGACCCCACTTCCTTATACTATCACTGTACGTTAGGTTTCAACATATGAGTTTTAGGAGGACTCAAACATCCAGACTGAAGCACCTCATACCCAACTTGGAAGGCTCTTGTCCTTCTTTTAGCCACATGCTCAGTCCTTTAAGATTCAGCTCATATCAGGTTACTTCTCTCCCAAGAAGTCTAATCAGTCCACTACACTAAAATCATTAGAGAAAACAGGTCTGGATTCCAATCCCAAACCCCTCATCTACCAGTTGTGTGAATTTAATCAAAGTGCTTCTCTAAACCTGAGTTTTCTAGAATGGGGATAATACCTTAGAAGCTGTAGAAAGGATTACATGGGACTGTACATGGAAAGTCCTTAGCCCAGGGCTGGGTACCTTATTAAGAATTTACTTTTGTATGCCTCTTATTCTACTTAGCAGGTAAGGAAAAGTGTTAAGCTTGTCATACTTGTGTCTTGCTTCTCAACTAGCTTCTAAGTTTCATAAGAGGACCAAATTGTCATTATTCTATCTATTCAACTCAAAACATAGCACACAGTAACAGTTGATTTTATGGTGTAAATGATGATGACATTCACTTCACAGGGACCTGTCCCAAGGACTTGCCCTTAGAGACTTAGCACACTGAATGATTGCTGGGACACACAGCAAAGAGGTCAGAGTAGTGCTAATTTAACTGACCTTGCTGGAATATGATAATTTTCACCAATGTGAATTGTCAATGTGAGCACTAAAAATGAATAACTTGTATTGCTCAAGATCTGTGGGCAAGAGACATTCAGTTTGCTAGGCTTTATAAAGTTAAAGAATCATTTGATTTGTCCCTATAAGACTGTTTTCGGGCACATTCCTGTGCTAATTAAGTCTATTTTTCAGGGATTTTCAGCAGTACATGCCCCATGTACTCAGGCATGAAAGGCAAGAACCTTTACATATTCATAAATTTGGAGAGGAGATTTGAGCTTCTCAGGAGAGGGTAAATTTGTGGCAGGAAGGTCTCAGATGTTTGAGGCTATTTTCTTTTCCAAGGAGAAATTCTCACGTTCACCTCCTTTTCAGATTATAGAAAGAAATACTCTTGTCTATGAAGCTTCTAAGACTTAGAGACCCTGAATATAGAATAAACTTTTTGTGTGTAGCTAAGTAGGACTAGTGAGTAATAGAAATATTTTAATATATTCTATTGCTGCATTAAAATCCTTGGAAATAGAATTCTAATAACACAGAAAAACCTAAAGACAGCTTCACTGCCAGCAATTCCTGGTAGCCTGCAGCTGCCCTCAGTCTCTGCTTGGCCAGCCTTTGCTCTAGAGAATAAAAGGGAGGAGGGGCAGAAGATAGGTCATGGCAGCCTGAAGAGGTGATGAATTTTACCCACAGGCACAAATTAGATGATGCATGTATACTCTGCCTTTTTGCCCTCGAAGAGTGGTATATTTGCCCTAAAGTTTCACTGAAACTGTCAGTTTTAGTTTCAAAATATAATAGATTTTAGTACCAGTTACTTAGTAGCAAATACATTTCCAAGAGAGATACAACTTGAGATTCCAAACTTTAGTCACATCTTTCCATTCCCCAGTTTCCTGATTGCACTCCTGCCTGTTGCAAAGGATCTGTAGTATGTCACCTCTCTGATACTCCAGAGTCTGGTGAAGAGATGTGACGTCTGTACACATACCTTACTCAAACTTGCCTTTGGCATAAAAGCACTGTTCCAGACCTACATGTATTTGCTGTTGTCATTGTAACCTGCAACACGTGTTGTATTGCACCTATAATGTTGTATGTTGTCACTGTTGATATGCTAATATTGACATGGGCAGTTTATTTAATTAGTGAATAAATCAGGTGACAATAGATAAAGGTGTTTTCATTAGGACAATAAAAATGGCAGTGATTATGCTGGTTCTAAGAGTGGTTAAGATTTTCAGAGATTTTCCTGGCCAGGCGCGGTGGCTCACGCCTGTAATCCCAGCACTTTGGGAGGCTGAGGCAGGTGGATCACCTGAGGTTACGAGTTCAAGACCAGCCTGGCCAACATGGCAAAAACTCATCTCTACTAAAAATACAAAAAATTAGCCAGGTGGAGTGGCTGACACCTGTAATTCCAGCTACTCGGGAGGCTGAGGCAAGAGAATCTCTTGAACCCAGGAGGCAGAAGTTGCAGTGAGCCAAGATCATGCCATTGCACTCCAGCCTGGGCAACAAGAATGAAACTCTGTCTCAAAAAATAAAAAATAAATAAATAAAAAAGATTTTCAGAGATTTTCCATTAGTTAGGATGCAGGCTAAGCTGACATAACAAAGATACCCCCAAATAGAGTGAATGATGGAGTCACTACTTCACACGCTTATCCAAAATCCAGGCTGCTGGGCCAGCCCAACCATCCTTAATACATAGCTTACATCTGTAGGTCCAAGGCAGCTCCTCCAGTTGCCATTTCCCTAATGTTGGGAATGGGAAAAGGAGCCCAGAGGAAGTGGTTTCTCTTTATGGAAATGACCAGAATTTCCCACATGTATGCTCCTATCTCAATCTATTATGCTGAATCCCATTTGGCTTCGCTTAGTTATAAGAAGGACTGAGAAATGCAGTCTCAAACTAGGCAGTGATGTTCCAAGCTAAAACACAGGGCACCCTTTTATTAAAAAGAAGAAAGAATAAATATGTAGAATACTTAACAGTATCCTTTGAATTCCTTTCATTGCTAACCAAAATGAAATACGAATAGAAGCAGATTCATCAGCAGAACAGGGAGAGGTCATTCATCTGTATTATAGAATTCCTTTCTGACACTTGCATCCAGAAATGTTTGATAGTCAAAGTAGGACACATTTCTGGTCTCGGGCTAATTAATTTAACATTGATTTATGGGATCATTGATCCAGCAAATAAAATATCATTTTAGAGAGTATAAAAACAAATGACCTACTGAGACCTGAACATCACTCCCCACTATATTTGAAGATTTGCTTGATTTCCTGCACAATATAGCAGTCATTGGCCCAGCTATAGATCTTATTAGTCCCATAATATGGAGGACCAATACTATGTGTCCTATGTTGTGAAGGGTCAACATACAGAGAACAAAAAGTGGACAACCAGTAGACATCAACCTGAAAGGAATAACCCTGAATGCATCATCAACAACAACAATAATAAAAGATCTTGAATGTGTGTTTGGCAACTATGTAAAATTATATTCAACTTAGAATCCTTCTTTGGTTTTGCAAACTGGTAAATGTAAAAGGTCACCCTCTCTATGGCTGAACCCTTTTTCTACTTTCATGAGGCATAGGTAACATCAGATAACCGATCAGGGTATAAGCATACATTCCTTTTTGTTAACCTTGCTAAAATAGAATTATATAATTTAAATGTAAAGCTCCAAAACCTCAGTTTATATAACTCAAAGTTATTTTGGTTCCTGCACATAGCAGATGAAGGAACAGTCTTCTGATAGCAAAAAATACTTTTATAATTAAAATGTTGGTAATTTTATACAGAAAACCTATTGGAAAAATATGTATTTTTAAAACATAACCACAAAGACAGGTAAATCTTTCTAAAAATATTCCTGCCATTGCATTTTATGCAGTTCCTAAAGAATAATGCATGTAAATTTAAGCCTTTTTCCTCTATGGAATCCTTAATCATATTTGTACCACTGTACTTAATAAGGCATATTTACAGTTCAGAGGTTGATACATATTTTTAAAATAGTATACGATTTATGATTATCCATAATAGTTGGAGAATTCCTTGGTGTATTGGGGAAAATTCTCTACATAGCTGGTCACAGAATGTTCTGTGTGTACAATTGGGAAAGAACAGTCTCTTCAATAAATGGTGTTGGAAAAACTGAATATCCATAAGCAGAAGAATGAAATTAGATCCTCATCTTATACCGTATTAAAAAAAAAACTCAACTCAAACTGGATTAAATGTAAGACCTGAAACTGTAAAACTGCTAGAAGAAAACATAAGGGAAAAGCTCCACGACACTGATCTGGGCAATGATTTTTTGGATATGACACCAAAAGCACAGGCAACAGAAGCAAAAATAGACAAATGAGATCACATGGGCTTAAAAGCTTCTGCACAGCAAAGGAAACAATGGAGTAAAGAGACAACCCAGAGAAAGGGAGAAAATATTTGCAAATGGTACATCTGATAAGGAGTTAATATTCAAAATACAAGGAACTCAACTTAATAGCAGGAAAACAACCTGATTTGAAAATGGGCAAAAGACCTGAATAGACTTTCTCTAAAGAAGGCATACAAATGTCCAACAGGTACATGGAAAATGCTTAGCATCACTAATCACTAGGGAAATGCAACTTAAAACTACAGTGAGATATTACCTCATACCTGTTTGAACGGCTTTTGTCAAAAACATGAAATATAACAAGTGTTGGAAAGGATGCAGAGAAAAGGAAACCCTGTACACTGTAGATTGGAATGTAAGTTGGTACAGTACAAAGGTTCCTCAAAACCTAAACCTAAATGTAGAACTACCATATGATCCAGTAAACCCACTTCTGGGTATATATTCAAAGGAACTGAAATCAGTGTGTCAAAGGGATAACTGCACTCCCATGTTTATTGTAGCATTATTCAAAATAACCATGATAGGGATTAACCTAAAGTGTCCATCGAGAGAGAATGAATAAAGAAAATGTGGTATGTATACATAATAGAATACTATTCAGCCTTAAAAGAGGGGAAATTTGGACATTTGTAACAACATGGATGAACCTGGAGGAAATTATGCTGAGCAAAATAAGCCAGGCATGGAAGGACAAATAGCACATGATCTCACTTACATGTAGAATCTAATAAAGTAAAACTCATAGAAGTAGAGAGTAGAGTGATGGTGACTAGAGACTGAGAGGGTGGGGAGAGAGGGAAGGGGGGTTGTTGATCAAAGGGTACAAAGTTTCAGATAGACAAGAGGAATAGGTTTTGATACCTATTACACATCAGGGTGACTATAGTCAATAATAACGTATTCTATATTTCAAAATAACTAAGAGTAAATTCAGTGTCTCACACCATAAAAAATAATAGGTAAGTGAGGTGATGGACATGTTAATTTGCTTGATTAGATCATGTCACATTGGATACATGTATCAAAACATCATGTTGTACCCCTTAAATGTATATAATTATTATTTGCCAGTTAAAAATAATATTAATAATATATTTTTAAAATAAATAAAATATTGGTAAAATTTGTGCAGAAAATCTATTAGAAAAATATATTCTTTTAAAATGCAACTACAAAGAAAAGTAAATCATTCTAAGTGCATTTCTGCAGTTACATTTTATGCAATTCCTAAAGGATAATGCATGTAAACTTAAGCCTTTTTCTTCTATTGGATTTGTAATCGTATTTGCACCACTGTACTGAGCAAAGCATATTTGCAGTTCAGAGGCAGGTAAATATTTTAAAAATATTATACTACTGTATTTATGATTGTACATAATAGACTCCTTGGCTAGTTATTCTCTGTATGTATGATAAAATATCTATGTTCTACTTAGTAAACAACTTCAAAAAGGAAGAATAGAATATTTTTTGTTAACTATGATTGCAGAATTAACATTAAAAAAGCCTTCGAAGGAAAGAAAAAGACTTGTGTGTTTTGACTCACGGAGTCATAATATGGAAATTCCTTCATTATTAATGATTGAAAATTAATAATATATTAAAACACTTCTTTCAAATAAGCACTGTGCTGAATTGAGTTCTATAATGTTGCAAATAAAAATTTAGCCATGTACAGCAGATTCTTAAGAGAAAAGGTTATGTGTGGTAAAGATAAATTCCCAATTCTCAGATTGCTTTTTAATTATCTTGTTGTTCAAATAAAAAGTGTCATTGCATTGCACTCTGGCTTCCTCTCATCCTCCTATATGGTTAAGAATTTCAGAGACTGAAACATCTGGTTGGATGAATTTTATAAGAACCTTCAAGTTAAATCCAATCAGTGTGGCCTTCAAAGGCTAACTCAATTCTGTTTATATTGGAACCCAGCCTCAACTTGTAAAAGAGCAAATCAAGCAAGTATATTGGCTGAGACATAGGGAAATTTACAGTCTGTAGAGATTTTTATTGTAATTATATCCAAAGTTAGGATTTAGCTTAGAGCCAAAAAAGAGGAGCCTCATGGGAAGAGCCACTAGGTTAATGGTAGAGCACAAAATAAAGGCCAAGATTTGGGAAAGGGAGCTGGACACAAAACCAGGTTATGCTCCCAGCAGGTCTTTGATGACTGGTGGCATCAGCCCCAGGCAGGTTATGTGGTAAGACTAGAAATATTAAGGAATGGTATGGCAGAGGAGAGTTAGACTACTCAGGTTCTTTACAACTGTTATTTTTATCCACCTATATATCTTTCTTTTTTTAACTAAATTCTGATGCCTTCCCAGAATCACCTTCTTCTGCATTTTCAATTCATGTGCTTCAAGGAGGTTCCTGTGACTTACATCTAGGTAATCAGAGCATTCCATTCCCCTGATACGTAGTATTTGTCCACAGATGGACACACACCCAATCAGGGCCAATGAAATGTACTCAGATGTTTTGCTGAATCCGCTGAGAGGATATTTTGTTGTTGTTAGACTTAAACTTGGAAGGTTGTGGAAGCAGGATTCATGCTGGACCTTTCATGTACTTGAAGCAGTAAACTCCATTTATTTGTACAAGCTACATTTGGTTAACTTTTCCCAAAGTTACAATGCAGGGAGTTATGATCAGGTGAACAGATGGTGACATAAGAAATAAGCTAATTAATGCATCTTTTGTTCTCATCTTCATTTCTGAAAAGGAGGTCAACACAGTGTTTCTGAAAGTCTGAGTATACTTCCCAGAGGGGAGTCAAGTGTTTTTCTGTTTGACTCACTAAAGAGGCTTGCCTTTAACAATAATATTTTATTATCTCCCATGGTTTCTGTGAGTGAGATGGCTTATCTCTGTTCCACAATATCAAGCTTCAGAAAGAAGGCTTGAAGATGGGGTAGAGGGGCGTGGAGGGGAGCGGGGCTAGAATCTTCATTCATATGTCTAGGGTGGAGTTGATCCTGGCTATTGGCTGAGGACCTACCTAACTGGGGATATAGGCCACAACATTCACATGTGGACTCTCTAGATTGCTTGGGCTTCCTCAAAAGATGGTGGCTAGGTTCTAAGACCAACCATCCTAAGAGAGACCAGGCAGAAGTCACATAACATCACTTCTACCACAACTTGTTAGCAGTGAATCCTTCCCACATTCAAGGAGAGGGGACTATAATTTTATCTTCTGAAATGAAGAGTTTAAATAATTTGCAAACATATTTTTAATTACCCCCAGGTAAGGAGAGAGAGGAGTTTTCTTTACACTGCAGAAGTAGTTAAAATGAGGTAAATTTTCATCTATAAGAGCAGAAAGTTAAAAGATGCTATCTAACAAATCAAGAAAAGTTATAATAAATGTTTTATTTAGACATATGGCAGTAACCTCTAAGAGAATTACAAACAGAAATAATTTAAAGTGATTGTCCCTGGGTACTGAGAATTCCACTGAGGGAGACAGTTGCTTTACATTATAAGGTCTTTAGTAGTGTTTAAGCTTTTCTGAAGCTATAAACCTATATTACTCTTGCTAAAATTGTAAAACTTGAACATTTAAATATTCATATATATCCTTCCCAAATCTCAAGTGTTTTCTTCTTTAAAAA
This sequence comes from Homo sapiens, assembly GCF_000001405.40. Lineage (NCBI taxonomy): Eukaryota > Metazoa > Chordata > Mammalia > Primates > Hominidae > Homo > Homo sapiens. Next base: position 108,589,717 of record NC_000005.10, read on the forward strand.
TTCTTCTCTAGCTTCTCTCTGCCTCTGTTTTGGGTTGGGTAGCCCTCCAAAGGGCCACAAACCTAAGATCTGCCACATTGCACTGCAGTGACTTGTGTCTCGTGATAGTTGGGATGCTCATTGAGGGCAAGACTGTCTTGTATCTCTGTGTGATAGTTAGTACTGAGTGTCAACTTGATTGGATTGAAGGATGCAAAGTATTGATCCTGGATGTGTCTGTGAGGGTGTTGCCAAAGGAGATTAACATTTGAGTCAGTGGGCTGGTAAAGGCAGACCCACCCTTAATCTGGGTGGGCGCCATCTAATCAGCTGCCAAAGTGGCTAGAATATAAAGCAGTCAGAAAAACATGAAAAGATGAAGCTGGCCTAGCCTCCCAGCCTATATCTTTCTCCTGTGCTGGACCCTTCCTTCCCTCAAACATCAGACTCCCAAGTTCTTCAGTTTGGGACTCGGAATGGCTTTTCTTGCTTCTTAGCTTGCAGATGGCCTATTGAGGGACCTTGTGATTGTGTGAGTTAATACTTAATAAACTCCCCTTTTTGTATATATATCTATCATATTCTCTCCCTCTAGAGAACCCTGACTAATACACTCTGTATTTCCAAAGTAAAGCATAATAAATGGCATGTGATAACTACACAGTAAACCTATTTTAATATATAAAGAGGAGGGACATGTTTGGATGCACCTTAAGAAAAATAACTCATAGCCATATTGCTAGTAGAGTATGTGTGTGGCAGGGGTGGGGGGAGCATTGTATATATGTAAGTTTTGCGAGTGTGTGTTTGGGAGCCGTGGGAAGGAATGAAATCCTGTAAGGAGCATTTGTAACATATCAGTGATACGATTCTGAAGGCATGAGGCAGGGTAATGGCAGGGAGAATGGTGAGACAATCATGGGAGACATGATTTGATGTAGAATAAACATATTGGCACTGAATGTGGGATGTGAGGGGAAAGGGACCAATACAGAGGACACAGATATGGGGAGAGCTGACTAGGAGAGACCACAAAAGGACTTGTGGTGTTGTAGGTAAGGGAAAAGCCATGCCATAGGGTCAGCGTGGCCAGGTCTAGTGGCCTATGGATTCCCCATTCCTATACCTTCAATCTTCTGAGGCAATTCTCCAACCTAACCTGGGGTTGAGGAGGGTTGCTCCAGTTTGCATACCTGCTTCTTAGACAAAGCTGAAGTGTCTGAATACCAGGATTTCTACAGTTATACTTCATGAAGGCAAAAAGCTATGAAAGAAGTTAAGCGTGTTCACAGTCAGGATGTGGTTAGAGGTGAGACGGGTCAAAATGGGGAGCTTAATATGGGCCAGTTATCATCAGACCATAAGAAAGTATGATAGTGTACATTTCCCATAAGCAATTCCATCCAGATTTTTCACTGTATTATTTAGATTTGCTTGGGAGAAATGGTATGGGTTTCTCTCTTATCAGCCTCCTGTGCTTTTTTCAGTGATCTTTGGGGGACACTGTGCAGTCATTAAGATTTAAAATTTTGAAGACTATTCAACAACAAGGAAAATTATTATGAGACATTAAATGAAAAACAAACATAAAATTGTATCTACACTGTGATAACTATAAAAACGTATCCATGCATATGCATAGATGTTGGTAAGAAACTCAGAAGTTGTATTTGTTTGGGTGTCAAGAGAGTGTAAGGACCTTTCTCATATTGTTGTTTCCATTAACTTTGTTTGAACCAGGAATATTGATACAATACGTTATTTGTGGATTTTAAAATAGTACTGAGAAAGTTGCATTGCTCACAGTCATGACTGTGATAGAGTAAACATAGGGCATCTCCTGATCAGATAAAGTATATTAAAAAGAAGGGACCCAAGGCCCGTAAGTCAGAGAACAGGAATTTCTATGGAGTTTAGAAATGAAATGAGATTTGATTGTATGTCGTAAAAATATGTGTCAAATTTGAAAAAATACGTGCTCTAACAAATGATATCATAATCAGAATAAAGCCATTTGTCATTCTTCTGAAAAATAATATATGACAAAGAGGCTCCAATGTAATGATCAGAAGTACAACTAGGAGCCCTGAGGATCCTGGTATTGGAAATTCGGTAAAAAGAAGGTGGGGGGTGCAGCAGTATAGAAATATGTTTTTTCATCAAAAGCTTTGCAGAAAGATGGGGAGTGGGGAGTTGGGATTTTATAAGAGCAGATTCAAATTAAACCATATGAAGTAATACCAACTAATGTAAGCAAGAGTAAAAGCCATTTTTAAAAATATCCTGAGATAAAAATTCCAGACAATAAGGATGGCATGGTACAGAAATATATTTATTTTGACTCTTGCAACCTCATGAAAAAATAGTCCTAGGATTGAAAAAGACATCAACCTACAAGAACATAGAGAGAAGTTTAGGAGCAAAACAGCAACAATGTCTTGGAAGCCAGAAAGCAGATGAATAAATCTTAAATATCAGGGTAGATGTGAGAAAATGACATAACAAGCCAGCAGCAAGGAGAGTTGAAAGATTTATACCATAGAATCCCAAAAAGCCTCAGAAATAGGTAGTAGTAGGTATTTGTAGAAGAGAGGGTTAGCAGGAATTCTTTTTGTTTTTTGTATTTTGTTTTTTTTTGTTGTTGTTAATTGAGACAGAGGCTCGCTCTGTTGCTCGGGCTGGAGTGCCGTGGCACTATCTCAGCTCACTGCCAACCTTTGCCACCCAGGTTCAAGCAATTCTCTTGTCTCAGCCTCCCAAGTAGCTGGGATTACAGGTGCCTGCCACAATGCCTGGCTAATTTTTTTTTGTATTTTTAGTAAAGACGGGGTTTCGCCACGTTGGCCAGGCTGGCCTTGAACTCCTGACCTCAGGTGATCCACCCACCTCAGCCTCCCGAAGTGCTGGGATTCACAGGCATGAGCCATTGCGCTCGGCCGCAGGAGTTCTTAAAATGAGGACTAGGGTGAGAGTCTGTTTAAGAAACAGTTAGATTGCCATATCCTCTCCCTCATTCCACACAGCCAAGTTATCGATCCTGCCCAGCCACCGCGAAAAGACTTAACTTGGAGAGAATAAAAGGTATGTAGAATAGGGAACACTGAAAACAGGGCAAATGAGTGACCTTTACATACAGAATGCTGAAATCTCCAGCTTCTATGGATAACCAGTCATTAGGGAAAAAGCCTCCAACATAACAAAGGCATCAAAACAAGGAAACGGAAGAAAGCAATCTGTAGGAAATAGAGACTCCACAGGGAGAAGAAACTTCAAAAAAGAGTGTTCATGCGTGTGCCTGTGTGTGTACACACAAGTATATGATTAAGTGAAAATGGTGCTTACCTATTTTGGAAAACCACTGCACATCCTTTATAATAAAAATATTCAGATGAACAAGTAGCAGTAAAATTACCCATAGCCCACACCTGCATCATAACTAGGAGACTGAGAAAACATACAAGTCAAAAAACAAATATCCAAGACAAGCAGAATTAGCTCCAGGACACACAAGAGATTTAATGGTCAGGCAGAGATCATGCAGAAGAGAAGAGAGTATAGTGGGTTCATCTCAAAAAGGTGAGAATCCCATTTGCGTGGGAAAATACTAAGACAAATCTGAGACCTGGCTACTAATTAATCAAAAGTAAGGGGCTGGGAAATGTGTTAAATCAGAATAGCTGGGTGCAGTCGCTTGCACCTGTAGTCTCAGCTCATAGGAGATGGAGGCAGAAGGATTGCTTACCCAGGAGTTCAAGTTCAGCCTGGGCTGAACCTTTCAGAGACCCCCGCTTTTTGAAAAAGGAAGGACGTGGTCGTAGGTGCTGTGGATCTCTGGTCCGCACACTCCTGCTCCTGACTCACCGCCGTTCGCTCTCGCCGAGGAACAAGTCGGTCAGGAAGCCACGCAGTAACCATGGCTTTTAAGGATACTGGAAAAACACCCGTGGAGCCGGAGGTGGCAATTCACCGAATTCGAATCACCCTAAGAGCCGCAGTGTAAAATCCCTAGAAAAGGTGTGTGCTGACTTGATTAGAAGCGCAAAGGAGAAGAATCTCAAAGTGAAAGGACGAGTTCGAATGCCTACCAAGACTTTGAGAATCACTACAAAAAAAACTCCTTGTGGTGAAGGTTCTAAGACATGGGATCGTTTCCAAATGAGAATTCACAAGCGACTTATTGACTTGCACAGTCCTTCTGAGATTGTTAAGCAGATTACTTCCATCAGTATTGAGCCAGGAGTTGAGGTGGAAGTCACCATTGCAGATGCTTAAGTCAACTATTTCAATAAATTGATTACCAGTTGTAAAAAAAAAAAAAAGAGACCCCCATCTCTTAAAAATACAAACAAACCAGAGGTGTCAGTTTTGAGAAAGCCCCACTTCTGGTTGAGAGGGAGGTGATGTCCTTTGTAAATTGGCAATAAAGGCAAAGGGAGTGGCTGAATATAAGGACCTGTTAAAATAATATAACATAAAAATTAGAGCTGAAAACATTTTTCTAAAGCATAATTTATTAAGGGAACTGCATTATATCAACAAAAGAAGGTAATCTTTTTTTTTTGAGACGGAGTCTCGCTTTGTCGCCCAGGCTGGAATGCAGTGGCCCAATCTCGGCTCACTGCAAGCTCCGCCTCCCAGGTTCACACCATTCTCCTGCCTCAGCCTCCTGAGTAGCTGGGACTACAGGCACCCGCCACCACACCCAGCTAAATTTTTTTGTATTTTTAGTAGAGATGGGGTTTCGCTGTGTTAGCCAGGATGGTCTCGATCTCCTGACCTCGTGATCTGTCCGCCTCGGCCTCCCAAAGTGCTGGGATTACAGGTGAGAGCCACCCTGCCTGGCCAAGAAGGTAATCTCGCACCAAGAAATAAAGTAAACTAGTCAAATCCCCTCCTCCTTAGAACAGAATTGCTTATTATTTCTGGATTTGAAAAACACAGTAGAAATAGTCATTAAAAACAGCATCCATGCAAGTTATAATGTGAAAAAAAAAACATAATGAAAATAAAAACTTTTTAGCAGATTAAAACAATGAAAAACAAAGCAAAGGAAAATAAAGAACAAAACTATGAAAGAGAGGAAAACTGAAACAAAATATTCTCCATGAACTAAGTATAATCCCCAAAGCAACTGCAAATGTGAAGGACCACCACAGATCAGAAATTAAAAATTCAGCATAGTAATGGGCAAGCAATAAAAAGATTTAAAATGCAATCTGAATAAACTCATGGAAATAATTTTTGTTTCAAAAGACAGAATCATATTTAAAATAAAAACTAAATTACAAGATACCCATGGAAAATACATAGGACCTGGTACAGTAAGAATTATATGGTCTAGAAAGTAAAAGAACCAAAAGAAATGTAGAAATGAAGACAAAGGTGAAAACTACCAAAACAACAGGAAAATAAGATCCAAAGTACATATAAATTCCTAGAAGATAATGCAATACAACATACTAGAACTATATTCAAACTATAATTAAAGAAAAGTTTTCTGAAAGAAAAAAAGTTCTTAATTTACATATAAAAGAACCCACTGTTTACCAGGAAAATTTTCCCAGATTAGTAAACTTGAAGGTGTTAGTAAAACTCTTAGACCTTAAAAATTAAATGTCCATTGAGTTCTCCAGTCACTTAAAAAATAAAATAAAATTGACATCAATGACTCAACAGCAATAAACAAAGCAAGACAATAGTGGAGAAACATATTCAAAAAACTTAAGGAAAATGTGAGTCAAAGATTTTATATCCAGCCAAATTATCAGTCAAGTTTTAAGAATATAGAAAAACAATTTTTAAAATGCAATAGTTCAGAGAATATTTGTGGTGGACTCAAAATGGCTACAAATTCTCTTGACCCTTCTCTCATTGACAGGTGAGTTTTAAGTCACCTCTTCTTGCAGCTGGGCTCCATGACTACTTTGAGCAACAGAATATTGTAGAAGGCCTGCTGTGTCCATTTTTAGGCCCAGGATGTAAACTGGAAGCTTCTACTTCTCATCTCTGGAAAAACTAGGTCTTTGAGCCCTAAAGCCACAATGTAAAAAGCTCACTACCCTGTTAGGAAGAACTCATAAAGACGCCCTGAGATTATATGGAGAGGAAGGGGTTAAACCCAGCCTTGCAGCCATTCCTGCCATGGTATGAGCCATCTAAGTGATTGCCATCTTGGATCCTTAAGACCAGCTCAGTTGCCAACTGAATACTGTGTAATGAATACTGTGTAATGACATTAGTTAGTGCCAATAAAGCAGAAGAATCACCCATCCAAGCTCTGTCTGAATTTTTGATCCACAAAATCTTGAGATATAATAAAATGGTAGGCTTTTTTAAACCATTAGGTTTGACATCAGTTATTATGCAAAAGTAGTTCACTAGAAAAATACAGAACTCTAAACTCTTCTAAAAGAATTTGAAAGCATGTAACTATTTCTCCTGACAAGGTAATAATATGAGAACTAAAATGAATATATATTAATTGTCATATACTTAAGGAAAGCAGGAGAGAGAAAGAAGAAAAAACTTGTTAACTACTGCAGAGGTAACTGATGGCCATCAAAACATATTGTGTAAAGTTTTTGTGATAACAAGAAGCTAAATAAGAAAAAGCAGGGGACAAAAAGCAGTAACCGAATTATTAATATAAAGGCTACCATGAAACAAAAACACAAACCTTTGTAAGTATTTAAACATTTTCCAACAGTTTTAAAAGAGCTAAGATTGCATATTGAAAGACATAGTCAACACAAGACACACTATACATACCCCTCAGATCAAATATATCAATTTTACTTATAAATATAAGTGAGCCTAACTCACCAAAGTGATATACCTAAAACAAAGTGATTCGGCAAGACTAAAAATAAAGGAAAGGGGGAAAACATATAAGGCAAAAGTAAGCATAAAAATAAAATTTAAGCAATGTTTGTGATTTTGATATCTGACAAAGAATAATGCAAGTAAAAAAGCAATAAATGATAAGACAAAGAAGGACTTTTTATAATGCCATAATTCACAATGAAACTGTAACAGTTATAATTACCTATACATAAATTACACAGCAGCTGCATAAGGCAGAAAATATAAGAATGTAATGAGAAATAGAAATATCTAATAAAAGACCTTTATCTCACTCAGTTCAAGACAGGTCAAGGAAACAAATACATGCACAACATAAAATAAATATAATGAAAATATAACAATTTTTATTCCTTGGTTATAAAAAATACATTGTCTTTTCAAACATTTATGGAACATGAATGATATTTTACTATATATTCGTTTACAAAGAAAATCTCAATGAGTTCCATGAGGTAGAACTAATACAACATTTGCTAACTGTAATGCAATAAAATTAGAAATAAAATTTTGTAAAAGTACATTTTACCTGACCAAGTTATAAACTGTAATATATAATGCTTGAGTTAAAGGGAAAATACACTGATGTTGCAAAAATCTCTAAAACCAAAGAAATCACTACATATCATAATCTATGGGATACAATTAAAACTGTTCTCAAAATAAAATTCATAGCTTTAACAACTCATACCAGGGATCATCAAGCCACAGCCAGTGGGCCAAACTCAACCTGCCATTTGTTTTGAAAAGTTATATTTGAACTCAGCCATGCCATTCATTTAAATACTGTCTATGGCTGCTTTCCTACTGCAAAGGCAGAATTGAGTAGTTGCAGTAGGAAGAATATGGCCCACCAAATCAAAGCTATAGACTATTTGATCCTTTACAAAAAAAGTTGCCATTTCCTCATTTACATTAATAAAATAAAATAAAAATGAAATTAATTTAGAAAAAAGTAAACTAAAAAAAGATAAAAGCAAAAATTTGGAAATGGTAAAAGAAAACAGTACAACAAAAATTTCAATAAATAACCTCATAAATTGAAAAATATCAACAAAGTACCCACATTACTGACCTTAGGAAGAAAAAAAGAAAACACAGATGCACAAGGTTGGGAAGAACAAAGGGAAATCAACCATGTAGCCATTAAAATAGAGAAAATTTACAAAAGTCTAGTCTTCAAGAATGTGTCAACCAAAACAGTCTAAAATATTTGAAGAGATTTATTTCAAACCAAATATGAGTGACCAATGGCCCATGACACAGCCTTCAGGAGATCCTGAGAACAAGAGCCCAAGGTAGTTAGGTTACAACTTGGTTCTATGCATTTTGGTCCATAAAGGCAGGACAACTGGAAGCAGGGTAGCTTCTAGGTCATAGGCAGATTCAGAGATTTTCTGATTGGCAATTGGTTGAAAGGGTTATTATCTGAAGACCTGGAAGAAATGGAAAGGAGTGTCTGGGTTATGATAAGGGGTCGTAAAGACCAAGGTTTCAATGAAGCCTCCAGGTAGCAGGTTTCAGATAGAATAGATTGTAAATGTTTCTTATCAAACTTAAAGAGCCTGTTCTATCAGTAATTCCAAAAGAGAGGAGGGTATAATGAGGCATGTCTAACACCCCCTACCCATCATGGCCTGAACTAGTTTTTCAAGTTAACTTTGCAATGTGCTTGGCCAAGAGGAGTGATCCATCCAGATGACTGGGAGGCTTAGAATTTTATTTTTGGTTTAAAAATGGAAGTATAATTTAGTATTAGGAAAACTATTTGCCTAATTCACCATATTAGTATATCTAAGGAGAAAATCCATATGCTTATCTTCAAAAGCCCTGTAAAGATCTTTTAAAAAAATTCAGTACTCATTCCAGATAAAAACACTTGGTTACATAGGTATCAATAAATACTTCTTTAACATTACTTTTCAGATATGTGATTTACAAATATTTTCTCCCATTCTGTGGATTGTCTTTTCATTTTATGGATGGTATTCTTTGAATCTAAGAAGTTTTAAATTTTTCTGAAATCCAATTTATCTACTTTTTTTTTTTTTTTTTTTTTTTTTTTGAGAAGGAGTCTCACTCTATCACCTAGGCTGGAGCACACTGGCACAATCTCGGCTCACTGCAACTTCTGCCTCCTGGGTTCGAGCAATTCTCCTGCCTCAGCCTCTGGGATCACAGGCGTGTGCCACCACACCCAGCTGATTTTTGTATTTTTAGTAGAGACAGAGTTTCACCATGTTGGCCAAGCTGGTCTCTTGTCTCGAACTCCTGACCTCAGGTGATCCGCCCACCTCGGCCTCCCAAAGTGTTGGGATTACAGGCATGAGCCACCGCACCTGGCCGAATTTATGTACTTTTTTGCTTCAATGGCTTGTGCTTTGGGTGTCATGTCTAACACATCATTGCCTAATCCAAAGTTACAAAGATTTATAATCATATTTTCTTCTAAGAATTGTATGATTTCAGGTCTATATTTAGGTGCTTGATCCATTTTCAGTTAATTTCGTATATGGTATATGGTGGGGATCTAACTTCATTCTTTTGCCTGTACATATCCAGTTGTCCTGGCATAATTTATTGAAAAGATTATTCTTTCTCCCATTAAATATACTTGTTTTAAAATGCCATTTATATTTGTCTTAATTTGAGAATTTAGTCTCAATTTTTTCATGATATCAAAGGTTAAGTATCTTTAGAAATGTAATAACATTATTTGTTGAGCAACTGCTATGTACTGGGCACTGTCTTGGTGCTAGTTCTCTTTTTAATTTATTCATTCCATAATATTTATTAAGCAACCTCTATGTGCCTTTGTTCTGGACCCTGGTTTTTGCCTAATACAATAGCAATACAGTGTCTGGTCGTTGATACAGTGTCTACCTTCCTGGGAATTATATTCCATTGGGGAAGATGAGAAAATAATGTGTGATTTAATCCGAGAAAGTAAAATTGTCTATGAAGAAAAAGAACAAAAAGGTGACATAGATTGACAAGGATGGCAGGTGGACTATTAGAGTGGTCAGAAAAGGCCTATTGGGGAAGGTGACTTTTGAGCAGACACCTGAAAGATTGGAGGAGGCAATGTAGGGGTATGTATTCCAGGCAAAGAAAATATAAATGTTTGAATTCTTGGGGCCAGAATGGTTTTCATATGTTGAAGGAATAACAAACAGGCCAGCATGACTGGGTAGTGTGAAGACAGAAATGGAGGAGGTGAACTGGAGGAAGTAGCCAAGGATCATGTAGAGCTCATGAGTGTAAAAAAAGTTTAGACTTGACTCTCTTTGTTATGGGAGGCATTGGAGGGTGTCATGTGGGACTGGTGTTGTAAGAGACCACTCTGACTGCTCTATAGGGACCTACAGTAGAAGGGAGACCAAGAAGAAGGTTAATATAATAATACAAATGAGAGTTAATGGTGGCTTGGACTAGGTTAGCAGAAGTGGTGGTAATGAGAAGTATTCAGATTCAGGTGTGAATCCACATTTTTACAGGTAGATTCTGCACAACTGACTAATGAATTAAGTGTGAAGTGGAGAGAATGAAAGAGAAACAAGTTCATGTTCTCCCTCTTCCCTGGCTTCTTTGCTTCTCATTTATTCGTCTAATAGCTGTTTCCTGAGTCACTTCCATGTGTTGATACCTGTGCTAGATACTGAGATAAAATAGTAAGCAATAACCAGATACAGTGGTCACAGGGGTTCTAGAATAATGGGGAAGAGAGATGTTAAACAGGCACAAATATAAAATAAACAATTTAAACTGTACACTATAAAGAGGGGGTTCATAGATCTATTAGAGGCTATAAGAGAGGAATGAGCGTCCTGAAGAGGTGATGCTACTGCCAAAGTGGGAATAAGAGTTGTCTAAGAAAGAGGCGGTAGTGCTCCAAGAACAAGGGGCAGTATGTGGAAAGTCCCAATGGCTCAGAGAGAGAACAAGGCACCAAGAAGACCAAAGTGGGTATGCTGGGGAGACTATACAGTACTTCAGAACAAGCCATGTGGAAAGTTCTGTCTCCCTCTTATGAAAAATGGGAAGTCCTTCATGGAATTTATAGGGGTAAGTGTTGAGGTGGGAGTAGTGATAACAGGATAAGATTTATATTTTTGGTGGAGAATAGCTTGAAGAAAATGGTTGAAGGGGATGCAGGTAAGCCTGTTACTCTAGGTAAGCAAGAACAATGTCTTGTATCAGGCTGGGGCTACTGGATACCTGATGGTGCCATTCCCAGAGATGAACAACAGGAGAAACACTATCCTGGCTCATCGACCCACCTGACTTGCCTTCTCTGTTATGCTTACAGCTTCTCCTCCCCAGGACTTTTGCCTTTCATGGGGCTGTTGCTTTAACGTGGCTTATCAAAGCCTCTCTGGTCCTACCTCTACTTCAGTGTTACTGCTAACTGCTTTAGTTTCTCAGTTTTCCAATGCCAAATTCCTGGGAAAGAAATGTAATTGGCCCAATTATTCTTTTTGAGGCAGGACACACAGGCTATGGTGGGCTCACCAGCATTTGAAACAGATGCCCACTAGCCAGATCCAATCAGCTTTACCCTTTAAATCAGCGGACAGAGACAGGCTACACAGTAAAAACAGATGCGAAGGTATTTGGGAATGGTGGACATTGATAGATGTCTCCACTCTAGTTCCATTTTGGGAAAAGGAACTGCATGTAGAGAGATAGATATTTACATACCCAGAATTATATCTGGTGTTTTGAGTTTTTAGAAAATAAGCTGCCAGGAATCACTTTATTAAACACTACTGCAATAGGAAAATTATCAAACAAATTGTTCATTTTAACATCATCAGGAAAAATCAATCTTTTTATATGTGGCAGAAATTTAAGAAAATCTTAGTAAACTAATTTTTAAAGCTTTTATATTAACAAAAATATCTATAATTCCAGATATGGGGGGGACAGAGAGAAAGAGAAAAAGAGAGAGAGAGAGAGAGAGAGAGACCCTATTTGCCACCAATGGAGGCAATAGCACCATTCCTGACTGAAAATTGGCAATGAAAGAGAAAAATGTAAACATTTACTGAGCCTCTTTATGAGAACCTCTATTTTATTTCTAGTTCAGGGTTAAGTTCTTTGTTACAGAAGACCATCAGCTAAAAAATTTGCAAGTAATGAGTGAATTAGACAAATCAGCATTTTGTAACCCCATTCGAAATAATGTTCCAAATAAAAATGATTAATTGATGCTAAAATCATGTTGTGGGGAACAGAATATTTTCAGAGCCCCCAAATAACCATCATGTGGATTACCTGCTAACTGCAAAGGAAATGACATTCATTTTCAGTAGAGAGATCTGCTGATCTTCACCTTACTTGAGAGTTCAAACTTAACATCACTAATAGTGGGGAAACTTGACACTTTGTACCTCCTGCTGTGATGCGCTCTGAGGTACATGGTATAATCTACGGAACACTTTTGCCAAATATATTTAACTTCAATCTATTCAACTTCCTGACCTTAGTACTAGCATGCAGTATACAACATTGTTAGAGGAGAAAGATAAATAATATCCAGAAGAAATAATTGGAAAAATTCAAAATATAATTTGAAACATTATTCTATAAGTAGCTGGTCTGGTTTCTCAATGTCAGAGAGAGAGGGAGAGACAGTACACACACACACACACACACACGTACATATATATATGCTATAATAGACAATTAGATAAATTTGAATGTAGAGTGGCATCAAGATGATATTATGAAATTAGCATTAATTTCCTTAGGTGCGATAATGGTCCTGTGGGTCTGTAGGAGAATGTCATCACTATGAGCCACCCACTTAGGATGATCAACTGTCCTGGTTTGCTGGGACATGGGGAGGGGGTGGACGAGTTCTCAAGACACAAGACTTTCCATTTAAAAATCAGACCAGGGGCCGGGCACAGTGGCTCACGCCTGTAATCCCAGCATTTTGGGAGGCTGAGGCGGGTGGGATCATGAGGTCGGGAGATCGAGACCATCTTGGCTAACACGGTGAAACCCAGTCTCTACTAAAAAATGCAAAAAATTAGCCGGGCGTGGTGGCAGGCGCCTGCAGTCCCAGCTGCTGGGAAGGCTGAGGCAGGAGAATGGCGTGAACCTGGGAGGCGGAGCTTGCAATGAGCTGAGATCGCACCACTGCACTGCAGCCTGGGCGACAGAGCGAGACTCCATCTCAAAAAAAAAAAAAAAAAAAAATCAGATCAGGATGAGCTGATCATCCTATACCCACTGAAGAATTTAGGGGTTAAGTGACACAATGTCTACAATTTATTTTCAAGTGGTTTGGCAAAAAATGTATACATATACATGTATACATACAGATAAAACAAATATAGTAAAATGTTAACAATGATTGAATTTGGGTAGTATATATATGGTTATTCATCATACTACTACTCTTTTACCATTTGTGTATGTTTAAAATTTTTCGTAATAAAATGTTGGAGAAAATATGCTTAGGTAGCAAAAGATGATGTAAAAATGAAACCAGACAGGATGCCATTTAAAAAAAAGAACATTCTATTAGATGTATTAGAATCTGAAACTAAACTTATTAGATAAAATATTTGAAACTGAAAATATGATAAAAATGAATAGCTTAATAGAAGGGTTGAAAGATAAAATTAAGGAAATAGAAAGCAGAGCAAAAAGTAAAAATATGGAAAGTGAAAGAGAATAAAATGAAAATAAAACTAGAAGATTAATTCAGGTTAATATTCAAATAACTGGAGTTCCAAAAGAGGAAAGAAAGAAAATAGAAGGGAGGCAATCAACAAGTAATCGGGTAAAAATGTATTAGAACTGCGTTAACTAGCTTCCAGATTTAAAGGGCCCACCAAATCTACAGCACATATAGATAAAAAGAGATCTATATCAAGGTTCATCACTGTAAAATTTCAGAACACAGAGAACAATGAAAAGGGAATAGAAGCTTCCGGAAAGAAAGAGAAAACTCATTAAGTACTAAAAGAGCGGGAATCTTAATGCTTCAGACTTCTCAACAACAATGTTGGAAGCTATTACAGAAAGCACCAGAGTATTGCCTTAAACAATCTGAAAGAAAATAGTTCCAATCTAGATCTCTATTCCCAGTCAATGATTGTATAAGGATAGTGTAAACTTGCAGGAGTGTCCAATCTTTTGGCTTCCCTGGACCATATTGGAAGAAGAAGAATTGTCTTGGGCCACACATAAAATACACTAACACTAATGATAGTTGATAAGCAAAAAATAAAAAAGCAAAACAAAAAAAAAACCGCAAAAAAAAAATCTCATAATGTTTTAAGAAAGTTTACGAATTTGTGTAGGGCCACATTTAAAGCCATCCTGGGCCACAGGCAGCCTGTGGGCTGCAGGTTGGACAAGTGTGGCCGTATAGCATCTTCAGACATACAGGTTACCCCAAAAAATCATCTCCCATGCCTGCAGTTTTAGAAAGCCTAGAGAATAAGTCAAGAAAGTGGAAAACACAAGACTGAGGGACCAGGAGAGCCAACAGAAGAGGAGATAAATGAATCCCAGGACAGTGGTGAAGGGGGATCCCAGGATGAAAGCTGAGTATCAGACCTAGAGTGCCGCCATTTCAGACTGGAATATGTCAGAGGCTCTGGAAGGGCCTTCTGCAGGAAGATGAAATGAAGATAATATCTAATGAGTCTGGCAGTCTTGAGGGGAGCGTTCATCAAAACATAAGTTAGGGGATAAATGAATGGTAAGTAAAACAAAAATCAAAAAGAAGATAATCATTAATTCGAGAAAAAAACAAGTTGTGCAGTAAAAGTAACGATCAAGTAAAAGTAACTTATCAGAGTTTATAATTTATTTCAGTTACAGATAGTACTTATGTAGTCATAATAAAATAAACCCTCATATTAATCTAATAAAAGTTATGCAGAGAATGAGGTAAAGGAAAGGAACTACATATGTGGTAGGAACAGGTGAGGCTTAGTATGGTATAGATGAGAAAATCCCCATCTTCTATAGTGTGAAGGCAATAGATAATGCCAAAAATAAAAATCAAATGGTAGAAATTCAAGCACATTAATTCAAGTCATAGAGGTAAATATCAAAATATTCAGCAATGTGTTGAAATTTGTTGTCTCTCAAAGAGGGAAATGCTGGAGTGGGGATGGGAGACTGTTATTTTTCCTTACATACCTTGTAAAATTATTTGATTCTAAACTATGTGTAGCTATGTGCGCTACATTTTATTAGCTAAAGATAAAGAGAGAGAGAGCTGGAAAAGAATAGAGTCCAGTAATAAATGCAGAGATGTATAACTTATTTTAAAAGGAAGATAAAAGATTGTTTTTTGAAAGTCTTTAGAAGAAATAAGAAAGTCTGTAGGAAGTAATGAGAAAAAAACCTCCAAAACTTAGTCTGAAAAAGTAATAAAACATTTAGTACATCCAAAAGGATAATGTATATGACACACATCCAAGCATAAAAGGACTAGATGATGTTAAAGAAATACATCAACAAGTTACTTCAAATGGAGAACTAGCATGAACTACTAAAAATAAAGACATGAGCAGAGACGTGAATAAGGAATAAAACAGATATGTAATTAATATTTTAAACAATAAGTATGATTTGGGTCAATATCATCTAGTTATATTAAAAATGCTTGGGTGATTATAAACAATGGGCAAATGATTAATGATAGCATAATTAACTCTAGGGCAATGTGTAGTAGGGCGTTGCAAGAGTCCATGTTGGGTCTGGTCTACTTTAATGCCTTTAATGATCTGGAAAAAGGAGTGAATAGAATTTATAGATGGTACTCAATTTTTCACTCGGTTCATGGCCCTAAAAAAGAACATTTTCCTGGCATGGCATGGATGGCACTCAATCTGGCATAGAAAAGGATGGATTACAATCTCTAGTCCTTCACCCTCGAATGCTTGCCTTGTGTATTAGAATTAATATTCTTTCCACCTGGCCCATTTTGCAACCCATGGCTTTCTCTGAAACATTTTTTTTCCCTCTACTATATTTATGCTGAAAGAACATGTGAAATGGCTCTCCCCTGTCCTATATGTCAGTTACTACTACTCTCTCAGGATCTGAGTTCATACTCTGATCTCTTATATACATTTAGCATACAAGTCTACTATAGATTTAGTTGAATGTAGTTCAAATTTGACCACCTTGTTCTCTGAGCTGGACAATCAATTGTATATGTATTTGTGTAATTGCACATATACTAATTGCATATGTTGTTTGATTTAAATATTTGTATGATTTTCAAAATCTGATTCTTTAAAATCTCTCCCTTAAATCATAGGCTAAACTATGCCATGTTATCTCTTGACAAGATGTTTTGTACTTTGTTATCCAATTAGGAAACTTCATTATTCTCTGTAAGGTTGGGCTCTCTCAGTACTTTTACATTAGTTCCCTAAGAGAGGCTACTAAGTTGATTCCACTTTATTTTTGCTTTTGAGGGCTTATTGAATAAGCTTGTTTCATTAAAATGTTCTAGTCATTTGTAAGTAATGAAAGTGCCTCAGTTATCTATGTGTTAGGGCTCAGGACACACCTCCCCAAAATATGACTATAGAAGACCAGAATATGCCACTCCAAAATATACTTTTGTGGCATATTTCAAACAGGTTGTTTTAAGAAACTGCAGATGCAGGAGTAGCTCTCAAAAGCTGGACTTTTGTAAAAGAAATTTATGTCTATAAAATAAATCTACATTGTTAAAATATCTGTACCAGAAAAAGGGCTGCTTGAGACTTTTATTACCTAAGAGACTTCTTATCCCCATAATGAGGCAACCTTTATTCACCACACATTTCCTGCCCTCACCCTCCCATAACTTGTCTCCAACACCTCTCAGAAGCCCAAGACCTGTTTCCTTTCTGTGGCTCAGAATACTATAAAATCTTCAATGATATGGCCCTTCTTTGATGTTTGATATTTAGTGGGACTCCTGTGCATACATATGTAATTAAAAATAGTTTTTCTCCTGTTAATCTGTTTTATGCCAACTTAATTCTTATCTCTCCCCTGCACATCCAATAAGGATTCAGGCATAGAAGAAACCCACTAATAATGCAGGGGCTTTATTTCAGCCAGCAATGTCACCCAAAGTCAGCCTTTTTTCACAGTAATGAACACAAAAGGAAAAGTGATATTTGATTTTTGTATTTGCCTTCTCCTTGTCCTCTTTATTTGGACAACTAAGGAAGGAAGAATAAAGATAAAAAGAATAAATGAGCAGGAAAACAACTTGAGAGTTGACTAAATTATCTACCAGCAGACAGTTAACCCTAATTGTAAAAAAAAAATCTTGATATTTTAAAATTAGAAGACCAAAAATGAGGGATTAGAGCAAAATGCTGGACTGAGCCATGCATCTACCTCCTTTCCCACTCAAATCCCTTTAAAAAAGTGAAACCATATTTTGCAATGAATAAATCTTTAGAATCACAAGAAAATAAATTAGATTTTGAAAGTGCTATCAACAGATCAAAAATTGTGAAAAATTCCTAGGAAATAGAAAGCACATGGGACAAAATGGAGAAAAAGATAGCCATGGCTGGGTGCTGTGGCTCACGCCTGTAATCCCAGCACTTTGGGAGGCTGAGGCGGGCGGATCACGAGGTCAAGAAATTGAGACCATCCTGGCCAACACGGTGAAACTTTGTCTCTACTAAAAATACAAAAATTAGCTGGGCGTTGTGGTCCGTGCCTGTAGTCCCAGCTACTCAGGAGGCTGAGGCAGGAGAATTGCTTGAACCCGGGTGGCAGAGGTTGTAGTGAGCTGAGACTGTGCCACTGCACTCCAGCCTGGCAACAGCAAGAATCCATCTCAAAAAAAAAAAAAGATAGACACACGCAAACACACACACACACACACACCACTAACCCCACAACCACCACCACCAGCAACAACTACACCTTCAGAGGTAATGATGGATGTAGCAAACTTCAAGCTCAGACTGAGCAAATGGCAAGTTCAGGATGGGACCCTGGGGCGCTGCTGTCAGGAAAATTAATTAAAGAGATTGATGCAGAACAGCAGGGCCAGTGAGACCTCCTAACTCAATCCACCTCAGCAACAGGCTGCTGCAATGCTTGATCACAGGTTAAAACCCAAGATCTGTGTGATAAAGAATTTGAACTACCTATCTAAAGTTCCTAGCTGGGTGTATGAAGTTAAGAGGAGGCAGAACAGAATTTATGTTGATTGAATATCCTATTTGAAAAGCTGCTTTTCCTGGAATAAAATCTCCTAAGGACTTTCATTCCTAGTGTCACAGTTCCTTATTTTTGATAACTTGCAAAACCAGCAAGTCAACATGCTCCCACCTCCAGATGGAACGAGACTAGAGGTTCCAACTGACTTATACCAACTGCTGACCCACTGAAATTGTGAGATATGTTTGCGTTGTTTTCAGCTGATAAATTTGTGGTAACTTGTTATGCAGCAATAAAAAATTAATGCAATACCTATTATTTGACCTAGTGTTTTCAGTCATAAAAATGCACTGATAACCTAGGGTACCGCTATGGATTGAATTGTGTCCCCTTACGCCAAATTCATACAAGTCCTAACCCAAAATGTGACAACATTTGAAGGTGGGGTCTTTGGGAAATAATTGCATTTACATGAGGTCATTATGGCCCCTATGATGAGATTAGTGTCCTTATAAGAAAAGAAAGAGAAAGCAGAGCTTAAGACTTCTGCAAGCCAGAAGAGCCCTCACTGGGGAACCAAATTGGCCGGCACCTTGATCTTGGGCTTCTTAGTCTCCGGATCTGTGAGCAATAAATTCTTGTTGTTTAAGCCACCAGTTTATGGTATGCTGTTACAGCAGCCCAAACAGACTAATACAAATACCAAATGCATGAACAAAAAAAAAAGAACAAAGAAAATAAATGATTCCTGAGAAAGGAAAGAGAATCCAAAGGGCAGAAAAGAACTGTAAAAAAAAAAAAAAAAATTATTGGTATTCTTGGAAAGGCTAAAGAAGATTTTGTATTCATAAAATAAGACTGGTTTTAAGAAAAAGCCAGAAAAAGTTTATTTTAAATTTAAAACATTGAGAACTAACCTCTGATTATTTTTATCTTTCCCAAATTCCTATCTAAGGGGTTTGGGTAGTCAGGTCCTACAAACCCTAAATTCTCATCAGATGGGTCTTATTTAACTCTATATATCGTGACTTACTTTCCAACCTGACTCTGGCATAACATTACGAGACAAGGAAGAAAATCAAAATATTTTACCCCAAATCATGTTTCTTTCCCATTCATTTCCCAGTTTTGAAATGGCCCTGCAAAACTGTCCTTTGTGGGGGAAAATTTGCATCTGTAAATAATCTCTATTAACATAGCTAGATCTTTTTCTTCCAGGATCTCCCAATTCTAAAGAGATTTACTAAAAGTCTAGCACCTTTTAATGCGCTGAAGAGAAAACTTTTGTCATCTCATCTCTAAGGGCAGCCACTGTAAGACTTCAAAAGAACCTTGGTCTCCACAATCTTTTATCTTTTTTTTTTTTGAGATGAAGTCTCACTCTTTCACCCAGGCTGGAGTGAAGTGGTGCAATCTCAGCTCACCTATAACCTCCACCCCCGGGTTCAAGTGATTCTCCTGCCTCAGCCTCCTGAGTAGCTGGGATTACAAGTATCTGCCACCACACCCAGCTAATTTTTGTAATTTTATTGGAGACGGGAGTTTAACCATGTTGGCCAGGCTGGTCTCCAACTCCTGATCTCAGGTGATCCACCCGCCTCAGCCTCCCAAAATGCTAGGATTACAGGTGTGAGCAACCATGCCTGGCCCACAATCTTTTGTCTTAACCTGAACATTTTCTTTCTATGGATCTCAGGTGTTTAGATAAACTCAACCAATTGTCAACCAGAAAATGTTTAAATTTCCCTTCAGCCACCCACACCTCCCACGGAATTTGAGTTCCCCTCCCTAGATCAACCCACTGTATTTCTTAAATGTATTTAATTGATGTCTCATGCCTCCCTAAAATGTGTAAAACCAAGCTGTGCCCCAACCACCTTGGCCATGTTATATATAAAGTTTCGGTGCCACAAAAGAAATAGCACTTGAATATAAAATTTTCTTTTTGATTCTCAGCAAGGCAAGTTACTTCTATATAGAAGGGTGTGCCCTTACAGATGGAGCAATGGTGAGTGCACATTTAGACAAAGGAGGGGAAGGGGTTCTTATCCCTGAGTCACGTGGCCCCTGCTGCTGTGTTGTTCCCCTATTGGCTAGGGTTAGACTGCATAGGCTAAACTAATTCCAATTGGCGGCTAATTTAAAGAGAACGACAGGGTGAGTGCTTTGGCGGGAGTCAGGGCAGAGCAGGTAGCAGGTGATCAGAATGAGTTAGGGTGGAGCAGGTGGTCAGAATGAGTTAGGATGGAGCAGGTGATCAGAATGAGTCAAGGTGGAGTAGGTGATCGAAAAAGGTTGCTTTACGAGGAAGTTAAGTTTAAAAGTAGAAGGCAAAGAATTGAACATACCAACATATTAATTCTTTGAAAATAAATTTAGAACTCATATCTAACAGCCACATGTTCTCAGGACCTCCTGAGGGCTGTGTCATGGGCCATGGTCACTCATATTTGGCTCAGAATAAATCTCTTCAAATATTTTACAGAATTTGACTCTTTTCATTGACAACGTGGTTGTTGTAATTTGAAAAACAAAAAGTAGAAAGGCTTAATAATAAAATGAATCAAGATGAAAACAAAACAGACATACAAATGATCAAGTTTAGAAAATATCCTAGAACACAAAGAAAAAGGAGAGAGGAATGAGGGAGAAAGGGAAATAGAGAGGACATAAAACTGAAGACACATGGAAAATATCTTGAAAAGGAGAAGGTGCGGTAGAGGACAAGAGTTAAGGGAGAAGGAAGGAAGAGGTGAAGGAGGAGGGGGAAAAAGAAGTTATTTAAATGTGCCTTTAAATATACAGAAACAATTTCTAGAAGACTACAATCAATATGAGTGACTTCCAAATTATTAACAGAAATATTAGGGAAAAAATAAAAATTCAGTAAAGCCAGCAAATGGTAGAAATATTTTTTAAAAAAGAAAAAAATAGCATAGTCAATAGAAACATAAGATGAAAGGAATAACTTGGAGTATGTAATACAAAAATGGTGAATGGGTTATAAAAAAATCCAATTACATGCTATTTACAAGAAAACAAAATGGCACAAGATGACTGAAAATAAAGGGAAAAAACAGATACTTCAGACAAGTGCTATAAAAAAAATGTATCAATAGATTTGAAAAATGAAATCCACTAAAATAAATGAAGAGTTAAATTTCATTTTAGCAAGAAGTTACCATCCACCAAGAAGTCATACCAGTCAAGAAAATGTATGCATTTAACAAAATAGATTTGTAATATGTTGAGCAATCACTAATAAGATTTTACAAGGAAAAATCAACCAGAATTTTAATGGAAGATGTCAGTTTACTCCTTTCAGAATTCATTGACAAAAACAAATGAAAAAGAGATAAGGGTATATGGTACTTATAATAAAATTTGCAAGTATGATCTAATAGTTTTACAAAGAATTTTCTTTTTTTAAATTATACTTTAAGTTCTAGGGTACATGTGCACAATGTGCAGGTTTGTTACATATGTATACATGTGCCATGTTGGTGTGCTGCACCCATTAACTCGTCATTTACATTAGGTATATCTCCTAATGCTAACTCTCCTCTCTCCCCCCACCCCACAACAGGCCCCAGTGTGTGATGTTCCCCACTCTGTGTCCAAGTGTTCTCATTGTTCAATTCCCACCTATGAATGAGAACATGTGGTGTTTGGTTTTCTGTCCTTGCAATAGTTTGCTCAGAATGATGGTTTCCAGCTTCATCCATGTCCCTAAAAAGGACATGAACTCATCCTTTTTTATGTCTGCATAGTATTCCATGGTGTATATATGCCACATTTTCTTAATCCAGTCTATCATTGATGGACATTTGGGTTGGTTCCGAGTCTTTGCTATTGTGAATAGTGCCGCAATAAACATACATGTGCATGTGTCTTTATAGCAGCATGATTTATAATCTTTTGGGTATATGCCCAGTAATGGGAGAGCTGGGTCAAATGGTATTTCCAGTTCTAGATCCTTGAGGAATTGCCACACTGTCTTCCACAATGGTTGAACTAGTTTACAGTCCCACCAACAGTGTAAAAGTGTTCCTATTTCTCCACATCCTCTCCAGCACCTGTTGTTTCCTGACTTTTTAATGATTGCCATTCTAACTGGTGTGAGATGGTATCTCATTGTGGTTTTGATTTGCATTTCTCTGATGGCCAGTGATGATGAGCATTTTTTTCATGTGTCTATTGGCTGCATAAATGTCTTCTTTTGAGAAGTATCTGTTCATATCCTCAGGTATTTCTTTATCAGCAGCATGAAAATGGACTAATGCAGTAAACTGGTACCAGTAGAGTGGGGCATTGCTGAAAAGATACCCAAAATTGTGGAAGCGACTTTGGAACTGGGTAACAGGCAGAGGCTGGAACAGTTTGGAGGGCTCAGAAGAAGACAGGAAAATGTGGGAAAGTTTGGAACTTCCTAGAGACTTGTTGAATGGCATTGCCCAAAATGCTGATAGTGAAATGGACAATAAGGTCCAGGCTGAAATGGTTTCAGATGGAAATGGGGAACTTGTTGGGAACTGGAGCAAGGGTGACTCTTATTATGTTTTAGCAAAGAGACTGGCAGCATTTTGCCCCTGCCCTAGAGATATGTGGAACTTCGAACTTGAGAGATACAATTTAGGGTATCTGGTGGAAGAAATTTCTAAGCAACAAAGCATTCGAGAGGTGACTTAGGTGCTGATAAAGGCATTCAGTTTTATAAGGGAAGCACAGCATAAAAGTTTGGAAAATTTGCAGCCTTACAATGTGACACAGAAAAGAAAATCCTATTTTTTAAGGAGAAGTTCAAAGTGGCTGCAGAAATTTGCATAAGTAACAAGGAGTCGAATGTTAATTCCCAAGACAATGGGGAAAATTTCTCCAGAGCATGTCAGTGGTCTTCTTGGCAGCCCCTCCCATCACAGGCCCAGAGGCCTAGGAGGAAAAAGTGGTTTTGTGTGCTGGACCCAGGGTCCCTGTGCTGTGTGCAGCCTAGGGACTTGGTGCCCTGTGTCCCAGCCACTCCAGCCATGGCTGAAAGGGGCCAATGTAGAACTCAGGCCATGGCTTCAGAGAGTGCAAGCCTCAAGCCTTGGAAGCTCCCACATGGTGTTTAGCTAGCCAGTGTACAGAAGTCAAGAATTGGGGTTTGGGAATCTCTGCCTAAATTTCAGAGGATGTATGGAAATGCCTGGATGTCCAGGCAGAAGTTTGCTGCAGTGGCGGGGCTCTCTTGGGGAACTTCTGCTAGGGCAGTATGGAAGGGAAATGTGGGATCGGAACCCCCACACAGAGTCCCTACTGGGGCACTGTCTAGTGGAGCTATGAGAAGAGGGCCATGGTCCTCCAGACCCCAGAATGGTAGATCCACTGACAGCTTGCACTGTGCACCTGGAAAAGCCACAGACACTCAACACCAGCCTGTGAAAACAGCCACGAGGGGTGCTATACCCTGCAAAGCCACAGGGGCAGAGCTGCCCAAGGCCATGGAAGCCCACCTCTTACATCAGCGTGACCTGAATATGAGACATGGAGTCAAAGGAGATCATTCTGTAGCTTTAAGATTTGACTCCCCTGCTGGATTTTGGACTTCCATGGGCCCTGTAGCCCATTTGTTTTGGCCAATTTCTCCCATTTGGAATGGTTGTATTTACCCAATGTCTGTACTCTCATTTTATCTAGGAAATAACTAGCTTGCTTTTGATTTTACAGGCTCATAGGTGGAAGGGACTCACCTTATCTCGGATGAGACTTTGGACTGTGGACTTTTGAGTTAATGCTGAAATGAGTTAAGACTTTGGGGGACTGTTGGGAAGGCATGATTGGTTTTGAAATATGAGGACATGAGATTTGGCAGGGGCCAGAGCAGAATTATATGGTTTGGCTCTGTGTCCCCACCCAAATCTCATCTTGAATTGCACTTCCATAATTTCCATGTGTTGTGGGAGGGACCCAGTGGGAGATAATTCAATCATGGGGACAGTTTCCCCCATACTGTTCTTGTGGTAGTGAATAAGTCTCAACAGATCTGATGGTTTTACTAGGGGTCTCTGCTTTTACGTCTTCTTCATTCTCTCTTTGCCTGCTGTCATCCATGTAAGATAGGACCTGCTCCTCCTTGCCTTCCACCATGATTGTGAGGCTTCCCCAGCCACGTGGAACTGTAAGTCCAATAAAATATTTTTCTTTTGTAAATTATCCAGTCTTGGGTATGTCTTTATCAACAGCATGAAAAAGGACTAATACAGCATGATAAGGATTATGATATCTCACTTTAAATTCTTCTCTATTGTGTGTGTGTGTTTTAATACAGAGAATATGTTGGCAATTTAGTTATAAAAATTGATAATAAAAATATTTAAAGAAGAGCACTTCTCTCAACAGGCTATATTTCAAATTTAGTTAAGCTCTAGATATAGATACAGAAAAAAATCCACACTACTTTGCAAATTAATTAATACTCAAGTGAGTAAAATTAAGAAAGGATGTTATTAATAGTTTCTATGTCATTACTGGGAAGTTAAATAATTGCCAAGGAGTTCTCCTGGAGTCTGCATATTCCTATTGTGAAAAAAATGCTAAAAAATGAGCAAGGGGCATCCTGCAAGACTTCATGGGCTCTGATAGTCAGAGATGAGAAAGGAAGAAAAGGAAACACAAATATTTGTGAATGATGGAGAAAATGAATTGTTCATTGAACTACAGATAAGAGGACATCTATACTTTAGTCATGCTGTCCAAATGCATTTATTTTTCATATTGATTTGAGAACCTATCCCTTGGGTGATTGTGACTCCACTTAAGGGAGCTTAACACCAATTCCCAAAGCCATGAGTGTGACAGCAGTTCAGCAGAGTCACAAGAAATGCGTATTTGAAATGGCAAGCAGCAGGTGGCTGAGTCCTTCTCTATTACTTTTTAAAATCAGTATGCATGTGGTCCTGATCAAACAAATCTTAGACTCAAAATCAGCCCCTATTTATTTATTGAGGACCAGCTATGTGCTGGGCCCTGGGCTGGATGCTTTCACATATTACATACCTCATTAATTCCACAATGTTAAAAATAAATGTGCTTTCTGCTATTAAAATATAAAGTCATCCTGAAGATAAGCAAAGACAGCTTAGAATTCTCATCTATCCCCCATGCTAACCAGAGATTTGATGATTATCTTAAAGGATGAATGACTTGAATGCAGAGTTGAATGCATTGAGAGGTTATTTTCATTCATTTTTAAAAGACTAACTCAATAGTCTTCAAAATTTCGAATTTTTATACAGTTACATACACAAACCCATTTAGGAATTTTCAAAGACCATTTTGACTACAGGGGATTCCTGACTAAATGACTTTAGGACCCAATGCTGCTGGAAGGTGTATATCATAAAGACACAGAATTAATTCTTATATAATTAAGTTCAGAAACTCTTATAGTTATACACAGGTTAGATTTTAAAGTCTGATCCTACGTCCATTTATTTATAAGGACAATGTAACATTTATATGAACAATGTATAAACATCAATATGGAGCTAACATCACTTTGATTTCTATCATTTTTTAAGCACATTCAATGCTTTTGAATTTACGGGATTTTATATGATCTGGTAACAGATCTGGAAATGAAGGACAAATGTTACAAATTGTCATGGGGCAAAAAAACAGCACTATGCCTATGACTAATTTAACTCCATAACTGCTGACACCATCTGTTGGCAGTGATACTCTGCTGAGATGGGGCTGAGGCAATACTCTTACACAAACATATAGTTTTGTTTGTCTCTCTCCAAACTCCTAAATTCAAAGTTAGTTTGTAAAGGAGTTTCTGTTTTACAGTCTTTAATCCCAAAGCTCCCATCTCTAACATATGTCAAAGCAAATTTGGCCGGTTAAACAAAGGGAAGGAAAGGAATTTCATACCATTAATGACCTCTTCCAAACTTCTATTTGTTCAACCTGGAAAAGAAGAAGGCAAATAGGTGAATACTGAGATGTTAACACAACTCGGAGTATTCATAGGTATCCTTCACTTCAGCTGCTGTCACCAGCCTACAGTAATATGGGGAAATGGTAACTCATCTTTTTATACTGCTCTATTCATTCACTGTCTCCCCAAATAGAATATAACTTTCTTAAGGGAAGGAGTTTCACCTGTATTATTCATCTCTGTACCTCATACATAGAAGGATACAGAGTATCCATGTAATAAAGGAAGAAAAGAAAGGAGGAAGGAAAGAAAATATAGGAAAAAGAGTGGAAGAAATGTATTGATGTTTATCACAGTCTTTAACAATTATATTTTCTGTTATGCTCTAATACAACAAAAAATTGTAGTTGACAGATGATGCAAGAGAACATAGTTCTCTGCATAAAGATTTTTGAGAAACTTTTATTTTATTTTTTTTATTTTTTACTTTTTGAGACAAAGTTTCGCTCTTGTCCCCCAGGCTGGAGTTCGATGGCACGATCTCGACCCACTGCAACCTCTGCCTCCCGGGTTCAAGCGATTCTCCCACCTCAGCCTCCCGAGTACCTGGGATCATAGGTGCCTGCCACCACGCCAGGCTAATTTTTGTATTTTTTTTTTTTAGTGGAGACAGGGTTTCACCATGTTGGTCAGGCTGGTCTTGAACTCCTGACCTCAGGTGATCCGCTCACCTCGGCCTCCCAAAGTGTTGGGATTACAGGTGTGAGCCACCGCACCTGGCCAAGAAGCTTTTAATTTCTCAAGTCAGTTGTCATCTTTATGAGAAAAAAAGGAATTTTCCTCTCTTGTAAATAAATTTGCACTCATAAACCCAAGATAACTGCTGGCAAAACCACTTGCTTATTTTACTGGTCTTTAAGTAAATGTGTGTATGTATAATATGTGTATAAATCAGAAACTAATGGAACTGATTACCTGCAAGTGATGGATGAGAACAGAATGGAAGGAATAGGGAAGGGAGTGAGACCTCCTGAGTATATCTTGTAATATACATTTTACGTTTGAAGTAATGTTTTATATATTTTAAGAAATATACTTATATCTACAAGGATGAAAAGGCCTAAAATTGAATATAAACAAAAACAAATGAAGCTAAAATTTTGAATATCAAATTTTAACATAAGCACCAAAAATGAATCAATTCAAGCAACTTCTGAACACAGTACACTATATGTATATAGTATACACCCTCAGAACTGCAAGGAAATTTTGGATTTTACTTAGTTGGTTTGTTCTTGATACTAGTATAAATATACTGATTCTGAAATAAAATTATTGTGTTATAAAACAGAGCAGATGATTAAATTTAAATTCATCAATGTTTGAACCAGAGTTCTTACTGTGGGAAGGAAAATACAATAAGGAAATAAAGAAGGAGAGGAGGAATGTGGTGTGGAAATGGAATAGGCAATATCTGTACAAACTAATATTTTTTTAAAAATTATATATTTGTTAGCTTTATCACTAAAAGTTCCTAGAAATAATGACAACTCCGTGGAAATGAACACATTTAGCATTCAGGTCTCCCCTTGCTACTTCCCACTAAAAGGAACCAAAGATCTGTAAAGACAAGACCAGTTCCAGATCTGAAGCAGAAAAAGTACAGTGTGAGCATGGAAGATCTTATGCTAGAAGGGAAGTGCTCAAGAATGAATGGCAACATGTCAAAATGTCACAAGAGGCAGCTTGAAGGTATCATTTTGATGCTCAAATTGTTTCACATTCAAAATTCTAATGTGAAAAAGAATACATTAAATGTTTAAAATCAAGTTGAGTTCCAGCTTCTTAAGATGTGGAAAGTTGGAAGGTGTCATTCCAACCCAAAGATCAAGTGAATGTTACATATTGTAAAAAGGCATCATTTTCTTGAACCCATCTAAGAGCTACGTTTTCCAGTGTATGCAACTAGTATAAGTTAAAAATGGATGCTTCCAGGAAGAGACAGCGCATGAGCAGTGGGTTGCCTTTGGCAGAGCACAGAGGAAGATGAGGTCATTATACAAGTGAGTACAATTTAAGGTAAAATTATTAATGAATTGCTAAAAGTTGAGTATGGGCAAGTCTGAAAATACAGAGCCACTGGAGGCCTTAGGTACAAGGGACATTTACAAGCACTTCCAGGCTACTCTGCACAGACCCCAGTGGGCACTTTGGAGGAAGACTGGGGCAAGGTAGAGAATGCAGAATGTCTCCCTCACCAGGTAGCCAGGAGAAGGAGAGCAACTGCTACTGAAGAGACTTGACAACAAATTGTTTGAGACCCGGATCTCTAGGAAAACAAAAATCTATAAAGGATATTATTGGGACAATTGGAGAAATTTGAATATGGAATTTACATAAGAACTGTTCAATATTTTCAGTATAATAGTGGTCTTCTGGTTACGTAGTGCTGTGGTATAACATAAAATATATTTAGTCTCTGTCACTGATTCTTATCACAAAGCTCTTAAAATTCTTGGAATTTCCCGAGTAATAGGAGTGTCTTTGTTATTCATAACACCCTTTGCCTAAGTTTTTGCTAATGAGGTGACTCAGGGTGGGGCTCTAGGATAGCCCGTGAAGGGGCTGGTTGCCATGAATACCTAAGGATTAGAAGATTAGAGTTGGAACTTTCAGTCCCACCACCCAACCTCCAGTAAAGGGTGGGAGGGGGCAAGGAGGCGAGGAGGTGAGGAGGCTGGAGATTAAGCTGTATAAAACCTCTTGAACACTTGGAGGTGCTACGTGGCATGCCTGAGGAGAGCATGGAAGCTCCACACCTCTTCCTCCATACTTTGCCCTATGCATTTCTTCATGTGGCTATTCATCTGTATCCTTTATAATATCCTTTATAATAAAACAATAAATGTACATAAAATGTTTCCCTGGGTTCTATAAGTGATCCTAGTGAATTATCAAACCCAAGAAGGTGGAGATAGGAACCTCGATTTATAGCTGCTCAGTCAGAAGCACAGGCTACAACCTGGAACTTGTGATTGGCATCTACAGTAGGAGCAGTCTTGTGGCAGTGAGCCCTTCACCTGTGGTATCCAATGCTCTCCAGGTAATGTCAGAATCGAAGTGAATTATAGGACATCCAGCTGGCATTTAGAGAGTTGGAGAATTGCTTGGCATGTGGGGAATAATCCCTACACATATGGTCACAGAAGTGCTCTGTACAATGGGGAAAGAAAAGTCTATTCAATAAATGGTGTTGCAAAAACTGAATATTCACATGCAGAAGAATGAAATTAGGCCCTCATCTCACATCATACATAAAAATCAACTGAAAATGCGTTGAAGACTTAAATATAAGACCTGAAACTGTAAAACTACTGGAAGAAACCATAGGGGGAAAGCTTCATGACATTGGTCTGGGTGAAGATTTTTTGGCTATGACCACAAAAGCACAGGCAACAAAGCAAAAATAAACAAATTGAATGGCATCAAACTAAAAAGCTTCTGCACCACAAAGGAAACAATCAAGAGAGTGAAGAGACTACCTATGGAATGGGAGAAAATATTTTGCAAACCATACATCTGATAATGGGTTAACATCCAAAAATATACAAGAACTCAAGCAACTAAATAGAAAACAAATAACCCAACTTAAAAATGGGCTAAGGACCTAAATAGACATTTTGAAATAAGACATACAAATGGCCAACAAGTAAATGAAAAAATCCTCAAAATCACTAATCATCAGAGAAATGCAAATCAAAAACATAATGAGATATCACCTCACACCTGTTAGAATGGCCATTATAAAAAAGATGAAAGCTAACAAGTATTGGTAAGGATGTGGAGAGAAGGAACACTTGTACACTTTTGGTGGGAATATAAATTAGTATACCCATTATGGAAACTTCAAAAATTTCAAAAAGACTTTAAAAATTTCAAAATAGAACTACCATATGATCCAGCAATCCCACCGTCGGGTATATATCCAAAGAAAATGAAAAAACGAAATCAGTATTGTGAGAAACACACTCACCTGTCCAAACCCAAACAATGTACTCAGAGACACAAAGAATAGCGGAAGCGAGACTTTTAATGGCGGTCTTGCAAGATCGGGTGTCTGGTAGGCAGGCACACCTGGGGCAGTTACAGCAGGCAATTTATTTCCTAGCACACAAGTCCCTCTTCCCAGTTCCTCATTGGTTGAGCACTATGGGGTTACAATCTTCCCGGACATCGCCCAAGTTTCATTATCCCCTTATAAGATCATACTCAGGTCCCCTTCCCTGCTTAAGTTTTGATTTTTCAATAATGAAACTTTATTCCCTTTTATGGGCTGACCCCTCCTTTACATTCTGTTCGCTTATCGTGACTTTCTAGGTGCATGAGCCCTGCGGTTTGTTACGCCCGCAGGCTGGCTGCCAGTGCTTAGATTTATCATGCCTTGCAACTGGACAATTAAAATATCTTCTCACAGGCACGGTGGCTCATGCCTGTAATCCTAGCACTTTGGGAGGCTGAGACGGGTGGATTGGCTGAGCTCAGGAGTTCGAGACCAGCCTGGGCAACAATGGTGAAACCCTGTCTCTACTGAAATACAAAAAATTGGCCGGGTGTGGCGGCATGCACCTGTAGTCCCAGCTACTCGGGAGGCTGAAGGAGGAGAATCGCTTGAACCGGGAGGCGGAGGTTGCAGCGAGCTGAGATCATGCCACTGCACCCCAGCCTGGGCATCAGAGCGAGACTCCGTCTCCAGAAAAAAAAAAAAAAATCTTTTCACAGTATGTCAAGACACATCTGCACTCCCATGTTCATTGCAGTATCATTCACAATAGCTATGGTATGGAATTAACTTAGGTGTCCATCCCCGTGTTAGTGGTAGCGAATCTGTGCAGGTCTGCAGCAACCTCCAGTCTTGCCTCCTTAGAAGAAAGAATTTGACGGAGGGGCATAAGGCAGAGTGAAAGACTGAGGCAAGTTTTAGAGCAGGAGTGAAAGTTTATTCAAATGCTTTAGAGTGGGAATGAAAGGAAGTAAAGTACACTTGGAAGAGGGCCAAGCAGGCAACTTGAGAGATCAAGTGCACAGGTTGACCTTTGACTTGGGGTTTTATAGATTGGCATGCTTCCAGGGTCGCGTTACTTCTCCCCTGATTCTTCCCTTGGGGTGGGCTGTCTACATGTACAGTGGCCTGCTGGCGCCTGGGAAGGGCTGCATGCAGTGTGTTTACTGAAGTTGTATGCATGCTCACTTGAGACGTTCTTCCCTTACCAGTTGAGTGTTCCTGTAAGGTCATATACCAGTAAAGCTTCTCCATTTTTTCTCTTACTGCACATGTGTAAGCCCACTTCACCAACTCCTGAGATCTTCTGGGGAAGGTGCTGATCACCAGATTCAGGTTTTTCATATCTTTTGGGAGACTACCTTTCCGTGGTCCTGGCTGTGAACAATTACTATTTTTGAGAGACAGTTAACAAGAGTTAACAACTGCCTAACCATCACCTGATGGTCACCTGACATTCCTGGTTGGGGGATTGCTCTCCTGCCCCACTCTTGTCTGACTAGCTACACTACTGTAACAACTGGACGAATGGGTAAAGAAAATGTGGCATATATACACAATGAGATACTATTCAGACTTTAAAAAGAGAGGAGATTCCTGTCATTTGCAACAAAATGGATGAACCTGGAAGACATTAAATGAAGCCAGGCACAGAAAGATAAATATCACATTATCTCACTTAGGTGTGGAATCTAAAAAAATTGAACACAATAGAAGCAGAGAGTAGAATGGTGGTTACCAGGAGTTGGCGGAGCAGGGTGGTTTGGGAGATATTGGTCAAAGGATAAAAACTTACAGTTAGAAGGAGTAAGATCAAGAGATCTGTTGTACAACACAGTGACTATAGTTAATAACAAATTCTTGAAGATCACCAAAAGAGTGGATTTTTGGCATTCTTGCCACACAAAAAAAATGATAAGTATGTGAGGTAATACATATGTTAATTAGCTTGATTTAACCATTCCACAATGTATACATATTTCAAAACATCATGCTGTACACAATAAATGTATACAGTTTTAAAACTGTCTTCTAAAACAAAAAGAAGTATTCTGTGCTGTGTTGAGTGTGAAAGTACAGAGGAAAAAGTAGTTTGTTTTTTCCTTTTACAAGTGTTTGTGTGGTCATATTCTTGTTTTTAGGAGATACACTGAAGAATTTAGAAGTAAAGTATAATGATGTCCACAGCTTACTCCTAACTGGTTCAGATAAAATGGTGTGTATATGGATGGAGAGAAAGAGAGAAAGCAAATGTGGCAAAATTTTACTAATTGGTGAATATAGTATATAGTGTATGTGTGTTCATTGTATTAACAGATCTTTCAATATTCCTGTAGGTTGTAGCAGAGAATAAGGATCCGTTAAGATTTTAGGTTCAGGTGTTATTTGATTTTTAAAACTTTTTATTGAAGTATAACAGCTATAATATGTGTATAACATTTATACAGAGAAGTAAACAAATTATGGGTACACAGTTGGATGATTTTTACAAACTGAACACACCTGTATAATCAATGTCCAGATAGAAAGTATATTACTAGGACCCCAGAAGCCCACTTATAAAGCAAAGATATATGTGCTTGATAGATCCTGTTGCTTTGCATCAATAGATTGGATAGGAGTGATACCAGTGTGCTCGGGGAGGTCCCGAAATGGCAGTGGGACCTCGACCCCAACCAGTGTCCAGGCTCTTGACATCACCTTGAGAATGAATTCAAGGATGAGTCAGAAAACAGAGAAAGTATGGAGATTATTGCAAAATGAAAAGTACACAACAAAGCGGAGTGTGGGCATACTCCCACACACACAGGGCAGTTTGGGGCTGCTATCTTTATGAGTTTCTTTAACC
Organism: Homo sapiens; assembly: GCF_000001405.40. Classification (NCBI taxonomy): domain Eukaryota; kingdom Metazoa; phylum Chordata; class Mammalia; order Primates; family Hominidae; genus Homo; species Homo sapiens. Next base: position 108,622,546 of record NC_000005.10, read on the forward strand.
AAAGGGTAGAATATTCATGAATATTCCTGGAAAAAGATGGAGATTTCTGGGAACTGTGATGCCACTCTTTTTTTTTTTTTTAAGACGGAGTTTCGCTCTTGTTGCCCAGGCTGGAGTGCAATGGCGCAATCTCGGCTCACCGCAACCTCTGCCTCCCAGGTTCAAGCGATTCTCCTGCCTCAGCCTCCCTAGTAGCTGGGATTACAGGCATATGCCACCACGCCTGGCTAATTTTGTATTTTTAGTAGAGACGGGGTTTCTCCATGTTGGTCAGGCTGGTCTCAAACTCCCGACCTCAGGTGATCTGCCCGCCTCGGCCTCCCAAAGTGCTGGGGTTACAAGTGTGAGCCACCGCACCTGGCGTGCCACTCATTTTTACGACAAAAATGAGTGTTCCCAGAACTGTCATGGTACTGATGGGTGTGGGTTTAGTATGCTAATGAGCACATAATGCAGTCCTAGGTGAATCCTCGGTCAAATCTAGTGCCATGGTGGGTCCAGTCAGTCTTAGCCAGCTTGGCCTACACCTTGGTTTTTCAGGATCTTCTCGGCCCCTAGATTCTGCAGTTATTTCAGCAGTTTGCTTTTGCTAGTCATGTGAAACTGCTGCCCGGAATTTTCTATTTTCCTATGATCGCCCTGTATTATTCCTGTCTTGGGAAAAATGGTTATACACATAAGCCAAGAAGGAGAAAAGTGCAACTTTCCTTACCTGTGTACATACTGCCCACTAGAGTAGGCCAGTTGGCCATATGTACTAACAGAAAGACCTAGAAGAAAGAACATCCAATTATTAGGTGTACCAGAAGGTGATAATACCCAACTTTTACTTTTGATAAGTATATTTTATTTTCTTCAGTGTGGCATTTGCTTATGATGAACTTGAGTTCATTCTCATATGTTCGTTGACCACTTGGATATTCTCTGTCCAAGTAAAACCTTATTTTTGTATTAGGTTATTTGTCTTTTTCATATATACATCTATACATTCCTATCACACAAATGAATAAGAAAAAATCTATATATACATTAATTTATATATTATCTATAAATTATATATTATTTAAATATGTAATATACAGTTGATTATATATTAATTATATAATGTATTATATAAAATATGTATAATATATAATATAATATATATATATTATATGTATTTTGTCCACAGTTCCTGGCTCATCACTCCTTTAGCCTTTGTTATAGTCTCATAAATCCCATAGCCTTTGTTACAATCTTTTGTTATAATTTTGGGGTGTTTTAGGCTTCAGGAGCAGGCCCCAGGAAACAGAATCTCTCTCTCTAATTTTATCCTGGCCTCCTTTTACCTGCTCAAAACAGGACTCTAATCTAATTGTGGGTCAAAAGACCCTTATTCCAGAGAGGGTCCCACCCCATACTCTGGAGGAAGGAATGCTGCACAGAATGGACAAGAAGAATCTGAACAGACAGGTCTTGCTGAGTTTCCCCACTCAGTCTTCTAGTATGAGATCATACTCTTGTCCAGTCACATGTCTATGAAGTTGTCAATCATGCCTATGTAATGAAGCCTCCATAAAAACCCAAAAGGACAGGGTTTGGTGAGCTTCCAGATAGCTGAATACATGGAGGTTCCTAGAGGGTGGTGCTCCCAGGGAGGGCATGGAAGCTCCACACACCTTCCCCTCCTCTCCTTATGTATCTCTTCATCTGTAGCCTTTGTAATATCCTTTATAATAAACCAGTAAATGTAAGTGTTTCCTTGAGTTCTGTGAGCCACTCCAGCAAATTAATCAAACCCAAAGAGAGGGTCGTGGGAAGCTTAACTTGAAGCTTGTTGGTCAGAAGTTCCAGAGGCCAGGACTTGAGACTGGTATCTGAAAGTGGATATTCTTGGGGACCGAGCCTTCAACCTGTGAGATCTGATGTTATCTCCAGGTAGATAGTGTCGGAACTGAATGGGGGGACACCCAGTGCTGTCCACTGGGGAACTGATTGCCCACTTGGTGGTGGGGAGAGCCTTCTCACACACACATTTGGTCCCAGAAGTCTTCTATGTTGATGATTTTTGTGGTGTGAGAGCAGAGAAAACACCATAAAATATTAGAGTTTTTCCCAATTTGCATTATTCTTTACATAATCTGGCTTTAAGTCCTTGGTTGGTTATCTGTATTACAAATATCTTCCCTATATGATGGGTGGTAGTTTTACCCATTTAATGGTGTCCTTTAATACACAGTGCTTGAAGTTCAATTTATCAATCTTTTTCTTTATATGGTTAAGAAATTTTGCCCATGTCACAGTCATGAAGAAATTCTCCTACATTTTCTTCTAGAAACTTTGTTTTACCTTTCACATTTGGATCTGCAACCCATTTAGAATTTATTTTTTTGTATGGTGAGAGGTGGGGCACAAATTTATTTTTCCCATCTGGGTATCTACTTGATCCAACACCAATTATTAAGAAGATTATTCTTTCCCCACTGCACTGCAATGTCATCTTTGTCATAAATCAGGTAACCATATATGTTTAGGCCTATTTCTGGACTTTCTTTTCTCTTCCATTGCTCTATTTGTCAATTCTTATGCCACTACCATACTGTCTTAATTATTACAGCTCTTGGTATCTGATAATACAAGTCCAGCAGCTTTGTTTTTCTTTAAGATTGCCTTAGCTATGCTTGGCTCTTTGCCTTTCCATCTAAGTTTTAGAATTTGATTGCCAATTTCCAAAACAAAAATTTTGCATGGACTGTCATTTAAATTTGATTGCATTTTTAAAGGTAGTGTTCTCTTTTCACCTGTTTTTTTAGGTGAAACATTTGTTGAGCCTCTTTGTATACTTTTTCCTACAGTGGAGACTGGTGGAAGTTGAAGTGGTTTTGAAATATTTTTGTGTTTAACTGTGTTCAGTTAAAATATAACTATCCTAGAACAGAGATATTATTCAAGTAAAACCCACTGAATCATATTAATCCTGACCTTACCTCTCCACTCTGAGTGGAGACATTTTCTATACAGAATAGTCAAGGCAAATAATGGTGAGCGAGAAAAGAGAATCAGAGTTCACATGAAACTTGCTAAAATCAGACGATCTCTGCAATTCCAATCAATATATTTTTCTTCCTTTCATTTTGCTCCTTTACATTGTGTTGAAAGGTAACAAAAGTAAGCTGTGTCTCTGCATTATCACTTGTTTTGGAGGTCATGGCTACTGTCAACTTCTCTGGGGAACAGTCCCTCATCTGTACCGCTGTTCTGTATTATTATGGCCTGTGCATCTTCACTTTCTCTTTCCTCTTCATTTTCACATTTCACTTGCTGCTCCTCAGTTTGCTCTGTGTCATTTCAGTGTTGTGTCTGAGTGACAAATGAGTGTTCAACCCTCTTTCTTTTCATGAGATTGTTATAGTCTCTAAAAAACCAAGTGCCATAGTACGCTTGTGAAACTGATGGTGATGCTGTCAAGCCTAAGAAAATTTCTGTCTACAAGAGAATATAGAGAATAAATCTTTGTCAACAGGCTTCCCTGTCCATTAGATTGAGAATTTCATGCCAGCCACATTTAAAATCTTGTATGGTATTAATACTAATCAGTGTTTATTAACATTCAGACATGTTCACAACTGTTGTAGCAGCTGAGTGTCTGTAAGTTAAATTGATTTTAGTCCTTAGATATCAATTAACAGCACTGCTTCACATTTTCATAATGAAATACAGTTGTTTGGGGGTGTTTATGAAATGACATCCATTTGATTTATAAGTAACCTTGACTAGGAAGTCTCTGTGTGTTAGAATGTAAATGATCACCTCCCCCACTTTGATTGCCACATTGCAGCTGTATATTCCCATTTCCAAACAGTAAGAGACAAAGATCTGGAAACACAACAAAGTTAGAGTCTGTCAGCCCACAGCAGGTAGCGAAGATAGTGTTCAGACTAGCTTTTAACCAGACCAACCATGAGTCCGCTAAGGGGACTGTGTGAGGATGTAGTGAAGAAACCTCAGGAGGTGTTCTGAATTCAAAAGAAGAAGAAAAATCAGGCTCAGAATGCTGGCAACCTGTTCACAGGCACATTTTAACCCTAAAGAAGCTTGGAGTCTGACCTGCCTTCGTGAGTCAAGATATTCAATCAAAGCAAGCCCCAGAGGTGTAGGGAGAAAAAAATACCACCCCCTGGTTTTCTACCCCAAATGCAATTTAGAGTTGATTGAGAGGTTTGCTGAAACCAACCTGGTTGAAGACCCCTGAGTCTTGACACCTCTCTGATTCTCTGAAGAAGTTTGCAAAGAGGGAGTAGAAGTTTTGATAGAGTGTTCCTCTGCCTCCATGATATTCCCTTTAGGGCACACTTATTTGAAGAGAATGTGTTTTGCTCTAGGCAGAGTGCAAGTACTTTGGCCAAGAACACATAGCCCCAAGTGTGGCTCTTTCCTACAAGGGGTGAAGAATGAGGAGAAATAGTCTGAGGGGGTTCCCACCTCAAGCCAGGCCCACTTTTGGCTTACAGCTTTCTGATTTTTAGCTTGAGAATTGCATTTATTTTATTTTAAGTGCAACAGCAGGTCCAACAATTTTTGTCCTTCAGTGTTTTATAATTCAAAGTTGAGTCACAATGTCCCTTGCCTAGGTATTGCAAAGCAAGTTTATAGTAGTGCTTACTTTGTTTTTCCAGGGGGACTTCTAATACACCAGATTTTTTGTATAATATTAAAAGGGAATGTTTGTATAAGAGGACAGGTTTCCATTGGGCACCATGGCTACAGGACTATCTGAATGCTGATGTTCTAAGTTTTTCTGTCTTTACAGGCAATAATACTTTGTTTATTTTTTATTTTATTTATTAAAATATATTTTATTTATTAAAACTTTTTTTTAGGGATTTTTATGAAAAGGAGACAGATGAATGACTACAGTACTCAGTAAAAAAATGTAAATCGCACTTGGAATAATACAGATAATAGAAAACATGGCAGAAAATGGAAGGTAAGAAAATGTGTAACATAGAAGTGCAATAGCATGTATGCATCAGGAAGAGGTCCAGTAGGAGTAACCTCACAGAAAGGAAAAGGATAAAGTGCTTTCTCTGCAAAGAAGAATGGAGGTGTTGGTTATTGGCACTGGGGAGAGTCACCCTAAAATAAGATAAAAACAAGAAGAAGAATTCCATATAGAATGCATGGATAATTTTTGTGGCTCTCCATCCTAGGTACTTGTCCACTCCACCACATACAACCCACATTACATACACTATACTTGAAAGACTGAGCAATCCGAACATGGGAAAGATTTACCAATGCTTCAAGGCTGTTTGTGGTCACTGCCTTCAGTGTTGTTCCTGCCCTGACCTTGCCTTGATCTCTGCTTCTATCAGACTCTCACCACTTGTCTCTGCACCTTCAACTTCTATCCTACCTCTAACCCTTTGGCCTTGATTTTTCCACATTTTTCCTGCAGAGCATAAGCTGGCTTATTTGTCCCTTAGCTATGTAAGCCCTGGGCTCTCTCAATCAAACCCTCAGACCCATACCAGCAATTGGAGCAGTGGCCAAGCCAGCCAAACCATCAGTGTGTGTGTGTGTGTTGGGGTTTTTCTTTTTTGGTATTTCTCTTCATGACTTTCATTTGCTGTCATGACCCATGGGATCTTCATGATTTTCAATGAAGGGAGGAATTACATGGGTTCCCCTGGACTAGAACTTTAGTATTTTTTTGAGGACTATGATCACATATTTCCTAGCATTACTATTTTACTCTATTATTACAAATTTCTTGCTCATGCGAATAGGAAAAGGGAAGAGAAGACTGTGGAAGTGGAAATACTGAGGAGAAACTTATATTACTTGAGTTATGAGTAATTTGCTTCCAAAGACATAATATTTCCATATAGCACATACTCTAAAAATCAAGTGGACCCAAGGTAGGAAAGATTTACTGATATCTACTTTCTTAAAGTCGTATAACCAAAATTGAAATATGTAATGAAAAGAACACAGAGTCAGCTAGGTCAGATTCTACTTCACTCACTCTCTTTGTAGAAATTTGGGCAATTTAAGTAGTGTCAGCCTCAATATCGTCACCTGTAAAAATGGAAATAATAATTCCTAACAAGGTTTTCTAGGACTTGATGAGATAATGTATATGAAGATCTTTTACAATGAGACCTGGCCCCAGACAGATATGCAGTAAATATTTATTCCCTTTCCCTTTACCATCTTTGTGGATGCCAAATGAAAAAGCTGATGCACTTTAATTTATTGTCTGCCATCTTGTGGGGATAATAGTTATCTGAGCACATTAGAATGACTTTGTTGTACATTTCCACTGAATTATTCTCTGCCAGGTATCTCAAATCATTAGTCCTTTTTCCTTCAATCATAAGACTGTATGATATATGTATTTCATAAATTAAACTTGTCCTTAAACTGCATCTACTAAAAGGGATAGACCTTTAAAACATGTTCTAAATGTACCTAAAGAACAATATCCAACAGAGAAGGGCAGCAGTCGCAGGAAAATATTTTGTTGGAATGAGAGGGTAGAGGTTTGGCTGAGGCCAGCTGACATGAAACCAAGCTTTGTGACCCTTCTCCTCTTGTGGCTCTCAGATCCCGTATACCTTCACCTCACAGAGGAGTCCACAGTTAGAAGGGGCACTCATTGGTCCCCTGACCACACAGCAAGTCCCTGCTCCCATTTTCTGTCTCTGGCTTGTACTCCAAGCATGGTACGTTGGACTTCCCAAATGCAATCTGCTCTTTTGGTTGCTGTTGACAATTAAGATTTTACAGCCTGAAGTAATTTGTTTGAGGACGGAGTCCAGCAGCTTTGGGTGTCCTTTGCTATGATTGGTGGCATGGGCTTTCAGCCTCCATAATAGTGCACAACAGATGCTGAGGAACATCTCGTTCTAAGTGACACCACATTGGAAATGGAGAACCAGCCTCCGCAGTCATTTGTACGATCATTTGTATGATTGAATTTCCCATTTTGAGGGAGGCAGATGACACTTTTATCTAAAAACAATTTAGCTTTCTTTCTTTGGGGACGAGGGCCTAGATCTATGAGCAGAATACAAAAGAGATTATGGAGAGAGGGAGAAGGTCTGGGTGGAAGGAAATGAACCAAACCAAACAAAGCAATTAAGTGAGGAATTTGCACCCACCTGTTTTTTGTACAATGATAACACAATAACTATTTTTTTCCGTGAACACTTATTCCTTTAAGTTGGCTTCACCCAGTGTTCATAATAAAGAAGGATGAGGAAAACCAAAAACTTTATTTATATTTATCACATGATCAAATTGCTGGGCATTTGAGCAGCTTGGGAAACAGGATAGCTGCCTGGGTGAGAAGTGAGAGCTCTTCTGAGACAGCAGCCATGAGCAATTTAGACTGGTTGTCCACCAGCTGAACTCACAGCTGTACCCAACCCAGCAGCAGATGCTGTGGTCCTTGATCTGTTGTCAAGACTGAGGTGGTGTCAGGTTGTACTCTGCTTAGTTGTGGCATTTAAATCACAAAGGGCAGAGTGACAGAAAAGGCGGTGTTTTAAACATAGTTCCATGTAAGCTCTCAAAGGATGGCACTTTGGGGAGAGAATTATAAGCTTGAACCATCAAATCTAATATTGTTTGCTGTGACTTCTGAGTTATTTATGTTGCCTTTTCCAAATTTTCCTCCTTCTGCTATTTTTCTTTGGGAATTTCCCATAATTTATTTAAGGAAGGAGGGAGCATGTTCCCTGGACTTCCCCCAGGCCTTCTCCTGGACATTTCTGCACATTTCACAGACACAGAGAAGAGGGCTAGGCCTCTGCCTTAGCATATTTATAGGTACTCCTCTGACTATATCTTCCTCATAACCTGTTATTTCCTTTCCAATTGAACATGTGGTTGGACATACTAAATAAACGCAGGTTTATACATAAACTATTCCAATACCTAAATTCATTCTTAAGGAACTGGCTTGAATTCAACTTGAAAACTATGATGTGTTTATGCCTTAGCAAAAATAGAGTAACAAGATCTATGAGTCTATAATATGACTATCCTGGGTGTGAAGTGGTGTCGAGGGACCCTCTGCAGAGCTGGCATAGAAGTGAAGGAGCAGACATCCTCATACAACCAGGTCTCTAAATTCCAGGGTGTGTGCGTAAGGTGGGTGGTAACATTGTCCCAGTAGCTGTTTCTCCTCTGAAGAATGACCTGTTCCTCTTTCTACTGATAATTCTAAGGGAAGGATGAGAAGAGAAGAGAGAAGGAAGAAAGTTGTGTGTTATAGATAGCCGTCTTCTTTCCTTTGTCGATGTTACCTGTGTCCTAATCTCTTCTTATAAGTATGCCAGTCATATTGGACTAAGGCCCACCCTAAAAAATCCATTTTAAGTTAATTACGTCTTTAAAGTTCCTATATCCAAATACAGTTCCATTCTGAGGTACTGAGGATTAGGACTTCAAGATATGAATGTGAGAGTGAGTGGCATAATTTAGCCCATAATAGGCCATAAGGGAAGAAGTAGGATAATAGCATGTTCTTTACGACACAGCCCCTTTCACAGCCCCTTTCCCAAGGTCTTCCTATTATTACCAACCACCGTACATCCTCCTTGCTGTCAGACATCAATCTGGAAACAAGAAAATTGTTCTATTTGAGGGCAAGAAGAATTAAAAATGGGTCTTAGGGTCTAATAAGAGAAAAACCTGCTTAGTGTCAGGTGCCCTAAAAAAAAATGCTTGTAAAAATTAATTAGTGGGCTGAGGTTTCCTGTCTCCTAATTTTGCGAAGGGTTTACATTTTGTTAGGTTACTATGTAGGGAAGGGGAACTATTACCTACAACTTAGTTGTGGACCAGAACTCCCTTGCCTCTCCACTAATATGACACAAAAACTGTGAAATTTAGAAAGAAATTATTTGTAAACAAGAAACATGTAGCCTTGTTAGCCATTGGCAGCCATGCCACTACCATGAGGGAGGCCAGCCTGAAACCCAAACCAACACAGGGAAGGGGCACAGCCAAGCACTCCAGAGAAGTGGAGCCAGAGCCCTGATGAAACCAGGCTTAAAGCCACATGACCACCAAACTGTTTATTTTTGGAGAGATGGGGTCTCACTATGTTGCCAGGCTGTTCTCACACTCCTGGCCTCAAGGGATCCTCATGCCTCAGCCTCCCAAAGTGCTGGTATTACCAGTGTGAGCCAAACTGTGTATTACATGAGCCAATAAAGCACTTTCAGTGCTTAAGCTGAATGTTCTGTTACTCTGCATGTTCTGTTACTTCCAACCAAATACATCTTAATGGACCCAGAATTTGTTCCCAAGAATGTGGAGTTGAAAGTAACAGACTGTAAATTGCCAGGGTTGCTGAATGAAAATTAGGTAGAAGGTAGTGGACCTTTATTCTAGTCTGGGAAATTGGCGATCATTGTCATGTGATAGCACATCAGCTGGTTAAACACAGGGATTGTGACCACATGCCCTCTGAGGCTGTAGCACTAGAAAACCTGACAAAACTCAATGGGTTAGAATGCCTGTGGTCTTCAGAAGGATCATAAAATAAAAAGGCAAGCTTAGTCTTAACAGAGCTTGTACAAAAACAAAGAAAAGTGAAGCATGTGTTTTCTAAGAGAAGCCCTCACTGAAAACCTGGAAAAGCCTAGAGAATTACAGAGAAAGGGATATGACCCAAGTCAATGTCACCTGAACACCCCCACATAAACGATGTAAAGCATAATTTATCTGTCATGCTCAAACCAGTTTGAGTTGGGTTTTCAGTTATTTGCAGTTACTAATCTTCCAATGAATATTTACTTACTTTTAGTTACTTTCTTTAAATCAATACAAGGCCTAAAATGTGTCATTGTTGCTTAACATCTATTCCATTCTATTGTTCCTGCCTCTTCCAGGATATTCAAGGTTTTACTATTTTTCTTTTTGGTGTCTGGTTTCTGCTTAATCTGAAAAGAAGACAGATGAGCTAAATGCTGGCACTATTTGAGTAGAGCGACTTCTTAAACTACAAAATATCAAATCAGGATTCAGAAAATAGACCTGAGCATTTGTGCTTTGGTAATGCATTAATAGCCTAACCATGATAAGCTATTATCTACGCTAGTTCAGAACAGATCCAGCAACTGAATGGTAAACCAGCAATCTCTTCTTTTTGTCAGATTATAATCGCTGGCTTGTGGCTTGGCCCTTGCCTTCTCTGCTCTTGACTGAGGGCTTGGTGATTTCTCCTGGGGCCGAGACTTGGGAATGCAGTTCTCCACACTACCTCTGCCTCCATCTTCCCAGTATATGCCTTTCCTCTTCAACCCTTTTTTTTTGGGCAGTGGGGGCGGGGGACGGAGTCTCGCTCTGTTACCCAGGCTGGAGTGCAGTGGCGCGATCTTGGCTCACTGCAAGCTCCGCCTCCCGGGTTCACGCCATTCTTCTGCCTCAGCCTCCCGAGGAGCTGGAACTACAGGCGCCTGCTACCACGCCCGGCTAATTTTTTGTATTTTTAGTAGAGACGGAGTTTCACCGTGTTAGCCAGGATGGTCTCGATCTCCTGACCTCGTGATCCACCCGCCTCGGCCTCCCATTTAAAACCTCTTCTAGTATTATCATGACAACCATCTTAACAAAAGAACAAATTTCAATGGATACTCAAGATTCTCAGTTGCAAGTTGCAGAGACACAGTTCTAACTCTCTGGAGAAGAAGTGAATCAGCCCACATAATGCCATGGAATACCTGGGATCTGACCTTACAGGTGATTGGATACAGACCTCAAAAGCCAACAGGTCAATGTTTCTCCGTGTCTTTCTTCAAATAACTTCTCTTCTTTCTGAATGTCAGCTTTGGTCGTCCAGGCCAGCTGTCTTTATAAGACTCTAATGATAGCCAGATTTAGGCTTACATCCTGACAATTTCACGACAAGGGATGAAAGAGGGATCTGCCCTACCAGCTGCAGTTAGAAAAATTCTGAGAAAGGACTCTGATTGGCTTGACCTAGGTCATACACCCTCGTACAGTCACTGTGGCAAGCAGGAATGGGTATAAAGCTTGACTTATCTGAGCTAGGTACCCACTCCTCATAGAGGGAGGATGAGTGGCCTCCCTCAACACAGCCACATGGTTGGAATGAGTGAAGAATGATTCCCCAGAGAAGAAGGGGTACTGTTCTAGACAGACACAGCAATGCCTGTCCACTCAAGGCAGCAATGCCAGCAAAGTAGCAATCTGTTTAGTAGTGAGCTGGAAATGCATAGTAATATAATCAGTGACACATTCAGTAGGTACTCAATAAACGCTACTGAATGGACAACTTAGTCCTGCGCTCTCCAGCTTTGGAAATGGTTTTTACTCATATCTCAGTCTGGAGATGTCTGTTTAACCTCTGCCTTGCTCCCATTCTCAGTCTCTGGTCCTTCTGCCTACCTTCCCAAGAAATCTTCATGACTGTTTCAAAAGTAAAGGTACCAATAAGTCAGGCAATTTGCTTGTCTCATTTATTTCACAAATTGAAATATTTTTCTCTTTTTTAGTTTTTGCCTTCCTTCAGCCTCAGCTCCTGGCTACCCTTTGAACTTAGTGGTTTCCATTCTCACAGTCATGAGGGATTTCCTAGATGATGTATCCCATTGGCCAGATGCAAGATTTACTTAAAGTGTGTAAATACCAGCAGAAACAGTGCAATTACACATGTGGTCTACATTTAGGAACCTGGACTACCATTCATATGGGGATGCCTCAATTTATTGTAGATCCTCAGTTTGTCATTGGTGACAAGTGCAGAATGAATACTTCCCAAGTCCTGTTTCTAAGCAGCAACAGTTATGGAAAATCCTGAAGCCAGTTTTTGAGGGGCCTCCTCATTGAAACTTCTTGCCAGTTAACTGCCTTGTTACAATCAAACATGTGGAACACAGACAAAAATTCCTGAAAAGTGACCATTAGTTGACTATAAATAGCTGGGAGAAAAACATCCAATGGAAGCTCATGGAGGATTAGCTTGCCAACTAATGTGACAGATAAGACAGAAATGGGTAAATGCTTCCTTCTTCTTGGTACAAAGACAAAAAAAATGAATAATTACTCAATGTTTTACAAATGAGAAAATGTGTTTTTTTCTTTTTTAAAAAAAAAAACAAGAAAATAAAATCATGTATCACTTTGGGAGTAAACTCAGATCACACTATCCTAAAAGATAACTACAAATAAGAAACTCTGGTAATATCAAATGGAAATACATTGTATACAGCAACCCTGCTGTCTGAGACAGATACAAGAATCTAAACTATTGATTCTGGCAACACTTGTATGACTTTCCATTACAGCAAAGTTACTGAAATGGAAACGTGGACTACCATTTTGCAAAAAGGATAATCTCAAAAATATGGCCATCTTGAGAAAGAGGATATGCAAACACTGGACTCTTTATTTCTTGTCTATTATTGCTAGATTTCTCAATTCACAAAAACAAAATACTTGGTTAGCATTTACTGTGATGGAAAAAATAAGAATCTCCTATCTGGTATGTCAGATTAGTCATTGAGAGAAATGCAAATTAAAACATCTTGTGGGGAAATTTTGCTGTTCTGTAAATATATATAGCAAGTTTAAAAAGGAAAGTGGTAAAGGATAAAAGGAAGCTTTATAAGAACAGCTGACATAATTTCTCCAAAAATATCTATGGGAAACTTGTGTGCTGTGATTTTCATAGTTTATCACTAAAAATGTCATAGCACCTTATATTAATTAAATCATGGACATTTATGGCTAATTTCAAACACTATATTATTTTTTAAAGCAAAATATATTTCATGAGAAAAATCATGAAAATTAAAAATGAAGATAATTTCAAGTGTCAAACCAAATCATTTATTTATAAAATTAAGAATACTCATTCCAAGGGAAATCCCAGTTTATTTATTTTTTCCTTTTTATTTATTTATTTAGAGATGAGGTCTTGCTATGTTGCCCAGGCTGGTCTTGAACTCCTGGGCTCGAGTGATCCTCCTGCCTCAGCCTCACAAATAGCGGGTACTACAGATGCACATCACCATGCCTGGCTAAAGTCCCATGTTAAATGCATACATATTGTATTTTTCTGATTGTAAGAGATAGGTGCAGACCCCTTGATTTATGGCTAGAATATGACATACATGAGCATTTGCCTTTCCTAAGATAATTCACAAGCATCCCCCCAAAAAATATAGATAGGGATCAAAGTAAACAAACAAACAAACAAAAACAGAAGCAATTGAATTTGACCTTATAATGGTCATAAAGTGATGATGGACATGACCAAAGCCACAACATCAGTAGAAAGGCAGTGGAAGAAGTAGTAACACAGTGGCAGGGGCTTCCAAATGGGGGCTCCCCCTCACTGGTTGTGTGAAGAGAGATCCTGCGTTGATTTCAGGAGCACATGAAAGCGTGGAATGTTTGCTCTAGAAAAGAACTTTGATGAGCTCCCACCCTTCCATGTGACAGACAGGTAGACCAAGATGGGCTAGGGGATTAGCTCAGCCCCTTTCCTGCTTTTTCTGGCTAAAACCCTCCTATATGTAAGAACTCTTCTAATTTTTTTTTTTTTTTTTTGACACAGGGTCTCACTCTGTCACCCAGGCTGAGTGCAGTGGTATAATCATGGCTCACTGCAGCCTCAACCTCCCTGGCCCAAACAAATGATCCTCCCACCTCAGCTGGGACTATAGGCACATGCCACCATGCCCAGGTAATTTTTTATTTGTTTGTAGAGACAGGATCTTGCTTTGCTGCCCAGGCAACTCCTGGACTCAAGTGACCCTCTTGTTTCAGCCTCCCAAAGTGCTTGGATTACAGCCGTGAGCCACTGTGCCTAGCCTGTTCTAATTCTTTCCACCACCACAAATGCAAAATCTTTGGGGGCCTTGCCCCTGCAAAAGAAGTGCAGGTTTAGTTTTAATTTTTAAAATCTTTATTTTCTGTCTTTTAAAATGCGGCTTCAAATCTGCAATATAGAAAATATATGCTTTGGGGAAGCCCAAAATAACAGACTTTTTTTTAAATGACTTTCATTTTGGATCAGCCCACAGACCACCTGGTGAATTTTAGAATTCCAGAATGTTTGCATCTGAAAGGCCTTAGAGAGCATTTAGAAGCATATCCCTGCTTAGAAGAAATGGAAAGAGTGGTTTTTTCAGGTCATCTCACATGCCAGAGTCTCACCGGAAGCTAAGTGACTGCAGGGTTTGGGTCCAGCTCTCCTGATTCCACTCTAATGCTACTTCCATGTTCTCTGCTTCCTCTGTGTTCTTCCTTAACAAGGAGGGGCCTGGGGAGAGAGAAAGGGATTGAGAGAGGAAGAAATCTGAAGTTTCCATACTGGCCTATAGCAATATTTGCTTCTGCTAATATATAAAGCCTTCTATTATCTGACATTTTTGCCACAGTTTGTATCTATTTTGGGAAGTCATCATTCACGCAGATAAATCAATAGTTCTGCCCTCTCACTTATAAACGATCATTATGCATGAATTCTTTTGGAACTGCACTTTAAAAACCACCTATGCAGTGATTATTTCATTCATGCATTCATTCATTTAGCAAATATACATTGAGAACATACTCTGTGACAGAAACTGCTAGGTATGGGGAGGAAAAAGACAGATAAAATATTATTCCTTTCTCTGAGGTGCTTATAGTCTAATGGGAGTGAAAGACATACATCAAAACATAAGTACGCTCAGATGTTATGAATGCTGTGCTACAACTGTTGTGCAACACACAGCAACATAACAGAGTGGTTAAGTGTGTGATACTTGACTCACACTGTGAGAGGGAGCATCTCACTTCTGACACTTATACAAATTACTCAATATCCCTAAGCTTCCATTTCCTTATTTTTAAGCTAAAGGCAAATAATACTTCCTATGGCATAATATGTTATGAGGATTAAGTGAGATGTAACATGTAATGTTACTGGCATGTAGTAAGTGCTCAGTAAATGTTAGCCATTATTCTTATTATTTCTACAGTAGAAGCACAAAAGAGGTGGGGTGTCTTATTTGAGGGTCTAAAGATGCTTCATGGGAAGGTTTTACTCTAGCTGAGTCTGGAAGATGAACTAAATTGCTACCAAGTAATTGTGGGGAGAAATCGATTCTGGGCAAGAGGAGTTACACAAATAATATGCTAGCAGCAGGACACAGCCTGATACTGGAGAAACTTCTAGCCGTTTGGAGTGACCAGTGCTCCAGATGCAGGCCTAGTAGCTCTGTGCACCAGATCCAGGCAGAGACTGGGACCAGAATGCTACCAGAAGAACCTGGTTCTGTCCTATTCTCTGTGCCCCAGGGCAGCTGCTTGTAAGCCTTGGGGTCTTAGTTTTCTTATTTGGGAATTAAGGAGGTAAAACTAGATGACCTCTATTATTCCTTCCAGCTCCAACTTTCTGTGGTTTTAAGGTAAAATCTAATTAGGTCAAGCTAGAAGCTTTAGCTTGCATTCTGGGCAAAACCAATAAGTATTATGAATTAAGAAGCTGCTAAAGAAATATGTCGATTCTTCGGGGAAGTCTGTAGGGGGGAAGGAGGGAACATGGGGAAAGGGTGGGTGCAAACTTCTGAGCAGACACTGAGTTGAAGAGTATGCATACTAAGCACTACCTAAAAAGGATTAATGTGACTCACTTCTATTCAATTTTTCAAACTTGTGGACTTGTTCAGTTGCTACTGGGATGTGTTCAAAAGCTTCTGCTTTAGTCATTAGATAATTTCTCAATCAATGGCTACTAAATATTCTACTACTATAATGTTCTGGGAAGCATGACATATTTTTAACTTTTAAAGGGTTGTAAGTATAAAAATTCTGAAAATCATTAAATCTAGATACTGCTTAATTGTTACTAATTGACTTTGTCTCAGGGCTGTAAAGTAACCCACATAACCTAAAATTTAAAAAAAAAAAAAATTGGCCAAGAGCAGCAGCTCACACTTGTAATGTCAGCACTTTGGGAGGTTAAGGTGGGAGGATTGTTTGAGGCCAGAACTTTGAGACCAGTCTGGGCAACATAGTGAGACCCCTGTCTCTACAAAAAAATAAAAGGAATGAACTGGACATGGTGGCACATACCTGTGGTCCCAGCTACTTGGGAGACTGAGAGGGGAGGATTGTTTGAACTCAGGAGTTTGAGGCTACAGTGAGCTATGATTGTGCCACTGGACTCCAGCCTGGGCAACAGAGTGAGACCTCATCTTCAAAAAAAGAAAGTGTTTTTAAGAAAGTAAAATGAATCCAAGACAGATAAAAATGACACTGAGGGAAAGTAAAGCATGATCAAAATGAAGAAACGTCCCCTGAAAATGGAATCTTTGAAGATTTTCTGTATCAGAAACCTTACACTAAGGATGCTGGTAATATGGGAGGACTGTGGAGTTTTTGCACCCTGTTTTGAGCCTGAAGAAATTTGGAAGCTCTCTCTATTTACATAAAGGAGGTTTGCATGGCAGAAATGACCATCAGATCCTGATTAATTCTCATTGCCACTGACTCCATGTGACAGTAAAAGACGTTCATATTTTTGAAAGCCCAAGTGCACTCCATGTTTGAAAACAGAATTCATTCATCACGGAAGCTGCCCAGGAAGGGTGCTGGACATAGGTAAAAATCTCAAAGACAGTCCTCTACCCTAATCCAGGGGTATTATCTCCCTGCCATTAGTACATCCCAGAATATTCACATGGATGACTTCTGGAGCCTAAGAAATGCAGAGTGGTAGTGGAGAAATTGGGACTGCAAGGGGAAAATATGTGAAACTCACTTGTTGACAGCTATAATTGGGACTGAAATTGCATACATCCTTCAGTCTGTCTGTAAGGCTCAAACTACATCTTGAAACATGGTCAGTGTCAACAGAGAGCATTGTCCACTCTCACTCACCAATACTCCTCTCACAAGAAGCAAGAGCCCTGCAGTGCCTGGTGACCTACCCACAGCAACCGCTTCCTAATCATCCCCTCCCTCCTATAGCCATCACTCTCTACTAGGAGGAGTTGAGTTGCGTTACAGGAAATGCCTGCCTGGAAAAAGGCGTTAGCCTGTTTCTGTGTGGCTTTAAAGGATGGAATTTATAGACATCTGAGTAGACTGGAATCAGCATGGGCTGCCTAGTTCAACAGTCACTTCTAAATCTCTAGAGAGTTGAATTGGAGGCCTGGATGACCAGTGGTTATGAACATTGCTGAGGAGTAGTTGGGCCTCTGGCTTTTTTAAGCTTCCTTCCAATTCTAGGCTATGACTTAGTGATGTCTTTTGTTCATTTAAATCAGTTGAAGACTTAACAGAATTTAGGAATTGCACAGAAATAAATATTCCCTAGCAATGTCTAAAAATAAAGAACAAAACAAGAAACCTCTTGCTAACTCTAATGATACATTTGTGAATATGTCATTCGTCTGGACTGATGAGTACAGGAAGCCTGTGGTTTGGTGTACTGGAGATGATTGCTTAGCTTAAATTATACAAAGATTTCATTAATATAATTTCCTTGTCTCCTGTATGGATTTCTTTTAGCAGTCCCCATTACTGAAAAGAGAATACAAATCAACAAATAAGTTCTTTTCTCTTCAACAATCTCAATATTAGGTCAGTGAAATTTTTTTAATTTGAAAGTACTTTTTTCACTTCTACTAGTGTAAATAATCCAAGAGTTATTATTATTATTATTATTATTATTATTATTGGTCTTTTTTACCTTCCTTCCTTTGAAAAACCTTCTATTTGTGATTGAAAGATTGGGGAAAAGTAACTATTTTATGGTCCTGGCTGTGTCTAAACCCTAATCTAAAAATTTGCTGGCATTCTCTCATTGAAGTTGTCACAGCTTACATATTTAGTTTTCTATAATATCTCATACACCAAAATCCAAAAACCACAAAAACAAATCTTTCCTTGGTTTTACATCATTTAGATGCTTCAAGGTAATAGGCATCCGTTGTTTGCAAAGCCCATTCTGGGTCTGGATGTGTGCTAGATGAGGTACAAAGATATCACAGGTGAGCTGAGGACAAAACCAGAGCCAGAGCCTCCCATGATGATCAACTTTGCTGTATGTCATGTTCCACAGAGTCATTGCAAGGCTAACTTTGGTCAGAGAGTGCTAAAGTGGAGGTGCCAGAAAGAAGGAGAATGTGGACCCCATGCCGGACACATGTTTGCATATATTATTTCATTTAGTCTTCACACTCACCTTGACTGGTTTATAAATGGAGAATCTTTCATGTCAAGAGGTTAAGTAACTTGCTCAAGGTCAAACAGCTAAGAAGTGACAGCAACAGGATTAAAATCTTGGCTGGGCGCAGTGGCTCATGCCTGTAATCCCAGCACTTTGGGAGGCCAAGGTGGGCGGATCACCTGAGGTCAAGGGTTCCAGACCAGACTGACCAACATGGAGAAACCCCGTCTCTACTAAAAACACAAAAATTAGCCGGGTGTGATGGCACATGCCTGTAATCCCAGCTACTCAGGAGGCTGAGGCAAGAGAATTGCTTGAATCTGGGAGGCAGAGGTTGCAGTGAGCCAAGATTGCACTCCAGCCTGGGCAACAAGAGTGAAACTCCATCTCCAAAACAAACAAACAAACAAACAAACAAACAAACAAAACAGGATTAAAAAAAAAAAACAGGATTGAAATCTTGCTATAATTTCAGGGCCAAGAGAAAGGCCTATTGTGAGTATAAGTTTATTACCCTACTGACTGATTGATGTATGAAATTTTGCTGTTAAAGCTAATTTTGTATAGTGGTTTTCCAAATGCATTCTTCCAAAAATTACCATTCTAAAGTTTTAGTGGTTTTTCAGTGGTTCTAGAAAATTTTATTGGAATTTCATTTATAAAACAGAGTTCTAATTTGAATGAAATGCATGTGTTATTTACCAACACCTGCAACACCACGAAAATATTCATTTAAATTCTATTGGTTAATTTCATAAGTAAATGTCACAAATTGGGACTTACAAAAAAAGAACCCTGTTTTTTAAAATAACACTTTTTGTGTTGTTCTATAATTGGAATTCTGTTACTGCCTTATTTCTCTGATTCTCTTTTCATCAATATTTACTGAAAGAAGTAATATTCTTTGATTACATTTCCTACACCCCCTTGCTCTCTGAAGCCCACTTCAATCAGAACTCAATCCTGTCCACTCCAACAAAGCTGTGATAGTCTGTGTCATGACTGCCTTGACGAAAGCCAGCCAGGACACCCAAATTCTGGGGTTATTTTTTGCTCTTACCTCACTGGCTCCTCAGAAACATTCAACACAGATAACAGCACCATTCTTCAAATCCTTTCCCCCATGGCTTCCAGGGCACTGTAGTTTCCTGGTTTCCTAACCTCCCTCTCCTGGTCCCCACCACTGGATCTTCTTCCTCACTTTGTCCCCTAATCTACCTGCTGATAACTGGCCCTTACCCTTAGTTTCAGAACCATATATTCAGCCCTTATTTGATATCTCCACAGGGAAGTTTAACAGAGTTCATATTTAATGTGTCCAAAACAATATTCTTGATCTTCCCCTCTCAACCTATTCCTCGCATATTGTGCCCCATCTTGGTAAATGACCTTACTGTCTACCCAGTTGCTCCGACTGAAAATATGAGAGTAACCCTTGACTCCTTTTCCTTTACTTTCCACAGCTAACTGACTGACAGGTCCTATCAGCTTTATCTCCAAAATGTATCCTGAGTCACTCTCTCCAGCCCTGCTGCTACCGTTCCAGTCCAAATAACCAACATTTCTTCTGAGTTTCTGCTCCAGCCTCCTGCTTCCACTCTTTCCCCTTCTCCAGTTCTCCATTCTCCCTGCCATAGCTCAGGGTTTCTCAAGCACGTCACGACGGACAGTTTAGGCTGCCTATTTCTTTGTTGTAGGGGGTAGTCCAGACATGGTAGGCTGTTTAGCAGCATCTTTGGCCTTTGCCCACTAGATGTCAGTAGCACTCCCCAGTGTGACAACTGAAGCTGTCTCCAGGCATGGACAAATGTCCCCAGGAGGCAAAAATCACCCCCTGTTGAGAATCCCTGCCATAGCATGAACAATTTTTACTTTTAAAAAATGAGTCATAATTAATGATAATGGTAAGTAGTAAAATTTAAAATAAAATAAAATAACAATAATAGTAATGTCACTTCTCTCATTTAAACCCTCCAGTGACTCCCCAAGTCTCTTACCACAGCCAGGAAGGCTCTGCATGATCTGGTTCCTGCCAACCTCTCTGACTTTAAGGCCCCCATGGCCTGATTTCTATTCCTTATATAAACAAACTCATTCTCACCTCAAGGCAATCACACTTGCTATTCTTTATATCTAGGGCACCTTTCCCTTAACTTCCTGCATGGCCACTTTCTTTACACAGTGGATCCAACTCCTCAGAAACTTCTCTCACCACCCTACCTCGTGTGTCCCCACATCACATTATCATGTCTGTTTTCTTCCCAGCATCTATAGTTAGTTACGTGAGATGACTTCATGTACATGTTTCCTTATCTGTCTCCTCAGCTACAATATAAACTCCTAGTCTTTTGTGCACACCACTATGTCTCCAGTGTCCTGAACAGTGCCAGGCACACAGTAGGTGCCCAAGAAATACTCACTGAGTTTTAAAATTCTTCAAGAGGCCAGGTGTGGTGGCTGTAATCTCAGTGCTTTGGGAGGCTGAGGCAGGAGGATGGCTCGAGGCCAGGAATTCAAGATCAAGGCAACGTAGTGAGACTCCATCTCTAAAAAAATTATTAAAAATTAGCCAGGTATGGTGTCTTGTGCCTGTAGTCCCAGCTATTTGGTAGGCTGAACCAAGAGGATTGCTTGAGCCCGGGAGTTTGAGGCTGCAGTGAGCTAAGATTGTGCCACTGGACTCCAGTCTGAGCAACAGAACAAGACCCTGTTTCTAAAAAAAATAAAATAATGATGATTCGTCATGTCTTGGATTAACATACTGATGTGGTTATATGCAAAGCTTCTCAGTCTAAATGTTTGCAAGTATTTTTAGTAGAACAGGAGACTGGTCACACACAGCTCAAATAAATTCTCATGTTGACATTATGCATTTGATGGGATGCATGTGGAGAATGTCCCTTTCGTAAGGAAAAGTTATTGGCTTGATTGGATTATAATTGGAGCCCAAATACTAATAAACGAAGTTTGGCAAAGTTAAGACCATGAAACTCATCTTTGTAAGTGACCTAAGCTTGTTGAAACCCATTCCCAGAGGTGAAAGCCTAATGAATCTATCTCTTGTGCCATGGGGCCTTCTGTTGATATAAGCTTTGTCAGGGGAATGAGGTATTGACGTTTTAATGTCTGTGGATTATGGTAATGCGCTTAACTATATTGATCTGTTCAGTATTCTGTACTTGCTTTGTTGCTATCCCAAAACTCCAAAAGAAGGAGGTGTCCAGATGGTCATAACACAGACTATGAAAAGGAATCAAAGAAGTAGAATATCAGTGTAATTCATAAAATATAAGACATCAAATTTTGACACCTCAGTTGAGCCACAGGCCTAATGGGAAAGTACTTAATGGGCTAAATTAATCCTACCACTGACAAAAATTGATGTGCGTGATAAGAATGAAAATCTCCCAACTGACCTGCAGTCTGTGGGAGAGACAGAGAAGTAACTTTATGGGTGAGCCCTTGGGTTCTGCCATTCAGGCAAGGACTTGGAAGTAATGTAGTAATGTAAGTACAGGTAGGGGAGGCACAGAATTCTGGGGTCCCAAGTGGGCCTGGAAAACTCCAAGGCAAGAATCAGTGGAGGGAAAAGCCCTGGGCTCTGAAGTTAGGCAGGCCTGGCTTAGCCCCCCAAGTTCTGCACTTACTAATCACTGCTTATCAGAATGCCTGCCTGCAGGTTCTTTTATATCCCTATGCTTTCATTTTTTTCACCTATAAGGAGAGGGAAAATAATGTTTCTTTTCTCATAAGATGTGAGAGGGATAAAATGTGATAATGTAGGGAAAGTATCAGGACCAGATGAGGCATGTGAATTATCTTCATCCCTGTTTTCTATTTCATTCCAGACAATGTGGCATCTGCTGTAATTAAGATACCATGTGCATTACCTACCTGACCTTGAAATCAGCAAAGACCTTCAGAGAGGGAACCCAGAATCACTCTCCTGTTCTCAGCAGCTTTTGTCAGCTGCCTCAGAGGAAAGATTAGCTTGTGTGAGATGCTGTCATTGAGTTACCCTCTGTTCTGTAAAGGTGATCTAAGGCTTGGCAGGAGCAGTTGGGAGGTAGAAGGGAGAGCTTGGGGAGCATCTGTGCCCACTACCCCAAGTTGCCAGCCTGCAGCAGAAGAGCACAGAGCAGCAGACCCCTGCCCTGCCAGGATGATCCTTGTCACAGATGCCACAGACACTTTACAGCCATTGTAATAGAAGCTGAGTCTGCCAGCCCTGGCTTCTTAAGAGAGGGGATAAACAATAGCTAGCAGATTAAATAATGCAGGACATTTTATATTCAAGTTTGTGAGTTTAGCAGAAACTGAGAGGATAATAAATAAAGAGGACCACGATAGCCTTTAATAAAGCAAACAGACCAAGGAGTCATTCATTTGCCATATGAAGGATTTGTTTTCCAGGAAAATCATGCAAAAAGGCTTAGCCTATTCTGCAGATGAAAAACTGGCCTGACCCTATCTTGCCCAGCTGAATGAACTCTGTGAACAGGATTTTCAAAGTACTCTTTTTCAATTAACGTTTTAATATTCTGAGCCTTTGCATGGAAATTATAACTTTAGCTGTTGAAGATGACTTAAGCGAGTGCCTGATTTACACAAATGCACCCAAGCAATGCCAGTGGCCTTTGCAAATTAGATTTTTAAAATAATTCACAGAGCAGCTTTTTTATGTACTCAGGTGCCTCCCATGCGCAGCCTTCCAGCCTTGTTCTGAAGAACAGAGTTTTCAGAACTGAATGCACATTTCAACTCCTAATTCATACTTCTGCCTTTCCTTTTAGATGACTTCACTACTACTTTCATTTATTGGAATAATTAAACGAAAACTAAAGGTCTTGCAATGAGGAGTTGTCAATCATCAAGTCTTCCTTCATAATTGCCAAATCTCAGGTCATCACTAAACCTTCATTCCCTCTCTCATCACCTTGCATCTGTGTTGTTGCCACAGCCTCCTGATGTTGTGATCCACTCTATACATTGTGGAAGGTGTCATTCTTCAAACATTCCTCTTAACCATGTTATTCCCTGTTCAAGAAATGATAAGAGCAATCTACGAGCTCCAGTCTAAACTTTCAACTCCTTATCCTGACTTGCTTTTTAAAAATTTTTAAAATAGACTTTACTTTTTAGGATAGTTTTAGGATCACAGCAAAATTGAACAGAAAGTGTAGAGAGTTCCTGTATATGCCTTCCTCTCCCACACATACAGCCTCCCTCACTGTCATCATCCTATACTAGAGAGGCACATTTATTGCAATCAATGAACATACATTTACACATCCTTATCATCCTAAATCCGTAGTTTGTATAGAGTTTGTTCTTGATGTGCATTCTGTGGGTTTTGACAATGTATAATGACATGTGTTCATGATTATCATACAGAATAATTTCATTGCCTAAAAATCTTCTGTGCTTTATCTATTCTTCTCCCTCCCACAACCATTGATCTTTTTACTGTCTCCATAGTTTTGCCCTTTCCACACTGTTATATAGTTGGAATCATACAGTATGTAGCCTTTTCAAATTGGCTTTTTTGACTTAGTAACATGCATTTGGTTCCTCCATGGTTTTTTTTTTTCTAGCTTGATAGTTCATTTCTCTTTTTATCACTGAATCTTAATCCATGTGTAGATATACCACAGTTTATTCACTAATGAAGGGAATCTTGGTTGCTTCCAAATTTTAGAAGAAATGAACAAAGCTGCAATGAACATCCTGATATGTCCCCCACCCAAATCTCATGCTGAATTGTAATCCCCAGTATTGGAGGTGGGGTCTGGTGGGAGGTGATTGGATCATGGGGGCAGTTTATCATGAGTCATTTAATACCATCCCCCCTTGGTGCTGTTCTTGTGATAGTGAGTGGGTTCTCATGAGGTCTAGTTGTTTAACAGTGTGAAGCACCTCCCATCTCTCTCTCGGTCCTGCTCTTGCCATGTAAGATGCCTGCTCCCACTTTGCCTCGCACCATGAGTAAAAGCTCCCGGAGGCCTCCCCAGAAGCAGTTGCTGCTGTGCCTCCTTGGACAGCCTGTGTAACTATGGGCCAATTAAACTTATTTTCTTTATAAAGTACCCAGTCTGACGTATTTCTTTATAGCAATGTGAGAATGGACTAATACAGGAAATTGGTACTAAGTGGGCAGAGGTTGGAAGAGTTTGGAGGGGTCAAAGGAAGACAGGAAGATGAGGGAAAGTTTGGAATGTCCTGGAAACTTGTTGAATGATTATGACAAAAGTACTGACAGTGATATGGACAATTAAGTCCAGGCTGAGGAGGCTTTCAGATGGAAATGAACTTATTTAGAACTGGAATAAAGGTCACTTTTGCTATGCTTTAGCAAACTTGGTTGGATTGTACCCTGTTCTAGGAACCTGTGGAACTTTATACTTGAGAGTGATGATTTAGAATATTTGACAGAAGAAATTTCTAAGCAGCAAAGCATTCAAGAGTCAGCATGGCTGCTTCTAACAGCATAGCTCATATCTATGAGTAAAGAAATGATCTGAAACTGGAACTTACATTTAAAAGGGAAGCAGAGCATAAAAGTTTGGAAAATTTGCAGCCTGGCCATGTGGTAGAAAAGAGAAGCCTATTTTCTGGGGAGGAATTCATGCAGGCTGCAGAATTTTGCATAACTAAAAGGAAGGCAAGTTCTGATAGCCAAGACAATGGGGGAAAGACCGTGAAGGCATTTCAGAGACTTTGTGGCAGCCCCTCCTATCACAGGCCCAGAGGCCTAGGAGGGAAGAATGGTTTTGTGGGCCAAGCCCAGGGTCCTGCTTCCCTGAGCAGCCTCAGGACACTGTTCCCTGCATCCGAGTCATTCCAGCTTCAGCTAAAAGGGGCTCAGGTACAGCTCAGGCCACTGCTCCAGAGGGTGCAAGCTATAAGCCTTAGTGGTTTACACATGATGTTGAGCCTGCAGATGCACAGAGTGCAAGAGTTGAGGCTTGGGGCCATCTGCCTAGATTTCAGAGGATGTGTGGAAAAGCCTGGACATCCAAGCAGAAGCCTACTGCAAAGGCAGAGCCCTCATGGAGAACCTCTACTAGGGTAGTGCAGAGGGAAAATTGGGAGCCCCCACATCAAGTCCCCACTGGGGCACTGCCTAGTGGAGCTGTGAGAAGAAGGCCACTGTCCTTCAGACCCCAGAATGGAAGATCCACTGAAAGCTTGCTCTGTGCACCTGGAAAAGCCACAAGCACTCAACACCAGCTCTTAAGAGAAACCCTAGGGGCTGAACCCTGCAAAGCCATGGGGGCAGAGCTGCCCTAGGCCTTTGGAGCCCCAGTGTGCACTGCATATGAAACATGAAGTCAAAAGAGATTATTTTGGAGCTTTAAGATTTAATGATTGCCTTGCTGAGTTTCAGACTTGCATGGGGCCTGTAGTGTTTTTCTTTTGGCTGATTTCTCCCTTTTGGAATGGGAATTACTCCCATTGTGTAAATACAATGCCTAAACCCCCATTGTATCTTGGAAGTAATTAACTTGATTTTTTGATCTTACAGGCTCATAGGCAGAAAGGACTCTCCTTGTCTCAGATGAGACTTTGGATTGTGGACTTTTGAGCTGATGCTGGAATGAGTTAAGACTTTGGGAGACTGTTGGAAAGGCATGATTGGATTTTGCAATGTGAAAAGGACATGAGATTTGGGAGAGGCCATGGGCAGAATGATATGGTTTGGATCTGTGTCCCCCACCCTTCAAATTTCATGTCAAATTGTAATCCCCAGTGTTGGAGGTGAGACCTGCTGGGAAGTGGTTGGATCATGGAGGCTGTTTCTCATGAATGGTTTAACATCATCTTTCTTTGTGCTGTTCTTATAATAGTGAGTGAGCTCTCTCTCCCAGTCCTGCTGCTGCCACATAAGCCTGCTCCTGCCATGTAAGGTTCCTGCTCCTGCTTTGTCTTCCACATTGGAGTAAAAGCTCCTGGAGGCCTCCTCAAAAGCAAATGTTGCCATGCTTTCTGTATAACCTGCAGAACCATGAGCCAATTTATAAATGAGCCAGTCTCAGGTATTTCTTTATAGCAATGTAAGAATGGACTAATACACCTCCATATGTAAGTTTTTGCATTGACATAAGCTTTCAACTCATTTGGGCAAATCCCAAGGAGCGAGATTGCTGAATTGTATGGTTAGAGTTTAGATTTATAGGGAACTGCTGAACTGTCTTCTGAGGTAGCTGTTCCATTTTGCATTCCCCCCAGCAGTGAATGAGACACGTTGTTGCTCCACATCCTTAACAGCATTTGGTGTTACCAGTGTTTTGGATTTTTGCCATTCTAATAGTGTGCAGGCTGACTTTTAAATACCTCTTTCAAATTTGTCTTTCCAAATGTGCTTGTACTTTTCTCAGACAAGAGCATCCTACTGTTGTCCAGCTTGTGTTCTTACTGAATCCTCTCAGCCTCTGTTCCAGAGCCGGAC
Organism: Homo sapiens; assembly: GCF_000001405.40. Taxonomy (NCBI): domain Eukaryota; kingdom Metazoa; phylum Chordata; class Mammalia; order Primates; family Hominidae; genus Homo; species Homo sapiens. Next base: position 108,649,182 of record NC_000005.10, read on the forward strand.
TTTTGCTCATGTTCTCACTCTAAAGTCTTCCTCCTTCTTTCATGCCAAAAACATCCTATTCCCTTCTTTGCATACCAGACATTATTTCCCTTTTCTTGCTGTGAATTTCTCTAGGGATATGGTTCTCAACTGCAGAGAGCTTCAAGAGATACTGATGGCTTTGTCCCATCCCCAGAGAGTCTGATGTTACTGAGCTGGGTGTGAGGACTTCAAAGTCCACCAGATGGTTCTTAATGTGCTGCCAGTGTTGAGAACCAAGCACTGGGGCTTACAATCCTCACCAGAAAATCAAATATTTTACTGCATACTAAGTACATTGTATAACAGGCACTCTGTTTCTTGTTCCATGGTTGTGTTATGATGCCATAAATACTCTCTGCTGAGTCAAAAAAAGAGACAACAATAAGGTAGTCAACAAATGCTATTTGCAGGCCTGTCTGAGCTGAGCGTCTAGATTTTTCTTGCCAACTTTAACTGATCCTAAAAAGATTAATTCCTAGAGGGCTAGGAATTAGTCTTCTTCATTTCTTTCCTAGGCACAAAGCATATCAGAAAACATCCACTGATGGTCAGTCATTTAGCTAAATTTCTAGGGGATGTGTCCTTCCCCAGAGAGTGAGGCCACAAATTATCTCACTGGCCCAGTTTCCTGTTTAAGTGGCTGAACTTTGCCTTTGCCAAAATTCGCCTCTTCTAAAATTTGTGGCTCACTGTGATGCTGCTATGATACCAGAAGAGGAGGTTTATTTTGTGAAAATATATAGCTTTCAAGGATGCAAGTGAAAGTGAACATAAGCCCATCAAAATGTAGAAGCTATATTTCTGGTTCAGGAAATTGATTGAAAACCTGTATTTATTTACCTTCCCCCATGTCCCACAGAAATGACAGTAAAAATATCTGAAGGGGGATAAGTCCATAATAATACTGAAAGCAGGAAAGAGCAGCTATCATCAGACCAGAGATTTTTTATAGACTTTTAGAAGATGGAATTGTAGATTATACTGATAGAGAAGTTAAAACTGAAAGAACGATAGCCAAGAGTGTGCACAAGAGGGATGAAGCACAGGTGGGAGCTTCTCTTCCCAGTGTGCAGAGGCTCCCAACTAAAAGTCAGAAGGAGAGACAAGCAAGAACAGGAGTAGCAATCAGGATGGAACCTGGAGAAGTATCTTCAGAACAGCTCTGCTGGTCTGTCCCTTAATTCTGCTCCCTGCTGAAACTGGAAGTGGTTGCCATTATTTTTGTCCTTGGGACAAACCGTAGGGCTGGTCTCTAAAGAAAAAATGGCTCCAGAGTAAAGCCCTGAAAATTCTGGCACCAAAAGGAGTGTGGCTGGGGGTAATCCTTCCTGTGCCCTGTCCCCACATCTGGGGAGCGATGCGAGCCACACACCTAGAAATTACAGTGCAATCCTGGAGTGAGCGAAAGACCCATACAGCAGCAGAGAAACCTGTATCAGCGATCATTATTAAACAACCTCTTCCTTAATTCACAAAGCTGAGTAGAAAACCAAGGCTCATCCATGGCGTGAGAGAAACAAATAGAATAAAAAGTTACCCAGAGGAATAAATAGCTGAGGACATAAACAATTGAAGGGAAAAGCAGGGGTGGGTGGGTAGAGGAAGAAGGAATTTTTTGAGAATTCTAATTAGCATCAGTCCAGTGAGATATAGCTTCTATAAACAGGAATAGCTGCTATAAAAAGGAATAATAAAAGAAAAAATCCAAAACATGATTGCCAAACCTAAAATACATAATAAAATAGCAAAGATAAAGTAAAAGAAATCTTTCAGAAGTAGGACAAAGATATAAAAGGATGAAAAATATAAAAATTTTTGAAAAGTTCAGGGATACAGAGAATACAGCTGAACACTCTAAAATCTGTCTAATAAGGCATGCATAATGAGGAAAACATGCCATGGGGAAATTATTGAGGAAATAGCTGAATAACATTTTCCTTAATGAAAGACACAAGTCTTCAGATTGAAAGGCTTATTCACCACTGAGCAGGATGACTACTACTAGCAGGAATAATATTGTTGACACCATCCACTAAGTGCCTTCCATGGATTATCTCATTCACTCTCATAACAACCTATAAGTATGACTAATAAAGAAAAACATATTTAGTCACATCCTCATGATTTTTCAAAAATATTCTAAAAGTTTAGAGAGGAAAAAATGGTCATTTACAAAGGAATTCAAATTTGATTGGCATCAGACTCCTCAACAGCAATACTGGTTACCAAAAGACAATGAAACAATACATTTAGATTCTGAAGGATAATTATTTTTAACCTAGACTCATCTAGAATATTTATTAAAAGAAGAAGGTATAAGCAAAATAAAAACTTTTCTAGGCACTGAAAGACTCAAAAAATTTACTTCCATTTACTTTTCCAAAAATATTTGAGGATATACCACAGAAAAACAAATGTAAGAATTCACTGAAGAGGGCAACATGGAATCCAATAGAACAGACTAAGCTAAGAATGCAAGAGGAAAGTAATATCAGAAAGATAGCTGAGCAGCAATCCTAGAAAGCAATCATACAAAATCAGAACTGGATGTGAGCAGCCTCCTATTTCAAGAGGAATAACAAAGAAGCCAGAAATCTTAGTGGTGTGATAGAAAAAGTCATATTTCTTCATTGAACCAGAATGATGGAAGGCAACTAAAAATGTCAGGAAAAACAGAAAACTGTACCAGAAAATCACAGGATGAGTGTGAAGCAAACTTAGATATACTATTATTTTGAATAATTGGTACAGAGTAAGAAAAGAAAATCCACTTATGCCTTGTATCTGAACATTTATTTTTTGAATGGCACAAGTCTATAACATAACCTACATTTCTTTCCTGTGGTTCCAGTCACATTAGTCGATTATACAGGGAATAATATTAACATTATCATAATATTTATCATTTTGTGTTTTGGCTTCTAATTTTTGAGAAAAAAATTGTCCTTTATGTAAAGCATGAAAGACAACTATAGTTGTAAAGTAGAATGTAAATGTCAACAACAGTGTAAAAGCCATGATAAAACTAAGAATTTGGGAAGATAGCAGAAGTGCAGAAATAGTGTGGGAGTACTAATTTCCTCATTTCATATTATTAGGCATCAACAGATACTGTTAAATTGATGTATGCAGAAATTGATTATTTAGAGTTATGATCATAATCATCAGTTGTATTTTTAAAAAACTAGTATTGGGGGAGAAAGAGAAAGGATAAATTCACTTTTTATTTCATATAATTTCCTCTTTTAAGTGTTGTTTGCCATGTCCATAAAGTTCATAATACAGTATTTATATAATATTATTAAAGCTTGTGCTTATCTCATTCTATTTTTTTTTTTTTTTTTACACAGAGTCTTCCTCTGTCACCCAGGCTGGAGTGCAGTGGCAGGATCGAGTCTCACCGCAACCTCTGCCTCCCGGGTTCAAGCAATTCTCCTGCCTCAGCCTCCTGAAGTAGCTGGGATTACAAGCGTGTGCCACCACGCCCAGCTAATTTTTGTATTTTTAGTAGAAACGGGGTCATGTCGGTCAGGCTGCTCTCAAACTCCTGACCTCGTGATCCACCAACCTCAGCCTCCCAAAGTGCTGCGATTACAGGTGTGAGCCACCGCGCCTGACCCATTCTACTTCTTTTAGAATATCTGAAATCAGGCCATTTCCCAAATGTTGATGATACTTTCCTGCAGACTGGCAACTAATATTGACTCAATTCATTCTGACCTCTTTATTCCCATGTTAGTCATTGATCTGTACACTCTTCACCCTCACCTAGATGTCTGCAACTTCCTACTTGAATCTACCACCTTCATTCTTTCTCTTTTTCTACTTCTCCCTGTTTGGGCCATTGTACCTCCTTCACGAAACTCCTTAACAACTTCTGATGGTTCTATAGATCAAGTTCAAAGTCTCAATTTTATGGTGTATGACTGTAGCCAGAATACCTACTGTGTGGAGTCAGACCTGAGTTTTGATACCTACCTCTGTGTCTTGAATAATATTACAGCACAGCAGAAAAGTAGCATCACAAAGTAACAAGAATCACAGACTCTGAAGCTAGATCCACTAGTTAAATCCCAGCTCTATCACCTATTGCTTGTGTGACTTAACCTATCCACATGCTTCAGTTTTCCCACCTCTAAAATGAGGGTGATAACATTACCTTGACTCATAGAGTTGTTGTAAGGAGTATCTGAAGTAAAGTGTGTAAAACTTTTGGAGTGGAGCCTGGCAGAGAGTAGATCACGCAAGCTCATATAGATGACTCTACTTCAGAGTACTCCCATGAAGATAAAGTGAGTCAAGTTATTTAAGCACCCAACTTAAATAATAATAGAATATAAATTCCACAGGGCAGATATTTTTGTGGTTTTATTTACTGGTATATAGCAAGACCTGGAACAAAACCTGGCACTATTATCAGTGGTTAACATATTTTAATTCATGTACATGTATCTATTCAAAAATAAATGTTTGTTGAATGAATGGATTGATTAATATTGTCACCAATCTCTCTCTACCAGTTACACCAGACTCTCTTTCTCTCTTCTCTTACCATGTCAGACATCCTAATATTTCAACCCACTTCCGTTCATTGCAGGCTCATTCCTTTCTCCTCAATTCTTTGTTTAAGGCTTTCCCAAGTCAATGTGAAATTCCTTCCTTTTCCTTTAAAAAACAAAACACAAAAAAACCTCCTCCAAGAATCCTTTACACATTAGTCTAAAATGAGTTGCTAATGTTCCCTGAAACCATAAGGAGATAGAAATCCTCCCTCTTCCTAATCACTTTATGCTCTTCCTGCCTATGTTGCTGTACATTATGAGCTGGCTTGTCCTGGATGGGCCACGTTTGGGAATGTCCAGCATGCCCACAGCCCTTCTCAAATGAGATTTTCCCAAAAGTTGCCTTGCTGTTACCTGTGGTCCCAAGTGAATGAATCAGGGCAGGCAATCGATCTACTGGTTAGAGACATTTTAGGTTGTTGATATATGAGCTTTTCCCAAATAGATCTCTCCCAAGGAGTTCTCAATGTAAGGCATTGGAATGAATCATTTGTTTTGGGAACAAAGCCAAATAACAGAGAAGGTAAGATACTGAGGTCATGAATAATCAGAAGCAATGAGAGATAATAAACAGAAGCAATGTGAAAGAGAGAAGGGAATAGAGAGAAGTTGGTGGGAACCAGCAGGATTAATAAAGGCAGAGATTTTAAAAAGCCTCATAGAAGCTAAATGGGACTTTGAGGATCCTTTTAAAAGAGCATAGCCTCGGTCAGCATGCGCCTTTGGCTTTAGCCTTCCTGAGAGTGGAAGTCCTACTAAGAATGGCAGTCCAAGAAGAGATAAGGAAGCTGGTTCCTGTTTACCTAAAACTGAGAAAAGTACTTTCAGGTAATATGGATTTTTCTTATTATGCTTGTATACAATTACTGTCCTTTATTTTTAAACTCTGGACTTCAGGTACACAGAATTGGATTCATCTTCATTCTTGGTTAATGGCATGCTACCATCCTTGGCCCATTCATAGCATGGTCTCATTTTATTTCTTGGTAACATAACAAACACCCACAAATTACCACATAATCCAATAATTAGAACAATAACAATGATTCAACCCTCCCATATACTCTTCCCTATTGCATGCTTTTGCTTTCCTGCCATAAATAATCATTTTCCTAAATTGGGGTTTATCATTCTCTTACTTTTCTTTTTTATTATATGTGTGTATGCTGAAATGAAATGTTGTTTAGTACACATTGCTTTTGAACTTTACTAAAGGACATCATGTTGTATGCAGTCTTCTGAGACTTGCTTTTCTTATTCAGCAGTATGTTACTTGGATTAATACAGCCTGTTGCATGTAGTTATAACTCACTCATTTTCACTGATGCTTAATTATTCAATGGTTAATTTATACATTTCCTAGTCGCTGGGCATTTCGATTGTTTCCAGTTTTTGTTGGTTGGTTGGTTTACTTATTGCTGTTACAGGGTTGCTGTAAACATTCTTGTATATAATTCCTGGTACGTGTTCCTTTGGGCATAGTCTAAGGAGTACAATTGTTGTGCCATAGGTTTATGAATTCTCAACTCTTCAACATAATACCAAATTATTTTTCAGTGTAGTTAAACCAATTAAACTCTTGACATATAAAAGATGCTGTTGATTTATATCCTCTCCAGTACTTGGAATGCCAAATCTCTTAATTTAATTAATAAAGTGGCTATAAAATAATATTTTATTGTAGTCTTTTTTAAAAGAAATGAAGTACTGATAGATGCTACAACATGCATATTTTTAACTAATTAATTTTTTTTTTTGTAGAGACAGGTTGGGGGTAGGGTCTTCCTTTGTTACCCGGGCTGGTCTCAAACTCCTGGCTTCAAGCAATCCTCCTGCCTTGGCCTCCCAAAGTGCTGGGATTACAGGCATGAGCCAACGTAGCCGGCTTGTAGTCTTTTTTTTTTTTTGTAAGTGAATATGTATTACTTGAAAAATCAGGTAGAAACAGTGTAAGTATTACTTATAAAGCCAGCTAAAAAAGCATGTGGAAACAGAAATACCTTGATTCAGAAACTCACATACATGTACATATAAAATCCAAACCTACAAGTTCCCCCACCCTTCAGATCTGGAAAAAAAAATTCTCAATGGTATTTGAGCTGAATATGGGAAAAAGCATAAACTATCTCTAGTTCCTTTTCTAAGCCACTTACTAAGACAAACATAAACTCCTAGATTTTTTTTCTGCTGCACTATAAAGCAGCCCTTCAAGTATATGCAGCCTGTGGCAGCAAGGGGGAAAGGGTCTGGATCTCAGTCCTACAATGCCTTTTAAATTCAATGTTGATTCCATGAGTTGTGTTTATGTGATATCAAAGTAACTATTTTAACTCGGGGGTAAAAAGTGTGTCTTTGGCATCACATAGACAAGAGCTCAAGTTGTTTGATCGAATTTTTCATGTTTAACCACTCAGGTTGGCATTTATAGAAAGAACCCCTCTTCTGCCAGATTACCTTGTGGTTACTTTCCTATTCCCTAGAGGAGCTGTAAATTACTCAGAGAATAAACCGGCAGGTGTTACGTAAACACTGAATACAACTAAACATTCCTTTCAAATAATGTCACATTAAAACTTGAACAAGACTCAAAGAATTTTGCAATATTCCAAAGAAGAAAGCAATATATAGCAGCCTCGGAAATACTGAAATTGCTAGTAAAACAAATCTACAAAATTGACTTTGGAAAAAACAACACCAAAACAGCAATAAGAGCAACAAAAACAATAAAGTTTATGTACAAAGAGAAGCAACCAATGTTAAAGTAAATAAAATATCTTCCTATAACCAGACTTACTGCTATGTTCCATGGGTTCAAATGAAAGTGCTTTTATTCTGCAAAATTATAGTTTACAGCATCATATGTGATTAAAGAAGTAGCAGTAAAAATGTCTACCTGTCTACTGGAAGAAATGAAAGCTAGGTATGATATAGAAAGGATAATCAGCTATTTCCTGTTATTTTCCTCAGAACCTTAAGTCGACTGAATCCAACAAGCATTAGCTTCATTTTCCTTTTCTCTGATTCAATTCACACTAGTTTACTGAGCATCTAATATGGACCACTGGTGAAAGATGTTAAATATTTAATGATGAAGAAGACTCAGCAGGGTATGGGGGGATTCAAATAGGGATAAGACTTTATGTGGCTGAAGGGCAGAAAAGACATCGTATGTGAGAGTAACATCCAAAATAGATCTTAGAAGATTGGGCCAATGGAGATGCCTTCATCTCCCAGATGTGTCCCAGATAGAAAGAACAACACAAGCAAAAGCACGGATATATAAAATAATTATGCTTGGAGACAAGAGTGAATGGTTTAGCAAATGACAGAGGGATTGAAAGAGCTGTTTAAAAAGAGAAGAAAGCTATAGGATTCTTTAGGCTAAAGGTGACTGCAACATAACTAAAATCGAACTAAGCTCAGAAAGGCAGGTATTGGCCTATTTAACTGGAAAGTCAAGAACGCTGGGTTGGTGGCATGCGACTGTAATCGCAGCTACTCAGGAGGCTGAGACGGGAGGATCCTTTGAGCTCAGGAGTTCAAGACTAGCCTGGGCAATATAGCGAGGATCCTGTCTCTAAACAAAAACAAAAAGCACAAAGTCAAGGAGGTGCTCTGGCTTCACTCATAGCTGGATCCAGGGAGTCTCACTTTGCTCAATAAACTTTACCTCTTTTTTTTCTGTTGGCTTTGTGTTATAGTTGGTAATCCTAGCTACTTTTGTCTTTTACCATAGTGACTTCTAGCAGCCTCAACAGAAAATGAGCTGCTCTTTCTCAACTGCTCAGACAAAAGCCTCAGAATAGAGATTCATTTATCTGACTTAACTAATTTATGCCTGTCCCTGACCCAATTATTGGGTCTAGGAGGATTCGTCATGTGTTCACTCCTAGAGCCAAGAAGAAGGATCATTGCCAGACAAACTGGGATGAAGGAATGGGTACCTGTAAAGAAACTTAAAGCCCTACCAAATAAATAACTGCCTGTTGGGTAGAAAAAACACCAGGTGTCCCCACCAGGCTCTGAAACCAATCTGAAGAAAATGCACTTGAGCCACTGAAAAATTTTAGGCAAAGAAGCAGCATGATTAGAGTAGTTCCAGAATGATCTGGTCCCAAGGTAGAGAACAGATAAGAGTTGAGAGGGACTGAAAGTGCCTGCGACAGAAAAGATGATTCAGTAATAATGTTTTAAAAAGAAAATAAGAGTCTCAGCCTGGTGCGGTGGCTCATGCCTGAAATTCTAGCACTTTGGGAGGCTGAGGCAGGTGGATCGCTTAAGCTCAAGAGTTCAAGACCAGCATGGGCAACATGGCAAAACTCCATCTCTACCAAAAGTACAAAAATTAGCTAGGCCTGGTAGCCTAAGCCTGTAGTCCCAGCTACTCAGGAGACTGAGGTGGGAGGATCACTGGAGCCCAGGAAGCTGAGGCTGCAGTGAGCCATGATCACACCACTGCATTCCAGCCTGGGTGACAGAGTGAGACTCTGTCTCAAAAAAAAAAAAAAAGAAAAGAAAAGAAAAAGAAAAAAGGAAAAGAAAATAAGGGTCTGAACTAGAATTGTGGCCTTGATATTTGAAGGGCAATGGATTAAGGAGACATTTTAGAAGTTTGTATCAACTTGGTTATTGGCTGAATTCTGTGGAAGAGAAAATGAGGCACCAAATATGATTGTTGTTTTCAAGTCCGGTTAACAGGAGAAATGGGAGAGTCAGGAGGAGTTGTCTGGGGGTGAAGCGGTTTAGCTTGGAAGTGCTGAGTTTGAGGATAGGTGGTGCTCTCGGTAGAGATTTTCATCAGTCAGCTGGGAAATGAAGTTGGAATAAAATCCAGAAGCAGAGCCAGATCCAAAAGGATAATAGCAGTAAACACCAAGGTAATTCCAGGAGGCAGAAAGCCAGGATGAGGGCAAGAGCCACTGGAGCAGAGAGTGGCTTGTCTGGATGGTTTCTCTGTTCACACCCAGCGATTGTATGTGGGGTCCCTACAGGTACTAAAGAGAAATCGAGGATGTGGGCTTTGCCCAGGTGGCCACTATGGATGATAACAGAAATAAGGAAAGAGTACTGGACCACTTCTTTGTATAACTGACTGATTCGTTCTTGACCTCTCCCCTAACAATTGAAAGTTTTCTTTTCTTCCTTCCGTTTTCTTACTTTTTATTCCTCATGCATATTCTAATCCTCTGAGTTTGTTAGCCAGTCTGCATAAGTCTTTCCATTCTCCATTCTCTAGTTACTTGTCAAAATAGTTCCTCTGTGAATTATCATCCCCCATGACCCCCCACCCACAACACCATTATTGTCACATTCATTATGGTGGCTCTTGTGAAGGAAGTCATCCCAGACCTGGGCTAAGACCTTTCCTCTGGAGCAGAGTCACTGTGTGATTGTGGTCATGTTATTAGCTTTTCGAAACCTTGATTTCCTCTTCTAAAAAAAGGCTAAGTGACCATACCACTTCATACGGTTGTAAAGATTAAGTAAAATACGTATGGTGCAAAAGCAATATTTTGTGTTTAACTTGCCTAATTGTGTTTAACTTGCCTAATTTGCAAGAGAGGAGTTTGAAGCTGGAGAAGGATTTAATCTTTCTGTCCTTCTTGAATTTCTCACTTCACTCCTCACAGGACTCTCCTCCATACCATAGGACTCTCCTCCATTTCCAACCCTAGTTGAAATCTGTTGCTAAGTGGGATTCTGGTTTGCTTGTAAATCTAATTTTGAGATACCTCTTATACAAGGTATCTCAATAAAGCGACCTTCAAAAGGAAGAAAGAAAAGGAGAGAAAAAAGGAAAAGAAAGGAAGAATGGGAAGAGGGAGGGAGCCAGGAACAAATAAGTTGGCTCCATGTGTTTTGCTGCCTTTTATCAGGAGCAGAAGAAATGTCTATGCTGATGGTGAGGTCAGAGAAAGACAGTGTCACACCCAAGGCCAACATCTGACTTTTTCACCTGTTCGAGGCTGCCCTTTCCTGGGACCTCGCTGATGGTTAATCACTAACTTCTGCTACACTAACACAACTCAGTTTAGATAAAATCGTGGTTCTCAAAGTGTAGTCCCAGCAAAAGCAGCATCAGCACCACTGGGGAACTTATGAGAAATGCATATTCTTGGGCTGTACCTTAGACCTAGTAAATCAGTACCTCCAGAGGTTAGTACCAGTAGTCTGTGTTTGAACAAGCCCTCCAAGTGAATCTGGTGTATGCTTAAATTTGAGAATCACTGACCTGAAAAAAAGGCTCTCTCAGGTATATGAGGGTGGTTACTTTGAGCCAGAGGGAAGTCCTTGCCTTGCAGCACTCAGATCCTACAACATAGGCAAGAAAGAGATGCCTGCTGGTGCCAAAGGTCGGATGCTTAATGGAAATGTGAAACATGGTTGAAAAGCAGGTAAAAGAAACCTCATTCCCCCATAAGTAGAGGCACCATGAGAGTGAGGTTCCTTCCTTCTGACTCGCCTGTGGGAACCCCAGGGGGTCCAACGCACATAGTATTAGAGAATCTTTGGCCAAATGAGGTCCCACCTTGTGCTTTAACTTCTTTCTTTGCGGAAATGTGGGCAGACATTGTCTCATCCTGCAAGAATCACATGGAAAAGCTCAGTTTGAGATTCCTGTAGACAGAATTGATCCCAATGGGGTGACGACCTTCACTGGGCTCTGGGTGTGCAGAAAGCAGAAGTTAGCAGGAACTCTCAAACCCATGAGCTGCACTCTCCTCCCCCCAGCCTTCCTGAATAAAGCAGAACACTATTTTAGCATTCGTTCCAACCAAGGTGGGAAACAGCCTGGTCATAACAGGGAGAAGTCAAGTCTTGGAGCACTGTGGGAGGGGAATATGAGCACGTGTGAGTGAGCTGAGAAAACAGGTGATAAGAAGGAAGGGGTGCCCTCTGGGAGAGAAGCAAAATGCGGGACGGGATGGTCAAAGCCAAATGTATATCCTTCCCTACAGGTCTGAGGCCAGCCTCCAGCCTGCCTATAAGTCTCATTCCTGACTCTGCAGAGAGCAGAAAAGAATGGAAAGGCTTTAAGAAGTCCAAGAATATCTGGTTGAGAAAAATCCATTTTTCTGGACTTCCTACTTTGTTCATTTGCTACAGATTAGAGTCAAGAGTTTGGATCCTCCCAGTCTTTTAAATGTTGTGGTATTCTACCAAAAGGAGTGAAGCAGGAGGACATGGACAGCCACCTCAGGTCACCTTAGAGGGAAGCAGGGGGTCTGAGCATGCTGCAGGCAGAGACCATGCACAACAATGTGGATTCCACATTGCCACAGTGGGACCAGGCCAGTGCCAAGTGCATGCATAGGAACAAATCTTTCATGAATCTTGCTATTTTGAAAGGGCCGTTCAGCTGTCAGTCCAAGCCCAAATAAATACAACTGTCTCAGTCAGAAGCCCTGAAGAAAGCCCTTCTCTTTGGCAGTCTGATTACAGCTGCCACTGACATTCTACAGAATGCAATGATTTATGTATGCAGCAGGAAGATGACTGGCTGCAGGGCAACAGGGGGATTTTCTTCTGCAAGAATTTCTGTCATGGCCTTTTCTGACCCTTCACCCTAGTGATTGAAATTTGAAAGTAAAATGAATGACTTCTCTATGAGTTATTGAGTTTTCCTACCCTGCATTTAGCATAACTTGCTACTTGGGGGAAAAAAGGGATAAAGGGCTCTGTTCAGTCAAATGTCTGAATTAATGATGTCCCCAAGCATCTTGGATTTAGATAGTAGATTTGAGGATGCAGGGAACATGAGTGTTTCCAATGAGAGATGCAGCTTTATCGGAGCTTGTTATAGAAAGAGAAACTAATCAGCAAATTGGCAGTGAGACTCCATTAAGGAGAGTGACCCCAGTTGGAGGGTGATTTTTAAGCTGTTTTTGTGGACCAGACAACCTTGGTTTCCAAGCCTCCTCTGCTCATATTGAGCTAGTTTCAGGAAATGGATTCACACAAGCACACAGCCTTGACCTTACCAAAGAGTTGATAGGGAGAAGACAAGTTGTATTTACCTTAGATTTGCCAAAACAAATCGAGTGATTAATGGAAAAGGAATGAGTGTCAATTACATCATGGGGCAGACAAGGCCAAAAGGAAACCTATGACAGTTCTGTATTTCCTTGAAATTTGTTTAGAGTTAATATTTATATTTACACTAAAGTTTCCAAGATCTTTTTTATGATAGTCATCTAACACTACAGGAAGGGCCACATTGGAAAATCAGAGAGAATGGATGCATCGTGTACTATAATAGATCAAAAGTCTGTGCACTCTGTACCAGCCTGTGGTTAGCATTGTTTTTTCTAGCTGGAAGTTTTCCCTAAAGCTATTAGCATCTGTGACAAGACAACTTAAAGATAGTGAGGGCCTGGCAAGGTGGCTCACACCTGTAATCCTAGGACTTTGGGAGGCTGACGTTGGAGGACTGCTTGAGGCTAGTAGTTTGAGACCAGCCGGCCAATATAGGGAGACCCTCGTCTTTACAAAAAATGAATGAGCCGGGCATGGTGGCACATGCATGTCGTCCCAGCTACTCGGGAGGCTGAGAGGGAAGGACTGCTTGAGCCCAGGAGTTTGCTGTTGCAATGAGCCATAATAGTACCACTGCACTCCAGCCTGGGCAACAGAGTGAGACTCTGTCTCTAAAAGAAAAAAAAAAGATAGTGAGGCTATACTGGTGTCCACATTAAACAGCTGGGGAAAGCAGAGTAATTCAGAGAGAACAGCAACTAATTGGAGCTGAGAACACCTTTATCCACAATGGCTGTTCAGACAGCCTTTGCCACAGCTGTCTCATGATGAAAGGATAAAGGCTTCCTCAGTGCTTTCATTCACTAAGCATACTTACTGTTTGTCAAGTGCCATGGGACTGCACATAGAAACAATACACTTAGAGTTTGATGAGTGAGAAAATACTCTCCTAAATAGCCATAATACAAAGCATAATATGGTAAATATCATAAGCAAGGCATACAAAATCTCACAACTAGCTTTCCAACAATCTCTAAGACCCATTAAGCCTACAAGTGACTGTGTGGCAAATTAAGGCATGACTACAGTACCTGACAAGCATTTATTTAGCAGTACGCACTGGAAAGTAATCTTCACAGGGCAGGAGATTTTGTCTATTTGGTACACTGCTGTATTATTACCATTGAAGTAGGAATAAGGACAATAACAGTAGCAGCTACCCCTTTTGGAGGAGCTATTACACCAAGCACCATGGTACAAAGTTTACATTTATTAGCTCATTTCATCTTTTCAAAAGTGTTATGAAATGGATATTATGATCCCCATTTTGTGGTCAAAGAAGTTGACTTACTGAAAAATCAAGTTTTCTAAAGTCACACAGAGCTGGAACATAGAGAAGCAAAGACAAAAGCTGAGCCAACTATTGAAGAATAGATAGGAGGAAGTCACAGAGGTAGGCCAGCAATAGAAAACTCAGAGGAATAATACAAGACTAGTTGGATAAAAGTCACAGTGCAAGTCATGGTTAGGTAGCTATGTTGTTTGTACAAGAGAATCACAAATAATAGAGAATGCATGTGCCGAATGGCCTCTAGCTCAAGGCTACTCAGACTCTAATATGGATTCAAATAACTTGGGGATCATGTTAAAATGCATACTGTGATTCAGCTGGTCCAGGACAGGACCTGAGATGAAGCATTTCTGACAAGCTTACAGGTGATGCGATGTCCCTGATCTAAGGCTACAATTTGAGTAATAAAGGTCTAGCCCTTTGGTCCCAAATGCTGTTCTAAGAACCAGTGCTTAACAGTCTATAAAGAAGTCTATAGTTAAATGAAAACAGCAAGACAATAGACTGAAGTTTTTTACAGGTAGCTTTATTCAGTTTTTGATTATTTATGTTGAGATATAATTCACTGTATTTGCAACACAAGATGATTAAAACAGACTACAGTCATCCCTCAGTATCTGTGGGGGATTGGCTCCAGGACCCCTGCAGATACCAAACTCCATGAATGCTCAAGTCCCATATGTAAAAAGGTGTAGTAGTTGCCTATCATCTCTGCGCATCTTCTGGGATACATTAAATCATCTCTAGATTACTTATAATACCTAATACAATGTAAATGCTATGTAAATAGTTGCTATACCGTATTGTTTAGGAAATAATGCCAAGAAAAAAGCCTGTGCATGTTCAGTACATACTCGACCATCCACTTTTTCAAATATTTTTTATCTGTGACTGGTTGACTAAAAAGATGTGAAGCCTATGAATATGGAGGGCCAACTGTACCTAGGTAAATATTAGATTTAATCATAGACTAAAACCTAGTAACATTATGTCAGTCTCCAATTATTTTTTTTCAAAAAAGCTAGGAACCAGTGATCAAGTCCAACTTCTCATCTTATAAATGGGGAAACTGAGGCCTAGAGTGGAGAAGTGATTTACCCATTAGCAGAAAATGTAGGCTGAGAGTCCCTTGTCTCTGAAAGGTAGAGACAGAGTAAGGATACAAGGTAGGTATCTTAGATTGCAGAGACCATTACTTGTCACATTGAGAAATCTGAATTTTATCTTAGAGGCCACAGCAAATTATTGAATAATTTGATAAGAGGAAGTGACATAGTGAAAATTATGAGTTAGGACAGCTGATCTGGTAATAAAATATAGCATAAGTGCCTAGAGGCAGGAAGATCAATTTAGAATCCAATGCTTGATTAGCATGATCTATAAAATAGAATCTAAGGTGCCATCAGTTATTAGAAGCACTTAGATATACCCCAAAGAAAGAAAAATTGTAATAAAACAATGGCAAAATGATTCCTTATCACTTTGGAATTTTTATTTCATCCTTATTGAATTGCTCTTTTATACTTATTTAGAGATTGCTTTTTATCATAGATTTATCTTATACTTTCATAAAAGTAAACTATGAGCAAAATAGATTGCCCAAGGCCATGGTTCCCAAACCATGTACCACAGCACTTCAAGGAGCTACTGGGCACTTACTGGGGTGCTGTGGGATATAATATTTTTAACACAATGATTCTTGACATCTGTTCAGATATGGTATAAACTTCTAGCTCAACGTTAGTGACAATTCCAACATTAGATCAGGCTACATTCCTTTTGATGACATTATATTTTGTGAAGCTTGGGTTGATGGCAATTGCTGTGTTTTTTTAAAAAGTGAGTACTGCAAAAACAAAATGGAATAGGAAATGAAGATGGCAATGTCCAATTTGATCCCAAGATTTGGGATGTTGTGCAGTGCTCAAGAAGCACACCCATCCCATAAATAGGTAATTCTAGTTATTTAAGGATAAAATGAAAATATTTTTTCAAATGGCTACTAAGTTGTTGGACCTATCTAATAAATGGAAATGTTAGATATTTCTCTTGGCCTAAGGGTGCTGGGAAAAAGGTACTAAGAAACTAGAAGTGCCATCAACCAAGAAAGTTTGAGAATCTCTGGGTTAAGTATTCCTAAAACTTCTTGACATCCATACTGCAATTCTTCTGGATCACTCTTTGATTCACAGTAGTCCACATCCATGTTCAATGTGTACAGCATTATGCCTGTGCCATAGATGCATTGGCAATGCAGTTTTTTAAGAATGCTCCACTACTGTCTTTGCAATATATTTTTTCAAGCTCCGTTCATTTTGGAAATTTTGTTGTTGGAAAATATTCAAAGATGTTCATGAAAAGTTTTTAGGCAATAACCAGAACTCGTACTTAGAACTCATTTTTCGGCAATAACCAGAACAGTCTATTGAAATCTAGACGTTGAGAACACTGAGTTCCATTCACACTACCAGGAAAAATATGTCAGACTGAGCTCATAGAGGCAATAACAAATACACCACAACTGCCTTCATGTCAATAGCAGTTGTAAGTTGCCATTGGGTATAACCCCATTCCAATTTTAAATATGTTAAACTAAGAAAAAGAAAGATATATCTATCAACAAACCAACAAAATGCAGTGATATCTATTTCATAATGTTGTGAGAGTTGATGTAATATATGTGAAAGGGTTTTGGTTTTTTGGGGGGGGTTGTTTGTTTTTGCAGGACAATCTTTTTTTTAAAATTTTTCCATAGGTTATTGGGGTACAGGTGGTATGTGACATGAGTAAGTTCTTTAGTGGTGATTTGTGAGATTTTGGTGCACTCATCACCCAAGCAGTATACACTGCACCCTATTTGAAGTCTTTTCTTCCTCAACCCCCTCCCACCTTCCCCCCAAAGTCCCCAAAGTCCATGGTATCATTCTTATGCCTTTGCGTTCCGTAGCTTAGCTCCACATGTCAGTGAGAACATAGGATGTCTGGTTTTCCATTCCTGAGTTACTTCACTTAGAATAGTAGTCTCCGATCTCATCCAGGTTGCTGCAAATGCTGTTAATTCATTCTTTTTTATGGCTGAGTAGTATTCCATCGTATATATATACCACTTTTTTTATCCACTTGTTAGTTGATGGGCATTTGGGTTGGTTCCACGATTTTGGCAATTGCAAATTGTGCTGCTATAAACATGCATGTGCAAGTATATTTTTTGTATAATGACTTCTTTTCCTCTGGGTGGATACCCAGTAGTGGGATTGCTGGATCAAATGGTAGTTCTACTTTTAGTTCTTTAAGGAATCTCTACACTGTTTTCCATAGTGGCTGTACTAATTTACATTCCCACCAGTAGTGAAGAAGTGTTCTCTGATCACCACATCCACGCCAACATCTACTGTTTTTTTTGATTTTTTGATTATGGCCATTCTTGCAGGAGTGAGGTGGTATCACACTGTGGTTTTGATTTGCATTTCCCTGATCATTAGTGATGCTGAGTATTTTTTCATGTTTGTTGGCCATTAGTATATCTTCTTTCCAGAATTGTCTATTCATGTCCTTAGCCCACTTTTTGGTGGATTTGTTTGTTTGTATGTTTGTTTTTCAGAGGGAGTCTCACTCTGTCACCCAGGCTGGAGTGCAGTGGCGTGATCTCAGCTCAATGCAACCTCCTCCTCCCGGGTTCAAGCGATTCTCCTGCCTCAGCCTCCCGAGTAGCTGGGATTACAGGGACCCACCACCATGCCCAGCTAATTTTTGTATTTTAGTAGAGATGGGGTTCCACCATGTTGGGCAGGCTGGTTTCGAACTCCCGACCTCAGGTTATCCACCCACCTCGGCCTCCCAAAGTGCTGAGATTATAGGTGTGAGCCACCACGTCTGGCCTGTTTGTTTTTTTCTTATTGATTTGTTTGAGTTCTTTGTAGATTCTGGATATTAGTCCTTCGTCAGATGTATAGACTGTGAAGATTTTCTCCCACTCTCTGGGTTGTCTGTTTACTCTGCTGACTACTTCTTTGCTGTGCAAAAGCTCTTTAGTGTAATTAAGTCCCAGCTATTTAGATTTGTTTTTATTGCATTTGCTTTTGGGTTCTTGGTCATGAAATCCTTACCTAAGCCAATGTCTAGAAGGGTTTTTCTAATGTTATCTTCTACAATTTGTATAGTTTCAGGTTCTAGATTTAAGTCCTTAATCCATCTTGAGTTGATTTTTGTATAAGGTGAGAGATAAGGATCCAGTTTCATTCTCCTACATGTGCCTAGCTAATTATCCCAGCACCATTTGTTGAAAAGGGTGTCCTTTCCCTACTTTATGTTTTTGTTTGCTTTGTCAAATATCAGCTGGCTGTAAGTATTTGGGTTTGTTTCTGGGTCTCTATTCTGTTCCATTGGTCTATGTGCCTATTTTTATACCAGTACCATGCTGTTTTGGTGACTATGGCCTTATAGTATAGTTTGAAACCAGATAGTGTGATGCCCCTAGATTTCTTCTTTATACTTAGTCTTGCCTTGGCTATGTGGACTCCTTTTTGGTTCCATATGAATTTTAGAATTTTTTTCTAATTCTGTGAAGAATGGTTGTGGTATTTTGATGGGGAATGTGTTGAATTTGTGGATTGCTTTTGGCAGTAAATTATAAGGCACTACTGATATTACTTTCATTAGGCACCAGATGATAAGGGCCCAGACTAGGATATGAAAAGAGGCTATGGAAAAAGAACTGTAAGGTTATGAGGCATTGAAGGAGAGTCAACAAGATTTTCAAATTAGAACACAAATTTGAAACACAAATTAGAACACAAATTTGGGTTGTTAACCTGCTTTTGACTCATGAAAACTGTCCTGTAAATTCTTGGCCAGATGCTTGCACCCAGGCTAGAGCTTAAGAGAAATGTACAATCCATCTGGCAACTCTTTGGTCCTCTTTGTTATATTCCATCCAAAGTCACAGCCATAGACTTCCTGCTCCAATACAAGTCAACAATAGAACTTAGAGTCCTTAGTAAAACTATGATGGAAGAGAAGATGTTTACAGCGAATCACTTGTATATTTCATTCTTGGAGAGTGGTTTAGTTTGGTAGTTAAATTCACTGGTTTTGGTAGAAATTGGCCTGGATTACAAGCCCTCATTATACCCTTTGTTAGCTGTGTGACATCAGTCCTCTAAGTGTCAGTTTCCTTATCAATTATCCTTAGTGTAATAGGAATAATTATAACATCTCCTTCATAGGTTGTAATGATGATTAAACTAGATAATGTGTAAGTCGTGGTGCTTGGCTTAGATTTGGCATTTAAATGTCCAAAAAGCGAACATATTCTATTTTTTGCCATCTTTTTGGCAGGTTTGGAATTGTTTCACAGAGGAGTTTGTTCCCATGCTTAAAATTTTGTTTAGAAAAGCATCATGAGCAATCAGTTAACAGAAGCCATATGTGACTTATATGTAGCATCTTCCCACTGGTTTCATCTTCACTAGCATCTCCCTAGTCTATGCCACCATCATGTCTTTCCTGACCCAGAACTATACCTTCTAAGTGCAAATCTTGTTTCCACTCTTGACTCACTGGAATCTGTTCTATAATCACATTTCTAAATGTTCTTCAGATTTTGTCACTACTGAGGTTAGAAATCCCTCCAACAACTTCCCATTGCACTGTCAATAAAATCCAAACTCAGTATCTAGACTTTCCACATCTAATGCTCCGCCTTATCTCCTACTGCTACATTTGTCACTTCACTCCAACTACATTGACCTGACTTCTGATCCTTCAACACACCAAGCCCATTCTCGCTGTAGATGCTTTTATGTTCCCTGTGCGTAACATTTGTTACTCTCTAATATTTTTCTTATTCATCAATTTAACAACCATATTTTCTCCATCTCCCCAGCACCAGCCTTCAGAATGTAAACTCCATGAGAGTAAACATTGTCTTGTTCTCTGTGACATCCCCAGTATCTAAAGCACACCTGGCCCATACTAGGCATGCTATAAATAATTGCTTAATCACAAATAAATGTATGCAAGTTAGACATCAGGAAAATGCCATTATATTAGTACCCTTTTATGGAAACACTTCTTAAGAGACAACATTCTGTAAGGAGTAAGTAACAGCATATATTACAATCCAGATCTGGTAGTAAAGGACTGTAATAATCTTGCCCAGGTACTGACAGACTGAATATGTACAAAGCCAAGGAAATGATATTTTATTGTCACCTCCCTTTGTTTTAAAAGTGTTTCATAACCAAGAGCTCTCTGTTAGATTTTTCCTTTTACATCCAGAAGGTCTTCTCCTGGCTTCTAAAAGATTTGCTTGTCAGTTTATTTGAGCAGACAATATATTTCTAAGACTGACATTCAGTAGCAATTTGAATCTTGTAGAGTTACTTGATTCTTCTAGCATTTAACAAATAGGCTATTCCAGGACACCAGGCTAGAAGGGTGCTTTGAATAGCTATCAAATGGGAGGGATATTTATCTCCGTATGTATCTGTACACATATAGTAATCTCCCTCTCTGTCTCTTTCACTCCCTCTACTTGTTAATAGAGAAAATGTCAACAGCAGTAGAGATTTATTTCTTTGAACTCTTTACTCACAAAGCTGACAAAAACTGGGGGCCAAACTCATTTATTCCAGTCTGAAGGACTAGTCTTCAATCAATCAACAGTAACAGCATATAAATCTGTCAGCATAATAGTAGTTGTTCAAGGAAAATCTAATCTGTAACTTAATTACTAAGAAGGTACAGTGGAAGAAAAGGGTCCTCTGTAAACTACTAATCAACATAGGAAAGATTCTACCCCATTCATTTAAATTAAAATATTTATTGAGCAACCACTATTACCCTCCAACTCTATGCAGTAAGGCAAGATAGCAAATCGGACACCCAGAAAGGGCCTTGGGAACAGTGTGTAAAATGCCAAGGCATAAGGCTAGGCACACAGAAGACACTGGCAAATTCTGGTTTTCCCTGAGTTTCTTGATTTCTCCCTTGAATCTTGAGGTGTATCTTCAAAGGTACTGCAACTCAACCCAGATATACACCGAGGTGAGTAAAAGTGGCAGCAGCAGCCCAATGTGACAGCCAATTCTGTGTGCAGCCTGAGACAGGACACTTCACATACATAAAATCTCACTTCCATCCTCAGAGGTAGGTATTTGATTTTCTTTTGCCAAAAAAGGAAATGGAGGTATGAGAGATTAAATAAATTATGTGTGATGGATACAAAATGAAAATTAAATTCTGGTTATTCATGGCCATATTCATTTTGTTCAGAACACATTGATTTTCTTGAATCTCTGAAGCTGAGGATTCGAACAAACAGGGCAGTTTCCAAATGCTCAAAGAACTTTTACCTAATGTGGGGTAAAACATATTTTTTAAAGCATACATTTTATAACAGAGGTATGCTTGGTAGGCAAAAGAGAAAATGGCTCACTTTGCCAGAGTGCAGTGAGAGTGAAAGGAGAGTGGCACTATCACCAGCATGTGATAAGAGATGAATCTTGGAAAATAGACAGGAGTCCATGGGACAATCAAAGACAGGGAGAATGAGGAGATGACAGGCGGGGTGCCAGGGGTGTCAGGGCACAGGGTGAGGAGGAAGATACTGTACATGCTGGGAACTGCAAATGCTAGGTCTTCAGGACTTTCGGGAACAGTAAGTCATTTGATCAGTCTGGAGTGTGGGTGTGTGCCGTGGGTGGCAGGAGATAAGCCTGGAGAAGGGAGCCTGGCAGGAGGAGTTTGCATGTCAGGCTGAGGAGTTCAGGCTGTACCACGAAGGTAATGGGAACCCAACAAAAGATTTTGAGCAAGGGGATGACATTTCCAGAATGGATCTTTTAAAGGTCTCCCAGCAATGGTATGGAAAAGAGACTAGAGAGAGAGAGACCCATCAAGGAGGCAGGGAGACCAGAGAAGAGCCTTCTATGCTAGGCCAGGTGAGACACGCTGAGTCCCGGATCGAAGCAGTGGCTCAAAAATGCACTTGTCTGGGCCCTCTCCCCTGCACAGTTCAGCTTGGTATGCTCCTTGAAGTAGCTCTGTTGCCTCTGCAGCATGAACCAGATTTAAGGGACAATAGAGCTCTGTTCTCAGCCACACTTCTTCTGCTCACCCTCCTATTTGGTCATCCAGCTGGATGGTATGTAGGTTGTTGTCCTAGTGTTGACCTTAAAAGTGTCCTGAAATTAACCCATTAGTCACTTCTTTGCATCAAGTTAAGGAGACTTTTACTAAAGCACAGCAGAGTCCCTAGAAGGAATGCAGCATTATCAGCCATTAATGCCCTGCCCTGAATTGCTTCACCAGATTAATTAGTTGGATGCCCAGCAAGGCCCTAATCAAAGGGAGGCAGAGCAGGTAACTGTTGATGAAGTAAGGGAATAAATGAGATTCTGCATTGGGCACAAGCTGGGAGAACTGTGCTCAGCATCCTGGGCAGAAACAGAGCACCCAGTGCACAGAGGGAGATCAAGGGTCAGGAAAAAAGAAAGAACAAGGAGCTTTAGAGACAAAGAAGGCCAGCTGGGCTCATCAGGCCTAGAATCCACTCAGAAGATCCCTTTTGCCACCTATGGCAGGTTCTCTATCCTAAAGAGAGCCCCTCACCTGGCACGGGAATGTAGACTGGTCAGTGTTATTTCTTCATTTTTTCCAGGATGTTGTGAACAGAGTGCCAGGTAATTTCTATGCACTCTATCAGTCAGCCCTTACTACATGTGTCATCCAGGCTTAGTTTCCAGGTTTCCCATGAAGACACTGAAGTTCAGAGAGCTTAAGTGAACTGAGCACAGTCATTCAGCTGAGTAGCAGAGTCAGGATTTGAATCTAGATCCATTCTGGTTCTTAACCACTGTTAAGACTTTACCTCTGCAGACGTAAAACTCACAGAAGCATTTCCCAGATGTCCTCATTTCATTTTAGAAACAAGGTTTTCCCAACCTCAGCCCTTACCTTGACAACAGACCGGCTTTGTGCCACTGGTTCATCTGCTTCACATCTCACCACTCAAGCAGTCACTATCACACCTCTTCTGACTGATTGAGGCTTCCCAAGGCCTACAGAGGTAGTTTGGCCTTTAAAATCCTTGGATGCATGTTTAAAAGCCCCAACCCCAATCCATCTCCCATTTGTACCCAATCTGGGCACCTGAATACACCCTTACCATAGCCTGGATCTGCACTCTGGGGCTTACCTGGAAACTCACCGTGCCTGCAGTTTGAGCATTCACAAAGGGGTTTACATCCTGAGAAAGCTGCTGGATTCTTGCAGCAGTAAGTGGTAGAGCTGGGAAAGCAAATGCATGTTCTCTCTGTGACTCTTCCAGTAGACAATGCCTGGGCTGACCATTGAACAATGATGGATGATAGGAGGTGAAGAACAATGAAAAACTGTAGGCCAAGACAACCCCACAGCCGTATAGACTGGATGCAGCCCAAAAAATGCTGACAGAACTGTGAGACTAAAGTGCTTATGAGAGAAGGCGGGTGGCAGGAGATGAGGTTGGAAAGGTGGTTTGGGATGACACTGGGAAGGTGATGACACAGGAAACATCCAGTGAAGGAAAATGCCCTTGTCAGTGAGATGATTAAAGCAGTTGAAAAATATGGGTCAAGGAAAGCCTACTTTGGTTAATGACCGGTTATTACTAAGCTGTATTGAAGCCCCACAGGGGGAGAATGAGAAGTGAGAGTTAACAAACAGTTAAAGGCTAAGTGTGAGTTTAAATGGTTTACAAAAGGGCCCTTATCTCCTGCAGTGGTAGAACAATCAGAGCTGAGGAGCAAAATTAAGGTCTGAGAGATGAGGTTGCCTAACTCCAGAGATACTTAAATGCTCAGCCAAAGCAGGTCTATTTGTTAAGGTAAGGGCTGAGGTTGGGAAAACCTGGTTTCTGAAACGAAATGAGGACATCTAGGAAATGCTTCTGTAAGTTTTACCTCTGCAGAGGCCCCTGAAACCTCTGAGATTAGAGAGGGGGGCCTACCTCTCCAGAGGAAGAGCTAGCAGCCTCAGAGGAAAGATACTGCAAAGGTCTTTCCCCCATAAAGTAATAGGTACCCTCTTCAGGGGTTAATTCTGCCTACATCCTGGCTGTCAGGATAACATAATCCAGCTGAGGACATGCTGAACCTGAAAATGAAGGAAAGAGATATCTGCTGAAGGAGTTGCAAAAATTAACCAACATGTGTATACAAGAGCTGGGAAAATACCCTTGGGAGTGCATTTCAAGAGTGCTTGATAAAGGGAGTTATTATAGAACATAAAACTGGATAAGTAGAAATTCAGTAATTTGTGTCACTTCCTCAGGACATGAGATTCACCACCCTGGCAAGGACTCAAAAGAATAGGACAAACTTTTAGCTAGGGTGGCTCTTAGAAGCCTGGAAAAAATAATACCCTATGCTAGGCAAAATGGAAATGACTGAGTTGCCCTGTGCATGATGGAGGAGGGAGTAATAAAGCTGTAGAAAGTGGGATACTGGAGTGGGTATAGTATACGAAACCAGAAGACTTACCACAGGATGATATTCCATGGAGAGGCCCAGAGAATATGCCATTCACTATGACAATCAGGAATGTACTGGTGAGAGGGGCAGCAGCAATGCTCGAATATTCAGTGGTGGCCTCCTCTGCAGGCCAGGGACGATGGTAAGAGAGGCGTTCATAGAGCTAGACTCAAAATGAAGAAGTGAACAAATAGAGCCAAGAAGTGGTGCTTAGCCACTAAAAGCCAGAAGCCCACAATTATTGTATTGACCAACAAGGACCAAGGGGCAGTCAAGGATGCTTGACTCCAGGGAGTTGTGGAGAAAATTAATAGAGCATGGCATCCCATGGGGCAAAATTGGCCAGTGCTGCTTAAAATCTGCAGCCAGAAGCAAGACCAGAGGGCAGAAGTAAACTGCACAGGCAGGTGGTTTAGAACTTCATCACAGGTGCTCCAGGATCCCTCTCCCAGATCGCATGGATGCCTATATGTGCAGCCTCTTAGGACCAGCTGTGCCTTCTACAAAACACAAAACACAAGACATGAACATGTCTCCATGTTATTTGCCACTTTATAACAAGGATTGCCTTTCCTCCGTTGTTCAATAGCATGTTCCTTTTTTCCACCTGAGACTTCATCAGAATGGGCTTTACTGTCCATATTTCTAACAACATTCTGTTCATGACCACTTAGATCAATCTTCTCTGAGAAGATTGAGGCCTTCCCTGCAGCTTTCCTCTCTTTCTGAGCCATCATCAGAATTGCCTTTAAATATCTGCTCATTGAAATGTAGGCTTTGTCTAGCACACATCTCAAAACTCTTCCAGCCTCTACCCAGTATCCAATTCCAAAGCCACTTCCACATTTTTAGGTATTTATTACAACACACTCACTTCTCAGTGCCAGTTTTCTCCCTCAGTCTGTTTGGGCTTCTATAACAAAATACCATAGGCTGGGTGGCTTCTCAACAACAGAAAGTTATTTCTCACAGTTCTGACGGCTGGGAGTCCAAGATCAAGCCTCCAGCAAATTTGGTGTCTGGCAAGCCCACTTTTTGGCACATAGATGGCTCTCGTTTCAGTGTGTCCCCACATGGCAGAGAGGCAAGGGAATTCTCCAGAGTCTCTTTTATAAGAGCATGAAGCCTATAGGATTTCAACATAGGCACTTAGGGCAGACAAACATTCATTCTATAGCAACAGTAACAGGCAACTTTTGCTCCAGGATGCTCTATCAGCACATGTGAGATTTTCTTAAAGCTGAACTGTGGCCTGTGGCCCTTCCCATCCAACCCTTCCTTCCTTCTCTCTCTTCACAGGTACCCCACCTGCACTGTGATCTAAGGGCTCTCCTTGCCTACTCCAGTTCCTTTATTCTTCACAGGCATTTCCCTCTATAAATCTCTTACACATCTAATTCTGCTTTGGGAACTGTTTCTCAAAGGATCAGAACTGACACCCCACTATATTTTATGTTCCATGAAGACAGAAATTATGTCTGCTTTGTTCACCACTGTATCCTCAGTGCCTAGTTCCATTCCTAGAAATTGAATTCATCAATGCACTCATTGTTAATCATAGCAGCACCAATAACATAGTTGGAATGAAACCCATACGGGATGGAAATGAAGATTGTCCAGGACACTCAAGAATGCTGACAGTGAAAGAGGAAAAAGATTGAGAGTTGAAGATGGCTAGAGAAGAAAGCAGGGTTGATGGGAACTCTTTTTGGATTGGCTGAGCTTGGCTACATTTATAAGCTGAGGAGAAATCAATGAAGAAGAAAAGATCAAACACTGATTAGAGAACAGATAAAATCAAAGAAATGAAGAACAGAGCTAGGATGGGAGCCAGGGAGGAGGTGAGAAGTTGAACACCTGCCTTTAGGTTTCCATTTTTCTTTTCTTTTTTTTTTTTCTTTTTTTTTTTGAGACAGAGTCTCGCTCTGTCACCCAGGCTGGAGTGCAGTGATGCGATCTCGGCTCACTGCAACCTCCGTCTCCTGGGTTCAAGCAATTCTCTGCCTCAGCCTCACGAGTAGCTGGGATTACAGGCGCCTACCACCACGCCCAGCTAATTTTTGTATTTTTAGTAGAGAGGGGGTGGCCAGGCTGGTCTCGAACTCCTGACCTCGTGATCCACCCGCCTTGGCCTCCCAAAGTGCTGGGATTACAGTCGTGAGCTACCGCGCCCGGCCAGGTCTCCATTTTCCTAGTGTCACAAGAGGCAAGATCTGCTGAGAAAGAGATGGAGAGTGAGGATAGAAGAAATCTAGAGGGGTGTGAGTGAAATTGCCCCTGATGGTGAGTGAACTCAGTAGCATGCTGAGCCATCTGTAAGGCTGAGGTGGGGCTCCTCTGATGCTGGAACCACACATCTGCAATTCCAGACATGGAGTTTTCTCTAACATCCCTTAGGGGCCCCTTGGCAGAACTGGACAAGTACTGAGGTGCAGGGTAGGGGAATGGCAGGCTCTGAGGGGGATCTGGGATGGAAAGATAGCGAATGAGAAGAGGGTGCTGTTAACTTATTCTACACAGAGATTAATCAAGGTCAGGACTGGAGAAAAAGACCCATCTATCCCAGTTAAAGAAATAATAAACTGACCACTTACTCCTGCATCCTGTCTAATTCTCCCACATGAAAGTATTTTTCTGCCCACTTTGCAGATGAGGTGATGGAGGCTCAGAGAGGTTTAAGGAACATGCTCAAGTTCCCTTAACTTAGCTTTTTTTTCAACTACAAAAGAAACTTATTTTCACTTTTTAAGATAAATGATCTTTGCATGTGAAGAAATTATTTATGATTATATATGTATTCATATATTTACTTCCACAGATATATGATGAAAGTTTAACATAAGGAGCCATAACTAACTTCAGAATAAAAAGATCTCTTTATTTTAATGGGATGTTATACTTCGCTGTGTCTGATATAGATAATTATATGCCTTGCTGGGATTTAGCTTTCATTTTAGTATTGGATATATTTGTGGAGAAATATGAAATATTATGTTGCCCCACATACATACCTATTTAATTTGGTGGGATGATTTTGGAGAGAGGTCTGAAAATTTTAGTCACCTCATTTTTTGTATATTGGGAAACTCTTCCAAGGTTTGGAATGGGGGTGGGTGTGCTGCAGGATGGCTTAAATCACATCTAAATATTATTTTATACTTTCTTTTGAGAATGAATACTTATTTAAGATTTTATACTTATTCTTAGGAATATGCAAGATTAAAGGCTATGACTTATATTGTCCTAATCTTAAATCATTAAATAAATTAATAGTAACTGCATTGACTTTTTAGGAACTAATAAGAAAGTATTTGACTTGAATTCCATTTCTTCCCTTTTAACAAACTTCAGGGCTATGTTTTATATATAAGTAAAAGATGGTTTTTATTAAGCAGATAGAGACAGCTTTGTAGGGTATGCCCATCTTTACAATGTGTGTGATGAGGACACTATATTTTTATGGTTGGCAATATGTGGATTTCAAATTTCTTAATCTGCACTTATTAAATGGATTTATGGTTCTGACTGTTGTTCTCCTCACATGTTAACTGTAACATATCAGAGATATTAGCTAGGTCAAAGAGATTTTTCTTACAAGGAACAGAGAAAATTGCCCTATGTCCAAAATGGACTCTGACAAGAATTTTAAGAAGTTTTGCAAATGAGATTGCTCCTGGAAACTTCTTCACTCATGATGAAGCCCCTCATTCATTACCTGATAAAGATAATTTGAGTCAAGTAAAGGGTGAAGTTCAAAATGAAAGCAATAAAGGATTATTTTCAAATCTGATGATAATATGTCCCCATAAGCATTCTAGTGAATGTAGATTTATGGACATATGTGACTTTGCAACATGTTTTAAAATTATAGTGGATTCCCTGCAGTGCCATCTTTGACAGCTGGTCCCATGCAAATGTGAGGCTGGACTATTAACCACACAACATCACAGATGAATATGAGAAGCATGTTTCAGGCTGTCATTCATTTTTATTTTTTAAGACATTAACTACAAGAAATGTGAAAAGATTCATTATATGCAGAAGAAGAAATGGAACTGCTTTCATGATTTTTTTCCTATTGAGGCTGAAAGAAGTAGTTCACTGAATTGTGTGTAAAGAATAAGCACTTATTTGAGGAGGAATTTTGTTAAAATAATATTTTTAAAATCCAAAATGAATAAAATCTGCCAAAATTTTGTGAATTGTTAAAACAAAAAAAAAACCAGTTCACTAGAAGTGTCAGAAAGAATCTGTTCTGCAAGTTGATTCTGAATCAGTGTTAATGTGGTAAGATCCTCACTTATTATAAGTAAAATCCAATATACGGTGGGTTTATGATTCCATTTCTTTGGTAAGTGGGTAGGTCAGAGCTTAGGATACATCTTGCTAAAGAAAAAGCACTGCTACAGAATTGATGTGGGCGAGACCCATATCACAGTAAGAGTTTTAGATGCCTAATACTGCAAGGCTGTCCATTTTATAAGTGAGAATGGAGGCTCACAGGGAATCCATATGGAACTACCGTCAGCACCAACAGAATCAGTCTGTACTCTGTGTCCTGTGAGGGAAACCATGGGATTCCAAGAGGAAAGACGTGAAGCACAGAGACATTTCTCCAACTCTTGGCCACAGAGCAGAAAGCCCAGTGAACTGCTGAATTAAAGAATGCCATTTGCATATGCACAGCTCTCTTTTTCAAACCTCAGTGCCTCTAACACCTCCCAGTCTTCCTCCCAGAAAACTGGAGCTGTTTCTTGCCCCCGGCTGGGACCTGGTTTCCCCCATGGTCTGGCCAGGACTGAAATAGTATCACTTGCCCATAGGTGCCGGTACACAGAACTGCAGAGAGTGATCAGAAACAGAACCCAACCTGCCTTTAGTCTAAAGGGGCATGGCAGAGAGTGATGATCAGGATTTGGGACAGTGGGACCAAAAGTGAGAGCAGGAGAGCTTTACAGAGGATTTCCAAGCAAGGGAGATAGTTCTCAGCAGCCTGGTGGTCATGGGTGGACATAGAGGAGAAAAAGAATCTAACTGAAAAACAAGTAATTTCTTCTCCTCCTCCTCCTCCTCTCCCTCTTCCTCCTTCACTTCCTCATCCTCCTCTTCCTCCTTCACTTCCTCCTCCTCCTCCTCCTCCTTCTTTCTTATATGCTCTTGTGGTGGTTTTAAAACACGTCCACAAATTCTTTCACACTTCTCCCACCAAGAGGTAAAGTCCATGGCCCCTCCTCTTGAAACTGAGTGGATCTTCGTGACTGCCTCAATGAATAGAGTACACTGGAAGTGACACTGAGTCCCTTATTGGCTAGGCTAGAAAAGACCAGGCAGCCTTGGCTGGTGCCCCTGGGATACTCACTCTACTCACTCTGGGAGCCTTTGGCCACTCAGTAAGAAGTCCAGCTGCCCTGAGGTTTCCTTGAGACCATGTTGGGGGGCAACATAGAGGGAGAGATACCCAAGGAACTCAACTGTTCCAGCCCTAGCTGCTGGAGTCTCCCCAGTACAACTACCAGCTATAAATGGTGGAAGGGCCTTCAAGATGACCCCAGGCCCAGCTACCTTTCATGGCATAGCAATAGATAACTTGAACAGAACAGCTCTCCGTAATAGGGGCTTTCATCTTTCTTTTCTCAAAAGGGCAGGTATCCTGGAGGTCTGAAGCTGTCTTTGCTCAGAAGGTTAAGTCTTTGTTTTCGAAAGTTTCTGTCCCTCTCTCTGTGTCTCTATCTTTCTGTGTCTCTGTCTCTCTGTCTCTCTCTCTCTCTCCCTCCCTCTCTCTAACCGCAGGATTGTGTGGATAGGGAGGGCTCTGTTGATTGAAAGAGAGGAGAGAACCCAGTTCTAAGTATGGACGCTTTCCAGAGCCTAGAAGAAGTAAAGGGGTGGTAGGTTCTTGTAGTTGACACTTGTGCCCTCCCCTACACAGAAACTCAGAAGGATGTCTGATGGGACTGGTGCAAGAATGCCTGTTTGCTGAGCACAGAATGCCTCAGTCTTTAGAGCCTCCTCAGAGGACCCAGTGGCTGACTTCGGTGCAGAGGGGCAGGTGCCACAATCAGCAGAGTGCCATGTAATAAGTACAAATAATGAGGATCTCAGTGCAACTATGATGAGCTCATACCAGGCTCTCCTCCCCAAGGTTTTTGGATAGCACAAGCTGCTTGGGACCCTTACATAACACTAGAGAAGAGGAAGAACTCCTAAACATGACTGATACTGAATTTTCCATTGTAATTTTTAATTAAGAAAAATACCCTTTATTGTC
This sequence comes from Homo sapiens, assembly GCF_000001405.40. Classification (NCBI taxonomy): domain Eukaryota; kingdom Metazoa; phylum Chordata; class Mammalia; order Primates; family Hominidae; genus Homo; species Homo sapiens. Next base: position 108,679,875 of record NC_000005.10, read on the forward strand.
CCAAAGATTTATTAAATCAATCTCACCTGATAATATACATACATTTGTGAATGGTGAGATTACCTTAACCATCCCAAAGGTGTTTACTATCTTCATATGAGGTTTTGGTATTAATAAATCAAATGATTTCTTATTGATGAAAATTTTAGGCAATGTAAAAAATAGAAATTTTTAGAGTAATTAAGTCATGAGAAGGTGCTTTTGGGGCTTTGGGGGAATCCATTAAGCTGCCCTTGCTCTTGAGAGCATCCCCATTTCTTCACTTCTGAAATGACAAGATCTTTCAAAGCCCCAACATGGCTTGAGTGTTTGAAAGCTCTAGGATGATTTTTATTTGTTCTCTCTGATAGAAATGTCAAATGCAGGAGTTTGTGTGACACAAAATGTTTAGGCACACATAGCTGTTGCCATGAACAAAATCTTCTGTATACAAAGGAAGTATTCTGAACTGTTTCCATTTTAGTTTCCAGTAGCCTTTAAAATAACCAAATAAGATCAATCATTAGGGCTTAATGACCCAGAAACTAATGCTGGAAACATTTACTCTTTAATGATGTCTCCTCTTCCTTCCTTGGCCTCCCTAACTAACATAAATTCATCATTTGTCTGTGTCTATGAAGTAAGATCAGATTGACTGGGGGTCTCTTCTCAATATTTTTTTTTTACCTTAACCATGTACTGCAGTTGATCAGAGCAATTAACAGTGATCCAATCCAGACAGAAAGTTATTTTAAATAACCTGACAACCAATCTGAATTCCAACTCTATGAAGGAAACTTGGCCAAAATGTGTTTAGTGTGTTCAAACATAGGCACTATTCAAAATCAAAGCAGAAAAAAAATGAAACTCTGTTAAAAGTGGCTCAAGATGAAGGCATTGCAATTCCCATCTTGAGGGCGGCTGATGAGTTCTTTTCAAGGTGAGGTGTGCCCTAGCATGCAGAGAGGACAGAAAGGGATAAAAGGAACAAATAAGCAAACAGAATGTGCTCTCAGAACTCCCAGCTTGATTTCCTCAAAGAAAAAGTAGAAATAGATCAAATCAAAGCATTCTTTAAAGATGCTGAGGTGGCTTTAACTGACTAAAATGTAGCTTTAAAAAAATCAGTATCCTAAATGCCAGGTGATTAATAAAGGTCAAGCAGGCAACTTCCGGACTTTATCAGTATAAGCTTAGTCGTGTGCCTTTATTAGGAAATGATCAATACCTTCCTACTTAGCAATATTTTAGGGAATATTTTCCTATAATAGGTAAGGTTTTTAAAATATGAAGACAAAAGTGTAGTATAGTTACTTTGTTTTTCTGGTAGAGCTAAGGAAGTAAATGAACCTCACAATAGTCAGTTTATGCACCCAAGTGAGATTAATTGCTTTACTTACACCATTACATTATTACACAATTCTTGTTATGTGGGGTTTTAAAAGTCTTCACTGTTTAAGCTGTTTTCATTTTAGTTATTCTGTTATTTACAACTGAAAGAGAAAACTGGAGAGGTCTTTGTGAATCTCTACCATATTTTTTTATGACTTTTGATTTCAAGAACCAAAATTGAGGATAAACCTGAAGCAAACACTGTTGAAATGGCCTTTGCAGTACAGACTTCATAGGCTAGAGGGCACAATTGTTTTAGCTGGTCCAAGGCAATGGAAAGCAAAACCTAGTCAACTGTTTCTTACACAGTGACCTAGCAGTTTTAAAATTTGGACCAAGAACGTGAAATTGCTCCTCGCTAAAAATCCACATCTGCTGGAAGAAACAGTAGAATAAAATGTGCATTTTCTATAGTAGTTTTGGATGTTTTTTGCAGAGGTCCTGGGCTTGTGAGAAAAAATAGAACACTCCAAAAGGTCCTTTGGTTCAGCAAAATTTTCCTATCTTAGATTTATCAAGCTGTCCACTCAGTTTTCAATGTGGCCTTTTCCTTCTAAAAATAACATCCTCAGCCGGGCGTGGTGGCTCATGCTTGCAATCCCAGCACTTTGGAAGGCCAAGGCGGGCAGATCACCTGAGGTCAGATGTTTGAAACCAGCCTGCCCAACATGGTGAAACCCCGTCTCTACTAAAAATACAAAAAAAAAAAAAAAAAAAAAAAAAAAATTAGCCACGCGTGGTGGCAGGTGCCTGTAATCCAAACTACTTGGGAGGCTGAGGCAAGAGAATCACTCGAACCCGGGAGATGGAGGTTGCAGTGAGCCGAGATCACGCCACTGCATTCCAGCCTGGGCTACAAGAGCAAAACTCCGTCTCAAAAACAAATAAAATAAAATAAAAAATAATAACAGCCCCTCCCTCCAATGTTTGTATGTATATATGCATATAACGTACTTGACAAGGAACTTGGTAAATACTTGACTATCATTAGGAAATTACAGGGTTGATTCTAAGTAGTGAGATTATGTCTTCTATGAAAATGGTTTCTTTTTAAAATGTACACATATTAATAATTTTTTTTTCCTAAAGCAGTTAGTTAGTCAATGATATTGTGTGGCCTTAACATTGTCTCTGCCTTTATTTGTTCCCTTCCTGCTTAGGGCTTTCTGGATCTTCTTTGCTGTTTTACCTTTTTTAATATGAAATGCTTCTGGTTTCTCCTCCTCACATATCATGTATGACCCCAAGTCCCAGATTATTTTTCTCTTTACTCATTTCTTCTGCTTCCTTCATGCCAGCACACCCAGGCAGAAGGAGAGCCACAGGAAAAGTGACCTCCACACTCACAAATTCCTGCTTCATTTCATCATGTTTTTTGCCTCACAAACTACAATTCTTATTCCCAAATTCAAATTTTTTCTTGAGTGATAGTTGTCTTTCTCTTCTTTCTGCACACCCAAAGATCTCAAGTAGGATATTTGGGGACTGATGAAGGGGAGAACTCAAGGAAATGATTGGGGCCTCAAAGAAGCTTCTAGGCCAGGTGTGGTGGCTCATGCCTGTAACCCCAATACTCTGAGAGGCTGAAGTGGGAGGATTGCTTGAGCCTAGGAGTTCAGCGCCAGCCTGGGCAAAAGAAGGAGGCCCTATTTCCACACAAAAAAATTTTTAAATAGCCAGGCATGGTGATGGGTACCTGTGGTCCCAGCAACTTGGGAGGCTGAGATGGGAGAATCGCTTGAGCCCAGCAGGTTGAGGCTACAGTGAGCCGTGATCATGATCATACCACTTTACTCCAGCCTGGGCAACAGACTGAGATCCTGTCTCAAAAAAAAAAAAGAAAAGAAAAGAAAAAAGAAGAAGTTTCTAGATAAGGGATAAATGTCTCATTAGATATGATGTTAAATACTTTTTGAAGCCAATCTTTCCACTTCCACCTATGAAATATATTCCAAACCCATCTGTGGTAGGCAGAATGTTGGGCCTCATGACCTTCTCCCTCTGGAGTCACTCCTGTGAATATGTTACTTTACATGGCAGAATGGACTTGACAGGTGTAATTAAGGTTACTAATCAGCTGACCTAAAATGGAAGGTTATATTGGCTTATCCAAGTAGGCCCAATGGAATCACGTGAGCTCTTAAAAGCAGAGATATTTTTCCAGCTAGTAGTAGAAGATAAAGTCAGATATTCCAAGATGAAAAGGATTAAAAGTGCTGCTGTTAACTTGAAGATTAAGGTAACCATGTCAAGGAAATGGCAACCTCAGTCCTATAACCTCAAGAAACTGAATTCTGGCAGGGTGCAGTGGCTCACGCCTGTAATCCCAACACTTTGGGAGGCCGAGGCAGGCAGATCATGAGGTCAGGAGATTGAGATCATCCTAGCTAACACGGTGAAACCCCATCTCTATTAAAAATACAAAAAATTAGCCGGGCATGGCAGCGGGCACCTGTAGTCCCAGTTACTCAGGAGTCTGAGGCGGGAGAATGGCGTGAACGTGGGAGGCGGAGCTTGCAGTGAGCCGAGATCGTGCCACCGCACTCCAGCCTGGGCGACAGAGCAAGACAATGTCTCAAAAAAAAAAAAAAGAAAAAAAAGAAACTGAATTCTGCCAACAAACTGAATGCGCTGGAAAGCAGAATCTCCTCAAGAGCCTCCAGATGAGCCCTGTCCTGCTGATGCCTTGATTTCAGCTCTGCTAAACCCTGAGTAGAAGACCCAGTTGAGCAATTGCTGTGCCCAGACTCTTGACCCACAGAACTGTGTCCATGATAATTATTTACACCACCATTCTTGTTACGTGGGATTTTAAAAGTCTTTCCTGTTTAAGCTATAGTTCTTCTCTTATTTATATTTTAAAAAGAAAATTTATATTGTCTTCTCAAGCTGTGAAAAAAAGGCTTAAAAGTTAAAACTTTCTTTGCATATGTATTATAGAAATGTATTGGTCTTTTGATGAAAGAATGCAGCTGTCTTTGCACTGACTGAATGGATGTCAAGTGCTAGGCTCTGTGCTAGTCAGTTTATAGATCCCACTTCCAGTCCTCATCACAACTTTTATGTCCCAGAGGGAAAACAAATGATCAAATTGAGGGAAAAAAACAGCAACCATATCTGGTGATAAGAAAAATAAGGAACGTTATTTCAAAAAGGAGGCAGGTATATAAGGAAATAGTTTATTTTTGAATCTGACTCCAGTATGTAAAATGTCCAGGGTTTTAGGAGCCACCTACAGAGGGGAAATGTTTCTATCTTTAAGGGTTATGAACCCAGCCTTTCTCTCTGGATGCACTTAACATTTTTTCCTTCATTTCAACCTTGGTGAATCTGACGATTATGTGTCTTGGGGTTGCTCTTCTCGAGGAATATCTTTGTGTTGTTCTCTGTATTTCCTGAATTTGTATGTTGGCCTGCCTTGTTAGGTTGGGGAAGTTCTCCTGGATAATATCCTGAAGTGTGTTTTCCACCTTGGTTCCATTCTCCCCGTCACTTTCAGGTACACCAATCAAAAGTAGATTTGATCTTTTCATATATAGTCCCATATCTCTTGGAGGCTTTGTTCATTTCTTTTCACTCTTTTTTCTCTACTCTTGCCTTCTTGTGTTATTTCATTGAGTTGATCTTCAATCTCTGATATGCTTTCTTCCGCTTGATCGATTTGGCTGTTGATACTTGTGTATGCTTCCCGAAGTTCTTGGCTGTGTTTTTCAGCTCCATCAGATCATTTATGTTCTTCTCTAAACTTGTTATTCTAGTTAGCAATTCCTCTAACTTTTTTTCAACGTTCTTAGCTTCTTTGCATTGGGTTAGAACATGCTTCTTCAGCTCAGAGGAGTTTGTTATTACCCACCTTCTGAAGCTACTACTGTCAATTCGTCAAACTCATTCTCCACCAGTTTTGTTCCCTTGCTGGCGAGGAGTTGTGATCCTTTGGAGGAGAAGAGGCCTTCTGATTTTTGGAGTTTTCAGCCTTTTAGCGCTGGTTTCTCCCTATCTTTGTGGATTTTTCTAGCTTTGGTCTTTGATGTTGGTGACATTCAGATGGGATTTCTGAGTGGACGTCCTTTTTGTCGATGTTGCTACTATTTCTTTCTGTTAGTTAGTTTTCCTTCTAACAGGCTCCTCTTCTGCAGGTCTGCTGGAGTTTGCTGGAGGTCCACTCCAGACCCTGTTTTCCTGGGTATCACCAGCGGAGCTGCAGAACAGCAAAGATTGCTGCCTGTTCCGTCCTCTGGAAGCTTCATCCCAGAGGGGCACCTGCCAGATGCCAGCAAGAGCTCTCCTGTATGAGGTGTCTGTCGGCCCCTACTGGGAGGTGTCTCCCAGTCAGGATACACAGGGGTCAGGGCTCCATTTGAGGAGGCAGCCTGTCCCTTACCAGAGCTTGAACGCTGTGCTGGGAGATCCGCTGCTCTCTTAAGAGCTGTCAGGCAGTAGAGCTTAAGTCCGCTGAAGCTGTGCCCACAGCCGCCCCTTCCCCCAGGTGCTCTGTCCCAGGGAGATGAGGGTTTTATCTGTAAGTCCCTGACTGGGGCTGCTGTCGTTTTTTCAGAGATGCCCTGTCTAGAGAGTCAGTCTGGCTGCAGCGGACTTGCTGAGCTGTGGTGGACTCCGCCCAGTTCAAACTTCCCCGTGGCTTTGTTTACACTGTGAGGGTAAAACCACCTATTCAAGCCTCAGCAATGGTGGACGCCCCTCCCCCCACCAAGCTCCAGCATCCCAGGCCAACCTCAGACTGCGGTGCTAGCAGGGAGAATTTCAAGCCAGTGGATCTTAGCTTGCTGGGTGCCGTGGAGGTGGGACCCACCGGGCCAGGCACGGGAGGGAATCTCCTGGTTTGCCGGTTGTGAAGACCATGGGAAAAGCGCAGTATCTGGGCCAGAGTGCACTGTTCCTCCCAGTACAGTCTCTCACGGCTTCTCTTGGCTAGGAACTGGAAATCCCCCGACCCCTTGTGCTTCCCAGGTGAGGCAACGCCCCACCCTGCTTGCTTGGGCTCGCCCTCCGTGGGTTGCACCCACTGTCCAACCCGTCCTAATGAGATGAACCAGGTACCTCAGTTGGAAATGCAGAAATCACCCACCTTCTGCGCGATCTCTCTGGGAGCTGCAGACCAGAGCTGTTCCTATTCAGCCATCTTGCCAGCAATCAAATGTAGTTTTTGGGGGGAGTTTTGCTTCCTAAGTCTAGGACCCATTCCAACTCCTACCTCTCACCAGTTGGGCCAAAGTTTCAGCACCCAGGATCAAGGTGGGCCCCTCTGGATATCAATTGTCCACCCATCTTGTTTTATAGCAGAGTGGTCCATTGTGCTGCTTAGCACAGCTCTGCAACTTCTGTGCCATATTTGGGGCATCAGAATCTTATTTCTAGGTGGCCGATGAGAAAGCCTACCTAGATACGTAGGATAGTTCTCTTTCTGCCACATTTTTCATATGATCAGACCAACACATAGCCTGAAGGAAGGGAGAAGTAGAAGAAATAAAAAGAAAAAAATAATATTGGTTAATTTCTCAAGCATATTTTCTTCCAAACATTCTAAAGAATAAACTGATTCATTCAACAAACACAAAGGCATTCAGATGCTAAAGCATGTGCATTCACATGCTAATTCCAGAAAGAAAAAAAAAATGCATCTCATTAGCCTAAAGGCACTGGAGTCTGAGTTTAGCCATTCATTCAGTATAGCTAGTATAGTATTCAAGAAACCTGTCTGAATTGTAATTCAAGTATTAAATATATTTTTTTCCTCAGTAACACCCAATATTGGAAACTACACTAATCATTCATGTCTTAAGTATGCTTTTATCTCTCATGTTCGTGTGTGTGTGTGTGTGTGTGTGTGTGTGTGTGTGTGTGAGACAGGGTCTGTTGCCCAGGTTTGAGTGCATAGCTTACTTCAGCCTTGACTTCCCTGGCCCAAGCACTCCTTCCACCTCAGTTCCACAAGTAGCTGGGGCCACAGGCATGTGCCAGGACACCCAGATAATTTTGTTTAGTTTTTGTGGAGAGGAGGTCTCCCTACATTGCCCAGACTAGTGTTGAACTCCTGGGCTCAAGTGATCCTCCCGCCTCAGCCTCCCAAATTGCTGGGATTACAGGCTTCAGCCACTTCCCTGAGCCTAACTCTCATATTCTTCAGTTTCTGATTGCATGCTGTTGTTAGCTGTATAAGCATTTTCACATTTTAAGATTTTTTTATTGACCTTTCTGACAATCACACCAGTGAAAAAAGATAGGGCAGTGTATAACATACTGCACAGAATGCATTGATCTGTACAGCCTTGTGAAAACATGGTATAGTTTTGCACATAACCTCTATATATGAGGATAAGGCCTATGATAAAATTCTTGAGATTACTTATGTGTTGAATATGGCTCTGGTGTTCATGTCAAAAAAAAGCATCATAAGTCCATAGAATTTCTGAGGCAATTGAGAGATAAAATATCAAGTTTTTTTTTTTTTAAGAAAACCTTGCGGTTTTAAATAACATAGCAAACACCAACAAACATTAAGGAGGTTGAACCACTCAGTTCATGATGTTGTCATGACAACAGAGCTTGAAAACTGAAAGTGAGGCTAAAGATGAATGAAATTTTAGGTTGCATACCTTGTAAAAGGATCAAATCTTTAATTTTTAAAAAAGAAAATTTTCCAGTAGGTAAGGTTTCTGTAGGAGATCCCTCTGGACAAGAAGGGCCTCTCCCACTGGGTTTTACTTCCCTCTTTGCCTTCTAATGGTTTCCTGATGCTGACACCCAGCCTGGCCCGTGGAGTCTTTCTGCTTCCCTTAACTGCTGGCTGAAAAGAGGCAAAAAATTCCATTCCTTAGTAGTGCAACAGAAACAGCTTGGAATGTTCCAAGAGAGATGTTAATAAGAAAATGGAAGAAAACAAAACACAACATGAATATTTTTCAGCTCCCCAAATCATTTTTCAGTGACACCAATGTGTGGCTCTTTTGGCTCTAGCAGTTTCTGAAGCTGTGACTAGGGAGACAAACCCATCCCAACTTTCCCAGGACTTTCTGGTTTTAGCATTGAAAATCTCTCATCCTGGGAAACCTGTTAGTCCCTAACGAACAAACTCGGACAGTTGGTCACTGTACCTGACTGTTAGAAGGAACACCCTAAAATCCCTCTTTTCCAGTCCTTGAATATTTTCTTATCCAACTCTTCCAGTATCCGTTTAGACCAAAGGTGATAAGACTGAATGAGTCTGTCTCAACCTGAGAATAGAAGGGTCCCACTTATTCAAATATATTCACATGGCTATAGCTAGTCAAAGGGCCACTGAGCCATGGGCTTGTAAAAAAGCATTTCACACTAGTCCTCAATCACTTGTCTTAGAGACAGATGCCATCAAGCCCCAACAGAAGACAGCTGCTGCCACTACCATGCACTCCTCAAAAAGTTTATCACAAGTATTGCAGGTGCTGACATCAAAGGTAGGCTGGATCTTTGGGTAGTAAAACAACAGCTATTTAATTGGGTACTGTATAAACAGTCAAAGGGAAGTAGCTTTAAAGACTTCTGACCAAATAAACCAGCAAACTTGGTCTTCTGTAGATCCAAGAAGTATAGACCACATAGTAACCAAAGGTGGAGAATTGACATTACTAAAATTAGAGGTGTCATTAGCCTCAAATATGAGTCCAATTTTTATAAATAACTTTTGTTCTTTTTTATGTATACCCATGTAGAAAAAATAAAAATATATAGAAAAAAAGACAATAAAAATCAACAAAAGGCCGGGCGCGGTGGCTCACACCTATAGTCCCAGCACTTTGGGAGGCCGAGGCCGGCGGATCACCTGAGGTCAGGAGTTCAAGACCAGCCTACCCAACATGGCAAAACCCCATCTCTACTAAAAAATACAAAAATTAGCTGGGCGTGGTGATGGGCGCCTGTGATCCCAGCTACTTGGGAGGCTGAGATAGGAGGTTGCAGTGAGTCGGGACCGTGCCACTGCAATCCAGCTTGGGCCACAGAGTGAGACTCTGTCTCAAAAAAAAAAGAAAAAAAAAATCAACAATAATCTTATTACACAGAGATATGCACGGCTAACTTTTTATCATTTCTTCATGATTTGTCTCCATACATGCTAATATATATATATATATATATATATATATATATATATATATATATCACATAGGTATAATGTATATACATTTTCTATTCTTTTTCTCATGCCTAAGACATCAAGAATATTCTCTTTTTTTGATATAACATTTGTTATTGACTGAATGTTCGTGTTATTTCCTCCCACCCCAAAATCATATTTTGAATCCCTAACCCTCAATATAATGGCATTTGGAGTCTGGGTCTTTGGAAGGTCATTAGGATTAAATGAGGTCAAAAAAGTGAGGCCTTCATGATGAGATTAGTGCCCTCATAAAAAAAGATACCAGAGAGTTTGCGTTTTCTCTGTCTCTCTCTGCCATATGAGGACACAGTGAGAACAGGAATAGAGCCTTCACCAAGAACTGAATTACACAGCACCTTGATCTTAGATTTTCTAGCCTACCAAACTGTGATAAATAAGTTTTTGTTTAAGCCACCCATTCTATGGTATTCTGTTATGGCAACATGAGCTGACTAAGACAGCATTTATAATTTTTTTCATTTTAAACATTCTCCAAACCCAACATTTATAATGATCAGATAATCATCCCCCGTAAAACATGAATGTACTATAATTTAACATACTGCTATTTTAATTCATTTAGATATATAATGCACACTTTGGGTTGCCCTTTCTGTTTTCCAAAAATATTTTTTTTCCAGTAATACAGTCTTCCTCCAAATAGCCAAACATCTTAAAGAGATGATTTCACTACGAGTTCTAGGAGTGGACCTGACTGGTCTAAGAATAATAGACCAATCCAACGATTGGTTCAGAAATGGCATATGACTACTTCTAGCCAATAACATATGAAGGGAAGTTTGGTTAGAAAGATTTGGGAAAGTTTTCTCACATCTAAGACAGAGTCATTAGAAAATATTGTCTCTTTTCTTCCTCTAGACATTGTGAATTCTGAGTGGTCAGCCATCTTACTTCTGAAAAATCACAGAAGAGATGAATGAAACTTAGTTATTTCACAAAACTGATGAATCACTGAACTGTAGCCTTGAAGTTCACCTCCTCCTCTGTACTTCTTGTTATGTGACATAAATTTGCTTTTTATTTAAGTCATCTTGTATCAGGATTTCAGACACTTGCAGGTAAAATTATTCTGACACAAATTTTTTTCTACTTTTACAACAATCTTCATGCATAAATCTTTGTTTATATCTCTGATTATTTCCTAAGATAGAATCTCTGAAGAAAAGGTTCAGGGTCAAAGACTATGAACATGTTTAATGTTCTTTTTTTAATACATTTTTCTTGAGATATGGAGTCTCACTATATTGCCCAGGCTGGTCTTGACTTCCTGGGCTCAAGCGACCCTCTCACGATGGCCTCCCAAAGTGCTGGGATTACAGGCATGAGCCACTGTGCCTGGCCAATGTTCTTTATATTTATTGCCAATTTATTCTGAGAAAGTCTGCATCAATTTACATTCCCATGAGCAGTATATGAGGGACCATTTCAATGTATCTTTACCAGCATCAAGTATTATCTTCTTAAAACTTTTTATTGATATGATAAAGAAATAATAGTACCATGTTGTGATATAAGTTTGAATTTTTGTTGAGGGTTGACCATATTTTTATATATAGTATTTATTAGTCATTTATATTTAGTCATCTATACATTTTCTATTCATATCCTTGGCTGATTTTTCTTAGTTTTGTTAAGTAGAATTTGAGGCTAGGTAGTCATTTTTTAAAGTTGGATATAATATACTCTTTATTTTAATATCTCTGGTTTGGATAGAAAGGCTTATTATTACAGGACAGAAATTGACGATGGATTTTTAGGTCAGGTCATAAAATGGAAAAAAAAAAACCTTGAAAATCATTAGAGGCACAAAAACCTTCTTTTCTTTAAAACATGTTCGTATCGTTGAGTTTGAGTAAATTCATGAAAGAGTTTAATAATTTAATAATCATAGTTTAAATTCACATGGAATCTCATAACTTTATTTCAATAATCAGTATTCTTAGGTTATGTAACCACTCCTTTTAAAGATTCGTTTATGACCTATTCAGTAATATTTAGGTTTCTCTGTACTGCCTTAATAAACCCACTATGACTTTCCTCATGCACCCTCTTGCTAAAAATTGTTTTATGTCAGGGCTTAGCAAATTTATTATCAGTTGGAGAGAAACGTGGGCATGTAAAATAAAAAATGAATTCTAATAATAATACACGCTCAAGATATAGGAGACAATACTTGTCCATTTTTATTCTAAAATTGCCAGTTTTCATTGTGTTTGCAATCCAGGAAAATAGCATAATTCAGTTTTCATTATTAATGTGTTCAATTACACATTTTTATATAGATTGGCGTTAGTGTGGTGCTCTCTTGAGAGAAAAGGGGAGACATGATGAATAGTGCTTCACTCTCTTACTGCCCAACCTCCTCCCACAACTTTGACTGGATTGGAAAGAATATTAGAAAGTGCAGCAGCCTGCTTTGTCCCAGAAGTTATCATGTCAGAAGAAAAATCTGTGTCACCTTTGTGTCACCTGGCCTTGTATGTAAAGCGTGGTGGCCTCGTCTATGTGATCAACAGGTCTCTCTCAGGCAGCAGCGCAGGAGCCAGGAACCCTGGATGAATGGCCCTTGAGTCAGGTGGGCTTTATCGTAAAAATCAATCTGCAGATCAGGCAGAGAGGCTGCAGTCACTGAGGACTGGGGCAAGACTTTAGATGCCCGGGAAAATCTGGCAAGGGGGAGAGACAAGTTACCGAGACCAGAGAAAAAAAGCAAATCTTGGAAACTGGAGCACACAGTGGTGGAAAGAGCTGTAAGTCAGAGAACAATGAGCTTTCCCCAAATTTGACTGGCAGCAAAGGAGACACAATGTGGAATGTGGAAATCCAGCAGTTTGCTCTGGGCAACTCAAAATCCAGGCTGGTAACAAATCTCTGCAAACTAGTTTTAGCCAAAGAGAAGGATAGGGTTATCATAAGAGCCAAGGTCAGGAATTCAAGAAGCAACTGGAATTGGGAATAAGAAAATCATCAGGACCGCAGGCCATATTTTACCATCTCTGCTTCTCACTGGACATATGCTACATTTTTCTCTCTCTGCATCTGTTGGATAGCTCACTTCAGTCCACACTGATCGTGGCAGCTTCTAGCTCCTGAGTTCATATGATATAGTTCAACCACACAAACTCTTGCAACCTCTATCTAGTCAAAAATTTTATTTAATGATTGGCCCAGCTCTAGTACAATCAGCTGTATTCATGGCAGGTAGGGTCACAGTGAAGAGATAGGACCATGGAAACCCACCCCTGATATGTTAGTCAGGATTCTCAGACCAAACAGAATGAGTAGGAGATAGATAGATAGATAGATAGATAGATAGATAGATAGATAGATAGATAGATAGATAGATATAGAGAAATAATAAGATTTATATAAGGAATTGACTCACATGATTATGGAGGCTGAGAAGTCTTGTAATCTACCATCTGCAAGCTAGAGTCCTAGGAAAGCTGATGGTGGTGTTCAAAGGTCTGAGAGCTGGAGAATGAATGATTTATATTCCAGTCTGAGTCTAAAGGCCTGAGAATCAGAAGCACCGAGGGCAGGAGAAGACCAGCGTGTTAGCTCAGACATGCAGAGATTTCAGCCTTCTTTCACCTTTTTCTTCTATTCAAGCCTTCAATGGTTTGATTGGATGGCACCTATCCACACTGGGGAGAGCCATCTGTTTTGCCTAGTCTCCCAATTCAAATGCTAATGTCTTCCAAAAATATACTCACAGACACACCCAGAAAATGTTTAACCAGGTGTGTGGGCATCCTGTGGCCCAGTCAAATTGACACATAAAATTAACCATCATATTTGAGAATTAGAGTGATTAAAAGGTGGGCAGCAGAGGCAATTAAGGGTGTTATTGTAAGCCATCTACCCAAATAAATTCTAAATCTCATTAGATGGAAGATGGAGTGTGTATTAGTCTGTTCTCACGCTGCTAATAAAGACATACCTCAGACTGGGTAATTTATAAAGGAAAGAGTTTTAACTGACTCACAGTTCCACACGGATGAGGAGGCCTCACAATCATGGCAGAAGGAGAACGAGGAGCAAAGTCACATCTTGCATGCCAGCAGGCAAAAGAGCTTGTGCAGGGAACTCCCATTTATAAAACCATCAGATCTTGTGAGACTTATTCACTACCACGAGAATAGTATGGGGGAAACTGGCCCCATCCTTGACACGTGGTGATTATTACAGTTGGTGAGATTTGGGTGGGGACACAGCCAAACCATATCAGAGAGGGGGATAGTTAATATACTGCCTGCTTCATATTGTGATTGGTCTTTGATCTAGGGGCCCAGATTTTGTGGAATTAAGGACAGTAGAAGCTGGTATTGACTGTTCCTGTTTTAAGAAAGGCTTCTGAAGAAATAGCTGTAAAAATGCTAATAAATCATTCTGTTATATAAATATACATATCTAATGTATATTTGTTTTTATACTTTAAAAAATACTAAAAGCTTTTGGCCATGATGGAGTAATAAGGACTGGATTTACCGTCTCACCTTAAACAGTTAGAAAACCAGACAAATATGTAAAAAAATTGTTAGTATATCTAATGTATGCTACATTAGATAACAGGTAGTACAGAACTGTAATCCACAAGCGATGAATCCTATAATTATCCCCATTTATTGCCTGAGGAGACCACAACATAGGTAGGGCCTGGCATTCTCACTGATTTTAAAGTGCATGAAGGCCAATGTGGTTAGAATTTGTGGGGCAAAGTAAAGAAGAGAAAGAGCTGCAAAGAGAGGTCTGCACAGGACTTTCCTCAGATCTTTAGTGGAGTATTGATCTGAGTAAGCATGTTTGTAAGGAAGCTACCCAAGGCCAATGAGTGAACCAACAGGAAGGAATAGGCATAGGAATTACCAGAATTCATGCATATCTAGGAGTAATTTATGTTCATAACGGTCCAAATGGGAAGACCTCCTCATACATGGGGCATTGGGCAGACCTTCCAAAGATATGATTTTAGTGGCAATCACAAATTAGCTCTAAACTAAAGGCTATTTTGATCCAAACCAGACAAATCTTAAAAGCAAGCTTCAAAATTATCAAAGCTAATTCAAAGTTACTTAACTACATCCCAAAACAAAGCTCAACAAGAGTTAATGAAAAACAGCAAAACACAACACTCAACAACCTGAAATTCAAAATATCTGTTATCCAATCAAAACTAGCAGGCATGCAAAAAGCAGGACAATATGATTGTCAGCTAAGAAAAAATCAATCACAAATATGTTAGAATCAACAAGCAAAAATAATAAAACATCTATTATAAATATATTTCTTATGTTCAAGAAGGTAGAAGAAAACATTGAAAGTAATGAGAAGAGAAATTAAAGATAGAAGATATAGATAAGACATCTAGAGGTGATTATGTAATACCTAAAATGAAAACTATATTGGATGAAATTAACAGCAAATTAGATCATTGGACTTAAAGACATTGGAATAGAAACTATCCTCAGAGAGAAAAAAGACTGAAGAAAAAATGAATGCAGAAGCAATGACTTTTGGAACCATTATCAGGCAGTCTAATAAACATATACTGAAGTCACAGAAGGAAGGGCAGGGCAAAATGGAAAAAAAATTAATGAAATATTTCCTCAAGCTTAATGAAAACAATAAATCCACAGATATAAGAAGCTCAGCAAACTTCAAGTGAAGAAAAATGAAACAAAACAAAAACGCTATAGTAGGCAGATTAATGGTCCCCCTAGATGTCCATGTCCTAATTCTTGGAACCTGTGAATGTTACCTTATAACACTTTGCAAATGAGATTAATGTAAAGATTTTGTTATGGGGAGATTAACCTGAATTATATGGGCAGGCCCAATGTAATCACAAGAGTTCTTATAATAAGGTGGCAAGAGAGAATCGGAGAAGATGTGGCAATGGAAGTGGAGGTTGGAGTAAGCAAGGAGTAAGCCATGAATCAAAGAATACAGGCAGCCTCTAGAAGCTGAAAAAGACAAGGTACAGAGCCTCCCGTAGAGCCTCCAGAAGGAAGGTAGCCCTGCCAACACCTTGAGTTTAACTCTTCAGGGCATATTTTTGGGCATTTCATATCTAGAACCATAAGATAAACTAAGTTCATAGTAATTTGTTACCACAGCAATAGCAAATTAATACAAACACCAAAGGACATCATAGTCAAATTGATGAAAATAAGTGATAAAGAGAAAATCTTAAAAGCTGCCAGACAGCTGGGCAACATGGTGAAAACTTGTCTCAAAAATTACGTAAGTTTTGCCAGGTATGGTGGCACGTGCCTATACTCCCAGCTACTTGGGAGGCTGAGGTGGGAGGATGGCTTGAGCCTGGGAGGTCAATGCTGCAGTGAGCCCTGATCGTGCCACTGCACTCCAGCAGCCTAGATAACAGAGCAAAATCCTGTCTCAAGAGGAGGGGGAAAAAACAGCCCTAGAAAACAAGAAGGGAGTGAGAGTGATATACATTATGCATAAAGAAAAAAATCCATTTTTACCACCACTGTCTTCAGGTTGTAGTTCACTCACTATGCCCTCAATATGTCCTATAGCTTCCATTTTTACACAGCTTAGAATGTCATCATTTTATAAGTAATAATAGCTCCATTTTTTAAATGAGCTCCTGATAGAATCCAGGCTTTTTGAATATACTGGTATTTCTGACATCCCCCCACCTCCACCAACTAATCAGTGAGGTTTTGAACCCAGACACAGGGTTAATAAATGGAAGAGGCAGGGTTCAAATCCAGATCCTCCTAAGAGGATGTACTCATTTCACTGTTGGCATTTTTTTTTCTTTTGCCTTAGAGGGAATGCACATGTCCTTCAAAGCCCTACTGTCTCATCTTATCATCCTGTCAGTGAAATGTCTTCCTCAACGATCCTATACATAATAATTTCTTCCTCCTAAAAATCTTTATTGTCATTGGGGAGCATGTTTGTCTTTTAAAATGTCCTCCCTCCCCCATGAACCATACTCATGGTATTCAAACCCTTGAGTAGCCCTCATCTGGGCTAACCCTGTAACTCACTTAAACTAATAGAATTTAATGGAAATGAAACTGTGTAACTTCCAAAGCTAGGTAATTAAAAAAAACTAGTTTCTTTCTGGGTCTCTAAAAGCACTTACTCTTAGAACGCTTGCTCTGGGGAAAGCCAGCCATCAGGTTAAATAAATAAATAAATAAATAAATAAATAAATAAATAAATAAAGACTACCCTGAGACTGCCATGTCATGAGGAAGCCCAAGCTAGCCACACGAGAGGGGCATGTGGAAAAAGACGGATACCTGACCTGCCCCTAGCAATTGCAGCCATTCCGAATCCCAACTGAGGCAGAAGAAAATTACATCGGATGGAAACTTGGATCTAGACAGATAAATGAGCAGCACCAGAAATGGTGAATCAGTACATAAATAAAAAATAGTTATATTTTTCTCGTTAAAAAAATCTTTTAAAAGAGATCATTGCTTAAGTAAAAATAGCAGGGTATTTATTGTAGAGTTTATAACGTGTAGAAGTAAAATTATGGCAATATGACAACAACAGCACAAAGTAGGAGAGGAAGAAAATGGAAGTATACTGTAGCATAGTTCTTAAAATATAAAGTGGTAAAATATTTTTTAAAGGTATACCGTGAAAACTTCAAGATGTGTATTGTAAACCCTAGAGAAGGAGTTGGCAAACTACAGCCTGCCAGCCAAATTTGGCCTGCCCATTGTTTTGTAAATAAAGTTTTACTGGAACACAGCCAAGCTCATTTGTTTTCATATTTGCAGGACCCACAGAGCTAAAATATTTACTATCTGGCCCTTTACAGAAAAATTTGCCATCCCTGCCTTAGAACAACCACTAAAAATATCAATGAAACAGAGAAGTATAGGTAGTAAGTCAATACTGGAGAAAAATGGAAACATTAAGCTCAATTAATCCAAAGGAAAAGAGAAGAAGCAGAAAAAAAGTAACACTTATGCTCCCTGCTGCATCCCATGCAATTGAGTGTCCACCTGAGCCCTCTTCCCTTGTCTTCTATGACTCAACCTTAATTTCCTTCTCCCCACCTGGCCGCTCTTTCTCTGTCTCCTTCCCAGATCCCCCTTCCCCTGCCTCTCTCTTAAATGCTGGCACTCTCTCTACCTCACTAGCTTGCCTGTCACTTGCTGCTTGCATCCTCCTCTCCAGACAAACAGAACATCTACAGTTCTTTCATGCTCTTTCATGCATCTGAGTCTTGGCCCATGATATTCCCTCTACTTGGACCTCCTCACTCCTTCCATCCCCCAGTCCCTACCCTTGCTACTGCCCTGCCCCTTGCTAACTCTGGTTAACTCCAGCTCAAATTTAAGATTCAACTTAGACATGATCTCATTCACCATAAGCCTTCCCTCACTCCATCCTACTCACGCCCAAGATTCTTTCTACTATTAAAGCACTTACTCCATTGAATTATAATCATTTATTTGTTTTTCTTCTCCATGAGACCTAAGAAGCTTGAGATCAGGAATAATATCTTATTTGGCTTTTTTTTTGGTATCCCCAATACAGAGCTATACCAAATAGATGGTTAGTAAATATCTGTTAAGTAAATAAATGAAAGGTTAAATAAATATCTACTTACACAATGAAGATATTATAATTTTACAATGTAATAATAGGAGCTAACATTTATTAAAGCATATTTATATGCCTAGCACTATCCAATGTGCTTGACATGTATTAATTTATTTAATATTTATAGCAACCCTATTAGGTAGGTAGGTATTATTTATTATCCTTATTAACTGGAAGGTTAAGCAAGTTTTTCAAAGTGGTAAAGAAATAATCAAGATTCAAACCTAGGCATTCTGATGCAGAGCCTAAGATCTAGAATCTCAGCAGAAAGAAACTTAGAGATTATGTATTCTAACCCCTTCGCTCCACAGATGAGGAAGCTGAGTTTCACAGAGCTGATGTGTCTTGACCCTCAAAAGGACAGCTGAACATTCAGAAGCACTTACAATTTTTTTGTCTTATTTAACTTGTAAACTAAGTATCTCCAACTATAAACACCTCCAGAAAATAGCACTGTGTGATTATAATTGGATTATAGGGCAGCACACACAGAAGGCTTCTCCAGCAGCTACTGGGATGTGCAGAACTTTACAATGTATTGAAATCCTTGGAAGAGAGAAGGATGTTGCCAAAGGTAGAAGAAGGTTAATTCAGAGAGAATGTCTGGGTTAAAGCATAACAACAAAAATACACTAAAAATGGAAACTGAAGAAAGATAATAGAGGGCAGAAATGCAATAACTTTGTTATCTATAAATAAGCAGTCATAACTGACATAGGAAACTCATTTGTGCTTGTGTTTGTGAAATGTAGCACAATGAAAACGCAATATGCTGGACTTATTTTTCCATTAATATAGGTACAGCCTGATAAGAAATTAAGTCCTGCATTCCTACTCATTCCAGAACAGTTAGTTTTTGGTTTTATTTTTTTAGCTTTGGAAATAAATAAGATAGACTTTGAAGTTGGCTATTTTTACCACCCCCTAAGTAGGATTTAAAACTTTTACATCAAATTTGAGGAATGGTTATATTTTATTCTTTCTAGTGGAGTGTTTTTTTTTTAATCTCAAATATTTAGTTCTCTCTGTAAGCATATGCTAAAGGCAAAAAAAAATTCTGTGTAATAATTCTGATGGTGAGACAGGTGATATCAGTTGCAAAGGGCAGGTGGAATATATTCTACATTCCCAGTGTCCTAACATAAACACACTATTAACATAAATTGCTTCTTCTCAAGCTCACATGGAAAAAAAAAAAGTTGTCACTGAGACCCAAGAAATCAATGCAGACAAAGAGGACAGGCAGAGAATTTCTCAAGAATAACCTGATAATCTTGGGGTGCAAAGTCTGGCAGTTTTAGATTAAGTTTTTGCTTAATGAACTTTCAGTAAAAAAAAATTCTGCAAATTCCCAAAGGATCATCCACCTAGATGGGTTCAAATACTGAATGCTAAATTAGAACTGTGGCTTTGACTTTGATTATGATGGAAATGGATGTAGTATTTTATTATTCATTCTTAATTTATTATTCAGTCTAATTATCCTTTGAGGCACTTTTCTAGATTAAAGAAAATATCCATGGTGACAACTATCTGTTAAATAAAAATTACATCCTAGAGCACATTAAGATCTTTTGTTCACGTTTATAAGAAGGTTAAAAAAATTCTATAGCATGAATATATAGTTCCCATCTGTGAGTGTAGTTTTCAGCTTTCCAAACTGGTCTTTTTAGTCCTTTAAAACTCACCTCTGGATTAAATATCAATCTTTCTCCTTAAGGAGATAAATTGTGGGTGTTTTCTTTTTATGAGGCAATAACTATAATCTCTACTAAATAAACTTAGGGGCTGTGGTATTTATAGGAAATAAACTCAAGGCTAAAAAGCTAAAGGGTTTTTTAGCTTAGGATATAATTTTAATAGAGTATTTCCAGGAGTACACCCTCAGGTTAACTCAGTTATAGTGAACTGGCATTCTCGCTACTTTTCCATTTTCTTCAAGATCCTCTTTACAAACTCTCCATGTTTCTGGAAGATGGTTCTAAAAATTCTGTGACAAGTTGCTCATTTTCCCATAAAGAATTAAAAAAAAAAGTCAATCTAAAATCTCTGTTGAACTCATTAACTATGAAGTCATAACACAGCACTCAGAAATTAAAAAGAAGGAGGCCGAGTGCGGTGGCTCATGCCTGTGATCCCAGCACTTTGGGAGGCCGATGGGGGAATGAATCACCTGAGGTCAGGACTTAGTTTAGTAGAAACGCTGTCTCTACTAAAAATACAAAAATTAACCCAGGCACGGTGGCTCATTCTGTAATCCCAGCACTTTGGGAGGCCGAGGCGGGCGGATCACGAGGTCAGGAGTTTAAGACCAGCCTGGCCAGCACAGTGAAACCCCATCTCTACTAAAAAAAAATACAAAAAATTAGCCAGGCATGGTGTCACATGCCTGTAATCCCACTACTGGGGAGGCTAAGGTAGGAGAATTGCTTGAACCCAGGAGGCAGAGGTGGCAGTGAGCCGAGATTGCGCCACTACACTACAGCCTGGGCAACAGAGCGAGACTTAGTCTCAAAAAAAAAAAAAAAAAAATTAGCTGGGTGTGGTGGCAGGTGCCTGTAATCCCAGCTACTCAGGAGGCTGAGACAGGAGAATCACCCAAACCTGGGAGGCAGCGGTTGCAGTGAGCTGAGGTCACGCCACTGCACTGTAGCCTGGGCAAGACAGCAGGACCCTGTCTCCAAAAAAAAAAAAAAGAAAGAAAAAAAGAAATTAAAAGGAAGGGGCTTGGGCCTCCTCCTCCTTCACTACAAGCAGTGTGTGGAAAACATCTATTAGAACCCATGACTTAGAATCAATTAGAACATATAGTCACATGATAAGAACACAAATAAACAATTTTAAAATAGCTCTAAACCTTGTCCTTTGGGGAAATTGTGGTTTGGCTGTTTACTACTTTAGTTTATTTCAGTTCTGAAATCCAGTTTGTTACCTATATAAATAAAATGGAGTCTTTGCTTGTTTATCACTTTATCACAAAAGTACAGCTGAACGGATTGTGGAGTATGTTTGGGAAGGCCTGATGCATTAAAAAAAAAAAGATTAGGTCATAAGGGTGCACACACAATTCATTTTGAAACGTCATTGGGGTGGCACTTCAAAGAGACAGGGAAGTATCCTATCCTCCAGAACAGCTGCAGGCTTTCAGATTTGTAGCAGTGGCCCAATTACATGCACACACATAGCTGTGTGTCTCCAGCACGAGGAACAGCAGCAATTATTTATGTGACAATGGTTGGTGATTCTCCAGAGAAATGCTGGGTTGGCCTGGCTAACATTGCAAATTTTTTTTAATATGTGAATTTTTATCAATTCTGGCATATTCTTAGAAATGGATATCATTTTAAGTTTTTTCTTTTTTTTTGTAATATTACAAGCATTCCTTAAATTGAGAATTTAAAGGATGAAAACTATTTTATGATACAATTTCACTGAAGCAGAAATCTATTTATTTACGAAATAAACTGTTCTAACACAACAAGGAAAAGTTTCTGGTTATTAATTGTTTTAATTAATTTGTATCTTGTTATCAATCATAGTCCCACCTATATCCATGGGCCCAACTCATGGGTCATTTGTAATTTCAGGGACCTGTTCTTGTAAACACCAAGTGCTTCCTGAAATGCTTGTACCTCCTGCTCAGCCCATGTGCGCTACAGGTCAGAAGTGCCAGGGAACAAACATTTTTTTAAATTATTGTTTTAATTTTTATTTTACTTTAAGTTCTGGGATACATGTGCAGAACGTGCAATTTTGTTACACAGGTATACGTGCACCATGGTAGTTTGCTGCACCTATTGACCCATCATCTAGGTTTCCTCCCCTTGTCCCCCATCCCCTAATAGGCCCTGTTGTGTGTTGTTCCCCGCGGTGTCCATATGTTCTCATTGTTCAGCTCCCACCTTATGAGTGATAACATGCGGTGTTTGGTTTTCTGTTCCTGTGTTAGTTTGCTGAGAATGATGGCTTCCAGCTTCATCCATGTCCCTGCAAGGAACGTAATCTCATTCCTTTTATGTGCATAGTATTCCATAGTGTATATGGAATTTTCTTTGTCCAGTCTATCATTGATGGGCATTTGGGTTGGTTTCATGTCTTTGCTATTGTAAACAGTACTGCAATAAACATAAGTGTGCGTGTGTCTTTGTGGTAGAATGACTTACATGCCTTTGGGTATATACCCAATAATGGGATTGCTGGGTCAAATGGTATTTCTGGTTCTAGATCCTTGAAGAATCGCCACACTATCTTCCACAATGGTTGAACTAATTTATATTCCCACCAACAGTGTAAAAGTGTGGAATGAACATCTTTAGGAACAACGGTGGATTAAAATGCCAACTTCCGGCCGGGCGCGGTGGCTCACGCCTATAATCCCAGCACTTTGGGAGGCCAAGGTCGGCAGATCACGAGGTCAGGAGATCGAGACCATCCTGGCTAACACGGTTAAACTCCGTCTCTACTAAAAATACAAAAAAAAATTAGCCGGGCGTGGTGGAGGGCACCTGTAGTCCCAGCTACTCGGGAGGCTGAGGCAGGAGAATGGAGTGAACCCGGGAGGTGGAGCTTGCAGTGAGCCAAGACGGCACCACTGCACTCCAGCAGGGTGACAGAGCAAGACTCCATCTCTAAATAAATAAATAAATAAATAAATAAATGCCGGCTTCCTTGCCCTTGGTAGGTCAGTTCTGAGCCATGTTCTGCAGTCTCTTGGAGAGTTCCAGGGCACTGAGCTTACATAGTGATGTATTGGTTAATACTCTTTTTGTCAGCTGCCCTCCCTTCTCTGTCTACCTCCTCACACCCTCACTGTGTTTCCCAGAATAACATCTCAGATGAGTTTACGTACATTCAAAACGTTATCTCAAGTTTGCTTTGGGGAGAATCCAAACAAAGATAAATTTAAACCATTGGCAATTTCTTACCTTGTTAGCACTTTTTTCCTCTTTTTTTTAATATCCAGTTTGGTGGTGAAAATCATGAGTTCTTACATCAAGCAGGCCTAGATTTAAATCCTGGCTTCTCCTGGACTTAGCTGTGTAATTTAGGGCAAATGACTTAACCTCTCTGAGCTTCAGTCTTCTGCATCAATAAAGTGGGGGTAACGGTAGCACCTATTTTACATTGTTGTGTCTTGTGTTCATTAAATTAGATAATACACTTAGTTCAGTGGCTATACATATAAGAAGTACTCAATAAATGTTAGCTGTGTTTATCTTGGCTTAATAACGTCTTGTTTTGTTCTAAAAGATTTGTAATAGGTCTAAGTTCATCTAAAGTAATTAATTAGGTTTCAGATGGGCTCATAGGGAAGGTAAGTGGCCACTCACTGAGAATGATGTGGGAAGAAAGAGCTGGAAGAATCTTCCTTGCTAGCAGCATACTTACCTACATCCCTGTCATTCACTATCTGAATGGTGAGAAAGACAGATGCTCTTGTCATCGTCACCTATCCCTAGGCACAGCATAAGCCACACCGTTTCCATGACACCCTCCCTCTTCCTTTCTCTCGATGATAGATGGCATTTACTCTCCACACTACGCTTTTTCACACTTCACCATATGTGAGATCTTTGTGGTGATTAATTTTATGTGTCAACTTGGCTAGGCTACGGTACCCATATATTTGGTCAAATATTATTCTAGATGCTTCTATGAAAGTACTTTTGGATGAAATTAATATGTAAATTGGCAGACTTCCAGTAAAGCAGATTATCCTCCATAATGTGGGTCAGCCTCATCCAATCAGTTGAAAAACCCTTTAGAGAAAAAAGACTGACTTCCCCTGAAGCAGAGGGAATTTTACCAGCAGAATGTCTTCTGACTCCAATTGCAACTCTTCTCTGGGTGTCCAGTCTGCCAGCCTACCCTCCAGATTTTGGGCTTGCCAGCCTTCAAAACTCCATAATCATTTCAGCCAATTCTTTAAAATCAATCTCTCTCTATCTCTCCCTCTCTGTCTATATATATATATATATATATATATATCACACACACACACACACACACACACACACACACATATATATATCACACATAAACACACATACGCGCACATATATTCTATTTCTCTGTTGAGCCCTGACTAATACATTCTTCATACATTTTTCATACACATTCAAAATTACTGTTTTAGGAATTTTTAGATACTGTTCTGTCTTGTACTCTAATTGTAATTTAAATTTTTGATATGTATTTATCTATTCTTTCTAAAGTGATTTTAAATTATTTTAAGGTGTAAGGAAGACTGTAACTTGTATTATTTTCTTAGTATAATAGAAATAATCTTTAGATGGCATTGAAGAACATATTTGCTAGTATTTAATATTATTTTGTTAAAAATTAATTTTAATTTAATAAAACAAATATTTAAGATAATATTACACAGTAGCATAGAAATTATTTTTTCTTCAGATCTTTTGATGAAAGTAAACATCTCAGCATTAGGAAAGCAAATTATGTCAGCAATTTAAAACTTCATTGTTTATTACTAGGAACATGCAGCCTATAGATATTTATTGCACAAAAAATAAATTAAATAAATTAAAAATCACAACCTTGCGCTAGGCACAGTGCCTCATACCTGTAATCCCAGCATTTGGGAGGCTAAGATGGGAGGATCACTTGAGCCCAGGATTGTGATACCCCATCTGTACCAAAAAAATAAAAAACTTAGCTGGGTATGGTGACATGCATCTGTGGTCCCAGCTACATGGGAGGCTAAGACAACAGGATCGCTTGATTCCAGGAGGTTGAGGCTGCAGTGAGCTATGTTCCTGCCACTGCACTCCAGTCTAGATGACAGAGTGAGACCCTGTTTCCAAAAAAAAATAAGAAAAGAAAATCACAACCTTAGTTGTCTGGAATGATAGAGGAGACTTACAGAACCATAACACAGGGAGGGCTCTTATCAGTGCTCCATCCTCATCACTGCAGGGTATGAATGAGACTCTCAGGCCTAAAAGGACACGGAGGCCTAAAAGGCAGTGCGGCAATGCTTGAATTAAAATTGAGGCTTCAGTGTCCTTTTTTTTTTGTTTGATTTTTTTTGAGACAGATTCTTGTTCTGTTGCCCAGGCTAAAGTGCAGCAGCACGATCTCTGCTCATTGCAGCCTCTACCACCTGGGTTCAAGCGATTTTCTTGCCTCAGCCTCCCGAGTAGCTGGGATTACAGGTGTGCACCACCACACTCAGCTAATTTTGTGTATTTTTAATAGAGATGGGGATTTGCGTTGGCCAGGGTGGTCTCGAACTCCTGACCTCAGGTGATCTGCCTGCCTTGGCCTCCCAAAGTGCTGGGATTACAGGCGTGAGCCACTACCTCTGGCCTTCAGTGTTCTTTTTAAATCCCTATCATTAAGCAATTCAGTGTTCTTTATACGTCAGCGTAGCACTTCCCCATAAAGCGGGTGGCACTCAAGGACCTGCCCAAGGCAGCGTAGCGCCTCTGCTCTTGTTACTATTGTCCATCGTGGAGACCCTACACAGTTCTTTCAGCTGCAGCCACCATTGCCACTAGGGATACCACTGCACTCAACACCCTCGAATGCCTGCCCCAAGGTTCCTGAAACTCCTATTCCTCTTGATTCGTGGTATCAAACAGCTACTGATTCTGGCTAACTTAGGCTAAAAACAAAACGAATTTATTATTGGAGCTGAGCTGGTAGGCCTGCTGAAACGAGGCTGAAAAAATGGATAGGGACCAGTAGGGTCAAGCTACAGTCACAATCACATCACAGTAATGGTCTGCTTGGGATGCAACCACTAGACACTCACTGCCACCTTGTGAGACTCCGCAATCCTGGGCACTGGCCACCCAGCCTGAGCCATCCTCTGAACCTCACCTCACATAGGGACATCCAATTCACCAAAACTGGGTCATGTTCACTCTACCTTCAACCCACCTGAGTGCACTGGCTGCTGGGAGAGGGAATATTTGCCTTCAGTTTCAATCAAGGGATGCAGGGCCTTCATTGTTTTTCTCTTTTTCTTTTTTTTTTTGAGATGGAGTCTCACTCTGTCGCCCAGGCTGGAGCTCAGTGGCATGACCTTGGCTCACTGCAACCTCCACCTCCTGGAGCTGGGATTACAGGCACCCACCACTATGCCTGGCTAATTTTTATATTTTCAGTAGAGACGGGGTTTCACCATCTTGGCCAGGCTAGTGTTGAACTCCTGACCTCATGATCCACCTGCCTTGGCCTCCCAAAGTGCTGGGATTACAGGCATGAGCCATGGCGCCCGGCCTATTTTTTTAAAAATCATTTTAACAGGAACTTTTTGAAAAAAATCATTGTTTTTAGTAGAAATTAGAACTAGGATTAAAGGTACATATAATTTTCATGGAGCTGAAGGTTGAACTGAGTATGTCATGATAGATTGCGAAAGTTACTCTAATTGTTTTAAAACCTTAATATATTCACAACCACAGTTGTAGTTACAACTGTGGATTGTGAGTATGATAGGAAAAAATTACATAAAAATTATATTTAAAAATTAAAGTGTAAGTTTTTAAATTTCACAAGGACGTTACAAAGATACTGTTCTGTCTCGTATGGTAATTGCTTAAATTTTTCATATGTATTTATTCTTTCTAATATGATTGTAAATTCCTTTAGGGTGTAAGGGAGACTGTAACTTCTATTATTTTCTTAGTCCCCACAGACCTACAGTATTCTGTGAGTAGCAGCCAGTTAATGAATGAATGGCTGGCTGGCTGGCTGGCTAGCTGACTAAATGAATATATACGTGCACTATGCGTTGCTTTTCCAGTAGTAGATTTATTCTAATCTGCAGTCACTTTCCTGCTTGTTATCATAATGAGAACACATTGACGTGAGGTAGAGTCTGTGGCTATAGAACATGTTGTGGGTTTTCCTAAGGTTGGGATTCCATCTTTTTTGACTACACCAAATATCTGAGTTCCCTCACCTCAGACAGATTCATGTTTCATGAATTATTGCTTAGTCCTGAAAGAAAGAACAAATCCACACTCTAGGAGAATGGCAAGGACAGCCTCTGGAGATAGATGATTGAGATTCAAATCCAGGCTCCTGAAAAAACAAGCCCTGTGACCTTGAGCACGTTCAACACCTCTCTAAGGATTACTTTCCTTATTTGTACATGGGGATCATAATGGTGCCTGTTCCTCAGAGAGTCATCCTGCGGATTAAATGAAGGAACGAAGCTTGGCCTCTGGCAAGCACTCCAAGAACGCTAATTATTGTTACGCCTGCTTTGGGTGGTACAGGTGGTAAGAATGGTGCACTACTGAGCTCATAGATGCCGTCCGCTGGTGGCCCAGTTACATTTGCTCTGAACTGTGGGCCACACCCCTTCTTGTTCTGTCCTCACTGCAGGCCTATTAAACACAGTGAAGCCACAGTGGGGCGGAGATTTTGGTAGGAGGCATAAAACTATAAACCTGGCTTTCGTTTAGGTTTTAAGATAGAGGAATAAAGGTATTTCTAAAACATTTCTGTATGTCACAGAGATAGGAGAGCAAATGGGGATGTGGGGCACCCTTCTGTATGATTTAAAACATTACATGATTAAACATTTAAAAATTTTTAAATATATCCTTGTGGACATCATTGAGCTACTAATGCCATTTTGTGTTTCAGCTAGTGTGGGGTGAGTTTTTGTTTATTATTTATTATGTAAAGATGTCTACATCTAACTTATAATGCCACCAGTTTTACTTCATAATAAGTTTATTACTTAATATGTAAAGATGTCTACAAAGTATAACATCACCAATTTTACTTCTTAGAATGTATTGTATTATGACACATGCTCAAAGCCATATTTAGACTGATACTTATTGGCATATTGTTTGTAATAGGAAAGTTCTATAATAGGTCTATGTATCACACACACCCCACTCCCACAGTTGGGGGCCAGTTAAGTCATTTATAGTGCATTGGTACTGTGGGGCACTATGCTTTTGATGGTGAATTAGCACTGAGCATATATTTCTACACCTTTCTATGTTCCTGCCCACAGGAAGAAACAGTTTTCTCAAATTCTCTTGCAGCTAGAGTTCTGGGTGAGAATTTGCTGCCACCAATGGGAAACATATGTGTGATATTTGGAAGTTGGAAGTAAATGGAGGCCTCCTTTGTATGAGCTGCAAGCTCATTAGTGTTTGCAGCTAGACTCAGCACTCCAGTGTCTAGTTATCAGCTTTGTCATAACCTAGAGGCATCTCCCTAGATGTAGCAGTCAGTGTCTAGTCACCAGCTTCAGGGGAACTGAGGCAATTGTGGGGCTCAAGCAGTGGAAGCAGCAGCAATTTGCTGACCTGTGGATCGCAGCAGTGTGCCCTTAAAATCAATATCCAGTAGGAGACCCCTGTCTTCTGCTTCATGAACCCATCCACAATTTTGTGAGTACCCAATTTCCTGTTTTAAATCCCTTTCTATCTGAAATACCTAGAGTGATTTCTGTTTCCTGTACTAAATCCTGATGGATACTAATACTATGTGGATATCAAGAAGAATTAAGATTTATATGGGCTATGGAACAACATACTATTTATGACATTACAGTCCAAATAAAACTAGAGAATTGCATGTAAAGTATACTTTCATTTGTATAAGAATAAAGTGTGTTTATGAACATACATACATACACACATATGCTTGTTTATACATAGAAAAATTCAAGAAGGTTATATAAGAAAATGAAATCAGTAATTGCTTCTAGGAAAACAAAAATGGGGTCTGGGATGGGAGAGAGATTTACATTTTCTCTATGTACAATTTAAACTGTTGGGATTTTTTTACCATGTTTACAAAATACGTTTTTTGATTAAATTTTTTTAATTACGAGAAAATGATAAGTCTAACAATTTGAAAAAGAAAGAAAAAACATCCACCAACCAACCAATCTAAAAGATATCACTTGTGTTTTTATATATTCCCTCTGAATCTTGGGTGATTTTTTTTTACAGTGAGATAGTTACACATACAACTTTATAATTGGCTTTTCTTCCTGCTTACTTATATAACTAAAATTTAGGAAGTACTTACCAAGTTTTGGGCATGGTGATAAAGCATTTCCTTGAATCATATTTCATTGAAATTGAGATGTTATTGATTGTAAGATGCACCATTTCCCTATGTACCATTAAGAAATAACTTTTTTTGAAAAACTGCTCACTAAACTATAACACAAACAAGACATAATTTTTTTTTCTCCAATTGAACCACATGTCGTTGAAAGTTAAGCAACTTCTAGAGTAAATAGGAAACTTCTGACATATTGGTGCTTGACATTTTAATGATGGTTCTACACAAGGCATGAATTGATCATACCAGCCTCTCATCACTTTGAAATTCTTTTTTATATAGTCTTAAGATTACACAGTTTCTTTGCCATTGGCTGGTATACGATACGCTCATACCTCAGTCACAAAATATAACACAGTTTCCTCTTTGGGTTGTTTTGCATGAATAAGTGGAATTGCAGTCTTTCCTTCAGGAACAAATACTTGCTTTACTAAATATCAAATTTAAACCCTCCTGCTCTACTTCGATGCCATTGTCCATACACAGTAATGTTTGTTTCCATGGTGAATCAATGTAATTTTTAAGGCACTTTAAATGGTAATTAAATTCAAATTGTATGGCACCACAATGTATATAATTCAACTGATGAAACAACTGCAAGAAAAGTGACAGCCAAGTTTACATGTGTAAGCAACAGCAATTCTGTGATTGTAAGACAATCAATTGTAAGTCATGGCGCAATATCAGTTAAAGTGTGAAAAAATATTCTCTTCAGAATAGATAAAATATAGTATTATTCACTAAATCCTCAAATAATCTTTAAGTCGATTTTATTATTCCTCACATGAGAAAACTGAGAAACAAAGAGATCATCAAGATGCATAGTTATTAAGAAGCAGGTCTTTTTAAAAGTAGTTCCTCTGGTTCCAGCGCCCACAAGTCTTAACCTTTAAGCTATGTTGTCTCCTTGTTGTCCTAAGACTTTTCCTTACATAACAGTCATTCTAGAAAATTTGAAAAATACAGAAATTATAAACAAGCAAATAACAAGGCTATTACAATTTTATCACCTACAGGCAGTCACTGCCAACATATTGATGGGTTTCTTTTAAAATTTCCCATATATCTTTTCATATAGTTGAAATTATAGTGGAAATACTTTTTCATGTCCTACTTGATTCACTTAGCATGTTGTATTGGTTCGCTGTGGTTGCTGAAAAAAATTAGTACAAACTCTGTGCCTTCAAACAAAAGAAATTTATTCTTTCAAAGTTCTGGAGGCCATAAGTCTGAGATGAACGTGTGGACAGGGCCACAGCACTCCCGCTAGAAGATCTAGGGAGAATCCATTGTTTGCCTCTTCCAGCTTCTGATGATCGACAGCATCCTCAGTCTGAAGCCATGTCATTCTGATCTCTGCCTGGTCTTCACACTGATTTCTCCTCTGTGTCTGTGTCTTCTCTTCTGTCATAAGTGTCATAAGGACATTTGCCATTGGATTTGGGGTCCACCCAGGTAATACAGGATCTCAAGATCCTTAAGATCTTAATTACATCTGAAAAGATCCTTTGTCCAAATAAGGTCACATTCACAGGTTCTAGGGATGAGGAGCCAAGAACATATCCTTTTGGGATCCACCATTCAACCCACTACAAGTCTCATAAGCATTTTCTTATGTTATTAAAAACTCTTATTCACAGACATTTTTAATAGCTCCATAATATTCTATCATGTCTACACAATATTCTAGCATGTTTACCTGGCTACAAGTTTGCATTAGGTCTGTGTTCAAAGCCCAGCAAAGCAGAACTGAGAGATTTCTGACATCTTGGTGAATATTTTATTAATATTATCTTGTGTCGCTTTATGAAGAGACTGGTGATTCAACTGAGTTGGATTTTCATTGTTTATTAAGGACTGCCATTCTAAATATTCAGGTGGTTAATCTGAATGTCGAACTACCGTTTTGAGCTAGAAAACAGATTTGCTGGAGAGGCAGTGCTAGGTGGAAAGGGGAAATATGAATTTAGAGTGATCTGTATTCAAATGCTGGCTCTGACTGTCTTTATTTTCTGTAGCACTGGACAATTTAACCTACCTTGGAGATTAAATGTCTTATTCTGTCAAAGAAAGATTATAAAGTTTATTTTAGACAGTTGTTATGAAGATGAGATAGGGTATATAAAAAAGATTGCACAGCCAAATTATTTTATACAACATGTTATCCACAAAGAATTAGGCAGTGGAGAGGCTGCCTCGGCACCTGGTTCATTAATTAGATGCCATTAAGCTCCACTAGTGGTGTCATGTGAAGCTTTCATGCTAACGTTTGTTTTGCATCAACAATGCCAAACAGTTAAATCTTTAGTGAAAGATTTCCCTGTGGGAATGTATATTCTTCTTCTCCACATTATAAAAAGAAAATTCCCTGGAGTGAGACACAGTCATGGAGTCTACAGTGAAGGTAGATGTATACTTAAATACATTGAAAGAATGACACATTATTCACAGCACATTAGAGAATTAAGTCAATACTGATACTATAGTCTTTTAAATAAAGTAAATAAAAAGACGAAAGATAAATTGATGTTCCTAGAGCAGCACAGCTTAATGAAGCATAATATATTAGCATCACCAGCCAAAATTATGATGCTGATAATTTTGACAACATAGTGATCTTCTGTTGAGTTAGGGAACATCAACAAAGACATGTTATTCTCTTTCAAATTGTAAAAAGAAATTATAATCCTGTTATATTAAACATATTTGATATATTTAAGTTATTACATGTTGCTTTAAATTTACAAAATCCTATGGTATTTAGAAAAGTCTAACAGTTCTTTTTGGAAGTAAACCAAAAACTCTTTGGCAAGAAGGAACTCCCAAGGTCTGTAGCCCAACCAGCCATTCCAGTAAGGGACTACTTTGACAGCAGCTAAGGGGTCATGTATCATACAGGCTTCGGCAGGAACAAGAGCTCCAAAAACAGGCATTCATTACTCCAGGGTTGTGAGTTACTTGGGAGCAAAAATATTGTCTTAGGCATATTTGTTCCTTATACAACCCAGATCCTAACATAGTATGCCTGGAACATAGTTGACGCTCAATAAATGGTTGTTGAATAAATAGCCTGCCTAGCGAGGCAGCCTTTTCCATTAAGGGGCAGCATCATTGTTTAGGAAGTTCTTCACAAATGGAACCTAAAGCAGCTATTTTAAAGTATTTGCCTTTCTCTTCTAGTCCCCTAGCATTCTCCATTGTGTGATGTTGATTCATTAGATAGAAAAGGGAAGCATATTAAATTTATAATTAACCTTTCCTTTTGACATGTAATTAGCTAGGATTTATGAGATGCTAAAGGCTGCAATGCCTGAGAAAGGGAGCATAAATATATAAATAGGAGTGTTTTTATTTTACCGAGCTTGGAATAATAGTCATTTGTTTTCATTGAGACATTATATATCGGATATATTTTCATTTTAGATTGGCTAATGATCTTCTATTTTCTGTCCAGTCCTGGACTAGAGATCTAATTTTAACTTTTCTGTATTAAAATTGAGAATCATGTCAGGTCAAGTCAATGTAAAATATTATAAAGTGTGAATTCACTTTTCATTTCCATTTTGTTGTGATAATTTTCTTATTGTGCTACTATTATAATTCAAAACTACGTTGTCAATAGAGTAACATTTAGATGAACCAGATGAATAGCAAAGAAAACTGTTTTAGAATTTATATTAAACTAGACCTTATCACTATTTACACTAAGTTTTACAATATTTTGCAAGCAAATTTTTACCAACTAATAGTTTTTTTTCCGTAAGATGGAATTAATTTTAAACTTTTCTTCTCTTTTATTTAGGAATAAATATCTTTTCACCCAAATTTAACAGGCTACCTTCAAGAGAAAAAAGTGCTTGCAGTAAGGAAACAGATTACAAAGTATCTAATATTTTACTTATTTGGAAATCCATCTAGCTGACATGCCAAATGAAATATGAGACATTCTTAGCCTTGGAAAACTTTCTCCCAAACTTAAAAATAGCTCATATTCTCTTTATTATTAAGCACATAAGACATCTAACTTCACCCTGAACTATCTTTTACCTTATAGTTTTGGGCTTCTAAATCTTGTAAAAACCTCTGTAACATCACTTAGATCACATATTTTCTTCATGTACTATGCTTTATCATGCCATTCAATTATGGAGACTAAAACGAGCAGCCAGAGTTCTTGTTCAAAGCATCACTTTCTCTCAGCCATGCTATGGTAAATCACTCTTTTTTTATTTTTTAAATTCACTTTCCAAAGTTTAAACCAGAAATAGGAGATTTTTGTTCTATACTTAGCAGTCTTTCATGGCTTCCCATTTACTTCAATTCTCAAAGTAGGAGTGTTGACCTGTAATTGTCATTATTATTACCATTATTAATCTTTCATAAGTACAACTTATATTCTGCTGATTCCTTTCCCCTCTTGTTAGTTGGATAGATGTGATCTTTTGCAAGTAGACTTTTACTATAGTCTTCACAGTTCTTATTTTCCATATTTACTTTTCCCAATTATTTGAATAACACTTCTTGTGTACCATGATTTAATAATTGTTGTTAAACTGTTATTATTGTGACTTTCTACAGTAAAGATATTTTTAAGAAACATGTTAAAAACATAAAGTATGTGAGCTGAAGGAAGAATGCTATACCCATAAATGTTTACACCTACCATATACCCACAAAAATTAAAAATTAAAAAAGTGAAATACTATAAAAACAAGAAAAATATATGAAAAGAAATAAGCAAAGTTTAGTTAGCTGAACTGTGTTCTGTTCTTTAGGACGTTCCATACCTTTCTTATGAGGCCTGCCATGAGTAAGAGATAGGCTGACCTAAATTCTTCTTGGTCTTTGTTCATCTGAGATGGAGAGGAAAAAATGTTACCTATTTCATTACCTGGTCACCATGAATCTGGGCACTAGTTTTCATTCTACATTTTGACTACTATCCTCAGAGAATTTCTCTGTTTCCTGTGATAGCAGTGATTGCTCTCTTTTGAGAGTTGTGATCCAGGGTTAAAGCTGATTATTCCCCCAAACTTCTTCAATGGTTTTTGTTAAATGGCCATTTGTTAAATGGCCCCTGTCTGTACTTAAATATTAGGTAAGAGAGCTATTAGGAAGGAAAGCCAGAAGGACGGCAGGCATAAATATCTTTTTCTGTGTTGCTGGGACAAGGTGACCTGGAAGACAGTCACTGTATTAATGTTAATGAGTATAAACAAGCCCTGCAGCAAGACTCAAATAGTACAGCCCAAATCATAATGTTTAGTTCGAAGCAAACTAGGCTCTGTGATTGGAACACAGAGATGAATGAGATGCTCTGTCCCCAAGAAGCTTATTGTCTAGCTTCTTTTTCCCTATGAGGATAAGAAACCCCTGTAAAACTGGGGCATCACTGTTAGAACAATGTAGAATACTCCTCAGGGAGGATCAGTAAGCATTTATCAGGGTGAGAAAAGTTAGACTTTGTGTGGTATAGAATTTGTGGAAAAAATGAGATGAATAGCAAATCATACCATTGAGCCCCAACCTTTTATTATTAGATTTATCAAATAACTGGTGTGCCACTACCATCTTTATTTCCTTGCCACTTCATTATTTAATCTCTTAGGATCATCCAGCCAGATCACTCCTCTGAAACTACACCCTGATCACTTAACTGAAACTACGTCCTAAAAGAACATAATTCTTTGAGTATTAATTTAATGGTATAATGTACACAGAACAGCAAGAAAATTAATAGAATGGATTTGGAATTAGGCAGACCTAAGTTAAACTCCTGCTTCTATTATTTACTAACTAGCTTTGGTGACCTTAGAAATCATTTTTAAAACCTCACTTGTGAAAAGGGACAATAAAACCTACCTAATAAGATTATCATAAAGATCGACTGAGATAAAATATGTAAAGCACCTAGCACAAAGCAAGGCATATAGTTTGTGTTCAGCGATTATTCTTATTATTTTAAGAGGCTTTTCACATGTGTTTATTTCTCCTACATTTCTATATCATGTGAAATATGGCACCATCTCATACTTAAGAAAAATGGTTTTTTTTAATTCTTCCGGGACAAAACCTTAAATAACCCTTAATGTCCAATCCTTGGACTTCTATTCTTTATCTTTTAAGAAGCTGTTATCATTCCGCCCATAGGGATGAAGAGAAGAACCCAGCAAAAAAGAGAGTTATACTGCTTTCAGAGAAGTAACCCTCAGTGTAGGAACATAGCCAACCCAAGGTAACCTTGTGAGAGAGGCAGTCATCAGTGATACACCGACCTCAGTCTCCTCCTATTCATTCTCTGATTTACTGCTGAAGCTCCATTTTGGATGAATACAATCACAGCCAGAGAGGATAGGAGCCCATGGATATAGTCCTTACAAGTAAGCCTCCTCCCAGAATAAAGAACAAAGCAGAGACGAGAAAGCAGAGAAGAGTGGCGAGTAGACATGCAGAGGCAAACACAAGGTGTCTGACATGGGCATATAGAAATGACTCTACAGAACATGTGTGTCTTCATCCACTAGGGCTGCTCTAACAAGATACCCTGGACTGTGTGGCTTCAACAACAGATACTTATTTCTCACCATTTGAAGGGCTGGGAAGCTAAGATCAAGGTGCTGACGGATTTGATGTTTTGGTAGGGGCCTCTTTCTGGTTTGTAGACAGCTGTCTCCTTTTATCCTCACATGGCCAAGAGACAGCATGTCTGTCCTTATAAGGGCCCTAATCCCAGTCATGAAAGTTCCACCCCTATAACCTAATCACCTCCCCAAGGCCCCACTTCCAAATACCATTACAATGGAAGTTAGGTTTTGACATATGAATTTGGAGGGTTAGGGGGATGCAATGTTCATTTATAACAATGTGTAAGATCTTTATGAAAAAATATACATTTTCTAAACAGAGAGCAATACCGTGTTTATGAGTAAGTAGTTTCAATATTCTTATAATGTCAATTTCCCACAAATTAATCTGTAAATTCAATGCAGTTTTTTTAAATACCAAGAGTATTTCATAGGACTTTATAAGCTGATTCTAAATTATACAATAAAAAACCAGACAAAACAAATGAACAATGCCAAGACAGTTTTGAAGAACAAAGTACAAGATCCTTAGGTGAGAATTCTCAAGTCTCATTATAAATCTATGATAATTGAGACATTACTAAAGAATCAGAACAAGTGCCCATAAATTCACACATATATGGAAACCTAATACATAATAGAAGTCACATCATAGATCAATAGGTAGAAGATGGACTTTAATAAATGATGCAGAAAAAATATATTATCCATGTGGGGGAAAATTTTTTGACTCCCTACCTCACAGTATAATTTAATTCACCTAAAATTGATTTTAGGTGAATTAAAGACCTAAATGTGAGGGGGAAAATATGAATACTTTGAAGTAAATGTAAGAGAACATCCTATGATTTTGACCTAAGAAAAAATTTTTCAAACAATGTGCAAAAAGTATTATAGTCTTTGATAGGAAAGATTCCTCAAATGAGGCACAAAGGCATTAATCATAAAGGAAAAGAAGGATTATCTGGTTACATTTAATTTGGAACTTCTGGCCAGGCACAGTGGCTTATGCCTATAATCCCAGCACTTTGAGAGGCCGAGGTAGGAGGATTGTTTAAGGCCAGGAGTTTGAGACCAACCTGGGCAAGATAGTGAAACCCTGTACCTACAAAAAATTTAAAAAATTAGTTGGGCATTGTGGCGCATGCCTGTGGTCTCAGGTACTCAGGAGGCTGAGGTGGGAGAATCACTTGAGCCCAGGAGTTCCAGGCTGCAGTGAGCTACGATTATGCCGCTGCACTCTAGCCTGGGCGAGTGAGATACTGTCTCAAACAAAAACAAAAACAAACAAACTAAAATACTTAAACATGATAAAGAGAATGAAAAGATGAGCTACAAATTAGACAAAGAAATGTGTCAGATATTGACAAGGGACCAATATAGAGAATATTTAAAGAACTATTAAACAATAGAACAAGATATACAGCCTACTAGAAAAATGGGCAGATGACTAGAACAGGGACTTTACAAAAGAGGAAATTAAAAGCTAATGCAAACAAGATGCTCAATTTGACAAGTAATCAAAAAGATGCAAATTAAAACCTCAAACCTGACAATATCAAATATAGTTAACATTGGAAACTCCTATCCATATTGGTAGAAGTATTAATTAGTACAATTTCATTGGCAAAGAGGTTAGCAATACTTAATAGACTGAACCACTCATACTTTTACCCTCATTCATCCTCCTGGGTATGTGCTCTAGAAGGATTCTTGTGCATGTACACTAAGAATCATACATTGGAACATTCATGGCAGCCTGGTTTGTCATATGGAAAAGCTGGAGATAACTAAGATATGCATTGTAGTAGAAAAGGTAGTGGCATACTCATACAATGGGACCCCATACAGAAAGCAAAGTGGACATCTAGCAACATGTGTGAATCTCACAAAATATTGTGATAAAAGTCAATAAAAACAGAATATATACATTATGATTCTATTATACACAGTTCAAAAACAGATACAATCGGTCATTTAGGGATGCATACACAGGTTGAGTGAATATTAAAATGAAGCAAGAAAATGATTATCATTAAAATGAGTGTAGCTGTTTCCTTCGGAAGGGAAGGAGCGGTGTTCACGAAAAGGCACAAAAGGAGCTTCCAATTATTGGCAGTGTTTTATTTTGTATCAGAAACAGTAGATACTTAATGTTCACTTTGTTATTTCTATTTATATAGTGTATATACATTTCATACATTCTTATGTATATATATTTCACAATTTTATAAAAGAATGAAAACCATATGTTCTCTCTTTATTAAAATAAGTTTACATGTGATATACCATCAGCCCACTTAAATAAATACATTCAAACCCATTTCTTAAATTCAAAAACCAAAGAGAAGATTGAAACAGGAAAACAAATATATTTAATTTACACACACACAAAACAAATGTGTATATTACTTAAAGGAGAATACTGATCAATTACATTAAAATTAAAATAT
The DNA here is from genome assembly GCF_000001405.40 of Homo sapiens. Lineage (NCBI taxonomy): Eukaryota > Metazoa > Chordata > Mammalia > Primates > Hominidae > Homo > Homo sapiens. The sequence goes on from NC_000005.10 coordinate 108,718,133, forward strand.
ATAAAAAAGCTTATATATATCAAAATATAAATAAACTTTTATCTATATATAAATATAGCTTTTATCTATATTATATATTACATGTATGTTATTTTTATACTTAGGAATACTATTTAAAATTAATCAGCATTTACTACACAACTCAGCTGTGATTAGTGTTTGGATCTACAATATACATTATTCATATATTATTTCTAATTCTCCAACAACTGAAAATTAGTTGTCACTATCCTCATTTTTCAAATGTAGAAACTGAGAACCTGATAAGTTAACCAATTTGCCTCCGATAATCCAGCCATTTAGGGGTAGAGCCAGCTAATAGGTATAGAGCCATTTGAATTGCAGTCCTTCTGCCTCCCAAATTGACATGCTTTCTGTCATGTTACAAGACAGTCCTGTTCTCCAGTCTTCTGTAGTGTTTGGGCACACTTCTTTCACATGTTATCTGAGGAGGCTTTCTGACTCCCTATTAATATGTGGCACTGAAGCTATGGACACTTATTCTAGAACTCATTTTCTTGTGTTCATAATGAAGGGTATAACACTAGTTCCTTTAAGCACTAAAAGTCTGTGTTATTTAACCATGAAAATATAAAACTGCCATTTACCTCTTAATTAGTGGTCTTCCTTTTCTGGATAATGGCAGGAAACTGGAAGTGAGGTTAAACTAGAAGAAAAGAAAATCATAAATACAAGCAGACTCTCACAGCAGGAGGCCATTTTTTTTCTAACACCTGTTTGTTTGTTATGATAACTTCTCTCTAAATCAAGGTAATTGTGAGAAGTACAGAATAAATTATAAATAAATTCTGAGTTATGTGATATGTTTGACAAAATGTCTTATTTTCAAACCTAATTCAGAATTATTCAATCAAGCTACAAGTGAGTTGCTTTCGTGGTCCAACTATAAACGGATGGCACAGAATGATTTCTGCTTAATATATCTGTTACTAAACTCTAAATGGTAATTCAAAAGTTCTTACAGATGTTTTAAACATTTATTTTGTTAAGAAATAAAAATAATCTTCTTGTCACTTGTTTAAACTCTTAACCTGCTGAAAAAGGAAAGGCTTACCAAGTAAGCATTATCACACTTCAACTTGGGGTTCCTCTGAATACTGACAAATTTTCAAATCACTTTGAGGCAAATTAATTGTTCTGCTGATACTACCTTTAATACGCTCCTTAGGACTTTCAGCTTGAAACTTATTAATGCCTGAGCATTGTATACAGAACAGATGAAATTAGAAATGATTACAGCAATGTTGAATAGATGTTCCCATTATAAAATTCATTGTTTTAAAATATTTTAATCTCGGCTAGGCGTGGTGCCTCATGCCTGTAATCCCAGCACTTTGGGAGGCCGAGGCAGGGAGATCATGAGGTCAGGAATTCGAGACCAGCCTGGCCAACATGGTGAAATCCCATCTCTACTAAAAATACAAAAATTAGCCGGGCATGGTGGTATGAGCCTGTAGTCCCAGCTACTTGGGAGGCTGAGGCAGGAGAATCGCTTGAACCCAGAAAGAGGAAGTTGCAGTGAGCCAAGATTGCATCACGGCACTCCAGCCTGGGAGAAAGAGCGAAACTCCGTCTCAAAAAAAAAATTTTTTTTAATCTCATATTTAGCACTGTTTAATGGCAATGTATAGTCCACTAATGGTTCTCAAGCAGGGTTGATGTTGCCCTCCAGGGGACATTTGGCAATGTCTGGAGACATTTTAATTTGTCACACTAACTGGACCAGGTAAGAGTTGGAGTAGAGGCACCAGCATTTAATGGGTAGAGAAGCCAGGGATACCTCTAAACAGCCTGCAATACATAGGACAATCCCCCACATGAAAGGATTATCCAATCCCACACCAAAATAATACTACCAAGGTTGAGAGACCTTCTTCTAACACTAAATAAATTTATCAACAGCTTTAATGGACTTACTAAAGGTTTTTGTCTTTAAAAGGTTAGGATTTAAAAAGATAAGATAGAAACAGCATGTACATACACACACGTATATCTATACATATATATTCGTGCTAAATAAAAATGTATGAGATGTGCTTCTAAAATAATGTGACTACTTTGTTAGCATGTGAAATTAATTGCTAACATTTAGAAAATGTTTTACTGTTTATGGAGTACTTTCTCACTACTGTCTTCCTGGCAATATTATCTATACCTATAGCCTCCACTTTCATCTCTATGATTGTGATTTTCAAATGTTTAGCCCAGATTTCAATATTACCATACCCTGATGATTTTCTGTCTTCAGTATTCCTCCATCACTCCCTCTGCATTATTTGGCCCTCATCCTTGCTTTCATGGATGATTGTGTGACCCCATTGTGCAAGATCACACTATCCTGTGGTTATAAAATAAGGAAACACTTTTTCTTACTGCACAAAGTGTAATGGCTTTAATCCTGACTAATTTCCAGAAATCAGCCCTCATCAGATGACTCACCAGGTGCTTCTGAGAACTCTCAGGATTCCATCATATGGTCTCTTCAGCAGGTCTCCAGGGACCATGTGCCATCTAAGGCTCTAAGGCTGCCATATCTTTCTGTAAGATCACAATGATGGCTCAGGTGAGTGTGGCTTTCTGCAGATGACTTCTGTTACCAACACCCTGGTCTCAAGGAGGAAGTTTACTGCTCTCTCCTTTGCATTTCTTTCTGAAGCATGGGATAGGCCCTTCCTGAATTCCCCACAGTATAACTGAGTCCAGACTGTAACTTTTGACACAACTTCACTGCAGGTTTAGGAATAAAAGAAAGGAAGCAGAGTGAGGTAGTTACTTGCAACCTACACAGGCCCAGACCCATGCAGAGGTCCCAGAGATCTTATTCTTAGCCAGTATCTGCCTGTCCAGGGGTGGCTTCCCCTCTGGAAATGCCCCAGGACTCTCCATACTTTTGACTTTATTCCAAACTGACTCTGGCACCAGAAACAGGAGGAAATTTTCCCCTTACCCGGTTGAAACCTGACAGTTTTCATTCTCAGTATGACTGACATTCCTTGTAGACAAAAACCTCTATCCCCCATTCCTCCCCTCACCCCCCATCCAAATAGGGATATGATCCGGTTCCCAAAAATAATCACATCAGAATACATGGGCCATTATCAGTTCATTTCCTAAAGTCTGGGTAACTTCATTTTAAATACCCTCTTTTATGGGACATCAATAGCTCAGTGGAAGTTGGCCTGAACCAATCTCATTCTAGTCCATTTTCAGTCTCTCCTCATGAAGGATTTAAAGTCTTGGTGTCGGTCTTACAAAGAATCACCTCGTTATGAGAGTGGTGACTTTCCAACTCATCTTATTCCTCCAGTCTGGCTTCACTGAGTCCACACCTTTGCTGCTGCCAATGTTCGTCAGAAATACAAATCCATTCATTCACTTTGATACTTAAGACCCCACAGTGGTCCCATACAGCCCTCATGAATGCCCTCTTGCCTATTTCTTCAGTTCCCTCACTTCTCTTTTCCCCATTCACACGCTAGCTTAACTCCAGATGTTCAGGATTACTACAAATTTCTAAACATGATTCTTTCTCATGTCTCTGCCATTGCTGTTGTCTAGATCAAGAATTCCTTTCATACCTTTATTAGTCTGCCATATCTTATTCATGCTTCAAGACACAACTCAGTAGCACCTCCTCCAGGAATCCGATCATTGCCCCATCCCCAAGCTTGAGTTAGGAACACCTTCTCTCTGGTGTGGAGCACATGGTACTTATCTCTATCACACCTCTTATCACACTGGACTGAAATTCTTTGTCACTTCCATGAACATGGGAGCTCCCTAAAAGCAGAGACAATGTTGTTGCACTCTGTATTCCCAGATACCTGGCACAGGACCTGCAATACACTAAATTCTCAGGAAAATTTAACGAATGCTGATTCTTTTTCATTTGATCCTCCTAACAACACTGGGACACTAATATTATTTCCAATGGTACCAGTGGAAAGCAGTGATTCCATTTAACTTAAAACTAAGAATAAAACAGCCATGAGGGCTATAGTAAATATAGAAAAATTTATAATTCACAAAAGAGGAGAGGAGAAAAGGGTAAAAAGGTGGGAGGTATGTAACATGTTGATTTTCTCTATGTGATAGCTGAGGTTACAAAGTTAGGTTTTAAAGCTGACAGAGCAAGTGATAAATATAGAACCACATTTCAAGATACAGAAGTAAACATTAGAAGAATATAAAAAATACAGTTTAATTAAACTCAGGTTTTAGAGGGCAGAGAGTAGAAATATAAAGGACCTATTGTTCATAGTGGGGAGATATATATATATGCATAGTATGCATATTTAAAAGAAATAGAGAATAAAATATTTTATAGAAAGTTATGGGCCAGGCACGGTGGCTCACACCTGTAATCCCAGCCATTTGGGAAGCTGAGGCAAATGGATCACTTGAGGTCAAGAGTTTGAGACAAGCCTGGCCAACATGGTGAAACCTTGTATCTATGAAAAATGAAAGAAAAAAAATTAGCTGGGTGTGGTGGCACACACCTGTAGTCACAGCTACTCGGGAGGCTGAGGTGGGAGGATTGCTTGAGCCCAGAAGGTTGAGGCTGCAGTGAGCCATGATCACTTCTCTGCACTTCAGCCTGGGTGACAGAGGGAGACCCTGTCTCAACAACAACAACAACAAAAAAGAAAATAAAAAGAAAGAAAGAAGAAAGAAAAAGTTATGGAACATCTAGCCTAAAAACAATGTTGAATGCAATTCTTTACATTTTTAGAAGGAACACATATAAATATAAAATACAAACATAAAAAGGTATCAGTCATATAATAAAAGATAAAAACTAAGAAACACAAACGGGATGTCTATTATATCAATAAATTTGCTTATGAAAACAAAACGACTCTCAGAAGAATTATGCCACAAAATCTAATTAAATGTTATGCATAAGAGATACTCCTAATACGGAGTACTTAGAAAAGTTGAAAACTAAAAAGAAACAAGTCATGAAGTGAAATGAAACACAACTAACTCATAGTGAGAAAATATTTACTACAAAATATTAAGAAAAAGATCGAAGGTAAGTTCAATAGAAAAATGGTCGAGAAACTTGACCAGATATGTAGGATACATTTTGACCAGATGTCAAAAAAGAGGATATCTTTTCATAAACACATGAAAAGGTGCTCTACCTCATTATGAATCAGGAAAATACAAATTAAAGCCACTACAAACCCACCAGAATGGCTATATATAAAAAAGACTAAAAATACCAAGTGTTGCCAAGAATATGAAAATTCAAGAACTCTCATAGACTGCTGGTGGAGATATAAGTGGAGAGCCACTTTGGGAAACAGTTTGGTATTTTGCTATAAATTTGTAGAATGTGTTCTCTTTAATGCACCAATTTAATTCTAGATACATACGCAACAAAAATGTATGCACATGTGTATCAACAGGCATTGTCATTGACCAAAACCAGAAACAAGCAAATGTTCATCAACGGTAGTGATACATTCACAGAATGTAAAACAATACAACAGTGCAAACAAATAAAATGTAATGTATGCAATGATACAGATGAATCTCATAAACATAATTTTAAGCTACAGAGAAAAGACCACGCAGTGTATAATTTCATTTATATAAACTTCAAAAACAAGGAAAACTAAACTCTAGTGTAAACAGATGCACATTTTTGTGGTAAAAGATAAAAAAGGACCAGGCATGGTGGCTCATACCTGTAATCCCAGCTACTTGGGAGGCTGAGATGGAGAGTTGCTTGAGCCTAGGAGTTTGAATCAGCAGTGAGCTATGATGGTGCCAGTGCACTCCAGGCTGGGTGGCAGATTGAGACCCTGTCTCTAAAATAAAAATAAAAATAAAAAATAGAGAATAAACAGAACAAAAATGTGACTACGTATTACCCATAAATGTCAGGAAGGGACTACACTTAAGAAGAGAGGAAGCTGTGGATGGGGATGGGCATGGAGGTAGGGGTGCTTCTGAGCCCTACCAATATTCTACTTCTTGACCTTGATTGGTGATTATACAGTGTTCCTATTATAGTAATTCATTAAACAGCATACTTATGTTTTTATGCAATTATTATAATATGTTTTCATTTAACAATAAAAACATTTTTTAAAAAGTAAAATATAACAGCTTCTAAAAACTTCTGACTTTTTAAACTTTGAAAGATGTTCAAGAATTTTTTGTGTCAGAATGTCCTGATTTTAGAAATCTTTTGAAAATCAAAGATACAAAAGACATTGCAATGATAAAAATCTACGAAGTACATATATCTGTGCATAAAAATTTGATCAAAGTCACTCATTTAGCAAATTCACTTCTCCCAAAGGCTATCAGTCTTAATACTCTTTTTCATAATGTTACTATACCTTTGCTTTAAGATAATTTATGCTTCATTCACTCAAAGCTAACTTTTAAATTTTAAACAACAAATCCATAGGTCATAAAGAGGGCACATTCTAAGACGAAAGAACATTCCAGAGTCTGGTAGCATTATTTCAGAGTTTAATAAGGAGTTTAAAACATCTAATTTTGTAAAACTTCTGCTAATTTGATATTAACTATTTCTAGAACAAAATGCAAAAAGCAAAGCATTTACTATTGAGTTTCTAATAGTCATTGGGTGGGCAAGTGTCAAGAAAAGAAAATTGATTAATGTAATATAGAATAAATCAGTGTCCTCAACCAGGGACAATTTTGTCCTCCAGGAGACATTTGGCAACGTCTGGAGACATGTATGTTTGCCACAATGAAGAAGGGGTAGTACTAATGGCATATAGTGGATAAAGGCCAGGGATGCTGTTAAGCATTGTACATTGCATAGGACAGGCCCTGTAAAAGAAATCAATGACACTTGCTAAAGCATGGCAAGGAGGACTTTATTCAAGATCATTGCCATAGGTATAGGGACTATTGCAATAAGATTTTGCAGTTGGGGAGAGAGATTGTGCTCAACTCTGTATATAGCATGGGGCAAGTGGGAATTTATAGAGAAGGAGCAGGGTAGGAGAAGTGAATGGACAACTGCTAAGAGGAAGCATCAAGGGTAAGGAGGGTTCTGGCTAACACAACCTAACAGGATTCTTGCTTATGACAGGCTAGGGTTATTAGATTTCGTCTAAGGGATGTTGGAGGATGAGGAACATATTGATGGTGATCATATATCAAGGATGCGGGTGATGGGGGGCAGTTGCTAAACTGACTCAACAGTTTGTTGCTAAATCTGATTTTACAAGAAAGTATACAGACAGGCCTAGGAGAAGGTTCAGGAGCCTGAATAAAGTTTGGTCAAGCAAAGAATTTTTATCACCCTCCATAACAAGGAAGTACCTGGCCCGATATGTAAACAGTGCCCAGGATGAAAAACCTTAGAATAAATGAATAAATGAATCAAGGAGTTATCACATATTGTTAAGCAAAAAAGTAGATTATAAAAGATTAAAATTAGTGTGATTCCCTTTTTGTAAAAAACCCCAAACAACTGTGCATATGTAATGTGTGTGTATGTATATGTATTCACAAAAATGTTAACAATTATTAGCTCAGAATGATGAAATCATGGATGAATTTTACTTACTTTTGCTTTATTTTGTTAATCTGTAATTTCTTATTTTTCCATAGTTAATTACATTACTTGAACAATAAGAAAAATACAGTTTGGTTTCTACCAAAGAAAGAACATTGACTGTGGCATCAGAAAGAGCAGGGTTTGAACACTAGTTGTATCTCTCACATTTTAATCTTCTGAGATAATTGTCTTGCTGGTAAATGCGGAAATAATACTTCACAGGCTTGCTCCTTTTCTCCTGTTTAGTTTAAATACAACTATATACATATATACACACACATATCACTGCAATAGAAAAAAAAACTGAATAAATTTATTTTACAAATATCTTTAATGTGTGAGAAAAGTATATTTATTTACAGGGTAAGAAGATTGATGATGATGTGTGAGGATTCTGAAGGGGATCGCTAGGCATTTTCAAAGACTGGATAAGTTAGCCTCCCACTTATCCCTATTTCACCTAAAAACTGATTTAACAATGATTTGTTTTTTTGCCAGGCATTGAGCTAAGTAAAAGAACAAATGAAGAAACAAATTTAAAAACTCAATCTCTATCCTCAAAGAAGTCTAATTAATAAGTGGAGAATGACACAAACAACAAGTCATAATGCAATGTATTAAATACTATCATAGACATATTCACAAAATATTATGGGAACAAAGAGGAGGAACTGAGTTTCTTACTAGTATCCTATAGCATAATACTATGCTCATGTTATTATAATTTGATCTCTTCTTTGGTTCTAAAATAGATTGGTGAAGCACCTTTCTAACCATAAACAGGAAAGAGGAGAAAAAAAGTAATGAATATGAATGTACAGAAGGTGCCTAAAGTAGAATCACAGTGCTGTGAGCAGTAACAAGCAGAAGAACTTAAAGGATAAGCTATGTACAAAATCTCCCTGAAGGCAGGAAGGCAGGTGGTGGAGTGAAGTTGAGTCAGCCTCCATCCTGTTACCATCAGATGGTTCTCAAATGCCTGGCTGGCATCTGGACTGGGAGAACAGCAGATGAAAGGACCCAGAGTGGGAGGAAAATGAATCAGTATGCGATCAGCAAATTGTACCTTGGATTGGGATAGGATTCTTATAATTTAAAAATGTGCCTATATTCAATAACTGCAACTATTTAGAGTAATGGTAGCCTACTGTATTATCAGGAAGTGGTTAAAGAGTAAACATGTTCTGGAGGCAGGGAGATACTTGGGATACAGAAATGAGCGTGCTGAGTAAGAACACAATTGCTTCAGAATGTGCAATTCAACGCTGAATACAGGGTTCCAAATGCAGTTAACATCAACTAAAGAATTTAGCGAAAGGGTGTAGCAGAGTGTAAGTTGGAATTAAATATGGGTCCTTGGTCTGATAGAGAACATTTCAAGCAAGTTCGTTGTTTATATCTGACTTAGAAGGCAATGAGAAACCATACAAGATACGATACTGCTTTCTTCACATTTTCAAAAATATCTATTTTGATCAAAAGGAGTTAGGAAGAACCTGCATGGTGGACTATAACAGATAATAATGGAAGGACTATTCGGACCAAAAATAGTTACCAGTTTCATTGTCCTACTATGTGGAGGGGACAGAGCTGAGAGAAGGGGAAGAGAATAAGGCATTGAGTGGCGTTCTACTACTGGTGTGTGCCAAATACCAATTTCAGCATAAGGACTCAACCCGGAAGGAGCCAGCTGGAGTCCTTATGCTATTCCCGAGGCCTGAAACACGAGTCTAGCTGGTTCGGCCTCATCTGTCAGGTCACAGCTGCAATATTACTTCCTCAGGGAAGCCCTTTCTTTCTTCCTCTTCTCCATCTCCACCCCCTTCCCAAAAGGGCCTCCCGCTATAAGCTCTCAAAGTTGTAATTACATGTGTCTTGTAGTTAACTATTTAGAGTCTGTCTCCACGTCCAGGCTCCAACCAACCTCTCATCCTCAAATGTCTTCACAAGGTCGGTGATCTTGGCAGTTTTACTGACCAAAGAGTGGGGGCTCATCTCCAGCACCTTGCAGTATTGACAGGAAAGTCACTGAGTAGCAAATGAATGCATGAATGAGCTCGTGTTGTTAATATTGCCAGGCCCACAGGAAGCACCCAACAAAGAGCAATGATTGGTGTTCGCGTTCATTATCTCATTTAATTCTTACAAAACCACGGCAAGGATTCAACCCCACAACTGCTGTCTAGAAAACCGAGGAAAGTGACGCAACCCGCGGGAGGTCTGACGGCCCGAGAGCCGCAGCGCCAGGCCCGGGAGCCAGCCCCGTCCACTTCCCCGGTGGATTCTTCTCCGTTCCCCGCCGGCCGCCCCAGGTGAAGCTCCTTTCCGCCGTCAGAAGGAGGCTCCCAGCGGGAAGCAGCATCGAGGGCGACCCAGGGCCAGCACGGGAAATGCCAGGGACCGCGTCAGCCGAGCCTGCTGGAACCCCGCTCCTCGCTGCAGACGCCGTTCCGCCTGAGGACAGTACTCGGGCATGGGGAGTCAGGTGCCCGCCACAGGAACGCAAGAGACCGCGCCGGACCAGCGAAAAAGCTCCATGCTCTCCTGGTTTTCCAACCCGACGCCGCGGCCTGCGGCCACTCTAGGACGCCGGAGGGTCCTCCTCTCAGTGGTTGGGGCTGGGCCGCCCTGCGCCGGGAGCCGCCCACCTTCGGGCTGGGCCGGGCCTGGCCAGAGTCTGGGCTAAGCGCAGGGCCTGCATGAATCTTCAGCCTGGGAGGTGGGGCAGGAGCACGGAGAAGTCTCGAAGAAGTGGAGGAAGCACGCACTGGCTGCCGCGGGAAAAGCTCAGCCAGCAACTGTATCAGCTTTACATTCGACCCTCCTTTGCTGCATGGCAAAAAGAAAATAAACTACCATTTCTTAGTTCGTGTTTTATTTTCAGCTATTTCTTGTTTCCTTGGTTTCGATTCTAATTATTGCTGTAGACGCCTTCAGGTGGTGGAAGCCAAGGCAAGGAACCCCTGACCGCAATTTCCTAACCTTTGGGCAGAGTGTGGGGTGTGGGGACTCCCCGCCTGCCTTTCCCCGCCCCCCCTTCATAGAGACCTAAAAACCTTTAAAAAGGATCTAACACTAGCTCTATTATCTACCCTGTAGCCTACTCAACTAATTAATTCAGACATTTATAATTACACACCAAAAAAAAAAGAGAGAGAGAAAAAAAGTTAAACCGTTGGAACTACAAACATTAAACATGAGCAGTTCTTAGGGCCAAAATCTCTGAATGTGACTGCGACAGATCGCACTTGAAACGCCTGTATGAGGTAAACGGAAATGGCCAGAGAAAATGAACTGACGGGTATGTGTATTTCCAAATGTACTACTATCAGCTAAAAAAGAAACTTCAATGATTAGGTTTATTGAGGTGACATGCAATAATTCTTAAATGTTCTGCAATTAGAAGTTTCTACGTCATGAAGGCAGTTTAGAAGATTACAGCAAAATGGTGAAGCATGACTTCTTCATATGCTTATTCTTCATTCAAAAGCCGTTTGCAGGTTCCCCAGCTTAAAAAGAAGCCTAATTTCACTTATTTTGAAGAGTACTCTGATAAATATGAATACCGAAATCAAATGTTGCTTTGTGTTTAGACAGTTATAGATAGAAAATTCTCGCATGGGCCAGCAAAGAGGTATGGGTAATTTAAGAAGAAAAAAAAAAAAGTTGATGCCCCTGGCTGGTGAAAAACCCCAAGGAATTCACTTTCAGCTGGAAATTTTAGAGCTATTTCGCAATACTTATTAACGAGCTTATTGTATTATTCATTTTAGAAATCTGATTTCGCAATCTTTTATTCGTAGTGGCTCCCTCTAATAACGTCCTCATTTTATCGCTATGTGCATAATGATGTTCTTTAGTATATCCAAGAGAGTTTTTGATGTTGGAATTTGCAATGACTCAAGTTTCACTCCAGCAGCTTGAAAGAGTGATAATGAGGTGCTCTCCTTTTTTTGTATCTATACTCCCCTTCCAGGCATATAATTTCATTTGAAAGTTGATATTGTTCTTCTAGATTTTCTATTCAGTAACGAAATGGAAAGCAATGATTGTTCCCCTAAGAACAACTAAGTTTTCTAAAAGCTATCATAAGGACTTTGTAGCAAACTCTGAAGGTATCATTTGGGAATTTTAACACAATATGCTTGAAAACCAGATAAAAGGGAAGGTTCTAAATTAAAATGTGTGGATGAAAATCTATAATCTGGCACTAAATCAGTAGTGATATAGTGGGTGGCAAATAGAATTGCAGGAAGAAAGTGAAGATCTGGTTGCCTGGAGCTTGTAAGATTCAACCCTAGTTCAACACAGCTCTGTACTTGGACCACAAAGACAGAAAGAAAAAGGGTGTCTGAAGCTGAGAAGCCCAAGAAGAATAAAATACTGAAAATAGTAATAACAGTAAGCAACACTTATACAGTGTTTATTAAATGCCAGCCACCTTGATAGACATTTTACATGCATTATGCCATTTAATCCTCACAACCACCTTGTGAACTTGGTGCTGTCATTGCCCTTGTTTTAAAACTAGATTACTAAGACTTAGTTAAGTAATTTCCTCAAGGTCATGTAGCTGGAAAGTTGTGGAGCAAGTTTTCAAACTTGGGTTTGTCTATCACGCAAGTTATTTTTTACTTTAAAAGATCTGATCTTCTCTACTGTTTTGTCATTTTGCATGGATGTTGGTCATCCTTATGTTCACAATCACTCTTCTCCTTCTGAATTAACAGACCTAGCTGGCAAGGCAGCATAGATAATGGTTAAGGAATGTGGCCATTGCATTCGATTACCTGGATTCAAATTACGATACCTACACTAAAAAGCTGTGAGACTGTGAATCATGGATTTGACCTCTATCTGCCTCATTTTTTACATCTGTAAATAAGGATAATACCAGTGCCAACCCCACAGGTTTTTTATAAGACTTAAATGAGATGGTGTGTGTAAAAGCAGTTGTTATATATCTGAGCATAAAATAAGTGCTCACTATATATTCGTTTTTATTAGGAACCAGTAGTGCATATGATACATTCTTTGACAAAAGCCTGTGAAGAAGCAGAAGCCCAGCTGGCATTTGTTTAGAAGGAAGTGAAACACTGGCCCATAGACCCCTTTGGACCTTTTGAGTCATTCCCCCAGAGTTGAGGAAGAAGAGATGAAGCAAAAGATTATTAGTGACTAAATGCAATCTATGAATCAGGAAAGTAATTTCTGTGTATTTCATACCATTGATGATGGACTAAGGACTAAAGAGATGTTTCTAAATGTGGGCATTGATTATCATTATTAAATAGGCAGCAAAAGCTCAGACTTACTCTGCAAGGAAAAGGATTTATAAAGAATGCCTTGGCTTCTTTATAATCAAAGCTTGCTTATAAGAGTTTTGGGTAGGTCTTTCTCACACAGATAATCTTCACAGTCATTATTGCTTCATCATGGTTTTGAAGCCTAGTACATGAACATCCAGAGTCAGAAAACAGATACATGTGGATGTGACTAGTCAGTTTATTTTAAAAAGAATTTACAAAAAGATTTCTTCAAATCTGTTATTTTTAACCTTTTTGGCATTTGGAGTCTACTAGGAATCAAAAGAGTGCTGTTGAAATAACAATAGCTAATGTTTATTAAACTCTTACCATTCTAAACCCTTTATACATATTAGCGTACTTATTTTCAAGACAAACCTTCAGAGTTGTTTTTATTATTATCCTTATTTTACAGATGAGGAAAGCTGAAGTATACAGGTTATGTGACCTGAGTAGGATTATCCAGGTAGCAAGTGACTGAGCTACGACTTAATCCAAGCAGGGTTGCTCTAGAGCCAGAACTTTGAGTCTTAACCACTTCCCCCAATAAACTGTGCCTTGTTACATGCATCTGTATCATATAGTTGTCCAATTTCCCATACAGTTTTGAGGCACATGGATTCCCTTAAATCCAACTGTAAACTCCATGATAAACTGCTACAAATAGTGAGTACTTCTAGTACATTTAGTATATCTTAATTATGAAAATATAACTTATAAACAATCTTTTAGAAAAAATTTAATAATCAAAGGGTACTAAAGTTTTTTTGTTTTTTGTTTTTGATACAGAGTCTTGCTCTGTCACCCAGCCTGGAGAGCAGTGGTACGATCTTGGCTCACTGCAACCCCTGCCTCCTGGGTTCAAGCAGTTCTCTGCCTTAGCCTCCCAAGTAGCTGGGATTACAGGCGCCCGCCACCATGCCCAGGTAATTTTTGTATTTTTAGTAGAGACGAGGTTTCACCATCTTGCCCAGGCAGTTCTTGAACTCCTGACCTCGTGATCCACCCGCCTCAGCCGCCCAAAGGGTTGGGATTACAGGCATGAGCCACCACACGCGGCCGAAGGGTACTAAAGTTTTGAAATACAAAGTCTGTATAGAGGGCCAGGTGACATGGCTCACGCCTGTAATCCCAGCACTTTGGGAGGCCAAGGTGGACGGATCACTTGAGATCAGGAGTTTGAGACCAGCCTGGCCAACATGGTGAAACCCCATCTCTACTGAAAATACAAAAAAAAAAAAAAATAGCAGGGCGTGGTGGTGCACACCTGTAGTCCCAGTTACTCAGGAGGCTGAGGCAGGAGAATCACTTGAACCCAGGAGGTGGAGGTTGCAGTGAGCTAAGATCACGACACTGTACTCCAGTCTGGGTGACAGAGCGAGACTGTCTCAAAAAAAAAAAAAAGAAAGAAAGAAAAAAGAAAACTCTGTATAGAATCCCCACACTACCTGTCCCATGTTAGTAAGCCATAAGCAGCCCTGTGGCTGCTTGTAGCAGAAATCAACGGTAGAGATTAGCACCCATCCCTTGAGAAGTGCTTTTGTGCCACTTCAACTATGTAGTTCCAGTGGAAGCTGTCATGTTTTTGCATGATTCTGCCAACTGTTGACACTTGACTGATCTCAATTCCCCCCTCCCCTCCCCTTCCTTTTCCTTCCCTTCCCTTCCCTTTTCTTCCCTTCCCTTTTCTTCCCTTTTCTTTGCCCCGTTCCCCTTCCCTTCCTTTTCTTTTCTTTTCTGACAGGGTCTTATTCTGTCACCCAGGCTGGAGTGACTAGTGATCATAGCTCACTGCAGCTGCGACCTCCCAGGCTCAAGTAGTCCTCTGGCCTCAGCCTCCCGATTAGCTGGGACCATAGGGGTACCCCAGCACACCCTGCTAATTTTTGTGTTTTTAGTAGAGGCAGGTTTCACCATGTTGCCCAGGCTGGTCATGAACTTTTGGGCTCAAGCAATCCATCCACCTCAGCCTCCCAAAGTACTGGGATTACAGCTGTGAGGCACAGCGCTGAGTCTGATCTTGATATTTGATATATGAGAGAGGAGCCAATCACAGTCCTTCTCTAGAATTTTTCAAACTGGAATTGATAAGATTTTTTCCCTCCTCCATAGTAGCATCTATGAATTATGAAACTTGAATACTGTCAGTGCCACATAGAAGAAACTGTTCTACAGAGTTTGTTAGCATGTTTATGTGTACGTGCCATGTAACAGGAAGAATACGAAAGAGTAAAACTGAGGGATAAGAAAAAAATAGGAGAGAGAGAAAGTGAGTCATGGCTACCGGCTAGGCCTTGGTTTGGTTGTTTCTGTATCCCTAAGTATCTCGTTCTAGCACTGTGGTTATTCACACTTCTTCCAAATACACGACATCTTTCAAATACTTTGCCCTGTTTGCCTAAAGGTGCTTAAGTTGGGTTTCTGATATTTGCCACTAGAAAATTCCTAACAAACACTTTTAAACTCATCACACTGAAATTACTTATGTAATTTCAATTATGAAATTATGTATTATGCTGTAATTATAATTACTGTTCTATTATCTTATTGTGATAGGCAGAATTTTAAGATGGCCCCCAAGAGACCCCAGGGTGGCACTGTACTTATAATCCCAGCTACTCAGGAGGCTGAGGGAGGAGGATTGCTTAAGCCCAGGAGTTCGAGACCAGCCTGGGCAACATAGCAAGACCCCCATCTCAAAAAATAAAAAGAAACAAACCACACCACACATGTAAGGCAGCTCCCAAAATTCCTGCCCAATTGACACACACACTTGGTATAATCTCCCCCGCTTGAATATGCACGCAACTTGTGCATATGATGGGATTTCACTCCCATGGTTACATTATCTTGGCAAAGATTCAAAGGCAGAGAATTGCTTACCTGCTTGCTTTGCAGAAGATGAAGGCCACCATGAGTTCTATAGCTGCATGGGACTAAATTTTGCCAACAGCCTGTGTGAGTATGGAAGACCTGGAGCTTGAGTGACATCATAGCCTGAGTAGAACCCTTGATGGCAGCCTTGTGAGACTGATGCAGAGGGCCCAACTATGTGTTACCCGAACTGTTGACCTACAGAAATATGGGATAATAAATGAGTATTATTCTAAGCCACTAAGTTTGTGGTAATATGCTATGCAGCAAATATTATATATTCAGGGAAGAAAAATAGGACAAGTTTTGTCAAAGAAAATGCATGTTCTTCCATGAACATTAAAACACCAAAAAAAAAGGTACTTCAGCTCCCAAGGTGTAAGCGTTACTGACTGAATTGTGTCCTCCCAAAATTCATGTATTGAAGCCGAGTGCCTCGGAATGTGGCTGTATTTGGTGACAGGGCTTGTAAAAAGGTGAGTAAATTAAACTGAGACTATTGGAGTGGCCTCTAATACACTAAGCCGCTAACATTGTCTGATTTTAGCTTGTATGTGATAAATTTCCTTCAGTGACATGTTATCATCCCTTGACATTGTCTCTTGCAAGTATCATGTTACTATGGCTTGGATGCTGGGTCTAATACGTCTGGACACATCTGTTACATTCATTTCTTAATTTTTCTGTTTTGCTTTGTTTTCATTTGTTTCCAATCTTAAAAGACTATGTTTCTTTTATATTAAAAATATTATTGAGCTGACATTATGAGTATGAATAAATGCCTTGGTATATGTATTAGTTAGCTGAGGCTGCTACAACAAAGTAGCACAGACTGGGTGACTTAAATAACAGAAATTTATTTTATCATAGTTCTGGAGACTAGAAGTCCAAGATCAAGGTGTTGGCAGGATTGGTTTTCTCTGAGGCCTCTGGGCTTGCAGATGGGCACCTTCTCTGTGTCCTCATGTGATCTTTCTTCTGTATGTGAGCATCCCTAGAGTCTGTGTATCTAAATTTCCTCTTCTTATAAGGAAATCAGTCACATGCTAACTATTTCATTTTAACTTAATCACCTTTTCAAATGTCCTATATCCCAATATAGTCACATTGTAAGGTAGAGAAATTAGGGCTTCAACATATGAATTGCCGGCCGGGGGAGGGTGGGTGGCGGGGCACAATTTAGCCCATAACAGCATAACTTTTTGGGGACGGGGAGCATATTGTAATGCCAAGTTTCCATTCTTTCCAGAACATGCTGTAGAGCCTCTTTCTAAAGATTGCTTAAGAAATACTATGTTTTAATTTTATACATTGGACTCCAGAGTTCCCAATGATTATTTATAACTGAATTTTCAATATACCAAAAAGAAAAGGTATCTGAATCTCTTCACCTGCTAACCAATTGGAGAGAAAGAGCGAGTCAAGTACAGATCCCTTTTCCTAAAGTTTCATTATTTCTTTTAAAGATAGCCTGAGATAATTTATTTTTATTTTTAATTTTTTAAGACTCTTTAAAATACATTTTTAAAATTCTTCTTTGTTGGAGATTATTTCATTACCACAGATATTTTCACAAATATAATACTGCATTTCTGGAGGGCAGGGATACTGTATGAGTAATACAACAGGCAGAAAACCTGGGATATATTATGTAATCAATCATTGTTGGATTGAGTTTAATTAAATCTACAATATTTTTGGTAAAATTATGTTTATGTATAATAGAATCTATTATTTTCCAATAGCAAGGTAATTATGAAAACATTTCTTAACATATCCTGAGTTCCTTCTCTTCTCTAGATCCCATTGTTACCATGACAGGAATCACTATTACCTCCTTCTCGAGCACTTCAGCAGCCTCCTGATTTTTCCCCTCTTGCTATCCCACAATTTATTTTCCATGCAGCAGCATAAATGATCTTTGTTTAAAAAGTAAAATTGAGCATGTTATTCGCCAGCTTAAAACTGTGCTGCCTTCTCATTGCAGTCAGAATATAACACAGAATCTTTCTCTTATCGCATAAAGCCCTGATCAATCATCAGCTTATCTGGCCTGTTTCCTTTCTGGTTGGTTCGTTAGCTCCAGTCATGCTGATCTTCTTTCTGTGCCTGGAACATTCTGAATCATTCCCAACTCGTGGACTGTAATCTGTAACTGCTATCTAGAACACTTTGCCCTCAGATCTGCTCTGTCTTTGCCTTCAAGTCTTATTTCAAGTGTTACCTTCTGAAGAGAGGGCTTCTCTCAGACTCCTCATCTAATGTTAGCAAGGGCCCTCCTTGCACCTGGCAACACGCAATCTTTCCCACATTACTTTGCTACATAGAATTTAGCGCTGAATTGGCCTTCCTTACTTAATTGTTTAATATCTCTTTCCCTGCTGAAATGGAAAATTTACTGCTGATACATGTTAGACATTTAATATTAAAGTGCTACTTAGAAAATGAACAAAGGTACAATGCAATATGAATTTCAAAGTATTTACTTAAAAACAAAAGCCCATTAAATCCAATTAGAAAGTAATTCTTTCTTGTGTGAATGAAACATAATTCCTAAATAACAATGAAATTATAATGATGGAAAGGGAAGACCTTTCCATAAGAACATAATTTCTATCTCTCTTATTTGGAGAAAATCTCCCAGGTTAATACTTTATGATGAACTAATTTTTTTTAATATATAGAGTTTAGGGACCTTCACTTGTTCAATTTCTTCTCATTGACAATCATGATGTTACAAAGTAGACTATCAATTTCAAGTAAGAACAAATTCAATTGTTTTTCTTGAAAGTGACCATAGAAATAAAAGGAAGTAAAAAACAGAGTGAATAAAATAAAGTACATAATATTATATAAAAATATAATCTCAATTTCTTTCTTTTAAACTTAGAATTGGAAATGCAATCAGATACTTTATTTGTCGATTTTCACACTGCTATAAAGAAATACCTGAGACTGGATAATGTATAAAGAAAAGAGGTTTAATTCACTCACAGTTCTGCATGGCTGGGGAGGCCTCAGAAAACTTACAGTCATGGTGGAAGGGGAAGCAGCTACGTCTTACCTGGCAGTAGGTGAGAGAGAGAGAGAGTGTACGTATGCATATGAGGAACCGTTAAACACTATAAAACCATCAGATCTTGTCAGAACTCACTATCACGAGAACAGCATGAGGGAAACCACCCCCATGAGGGAAATCACCTCCCACCAGGTCCCACCCTGGCCTCGTGGGGATTATGGGGACTACAATGCGAAATGAGAATGGTGGGGTCGGCAGGGACACAGAGCCAAAACATACCAGATACAAACTACTGAGATACATATTTTGCCTCCTCCCTCTCTTTTTTTTTTTTTTTTTTTTTTGAGACTGAGTCTTGCTCTTTCTCCCAAGCTGGAGTGCAGTGGCACCATCTTGGCTCACTGCAACCTCTGCCTCCCGGGTTCAAGCAATTCTGGTAGCTGGGATTACAGGCGCCCACCACCACACTTGTCTAATGTTTGTATTTTTAGTAGAGACAGGGTTTTGCCATGTTGGCCAAGCTGGTCTCAAACTCCTGACCTCAGGTGACCTCAAGCTGTTCTCAACTCCGCCTCAGTCTCCCAAATTCTGGGGTTACAGGCGTGAGCCACCACGCCTGGCCTTGCCTGATCTCTTGTATGAAGCTTTTTCATCAATCCAAATGACAAATTATAGTTATAAAATATACTTAGCAGTTGGGCACAGTGGCTCACACCTGGAATCCCAGCACCTTGGGAGGCTGAGGCAGGCGGATCATGAGGACAGGAGTTCAAGACCAGCCTGGCCAACATGGTGAAATCCCGTCTCTGCTAAAGATACAAAAAATTAGCTGGGTGTGGTGGCGTGTGCCTGTAATCCCAGCTACTCAGGAGGCTGAGGCAGGAGAATTGCTTGAACTTGGGAGGCAGAGGTTGCAGTGAGCTGAGATTGCACCACTCCACTCCAGCCTGGGTGACAGGGTGAGACTCTGTCTCAAAAAAAAAAAAAAAAAAAAAAGGAAAGAAAGCAATAATACAACAGTAAATGTGGCAACAAAATGAAACAATAGAGTTGCTATTTCAACAAAATAAAATTATGATTTAGAATTTTTTAAAATGTTTTTTAACTTTATATAACTGTATGCTTAGAGAAATACATATTCACAGATCCACTCAAGACATTATCTACAGTTATAAAATACATGTTCCTTTCCAGCCCTGCCCTCATTAGATATGACCTCCCCAGGGCTAAGACATGATGTGAGCAATTTGGGATCTGTAAGATGATGCCATCTGTGGTACTTATTATTTGTTTTAGTAAAGTTTTATTTCATTCCTGGGTAACACCCTGCAGCATATCTAATACATATACAGTGTCTGGCAAATGTATACAGGTTTTTAGTTACAAAGGGGATTAGAATATTAGGGTATATTTATCAAAGTATATTTCTCTACAGGAAAGTAATAATGATTTACAGATATTTTCTGTGGGTTACTTTTTCATTCTCTTGACAGTATCTTTCACAGAGCAAAATTTTAAAAATTTGATCAAGTCAAATTTACCGATTTTTTTTCTTTTATGTATTGTGTTTTTGATGCAGTATTTAAGAACTCTTTCCTTAACTGAAGGTCACAAAGATTTTCTGTGTTTTCTTTTTTAAAGTTTTATCATTTTACATTTTGCATTTAGGTCTCTGTGATCAATTTTTGAGTTAATTTTTGTATAGGTGAGAGATATGGGTTCTATGTCAGTGTCCAATTGTTCCAGCACTATTTTTTAAAAAGACTGCCCTTCTCCACTGAATTATCTTTGCACCTTTGCCAATAATCTACTGACCATATTTGCATGGGTGTATTTCTGGATCTTTATTCTGTTCCATTGATCTGGTTGCCTATGTTTTTACCAATACCTCACTCTCTTGATTACTATGGCTTTATAATGAGTCTTGAAATCATGTTGTTTGAGTCCTTCGAGTTTTCTTTCTTTTCAAAACAACAACCAAATTTTTAAAATGGGCAAAAGCTTTGAACAGACATTTCACCAAATAATATATAGTTGATCCTTGAACAACATGGGTTAGAACTGCACAAGTCCACTTATGGGCAGATTTTTTTTCAACCAAAGGTGAAGTGAGGCTGGGCGTGGTGGCTCACACCTGTAATCCCAGCACTTTGGGAGGCCTAGGTGGGTGGATCACTTGAGGTCAGGAGTTCAAGACCAACCTGGTCCACATGGTGAAACCCTGTCTTTATTAAAAATATAAACATTAGGCGGGCGTGGTGGCGGGTGCCTGTAATTCCAGCTACTCCGGACGCTGAGGCAAGAGAAGTACTTGCACCCAGGAGGTAGAGGTTGGCAGTGAGCTGAGATTGCGCCACTGCACTCCAGCCTGGGTGACAGAGTGAGACTCCCTCTCAAAAAACAAGCAAATAAATAAATAAAACAAAGGTGAACTGAAAATACAGTATTTGCAGATGCATACCTCAAGTATACAGAGGGCCGATTTCATATAGCAGATTTCTCAGCGCCAACTGAGTGACTTGAGTATGCACAGATTCTGATAAATGTGGGGAGCCTGGAATCAATCTCTGGAATATACAGAGGGATGACTGTACATGGACGGCAGGTAAACACATGCAAAGATTCTTAACAGTATTAGTCGTTAGGGAAATGTAAATTAAAACCCTACAAGATACCACTACACACCAATATGAATGGCAAAACAAACAAACTCCAGTACCACCCCAACACCACCAAGGGCTGATGAGACAGAGGAGCAACTGGAACTGTCATATGTTACTGGTGGAAATGTAAAGTGGTGCAGCCACTTGAGAAAAGTTTACTAGTTATAAAACTGAATATGCACTTACCATGGGTTTGGCAATTTCACTCCTAAGTATTTGGCCAAGTGAACTGAAAATTTGTGTTCATACAATAAAACTTGTGTGTGAATGTTTATAGCAACTTTATTCATAATTGCCCAAACCTGGAAAACACCAAATGTCCCTCAACTGAGATATGGATAAACAAACAATGAAACACTACACTTCGATGAAATGAAAAAAATGACAAATACGATAACAGACAAATCTCAAATACGTTATGGTAAGTGAAAGAAGCCAGGCTTAAAAGGCTGTATACTGTACAATTCAATTTATATGACATTTTGAAAAGGCAAAACAATAGTGATGAAGAACAGATCACTGGTTGTCAGGGGTTGTGTGGGGATAGGGTTGACTATGAACGAATAGCATGAGGGAATTTTGTGGGGAGGGGAGTTGGAACTGTTCTGCTTTTTGATCGTGGTGATAGTTACACAGCTATGCATTGGTCAAAATTCATAGAACTGTACACCAAAAACAGTGAATTTTACTGTATGCAAATTAGAAAATAAATAAATGTGGAGGCATAAAGTATTCTATTGCTGGAGAGGAAGAGGGAGAGGTAACTGCGTGGTGGGAGATAAGTCGGGATAAATTGCTTGTAGGTTTGTAAAAGTCCCTGAAGCCAAGGTTAAGAAACTAGACATACTTCTAAGCCAAAGCATTTGAAGATCAGAATGTCAAAATGAAAATAATGGTTAGGTGACCTGACTGTTGACAATGTGCACCACAGAGCCCTAGGGTGGCAGGCAGGGAAACCAATTAAGAGGTGACAATGGCTCCCTAAGGATAAATACCTTATATCTGAAAAGGAATCTATCCATTGAAAATTCTTTCAGTTTCTTTCGTTTAGTACATCTTTTTTTTTTTTTTTTAAATGGAGTCTTGCTCTGTAGCCAGGCTGTAGTGCAGTAGCACGATCTTGGCTCACTGCAACCTCTGCCTCCGCCTCCTGGGTTCAAGTGATTCCCATGCCTCAGCCTCTGAAGTAGCTGGGACAAAAGGCCCACGCCACCATGCCTGGCTAATTTTTTGTATTTTAGTAGAGACAGGATTTCACCATGTTAGCCAGGATGGTCTCCATCTCCTGACCTCGTGATCCATCCACCTCAGTCTCCCAAAGCGCTGGGATTACAGGTGTAAGCCACCACGCCCTGCCTGGTTTACTCCATCTTAACAAATCCTCATAAGAACCAGTGAGGTTGGAATTATTACCCACAATTAATAATGCAAAAATTGAAGCTCAGAAAGGCTAAGTGATTTGCTTAAGTTCCCACTATATAACTATGATTCTAAGACTTGTAGCTTAGTTGTTTCCTTCTTTCTAGTCCTTTTTATTCTCTCTCATGTCATTCTATTACTTCCTTCCTAGCATTTATCACAATCTGTAGGTTGTCTGTTAATCCTTTTTCTTGTCGATTGTCTGTATGTCCCATTTGACTTCAGGGAAGGAACCCTATCCCTGCAGCAGCTCTCTGTTATATCCTCAGAGCCTCTCAACAGTGCTTTTGGTAAATAAGTGCTCAAGAAATATTCATTGAGTAAAGAACTAAGTTAGAAAGCAAAGATAAAACATTATTATTATTGACATATCCTTTTTTTTTCTTTTTATCTTATTTTTATTTTATTAGAGACAGTCTCACTTTGTCACCCAGGCTGGAGTGCAATGGTGCAATCTTGGCTCACTGCAACCTCCACCTCCCAGGTTCAAGCAATTCTCCTCCTCAGCTACCCTAGCTGGGATTATAGGTGCCTGCCACCATGCCCAGCTCATTTTTGTATTTTTAGCAGAGATAAGATTTCACCATGTTGGCCAGGCTGGTCTCCAATTCCTGGTCTCAAGTGATCTGCTCACCTCGGCCTCCCAGAGTGTTGGGATTACGGGCGTAAGCCACCATGCCTGGCCCTTTTTTTTCCCTCTAGAATGTCACTTACATAGAAGAGGCATATCCTTTTTAATGTGTATTCTATCTGCAGTGATGGGGACAGATGTTCCTTGCTCTATTTTTCCTCTCAGTAGCTTTCAAACCTGGCCGTGCAACAGACTCATCTACAGATTTTTTTTTAAAGTCTGTTTTTATCAAAGCAATACAAGTGAAATGACATCTTCATTTATAACACTAAAAAGCAGCTCCCAGCCCTAATCACTGTACTCTTCAGTCCCCATCACCATCTGATAGTTGAACTCTACTCTTAACACTGGTGTTTACCCTTTCTACCATGAAGCATGCTCACAATACTCTTTCTTGGTTTTTCAATATTGGAAATTATCTGCTGACTTCCTACTATGGAAGAAGAGGACTTAGCTACCTCACATTACTTCCACTCAGTTTCCCTTATCCTTGTCCTATAATATTATAGAAAAGACAGTATTATAATTTTTTAGTTAATCAATTTTTGTGCTTAGATTAAGATAATTATGCAATAAGTTTTAATACTAAGCTACATGAAATACTATGATTACATTTATAAATATAAAGTTTGTTTTTAAAATAATTTTTTCCTCCTGTGGTTAATAATTGCTCTATTTTCCATTTGTTTCATCTCTTTTATGCCTACCCATAAGTCATCTATAAATTTGGTCAGAATGGGACTACATCTCTTCATGTGATGAAATACATCAGAAACTCTATTGACCCCACTGTTTTTTCTCCTGGAGACATCAGTTCCAGAGATATCCATTCTCTTGCTTCAATCTACACTGGCTGCCTTTTAGGCCTGTGATACAACTATTATCCTAGAAATTTCTTTTGATATCATCCTGGATATTCCTCTTTCCTTTCTCCAATGTTGACTCCATGTCTTCCTCTTCTTCCTGGACCAAGCTGAGGGTCGGGCTGCTATTTCTTGTGGCCCAATAATGAGATGCAAATGAACGGGGAGGAAGAGAGGTTTTATTTCTGCATTTGGTTACAGGGAGAAGGCCTGGAAGTTATCGCCAGACCAACTTAAAATTACAAAGTTTTCCTGAGCTTATATACCTTCTAAGCTATATGTCTACGTGTAAGTGTGCATTCATCTAAAGACATCAGTGATTAACTTCTTTTAATCTATAACTAAGGTCTGAGTCCTGATGACCTTTCTCTGGAGCCTCAGTAAATTTTCTTAATGTAAATGGGTCCAGGTACTGGGGTGACTACCCTTATCTTGTCTCCTGCTAAATCATGGAGGTTTGGGGAGTTCCTTCAGACCCCCAATAAACTTGTTTGTGGAAGCCTGGGGAGTTTCTTCAGATCTCCAATAAAACTTATTTAATCCTAAATGGGTCCTGTTAAGAATTTTGTTATTTTTGTCATGTTCTAAGGCCCAGGAAAGGCCTAGGCAAAACTCTTGGTGGGCTTTTCTTACATTTCAGCCTTTGTATAAGGGCACTGGCTTTTAATATTTAACTTAACCACTCAGTCAGTACTGAAACAGTTGTTATAGAGGCCTATGCTAGTCAGACCTGTCCTGCCACAATCTCTCTTATTTTAAGCCCTCTTTTTGGTGGAAAACACCCTTAAGTACCTTCATGAGAAAAGATTTCATAGAAATAAAACTTTTTGAGATCTTGCATGTCTGAAAATACTTTTATTCTACAATTAGACTTCATTGATTGTTGGTTTTATTGGGAATTCTGGATTGTAAATGATCTCTCCTTGGAATTTAGGATATTGCTCAATTTTCTTCTAGTTTTCAGTATCATTGTTAAGAAGTCCAATGCCTTTCTCTGTTCTCATGTCTGTTCTTTTGTCTGCATTCTGTTATTTTATCTGAAGCATTTAGGGAATTTAAAAAATCTCAGCTGTTCTGACATTTTAGGATTAAGTGCTTTTGTGTGAGTCTTTTTCATTATTTTGCAAGCCATTCATCAGATCCTTTTCAATCTGGAAACTCAGGTCCTTCAGTACTGGGGAAATGTCTTTCTTTGCTAATTTTGCCCCCTCTCCCCGTCTCCTTTTTTCTTTCTATAGATTAGATGTTTGATCTCCTGAATTGATCCTACATTTTTTTCCTCATATTTTTCAACTGCTTGTCTTTTTGTTTTTATTTTGAGACTTCTCAATTTCATTTTATCATCTGCTATTGAATTTTAATTTGTTTTTTAACTTTTCAAAGTTCGTTTCTCTCTCTGAATTTTTCTTTAGAAAAATAGCCTCCTGTTTTCATTTCTTTAAGGATTGGCAGACCTTATTTTTGACGTGATTAGGCAGGGAATCTGTACATTTTGGAAAATCCCCCCGCCCCCACACCCTCAGTACTCACTAGTTATAAAAATACTTTTCCTCAGGCAAGTCAATTTCCCTAAAAAGGAATCCTCTAAGGTCTTCTCTGAGGGACAGGAACCTGAATACAGTCATTATGGGAGCTTGGAGGATAAGTCTCACAGTTTAGTATGTAGACTTTCATGTATTCCCTTTACCCCAATGTGCAGTAGGCACTTTTCTCCTAGGTAATATTCAGCTGTCTCTGTATCTTCAAGATCTGAGCTTCTCTAATGACTCCAAGGAGTAAACCTTGTTGTCTCTGGATTGTGGTAGAGTAGTGTTTTAACCTAGCTGCTTGGTGGGGGAAGTGATCTTGATGGGGCAAGTAGGGTCTCCCTACTCCTTTTACAGACTGTCAAGCAATCCTGTTGTTTACAGCCTCTTTTCTCAACCATGCCCCCTCAGAGATCCCTAGGCCTGGACCTAGGCACTTTGGGAGGCCAAGAGAGGTGGATCACTTGAGGTCAGGAGTTTGAAACTAGCCTGGCCAACTTGGTGAAACCCCGTTTCTAATAAAAATACAAAAATTAGCTGAGTGTGGTGGCACATGCCTGTAATCCCAGCTGTTCAGGAGGCTGAGGCACCTGGACCTGTGTTTATGTTATATCAAGGATTTTCAGGACAGAGCAGAGATAAATGCCTGAGTTCAACACACCATGTTGAATAATTCACTGGTCTCATGCCAAACATACAGACTTTCCTGAACTTTTTTGCCTTTCCAAGTGAGAATCTTTGGGAGTTAATCTGGGAGTCTATTTTTGAAAAGATCCTCAGGTGATTCTGATAATATCACACATATAAATTCATTATTACAGCACTGTTACACAGGCACACACATTTTTCAGTTAACTCTGAAGCCATAATGAACCAGGGATAAGGGGATGAGGAAAAGGACAGGTCAATTCTGAGAAAAGGCCGGGCACGGTGGCTTATGCCTGTAATCCCAGAACTTTGGGAGCCCGAGAGAGGTGGATCACTTGAAGTCAGGAGTTCGAAACCAGCCTGGCCAACTTGGTGAAACTTTGTCTCTAATAAAAATACAAAAATTAGCTGAGCGTGGTGGCACATGCCTGTAATCCCTGGAGGCCGAGGCAGGAGAACAGCCTGAACCTGGAAGGCGGAGGTTGCAGTGAGCTGAGATCACACCACTGCACTCCAGCCTGGGTAACAGTGAGACTCTGTTTTAAAAAAGAAATGAAAAAAAAAATCTGAGAAAAGGATGGCTTAAAAAGGGACAGGCCTTTAGTGATCCAGGGGCATTTTGGAGAAGGCATGTCTTGATTACGAATGTTGGTGGATTTCTTAATGGAGAGCAGGTCAGGGAAGCAGGAGAACCAATATTAATTAGAGTACTAGGATGGCCACCCGCTGGCTGGGAAAGATGGTTGGGAGATGGTGTTAATACATTTGACATCTAGTTTGAAGACAGAATGGATGTTTTCTTCCTTCAAGTCTACTTCATTTTCTTTTCTTCCCTCCCCCTCCAACTACTCTGCTATTTTCCTAACACAGATTCAAAAAATAAAGGAAATGATTAAGCCATTTTGAAAATTTGAAATTTGGAAAGCCAAAACAGTCCTAAAGAAAATTTCACACAAATGTGACCTCTAGGAACAGTATTCATTCAAGAGAACAATTTTCAAAAAGAAAAAAATATATATCCACTGAAAACAAACACTGCAGCATGTATAGAATAAGGATAGATATGGTTTCCATATTGCATACCTCATCATGATCTCTATTTTAGGAGCAGTATGTGTGTATGGTTAGTTATGAATTGTGGATAGGTATGAATTGTGGATTAGAAAGCAGAGAGTCACAAATCAAAGGAGTTGGCAGAAAAGAGACACAGATGAAGAAAAGGAGGGAGGGGTAAGTATTGGAACTACTGAACTAAGATGGCACACAACCAAGATTCCTCTTGCAGTCTATACTTTTAAACAGGAAAAAAGGGAGGTGGAGAGATGGGGTGAGGCATGGATGGTGCTAATCAAAAAAAGTAAAAAACTTTTCAATCATTTTTTATTACCCACCTAGGTTTGATGTCCACATTATTATTTTCATTGTCCAGTAAGTAATGCTATTAGAACAGACAAAGTTTGGTATTTGAGAACATGGAATATATACTAAGGTGACACACAGTGTTTATTAAATGTGTTGCAATGCAATGTGATAATTCCAACAGAGGAAAAAAATGTGAAACTGGATTTGCTATATATTTTTGTATGCTTCAAAAATGCAGCATAGATTTTTGCCACATTCATTTACTTCAAGTATATTCTTTCACAACTGCATTTCCTAGCACAATGACTGGCATATGGTAGACAGCTTTTAAGGTTTTGGAATGAATAGGTGAGAACTCAGAGAACAATTGTAGATATGGAAAGATTCTTGCTGATTTTTCTAGATTTGGGTTCCTTAACACAAACACACATGTTGTGTATCAAACAGCTCTATTTCTACCATATCTTTATTGAAAGCTACTTTCTGCAAATATGTAATAACGTATTCACCAACCACATCTTTCTACATTTTGATTCCCTTTGTATAAATGGAGAAATTCTAAGGTTCTTGGGAAAGGTATTCAGTCATGAAGCAGTCTCCAAAGTTGTATTTTGGCCTTACCTAACCAAATTTTCATTCATTTCATTCTTATTGACATTACATATACTATAACATTTGATGTTCACAGAAAATTAACTTCTATTTTAAGAAGTTTACTCACAGAACCACAGTTTGTGCATTTAACAATCACTATGAAATACATATGAAACATTAACCATCATTTTAGAGAACAATTTAAAAACTCCGAAGTAACTACTTTCCTTAACTTTGTCATCCCAACATTCTGGGTATAGGCATTGTTGGAAAAATATAATTAAAAACCAAAATCTCCCAACCCAGAAATCCTCTCCACAAACGTTAGTAGACAAAACACTTTTATTACTGAATAAGCATTAAACGAGACTGTGATACACATCACAGGCAATTTGCTAAGAGATTGCAAAGACAGAAATCTTGCCCTTTTGTATAGCCAAGTATATACGACCCATTACATACACGTTTTCAAGTTGAACAATAACTAGTCCTCAAGTAAGAGGACCTGACATTTGTGACATTAACTTTACTTAATAATTGGGGTGACCATCTGTGTTAGTTAATTGGTTTTATCCAGAGGAAAAACAAACTTCTCCTGTCTTTATGACGGAAGGTAGTTTTGCAACACGGAGCAAGTTGCTCACCGAAGTTACGCTCCTACTCTCTCACAGAAACTGGGAGATAGGGAAGGATGCTACTCCGTTGATATGTGCAGCATTTCAAAAAAAAAAAAAAAAAAAAGGTCCAGAGACATTCCTGACTGAGCATACAGTTGACAAGACCTATCTAGTCCTCAAGTGGATTTATACACATTTCAAAGAGTTGAGAAAGTACTTAACAATTAAGAAAGTACTTAAGTTTTCTAAGACAAATGCTCGGAGAGAAAGGGACGGGAAATCTCATCCTCCATTTTCAATAGGGAGAATTAAGCCTCTTATTTAAAATTTTTATGTTGGTTTTTGTTTATTTAGCTTTAAAACAGTAGACTTAAAAAAAGTCCAACTTAAGATTTATGTTTTTTTATGTGTAGGGCTGTTCTCTACGGTTAAATAAATAACCCTGCTTAGAGAAAATATTCACCACTCTTCTTTGGCTCCTATGTAACTCAGTTTTTGAGAGGGAGGGGAAATACCGGATTGACGCTATGTGGTTCAACCAATGCAAAAGATAACACCGCCTTAAAAAGTCTACTACAGGAACATGGGAGGGTCACACCCTCGAATAATGACGCATACCTATCCTACTGTTACTGATCACCTAGTAATAATCTTGTAGTTCACATTACTCATTTTTCACCAAATTCTTTTGGTGAAGGACGCTTCAGAAACGGCCATCACTGAAGAGCAGACCCGTTTGGGTTCTCCACGCATTCTAGACTCCCGAAGAGGTAAGAATTTATTATAGGGGGCCACTCCCAGGACCTGCTGTATGCTTTTAAACATCCATTACAATTCCAGCATTGAGTTTCTAACATTTTTAGGCAGGCTCAGGCACTGGGAGTACAGGATTGAAAGACAGTTCCCGTCCTTAAGGGACTCAGAGTAAACTGGAGTTGCTGAAAACCATTCTAAAGCAATCCACGTTAATAACAGATACAAGTAAAACGTGGGAACGTACAGGAAAAAGTGACCAATTCTGAGGCTGAAAAGTGCCTATTTTAGGGGTGGGGGCCTCGCGGCCCTAAAGCAGCTTCCCTTCCCGGAGATTTCAGCTCCAGGGATCGCCCAGCGCCCTCCGGGCACACTTAACATTTTAATCACGCCTCCGCCCCCACTCTCCGAATTCCTTTCCGGCTGCCGACCCGCCGAGTAGTCCCTTCCAGGCGGCCTCAGCTTATCATCGCCGGTCCGGCCACTTCCCGGCCGCGGCCAGGCGAGCCTCCCAAAGTTTCCTGTGAGGCCTTCGTCCGTCTCCGGCCCCATCTCACCACGGCAGCCCAGGACACCCGCTAGGGAGGAGCAGGTTACCGAGGCGGGGAGAGCGGCACAAACGCGCAGACCTCGGGACTCCACCCGGGCTGGTGAGCGAGCCCAGAAAGCGGCGACCGCAGCTCCGCGTCTCCACTCCCAGGGCCCGCAGCTTGGGCTAAGCGTGCGCCCACCCAGCCTAGGGCCCAAGTCCTGCCCCTTCGGGGACCGGGCCAATCGGCCGCTCCCCGCCTCCTGGGAGGTAGTGGAGGAGGGGGCTGAGGGCCGGGCGGCTGCGCCCGCCTTCCGCTCTTGCCCATTGGCTGAGGCCTCGAGGGTGCCCGGAGACCGGAGTGCAGCGGGATTGGTTGCAGAGGTTCGTGACAGTGGCGCCTATTGGCTGTGGCAGCCCCCGTGACGCGGGGTGGTGACTGGCTCCGGAGTCTGAGGGGTTCGGGCTTGTCAGGTTCTAGGTAGGTGCGTTTCGCGCCGCCGGCGGTAGGCGCTGTTGCCCGGGGCAACGCGGGGGGAGGGGGGAAGAGGAGGGAAGGCAAGCCTAGAGCGGGGGCAACAATGCCTGCCCGCAGAGGGGCGCCCGGGATTCGGCCAGGGCGTTGGGGGCTGTGCCGAGGCTCTTCCTCCGCCCTCAGCCAGCGCCCCCCCCAACCCCCGTCCCTGGCTGCAGGGTCATCCGCTCATCCTCCCGCCCGCAGCAGAGCATTCCTGGTTGGGGCTTGGGCCGGGCTACACACCCAGCCCCACGAGGGCCGCCCCTCCCACCATCCCGGGACCCGAAGGCTGAGGGGGCGGGTGCCGGCGCGAAAGGGCTGTGGCGGGCGTAGTGGCTCCGCCCCGTCGCGGGGTCTGGGGGCTGATGGGCGTGAGGCGGGGTGGTGGGGGGACTGTGGGCACCACCCAATCTTGCCTGTACCCTCACCCCTTTTCTCGGCGGCACTCATCTGGGCGCCGCCGTCCCGCTACGGGGGCATTCTCAACCCCTGGTATTCCCCCCATCCCTTCCTGCTTCTGGAGCCCCGCAGTCTCCCTTGACCCGCTCGGTCCTCCCCAGCTCTCCTCCTATCTGTCACCTTCTCCCGCTTTTATCCCCCACCTCATCTTTCTCCTCCGGTCTTGGCCAGAGGTGTCCTCCAAGAGTCTAATCAAGAGATAGATCTTAAGTGTGAAGCTAGTGGTGTCGTCGGTAATTTCTGCTCTGTGGTCTCTTTGCCAGTTAGAATTGGGGAGATGTTTGGAGGCACCTTCAGGGGTCATCCTTCTGCCTTACAGTTACCCCTAGGATCTACTTTCTGAATACGCTCATTGGGTTGTGTTGGTAGGGGCAAGGTACTTCTTAAACAAATTGAGGATTGTACTATGAGGTGGGCACTTTGTACGTTTGCGATTTTGCCATCCACTGTAGTGCAATTCAAAATCTAATAATTTGTTACGGCTGGTAGCCTTACATTTTTTTCCTTCGCCTTATGGTTAAAAAAAGAGCAGCTTTTTAACCTTTTTAATTCAGAAGTTGCGTATATTAATGGTTGTCTCACTATCACTTTGACATAAACTGCTGTAAAGGTGTACTCCATTTTCCTTTTCTCCAGATATGTTAAGATAATAAATTTCTCAGATGAGGTTACCATATATAAAAGTGTAGTGGAACATCAATAAGAGAATAGATCAAAACTATTTTAGTGATTAAAGATTAGAAAATACTTTTCAATTCATATGTGGAATGAGAATAGGATAAAAAAAAAAAACTATTGCAAAATCTTTAGTGCAGTATTTGTAGTCCTGGTATATATACCTGTGTTGCCCTTAAGAAGACATTTGTGAGTAGCTCCAGGTTTGTCAGTCGGGAAAGCAGAGTGTATCTTTTTGTAGTCCAGGAAAGCTTTTCTGCTAGTACTTTTGAGCCAAGAGAATTATGCTTCCAAAGATGCTGGGAATATATTAAGAGAGTACATAGGCATACTTCTGTTTTCATCTTTGAAAGACCTTTAGTGAAGATCTGTTTCTCTTCTGCATTGATTGTTGACAGCATTAAATATACATAATCTAAAACTATGTAGTGTCAAGTTGTTGCAGCTTCTGCACTGCTTCAAAGGTTGATGTCTTTAGTTCAGAAGAAATAATTCAAGCTTTGGTAGACAAATCATTTACATTTCATCTTCGATGTAGATGTTACTGTAACTCTGGACCGTGAACATTTCAAATTTGCCAGTTTTTTCTCAACTATTTTACTATGAAAAATTTCAAACAATGCAGAAGAGTCGAGTTGAACCCACCACCTATATATTTAGCAATAACGATTTCAAGACCACTGTTACACAGTAAACATTAAGGAATAGAGGAACTGAAATGATCAAGCTTAAAAAACCAGCGTATGTGGCCGGGCGCGGTGGCTCATGCCTGTAATCCCAGCACTTTGGGAGGCCGAGGCGGGCGGATCACCTGAGGTCGGGAGTTCGAGACCAGCCTGACCAAAATGGAGAAACATGGTCTCTAATAAAAATACAAAATTAGCCGGGCATGGTGGTGCATGCCTGTAATCCCAGCTACTCGGGAGGCTGAGGCAGGAGAACCGCTTGAACCCGTGAGGCGGAGGTTGTGGTGAGTGGAGATCACACCATTGCACTCCAGCCTAGGTAACAAGACCGAAACTCCATCTCAGAAAAACAAAAAACAAACAAACAAAAAAACCACAAAAAGCCCAGCATATGTATATACATGTATATGTAGTATACATGTATATACACACCACCAAATTATAAGGTGCTTATTTTTGTTTGTGAGTGGGAATTGTACTTACTAAAACTATACTAACTTAATTACATGAGACTATTCAAAGCAATCTTGTGAGTGAGGTAGGAAGTCATCATCTTTGTAATCAAGGCCCAAATAAGTAAACTGCATTTTGGTAATCAGACAAAAGGAAATCTGATGAACTTGTTATACAAAAAAACGTTTTGCTTCAAAATTGGACTCCTGTGTAAATAGATTATAGTTTTGTACTTGATTTATAAATAAACATCTTTTGGAGGGAAGTCCAAGGGACTATCAATTATGTAAAATTTTGGTAACTTGATAAATTGGGTCAATCTTATGTCTGTTCATTTGGAATAAGAATGTATTTTTGTAATGGAAAAAGCTTACAAAGGTGAACTTTTTTTAGTAGAACTGCTTCATGGAGACTGACGTAATTAGAGAAATTTAAGTCAGTATTTCGATAGGACTCAACGATCTTGGGTGTTGTCTCATGGTTCTGAGGAATATTTTGATATAAAACTTCAATTTATAGTAAAGGAATAAGTGGAAATGGGTATAAATTCACACATTTGTATATTTGTAATTTTTCTATACCCGAGAAATTTGTGTACACCTTTTTAAGTATTTGAATCTTGCTTTTTAGTTTTTGCATACCCTAAATCTGTTTTTCATACTTACCTCGTTCATATAGTAATTTCTTAAATATTAAGGGCTATGTCTCAGAATTTATAGATCTCTGGATTGCTTTATTACTATTTTTCCAAATTTCATTTGTCTTTGGTATGCTTATGTATGGTTAACCTATCATGCTATTGAGAGACTGAAGGAAACAATTAGGTCACAGTTTTAGAACTTTAGTTGTAGATTCAGTGAACTCAGAAACAATTGGATTTTTTAAAATCAAGGCTCCAATTTTCCCTTCCCTCCCTTCCTCCTTCCCTTTTTTTACTCCTTTTCTTTCTTATTTTTGTTTGATTATAAATGTTAAATGCCTTACAATCAATTCAGAAAACTATAGAGAAGAAAATGAAGTCACTCATCATTCTACCATAATGATTTGAAAACTAACAAACTTTGATTTCTTCTGTAACACTCTACCAATTATTGAGATTTTATGGTTTTCATTTCAGTGTATCTGCATTCACATCAAAATTTGTAAGAGTTCCTGAACTTGAGGCTGTTACCTTAAATTAGAAGAGGGCTCCTAGATCTGGGGGAAAAATGGAAAAGAATAAATAGAGGACAGATTAGAGTCAGAACAGAGGAATTAGACCCAAGCAGTTACTGTTTCTTATTCTGTAAGTATAAATATTTTAGTTTACCATATAAAACTGCTGTATGGCTGACAAAATATGAGGCCATATTTTTTCTTTGGAATTCAAAGTATCTAGGTAAAACAAAGTTTTCTTGGTTCTTTTCAAGAAATAGTTCAGATTTCTTCATTTTTGGAGGATATTACATAATTCAGCTTTAAAAATTTAATGTCATGCATGTTTGGAATTATTTTAAAAATATTCATATCAGACAATTACTAATTTTTATTCATCATCACCATTCATTATAAACTTGATATTGTCACTTTTTTTAGTAGGTATTAAAAGACTGGACATTTTATGTAGGTTTTCCTTGCTAGGTTTCAAAGTGTAGTGAAAAGAGGAGCCATTTATTTTAGAGTCAGATAATCGGGTTTTAGTTCCAGTTTCTGTTCTGTGGGATCTTGGACAAGTTATTTTATCTCTTTAAGTCATAATTTTCTCATCTATTCAATAGGGATAGTAAAATTGCTTCACTAGCTTGTTACATAGAAGAAATGAGACAATGTAGGTAAGATTTAGGAAGTATTAAACTGACTTTAGGAAGTATTCAGCTTCTGTATTCAGTTCTTTATGTGATAACATTGATTTTATCTCTCCTTGTATTAATGTGTTTATTATACCATCCACAAAGTCCTTGTTTCAGACATAAGAAATTAAAATATAATTAAATTTACTTAAATTTAAATTTACAATAAATTTACTTAAGTTGAATGACATTTGCATTTATACAAATAAATAGTTAGAAATATCTCAGATTAGCTGTTCTTTTTATAAATCTTAGCTTATTGTATCTCAGCAGGGATAATTATAAATTTACTTTAAATGATTTTTAACTCCAAAATATCTCCAGTTTGTCTGGATTCCTGATTTATTTTTCTTTTTGCCTAGATGATCATGTGTTTTTGGATGGTTGCCCTAAATTCCTTTCATTTAAACCACAGGTATTAGCTACACGTTACTGTCTTAAATCTCTAACTAGTGCCCCCGCAAACACATTTTCTCAAT
Source organism: Homo sapiens (assembly GCF_000001405.40). NCBI lineage: Eukaryota > Metazoa > Chordata > Mammalia > Primates > Hominidae > Homo > Homo sapiens. The sequence continues at coordinate 108,753,611 of NC_000005.10, forward strand.
CTGTTTAAAATTTAAACTTCATTTTTAAATTTAATAATACCCTTATTTGTATATTAGTTGTGTCTTTTCCACCTCCTACTGAAACGTATGATTATTTTTTAAGGAGCAGTATTTTACAGATATCCCTGTTTCAGATTGTGTGTTCTGTAAATACAGGGTTCTAATTCTTAAAGAACATACAGTTTAAATGGGCAGACCAGCCTATGGTTATTCTGTGTAGAGAAGCAAGCACTGAACTGACTTAGCAGTTGAACTAGAGTCCATATGGTCTCATCCAGCAGTAAAACAGATTTTTGTGATCCAAGTCAGTTTTCTTATATTTTTTCCCGTCCAGGTACAAGATATTTACATGTATGACATATTCCACTGTGCAGTTTTCTAGCATGCGAGCTCTAATTCAGTCTCTCTCCTATTCAAGAAAGCATATTAGAATGCAGATGATTGAGAGTGACATCATTATGGGTATAAACTTGAATCTACTCTGATTTATTGGAGAAAGTGAGTCATTAAAAAATGTGGGCTGGGTGCAGTGGCTCATGCCTGTAATCACAGTATTTTGGGAGGCTGAAACGAGAGGATCACTTGAGCCTAGAAGTTTGAGAGCAGCCTGGGTAACATAACGAGACGGCACTCTACAAAAAAGTTAAAAAATTAGCCCGATATGATGGCATGTGCTTGTACTACTACTAAGGTGGCTAAGGCAGGAGGATTCCTTGAGCCCAGGAGTTCAATACTGCATTGAGCTATGATTGCAGCACTGTGCTTCGGCCTGGGCAACAGAGTGAGTCCCTGTCTCAAAAAAAAAAAAAAAAAAAAAAAATAGTGTGTAAGTATTGTTAGTAACAAGTACTGAAGACATACCTTACAATTCTGTAAGGGACCCAAGTTATTTCCACATTTTCCTGAAGTGAATGCCCCTTTAGTTTTTCTTATCATTCTTATAATGCTACATAAGAAAATATTATTACACTAATTTTATGTCATTAATAGAGACCTATATTTAAAAGTTAGAATAACTTAATGAACATGTAAAAATATTTAGGTAACAGTACCTCAGTCTGTATTGTGACTGGAATAACACTAATTGTTGTACAAAAATTGAAATTAGTTTTCTAGTGTAAATCATTTTGCTTGCAAAAAGGCTATTTCTATATTGGGACTCATGGTTTTAAGAGAAGTGGAAACAGTACTAGAATTTTTATTTTCTAGGCACTTAGAATGTAAAAATGCTCTTTACATTGGCTCAGTCAGAAAAGTATCTTTGCATTACCATGAATAGAGCTTAATTTTAAATCACTCATCCTATGTGGAAGTACCACGTATAATATACAGTTCCAAGTGAAGACTTAGTAGACCTTTGATATTTGCAAGTGGTATTTCCTGAAACCTTTGTGAATCTAGGATATAACCACCTCCATAAAATGCAGTCAAATTTAATGGAAAAGTTTAAGTGATCCCTTCAGACCCGTACAATCCGGTAAGGAGGACTCGAGTCATTAAAGCTATTAATTTTTTTGCTTCTGAAATGAAGACTAGACAACTTTGCATTACATTATTTGTATACAGGCAAGGTTCTTATTCTTGCCCCTTGTATCCTATAGTTTGCAGAATAAAAGAGCATTTCTGGCTTAATCACAAAGCTTGCTGCGTTGTCACAAGGTTTAGTCCTTGGTCGCTGTAATGCTTTTCTGTATGCTTCTGTTTCTTGGATGTTTTCTCCTTGGAGTTGAACACTTCTGTAGTATGTGTCCTTTCTCTGGATGTCTTCAGCTTGGGAGACTTTCCCAAGCTTCCGTGGATTGATGGGGCTCCCTTGTTAATTTCACATTCTACAAAGAAAAGTGCATTTGACTCTTCTAGCAGTGTTCAGGGTTTTTTTGTTGTTGTTTTTTGAGACAGAATTCCACTCTTGTTGCCCAGGCTGAAGTGCAATGGCACAATCTCGGCTCACCGCAACCTCCACCTCCCGGGTTCAAGCAATTCTCCTGCCTCAGCCTCCCGAGTAGCTGGGATTACAGGCATGCACCACCACGCCCGGCTAATTTTTTTGTATTTAGTAGAGATGGGGTTTCACCATGTTAGTCAGGCTTGTCACAAACTCCTGACCTCAGGTGATCCACCCGCCTTGGCCTCCCAAAGTGCTGGGATTACAGGCATGAGCCACAGTGGCTGGCTGCAGTGTTCAGTTTTGATAACAAATGGGTCAGTAGCCACCCTAGCAGCTATACCACATCTTGTTTTATGAAAATATACAGTATCAGCCGGGCACTGTGGGTCACACCTGTAATCCCAGCACTTTGGGAGGCCGAGGTGGGTGGATCACCTGAGGTCAGGAGTTTGAGACCAGCCTGGCCAACATGGTGAAACCCTGTCTTTACTAAAAAAATACAAAAATTAGCTGGGTGTGATGGCACGCACCTGTAATCCCAGCTACTTGGGAGACTGAGGCAGGAGAATTGCTTGAACACGGGAGGTGGAGGTTGCGGTGAGCCGAGACCATGCCATTGCACTCCAGCCTGGGTGACAAGAGCGAGAAACTCCATCTCAAAAAAAAAAAAAAAAATAATAATAATAAATACAATAAAAAGAAAATATACAGTGTCTTGACTTTCTCTTGAATTATTTTTCTTTTAGAATTACATGCTTTCTATGTACGTTCTTATATAGGTTAACCATTACTTAAATTTTCACTAAGGTTTTAGAAACTTTGCTTTACTAGGAGCAAAGGAAACATTTTCAGGTATCACCTTTTTTCTTTGTTTCAGTATAGAAGTGTGTGATGGACTTTGTAATATGGAAAATCCAGTCACTATCGCATTTCCTGACCATTCTGAATCTACTCCAAATTTATGTATTTGGCTAAGTACCATTACTTTGTGATGCCTGTTTACTTTTAATATATTTAATAAATTTGCTATAGGAGAGTAATTAAGGGGAACTAAACAATGTAGTTGTTTCAGATAATTATTAATGATAACATATAATGGTAATATGTAATTAATTATAGGTCAATATAACTTATTAATATACTATATAATTAATGATAGATCAGTATTTCAATTATTTACAAGCATTTATGTTGGGGATGATGTATGAGAATCTTTATGTAGATTTATATACAATAGAAAATTTTACAAAGGAAGAAGCCAATTTCTTTCTCCTACACACACACACATTTTTTGTTTTGTTTTTGTATAGTTCTTTTTTCTCCCCTCCTCAACATTTTAACCTCCCAGGTAGAGACAGTTTCTGTCAATATAAGTCTTAAGTCTTTTAGTAAATTACATGGCTTCAGATATAATGGTGGGGGCACTAACATTTCTTTAGTGCCTGCTAAAAGTGTGATGCACTTTTGTACATTTCTTTTGAATTTATGAATTTGATGGCTTGCATGTTCTTTTTGTGATCTGGAACCAATTTTAGGTCATATCATTTATCCAAGGAGACCCAGTTATAAAATGATACTGGGATTTGAACTTGGGTGTTTCATACTCTAAACCTGAAATAAATGTAAATGGTAAAAGTCTGTAGTAAACTATTAATGGTCCTGGATTTAATAGAAGTTTCAGCTATTTGGGAGCAACTCTAAAGGTCTATGTTGAAATATTTGCAGTTTTGCTGAGATTACTTCCTCTCATTAGAAGCAAGACCCTAAGATATTCATGCTCCTGGCTAACAGTCTTGTGTCTATATCTTGCTTTGGCTTTGTTCTGTTTGAGATTGTCCTAAACTATAACTTCTGTGAAGTTATAACATGTTTCTTTGTAAAAAAATTTCCTGAAAAAGAAAGCCAGCTGCTAGAAGTGGAGAGAGAATAAAGAGGCCTGAGAAGGTGGTGGATCTTAGCTAGAAAACAGACATTTTTGAATAAATTTAACAATGGAATGTTGAATTCAGTGAGTCTTTGATCTTGACGCACATCAATCCTCCATGCCTTAGAGGTAAAAAAAAGTTAATTTGTGAAACATTTTCATTGAGTGTTCCAGCTCTGTCAAAAATTCTCATGGTCTTTAGACAGACTTCTTGAAAATGTCAGGAATCTTACGTTCATAAATCCTGTCCTCCATCCCTTCTGTCGCACCCTCAACAATAATATTTGAAAGGAATTTGTTTATTAACAGCTACTACTTTCTAGAAGTTAATATAGTTCTGACAAATATCTTAAAATGTTAACATAAACAACAGTGTCCTAACTTCTGGGATAATAGGGGTTTGCTATGGTGACTATTTCACAATTAATCATAACAAATATAGGAGCTAGACCTTACCTTGGTGGTTGCCTGTTTTAAGTTTCTGATTTCTTTTCTGTATTTTGGAGCCTGGTTTACCCTGTGTCTGGAACTGGCATTCTAAGATCTAAATGTCTTAGCTTGGAGATACTTGCTATTATATACACTAATATCATGGATTTTGAAAGAGGATGAAGATGGTGAAGAGATAGACATGGCCTTCAATCTACATTATAAAAATAATGTAGAAATGTTCTATGCTAGACAAGAGGCAAGCTGTTGCAGGAATGGGACAGAAAGCAGGAAGGGATGTGATTCTTCCATTTTCGGTCTTTCTACAGATGTTACTAGAATACACACCCCATGTGAGGATTTAGCTTATGGGTACAGATATTATAAAGCATAGAGAGGTTTCGGACTGTTTTCCTGAGAGGGAGTGTGGTGTGGGGAAAAGAGCAAACCTACCTAGAGTTGAATCTGTGCTCCTAGTAATAGCTGTATGAATTTAGACAAATAATTTAATTCTTATAACTTTGGGATTTTTCAAGTTCAAACTAAGGGTGATAATACTAGAATTTTCACGATTCTTCAGTTGCATGAGACCAAAACTCTGCTCATACTTAGGGCACTGAAACTAGAAGTATATTCTCTTTAGGTACAGATAGACCCTCATGTAGGCCTTCTCCATATGGAGCTCTGTGACATTTCTTTCAGTTGGGTTCAGGAAGCCAAACATAAAGACTTCTGTTTTCCTTAGTTCTAGCAAAAGTTCCAGGATTGTGTCTCGTTGAAGGATTCCAATCATTTCCCCATCCCTGATCCCATCGTCACAGGGATGATATATGATGATAGGCCATATCTGGATTAGGTGCTAATTACTGGAACTAGGAATAGGAAGTGTGGTCAGCTATGTCTAAGCCCTTTGGCCTGAGATTCACAATGGTTAGAATCACTCGAGGAAGGAGAAGATACTGTGACCCTGGAAGGAGGGAGTAGATGCTGGGTGAGCAAAACGCATTTACTATAGTCCTCTAGCGTGCATACATTTCCTCCTTTGTATATATGCCCTTGAAAAAAATGCCCTCACCTATCATTGTGTAAATTTCTTGCTTATAACTTTCGATGCATTTACCACCTGTCCCTCAAGAAAAGAAGACAACTAAGAGATTTGTTTAAGTACTGCATCTAGCTTTAAGACTAGGATCTCTGGATAATTTCTTTAGCTCTGTTTGAACAGACTGTCTTAGGGTCTAGCAACTTGCAGTTGACCAGTATAATTAATTGTAGTAAGGCCAGTTTTCAGTGATAGAAGGAAAATAGCATGTGGACAACAAAAACCCTTAATTGATATCCTACTTCATCACTCTTAAGTTCTGCCTGCTGTAAAGTCCTGGACATGGACATAATTCAGGCAAGTGCTTAATCACTTTATAACAAGGATGGCCTTTCCCCCAGTTTCCAATACTTTGTTCTCATTTCTGTCTGAGACCTCATCAGAATAGCCTTTACTGTTCATATGTCTACCAATATTCTGTTCATGGCAACACAGGCTTTTTCTAGCATTCATCTTCAGAACTGTTATAGCTTCTACCCATTACCCAATTCCAGAGCTGCTTCCACATTTTTAGGTATTTGTTATAGCAACATGCCACTTCTCTGGTACCAGTTTCTGTCTTAGTCCATTTTGTGCTTCTATAACAGAATACCACAGACTGAGTAATTTAAAAATAATAGAAATTTATTCTCTCACAGTTCTAGAGGCTGGAAATTTCAAAGTCAAGGTGTAGACATCTCATGAGGGCCTTCTTGCTGTGTCCTCACATGGCAGAAAGCCGAAGGGCAAGAGAGGGATGAACTGTGTGTCCTCACATGGCAGAAGAGAAGAGAACACATTCCTGCAAGCTCTTTTTGTACCAGCATTAATCCATTCATGAGGACTCCACCATCATGGTTTAGGTTTAGGTTTGAGACCTAAACACCTTCCAAAAGTCCACACCTTCCAATACAATGACCCTGGGGAAGTTTTCAATACATGAATTATGGAGAGCACACATTCAAACTATAGCAACTGGAAGAGGGAAAAAGGGGAAACAGCCCACAGAGATATCTCATCCATAATACAGGTATATTTCACTGGATAGATATGACAAGGATTTTTTGCCCTGGCAGTGGAATAAGATTTTTGCTTAGCCAATATGGCAGAATGGATGTTGCGTTAGCAGTCACAAAAACAACATTACTCTAGTACATCTCCATCAGAGTTTTTGGGTGACCAGGTGCATTGTTGATGATCAATAATATTTTGAAAGCAGTCTTCTGTTTTTTTTTTTTTTTTCTGAGCAGTAGGTCTGAACAATGGGCTTAAAATATTCAGTAAACCATGCTGTAAACAGATGTGCTGTCATACAGCCTTTGTGTTTTCATTCCTATAGCACAAGCAGAGTAGATTTAGTATCATTCTTATGGACTCTGCAATATTTAGAATGGGCAATGAGCATTGGGTTCAACTTAAAGTCACCAGCTGCATTAGCCCATAACAAGAGTCAGTCTGTCCTTTGAAGCTTTGAAGTCACGCATTAACTTTTCTTCTGTAGCTATGAAAGTCCCAGATGACATTTTCTTTCTATATAAGGCTGTTTCATATACACTGAAAATCTGTTGTTTAGTGTAGCCAAATTCATCAGTGATCTTGGCTAGAGTTTTGGATAACTTGCTGCAACTTGTACATCACCACTTGCTGCTTCACCTTGCACTTTTATGTTGAGATAGCCTCTTTCCTTCAGCCTCATGAATCAATCTCTGCTAGTTTCAGAGTTGTCTTCTGAAGCTTCCTCACCTCACCCAGACTTCATAGAATTGAAGAGAGTTAAGGCCTTGTTCTGGGTTAGGCCTTGGCTTGAGGAAATTTTGTGGCTGGTTTGATCTATCTAGACTACTGAAACTTTCTTTATATCAGCAATAAGGCTGTTTTGCTTTCTTGTCATTTGCGTGTTCACTGGAGGAGCACTTTTAATTTTCTTCAATAACTTTTCCTTTGCTTTTACAATGTGGGTGTTTGGTTCAAGAGGTTCAGCTTATTTTGGCTTTCTTTTCTTTTCTTTTTTTTTTTGAGATGGAGTCTCGCTCTGTTGCCCAGGCTGGAGTGCAGTGGCACGATCTCTGCTCACTGCAACTTCCGCCTCCTGGGTTCAAGCAATTCTCCTGCCTCAGCCTCCTGAGTAGCTGGGATTACAGGTGCCCGCCACCACGCCAGCTAATTTTTGTATTTTCAGTAGAGATGGGGTTTCACCATGTTTGTCAGGCTGGTCTCGAACCCCTGGCCTCGTGGTCCCCCCACCTCGGCCTCCCAAAGTGCTGGGATTACAGGTGTGAGCCACTGCACCTGGCCTATTTTGGCTTTCAACATGCCTTCCTCACTAAGCTTAATTTAGCTTTTAATTTAAAATGAGGGATGTGCAACTATTCCTTTTATTTGAACACTTAGAGGCCTTTGAAGGATTATTAATTGGCCTAATATCAAATTGTTGTGTCTCATGGAACAGGGAAGTCCAAGAAGAAGGAGAGGGAGTAGAGAATGGCTGGTCAGTAGAGCAGTCAAAACACACATAACACTTATCAGTTAAGTTCACCGTTATATATGAGTGTGGTTCTTGGTGCCCCAAAACAATTAAGATAGTAATATCAAAGATCACTGATCACAGATGACCATAAAAGATAATAATGAAAAAGTTTGAAATATTGTAAGAATCACCAAATGTAACACAGAGGCGTGAAATGTGTATATGCTTTGGAAAAATGGTGCCAATAGAGTTGCTCAGTGCAGGATTATAATAGACCTTCAATTTGTAAAAAAGGGAATATTTGTGAAGTGCAGAAAGTCGAAGTGCAATAAAACAAGATATACTTGTCTGATTTATGAGAACAGCAATTTACCAGCTATTTTGCTTATTAAGAATTGCTGACTTCTTACCCTAAAGTAGAGGATTACCAAGTTTCCTTCACTTTCTGTTATTGACTCAGTCCCACATTTTAGAAGTGTAACTTGTATTACCTTATTTCTAGTATAATTATTATTATTATTATTTTTTTAAGATGGAGTCTCACTTTGCCACCCAGGCTGGAGTGCAGTGGCATGATCTCAGCTCACTGCAACCTTGGCCTCCTGGGTTCAAGCGATTCTCCTGCCTCAGCCTCCCAAGTAGCTGGGACTATAGGTGTGTGCCTCCACACCTGGCTAATTTTTTTTTGTATTTTTAATGCAGACAGGGTTTTACCATGTTGGTCAGGCTGGTCTTGAACTCCTTACGTCAGGCAATCTGCCTGCCTTGTGGTATAATTTTTTATGTTTGTTAGGCTAGTTTTGGATGCCAGTGGCAGACACCTATTTAACAATTTAGTCCTTCCCATCTTTGTAAATGGCAGCTCCATCTTTGTTTTTGCCCTGACCCCAGTGTGAGCAAAGTTATCCTTGATTCTTTTCCTTTAGTTCTTCAACTTAGTCTTTCAGCATACTCTGTTTTCTTCAAAGAAATACCTATAATCTGACTTGCTCTCACCACCCCTACTTCTATCATCCTGGTTCGGCAACATCCTTTTTCTCCTTCTGCATGATTCCTAAAAAGTCTCCCCACTACTACTGTTGCTCTAAATAAATAGCCTGTGTTATCCTTTTTAGACGTAAGAGATCATGTCTTTTCTTGCTCAGAATCTTTCAGGGGTTTCCCACATAAAAGCTCAAGTCCTTAAAATGAGCTATAGTTTCATGGTCCTGCTTTCCTTCCTTCATGCAGGATCTTTCTCTGAACTAGTTCTTCTCTGAACTGTAGTTTAAAATGGGCCACGGTTTTGTGGTTCTGTTCTCCCTCCCTCATGCGGGATTTTTTTACTATTTTCTCCACCATTCACTGCACACAGGCCTCCTTGTTTTTCCTTAGATAGACATTTTGTACTTTCTGTTCTCTGCTTAGAATGCCCTTCTTCCAGATAGCGGTTCCTTTAGCTAACCATGTGACTAACTTCCTTATCTCCTTCAGGTCTTTGGTAAATGTCACTTTATCTGTAAAGTCTTTAATCACTCAACATAAATTTGAAATCTCCTACCTACTTCATACTTACCTTTTTCTGCTTTTAAAAATAGTGCTTATTACTACCTAACACTGTGTATTTTACTTACTTATTTTGTATTTTGTTTGTTTCCTCTTTCTAGAATATAATCTCCAGGAAGGCAAGAATTTTTACCTGTTGTATAGGAAAACTCATGGCACACAGATAGCATAGTAGGCTTTCAGCAAATATTTGTTGAACGAATTAATAAATAAGAAAAAAAAAATGTGTCGTTGCCTCACGTAACCATTAACTCTGAAACTCTGAAGGGACTTAGAATACCCTGTTTGCAAACAAGCAAGTTACCTTGCCATACTTTTATATACATACATTAATAGAAGAGCCCTGGGTCAGAGACTCAGAGGGTTTATTGCAGTAAAAGCAGTGGCCAGAGAAATATCTTAGTGCTAGTTCTCCCTGCCCCATCTCTGTGACAAAACAATGTGATGAGGGCCAGGTGTTTACCTACACATGCAGCAGATTTGCATCATAGGAGAGGAGCCTTGAAATGAGGAGACTCCAAGCTTGTATAGGGTGTTGGCACATCTGCCATCCTCCCCTGCAGAGCGAGAGAGAGATTACTTATTAAACACATCGCTTCCAGAGGAGAGGGAGAAGGTATCTTTAGGTTTCTTACCCTAGAATATAAGTAAATGTTTCCAGGGAGGGGAAGGAGAAGGCTTAATTTCTCCAAAGCTCTTTGGAGTTTTCTATCTTTAGGGAGATACTGTCTCTAGCTTCCAAGGCTGTCTGTTATGCAAATATCCATTTGTAGTACATTTTGGTCAGAAGATTCTGTGCAGGAACATGAGAAATGCAGAGTGAATTGTTTCCCAGCAGTAATTCTGAATTCCAGCAGCTATATCTATTTACATCTGAACTCATATATAGGGGCAAAATATTTTCAGACATTTCTCCGTTTCTCTTCTCTTGGTTCTTTGTTTGGGTTGCTTGATTGTCTAGTAGGTACTTATCATCATCTTTCAGTTTAGCAACCTTGGCTGAAAGATGACTTTCCTTCCTGATTAGCTTCTGCAAAAATGTTGGGATTCAGTATTATCTGTTCAATTTGGGTAACATACCTATTCCTAAACTACTGCTTGCGAGAAGGAATATGCTGATTTCCCAGACCCAGGTTATGTTCCTACCCCAGAAACATTAGAGTGCTGGTGATCAATGCCACCCAAACCGTGTGGATTGATGATAAGAGAAGGATAGTTTGGGAAAAGAAAATTAAGATGCTGCTACCAACAGAAGGGGAGATAGATGCTTCAGAGTAAAAAACAACACAGGTCTATTACTTACATGCACATGCAACTCACAATCATTTAAAAAAATATAATCTTACTGTATATAGATATAACTACTTCATTTATTTTTTACCTACCACATATCATGAACAAGAAATTTTCTTTGAAAACAATTTTATTTTATTTTTTAAATTTAATTTTATTATTTATTTATTTATTTTTGAGACGAAGTTTCACTCTTGTTGCCCAGACTGCAGTGCAGTGACGCCATCTTGGCTCACTGCAACCTCTACCTCCCGTGTTCAAGCGATTCTCCTGCCTCAGCCTCCCAAGTAGCTGGGATTACAGGCATGCGCCACCATGCCCGGCTGATTTTGTATTTTTAGTAGAGATGGGGTTTCTCCATGTTGGTCAGGCTGATCTTGAACTCCTGACCTCAGGTGATCCACCCACCTTGACCTCCCAAAGTGCTGGGATTACAGGCATGAGCCACTGCACCTGGCCGTGGAAACATAATTTTAAATGGTTGTAAAATTATACTTAAATTCTTTGTTTAAAATAAATATTTAGTTTATCAGAATTGGATTTTGAAAAACTAAGGGGATATTTATTAGAGAAGTGGGGAGAGTAGAGATGGGAAAGAGAAGTAGAGCCAGGACTAGGGTAAGGCAAGAGAGTTGCCTAGGACACAAAATATGAGACATAATCACTTTTAGGGTCATGCAGCTGCAGGGTGGCACTTGCATGATCCTGAGAGTATCTCCTTAAATTTTGCGCCCCAGGTATTTCTTTTGCATCACCCTAGTCCCATTTGTGAAGACAAGCATATTTCAGGGAATAGGAACTATTTTTTGGCTATGAATGTGCGTTAGAGATGAAAGTATGTGTAATTGAGGAAGTTCTTGGGGAAGATTAAGGTGCATTAGAAAGCAGTCATTATGCATTTTCAACTGTTATGTATGGAAACGTTTGCTGAGTCTGGTAAGCATGATAATACCTTTGAAGTAACGCAAGGAATATAATTTTTTTGATTCATAGGTTTATAGTAGTTTGAATTTTAAAAAGTTCCATTTAGAGATGCCACCAAAAAAAGTTGTTACTTTTAACCCAAATCTTTTCAATATCAAAGAAAAATGCTTTTTGTTTCATTGGAAAATAAAAATTATAGAAAAGACTGAGTTAGAGATTGAGACACAATACATGGGTCCTGTGACTAGCTTACTTTCTTTTCTCTTTTCTTTTTTTTTGACAGGGTATTGCTCTCTTACCCATGCTTGAGTACAGTGATGTGATCACAGCTCATTGCAGGCTTGACCTCCTAGGCTCAAGTGATCCTTCTGCCTCAGCCTCTTGAGTAGCTAGGACTACAGTGGGCTAGCTTTCCTGAGCAAGATACTTGACACTGCTCAATATTGGGCATGGAATCTCAGTTGAATAGTTGTCTTTCTTGAACTTAGGTCTGTGGAAATAACCATTTCCATAGCAAAGTGAGAGACTAGAACAGGGAATTCTAAATAATGCAACTATCTTTGCTGATAGAGAAGAGAGTTTAAACATTTTTCATATTAATTGGATGATCTAGTAATTTTTGGGTTTGTCTTTGGAGTGGAATTGGATACATATATAATGTGTTTTGTTCCTCAGAAAGCTGTATGAGTAATACTGTTTACTGAACTATACCCTGGGGATTTAATTAAAGATGATGTGTTGAAAGCAGTCAAAAGTGAAGTCATGACTGAATTTTTTTTTTTTTTTGAAGCAGGGTCTCACTTTATTGCCTAGGCTGGAGTGCAGTGGCACAATCATTGTTCACTGCAACCTCAAATTCCTGGGCTCAGGTGATCCTCCCACCTTAGCCTCTCAAGTAGCAGGGACTACAGGTACATGCCACCATGCCTGGCTAATTTATATAATTTTTTTGTAGAGACGGGCTCTCACTATGTTGTCCAGGAGGGTTTGGAACTCCTGGACTCAAGTGATCCTCCTGCCTTGGCCTCCCAAAGTGCTGACATTACTGGCATGAGCCACCTCATCTGGCCATCATTAAAATTTTATATTTAAAAATAATTTTGTCATGAATTTTATCGTTTTATATAACAACTCTTGTTGATGCCTTACTTTACACCAAAGTGTACAAATCAGAGGAAACCATAATTCATTTTGGAATTTCATTCATTTGGTAGTCACTTGTTTGATGGCTACTGTGTTCCAGGTACTATGCAAGTGGCTGACTGTGTTAAGATAGAAATTCTTGTCTCATTTATGTCACAGTTTTATGGAAGAAGAGAAATGTATTAACACTTTAATTACATATAGATTAGATTTCCAACCAATTCTAGCTTTAGGAGCTTTGCTATATCTAGAAGGGAATAAAATGTTTTCCTAAGGGCGAAGGCACCCTTTGGAAATGGTTAAAAGATTAGAAAAGTAGACTTGGAGAATATGCCTGACATACTGTGTTTGATCTGTTTGCTGACCAGAAGGAGAGGAATAATCTTGTTGGTAACATTTATGGAATGTCATCTGATTGATGTGAAAGTCAAGGCAGTAGAGGAAATGATGGGAGACAGAGTAGGCAAACAAAAAAGAAGAACTTGGAAGAAGGGGAGAGTTTATGATAAACCAGGAAGTTGGGATTAAAAATAGTATGGCACAGGCAAAAAGTGAGACGTTGTAACAGGGCTGTAAACTACATATATTGACCTCAGTGATAAAGGAGAGAGTGACCAAGAAAACCTCTCAGAAGAGTTCACAGTTTTCAAGGACTGAAGGGAGAACAGCCAATTCAAGGATCATACTTTGGCATACTGAAGCCTATGAGGCAGAGGCCAGGCGCAGTGACCCATGCCTGTAATCCCAGCATTTTGGGAGGCCGAGATGGGTGGTGGATCACCTGAGGTCAGGAATTCGAGACCAGCCTGACCAACATGGTGAAACCCTGTCTGTACTAAAAATGCAAGAATCAGCTGGGCGTGGTGGTGCATGCCTGTAATCCCAGATACTCAGGAGCCTGAGGCATGAGAATCACTTGAACCCAGGAGGTGGAGGCTGAGTGAGTCGAGATCATGCCAGAGCACTCCAGCTTGGGTGACAGAGTGAGACTCCATCTCAAACAAACAAACAAGCAAATAAATAAATAAAACATATGAAGTGGAGAAAGTATGTGTTTGCTGGGGGAATCCTTCCCAAACCTTCCCCAGCCTTTGAAAAAGTTTTTCTTATGTACTTAATTACTACTTTAGGCTGTAATAATATTTTAACAAGCATAATCACTGGCTTCTTCTGATGGCCTTTCAGACTTTTTCGGTTTTTGAGACAGTCTTGCTCTGTCATCCGAGCTGAGGTGCAGTGGCATGATCATGGCTCACTGCAGCCTCAACCTCCTGGGCTCAAGCAGTCTTCCTACCTCATCTTCCCAAATAGCTGAGACTACAGGTGTGTGCCACGATGCCTGACTAATTTTTAAACTTATAGAGACTAGGTTTCACTGTGTTGCCCAGGCTGGCCTCGAACTCCTGTACTCAGGCCATCCTCCTACTTTGGCCTTCCACAGTGTTGGGATTACAGGTGTGAGCCACTGTGCCTGGTGTGTTTCAAACTTGAAGTTAGTTTTATGATGTAAACGTGGAGAAAAACATGAATTACCTCTTGAAAACTGAGGGAATAGGTTGGAGGAGAAGGTAACAATACATTACTGTTTCGGAAAGTTAGAGAAAGATAGGGGAGGGAGTAAGCAATGGATAGATAAGTTAGGTAAGTGTAGCATTCTTATTTTTAACGTAGCAATTGTCATAAGCTGTCACAGTTAATTTCCAGGAATAGCCAAGTATACTGAAAGTGTACATTTTTATCTCTTTCTCTGTAGTGAACAGTTCTGACTCCTTGAATTTCTTCTTGCAGCTCATGTTTTTTGGCTAGACCTATGACCATTTTCGCTAGACTTCACTGCACGTTTTCTCAAGTATCTTCTTTGTCCCTAATGTGTGACACCTCATCATGGACACGCTACTTTAGCTAAGGCATGACCAGCAATGAACAGTAGTAAGGTAGGATTACTTTATTCTTCTTAGTAAGTTACTAAACCGTTTTTTATTTTGGGTCTCTGAAATTGTGACTTGTCTTGATTTTGTAGTATTCTTTATGTTAGATTATTCTACTGTCTATGTAGGCTGTTACTGTTTTATATTTGTGTTTATTTATTTTTTGCTTGTCATCTATCCCAATGATTTTACCTCATTTGTGACATAATTATTTTTCTCAACTAACACTTATAATTAGCAGAATCCCAATCTGTATCTCTTCCTCAATCTGTGTGCCCACCAGTCCTATATTTTCAACCATTTGGCACCAAACTGAACATATCATATTTTTCTTCTCAAATACTTGCACTTTGTTCTGATTTCTGTATTTCCATTAATAGCATTATTAATCTCATTGTCTAATATAATCATATATTCATTGATTCATTAATTCATTTGAGGTACATTGATATTCTTCTAAGTGTCATACAGTGTGCTGCCTCTGAGGATGTAATGATGAATACACTGGATGTTCCATCCTTATTTCTATCCTTATATTCTGGGGGAGGGGATAGGTTAAAAATAAATTGACAAAACAATTATGAATTATAATACAATTTTTTTTTTTTTTGAGACAGGGTCTGGCTCTGTCGCCCAGGCTGGAGTGCAGTGGCACAATCTTGGCTCATTGCAACCTCCGCCTCCTGGGTTCAAGCGATTCTCCTGCCTCAGCCTCCCAAGTAGCTGGGATTACAGGAGCTCACCACCACTCCTGGCTAATTTTTGTATTTTTTTAGAAGAGATGGGGTTTTGCCACATTGGCCAGGCTCTTCTCAAACTCCTGACCTCAGATGATCTTTCTGCCTCAGCCTCCTAAAGTGCTGGGATTACAGGCGTGAGCTACTGTGCCTGGCCTTATAATACAATTTTTTAAGGAAAGCAAAAGAACAGATAATTTGGAGTTGAGGAGGTGGAATCTACTTTAGATAGGGTCATATAAGGCTCCTCTGAGGGGCTGTAATTTAAGATGAGACCTATTATATGAGAAGGAGCTATTTAAAGAGTGAGTGTTGGGGCAGGGGAAGGGAGTAGTTTTTGATTGGAAGAGCATTCTCATTAGAAGGAATATGGTGTGCAGAAACCCTGAATGAGGAAGGAGCTTGGTGAATTTGAGGGACCAAAAAATACCAGTGTGGTTGACACAGAGAAAGAGGCAGATTTGAGTAGGAAGAGATTATAGAAATATTTAGGGCTTTGAAGGGTTTGGCCCGAGGTTTGCATTTTATATCATTTTAACTGCTGTGTGAGACATGGACTGGTTGAAAGGAAAGTGAAAGCTGGCTTTTAGGAGCTGAGGTGAGATAGTGATGGCCTGCATGATGGTTGTAGCAATAAGGGAGAGATGGATGAATTTGAGATGCATTTTTGTGTTTTTTTTAGACAGAACTCATAGGACTTGTATGTTGTTTGGGCATGGAAAGAGAGAGAGAGAACATACTCAAGGATGACTTCAAGAATTTTGGTTTTTGAGCAGCTGATTAGAAGCTGGTATCATGTACAGAAACCTTTTAGAAAACTATCTTTCTTGTTAACTGATGGATTGCTTATTTTAGCAAAAGGCACTTAGCTATAGTGCTAGAAATAATATTAGTGCTGGAAATAAAGCATCTGGCAAATTTGTAATATATACTAGTTAATACTTTATTTTGCTTTTTTTCCACTGATGATGATGATGATGATGATGATTTTTTTTTGAGACGGAGCTTCACTCTTGTTGCTCAGGTTGGAGTGCAATGGCACAATCTCGATTCACCACAACCTCCACCTCTTGAGTTCAAGCGATTCTCCTGCCTCAGCCTCCCAAGTAGCTGGGATTACAGGCATGTGCCACCATGCCCGGCTAATTTCGTATTTTTAGTAGAGATGAGGTTTCTCCATGTTGGTCAGGCTGGTCTCGAACTCCCGGCCTCAGGTGATCCTCCCACCTTGGTGTCCCAAAGTGCCGGGGTTACAGGCATGAGCCACTGCGCCTGGCCTTGTATAATTTTTAATTAATTATGAGTTGAATTTTATCTGACTTCAGAGTCTTTCTGGAAGTAAAAATAATTGGTCTATACTTTTATACTGAGTTTTAAGTCTACTATCCCTTGTGCTCTTTTAAAAGAGATAATTCTTTTAAGATTTTTGGCCAGTCCGAAATCTTCCCAGACTGTTAATTCAAAGTTCTAATATGTAATTTTATTGTTATTTATTTCAAAGATTTCCTTTTTTCTTTCTTTATGGGACAGAGTCTCGCTGTATTGCCCAGGCTGGAGTGCAGTTGCACAATCACAGCTCATTGCAGCCTGGAGACGGAGACAGAGTTTTGTTATGTTGTGCAGGCTGTTCTCCTGAGCTCAAGCCATCCTCCCACCTCAGTCTCCCAAAGTGTTGGGACTACATCTGTGAACTACAGTGCCTGGCCTATTTGGAGATTTTCAAGCATCTCACCCTTAGATGTATGTCATACTAACCTCACTTGAAAGCATCTAGCTTGTCTAAATTCCTAGGAGGTTCATTTATTATCTTTTTGGTTTTACAGCTTCATCAGAGGATATTTATATTCAGCTTCTTAGGATTGATATTTCAGGTGCAAAGTGAAATGGAATAAACCTTAAAATAAATCTGTGTATTATTCGTTTCTTCTAAATTCATCAGTAGTCCTACCTTTCATTTTTTTCTCTGAAAAAAAATTTTTTTTTTTGAGATGGAGTCTCACTCTGTCACCCAGGCTGGAGTGCAGTGGTGTGATCTCGGCTCACTGCAACCTCTGCCTCCCGGGTTCAAGCAGTGTTCTGTCTCATCCTCCCGAGTAGCTGGGATTACAGATGCCCGCCACCATGCCCAGCTAATTTTTGTATTTTTAGTAGAGACAGGGTTTCACCATGTTGGCCAAGCTGGTCTTGAACTCCTGCCCTTGTGATCCACCTGCCTCGGCCTCCCAAAGTGCTGGGATTACAGACTTGAGCCACCATGCCCGGCCCCTCTGAAGAATTTTTAAGATGTTTTCTCAAAAAAGTTAGTGTGTGTGCTGTCTATAAAAGGCATTTGGTTATCTGTTTTAACTATTTTATTTTTATCCTTAAACAGTTCTATTTTTTCCACTTTGCATATGGTTATCTTTTGAGTTTTAGAGCTGAGAGGTAGTAGTAGAATTTTAGTAGTAGTAGGATTTTATAACTGAAAAATGCCTTGGAGATTATTCCACTTCCTTCTCCTTTAGCTGGGACCTAGAGAGGTTCTGTGACCTGCCCAAGATCATGTAGCTGGCTTTCATAATTGTTGAGGCTAGTGCTGCTTTCACTCATCATGCTTCAAACTGGTCTCCTCTCATGCTTTCTGTATTTCTCTCTTTTCAACATTTATTGAAAATGTTCAGTGCCACATCAAAATTGAGTATATAGGACAATGAACACCTATATTACCTTTTACCTGGACTCACTGTTAACATTTTGCCACATTTTCTTTGTTCACATATTTATATATGTAAAAAATATGTTAAAAAATCATTTGAAACAATATTAAAGACATCATGATAACTTAAAACTTTTAGCATGCAGATCCTGAGAACATGGGTAATTTCCTACATAATCACAGTACCAATATCATATATAAGAAAATAACCATAACATTAAGAATGTATTTGTCTTTTTGTTCATTTTGGCTGCTATGACAAAATACCTGAGACTGAGTAATTTATAAACAACAGAAATTTATTTTGCATGGTTAGGGAGTCTAGGAAGTCCAACATCAAGACACCAGCAGGTTTAGTGTCTGGAGAAGGCTTGTTCTTCATAGTTTGTGCCTTTTTGGTGACCTCATATGACAGGAGGGATGGAACTGCGAAGGGGGAATGCAGCTCTCTGCAGCCTCTTTTATAGGGCATTAATTCTGTCTATGAGTGCAGATCATTCATGGCCTAGTCACCTCCTGAGGGCCCCTACTCTTAATACTGTCACCTTGGGGGGTTAAGTTGAATTTTGGAGGGACACATATATTCAAACCATAGTAGTGTTTAATGCAGTGGTTCGTATTCAGATCTCCCCTGTTATGCCATATATATATGTATGTATATATATATACACATATATATGTATATATTTTGTTGTTGTTGTTATAGGATTCAAGCAGGTTTCATGTATTGCATTTGCTTCTTATGCCTCTTTATTCTTTTTTATTTTCAAACAGCTGCTTGCTTTTTTTTTCATGATCTGTATTTTCTTTTAAGAGATAAGATTTGTATGTACTTAACATCTCTTCTGGGAATTGCCTGGTTTCTTAGAATACTATTCAACCAAAATTTATTTGCAGTTTGCCTCTTTGTTTAAATTCCCTGAGATAGCTGGAGATAACATTGTCATTTCCAAGCTTTTTTTTCCTCAAAACATAATTTCAACTTTAAATATACATGACATTGGCTGTGGTTTTTACATTTGGTTGCATTAAGTTAAAGATAAGAAAACTGGGAGATGTATGTTGGACTTGATCTGCTGGCACTAGTCAGCAATTGAAATTCAAGGCGTTCCTCCTCCACCCTCCATTGCCTATACTCACCTTCTAACCAGGAATTCTATCTAGGAATATGTATCTATTAATAGTAGCTTTGGACATTATAAAGCAGTAGCAGTCTAGTCTTTCAGAAATGCATACTTTCAAGTCAGAAGTAGATTAAAATGCAAATGATGTGTAAGCAAGTACATAGAGACACTCAGAGCTAAGCACAATCAGAAAAGATTTAATTAAATACCCTCTCTCTCTGGTACTTGTGTAGAACTGTCACTCAGCGAGTGTTCTCTTTTACCTTCTTTCCGTGCTTTTGCGTTTCATAGATTTGGTAGGTTTTCTTTGAGAAGGGTATGAAATTTGGAACGAGTGTAGCTTTTTTAGGAAGAGGTAGGGATAACTTTTAAGTAGGATATTTACTTTTATTTATTAATTTTTTATTATTTTAAGCTCAGGGTTACATGTGCAGGATGTGCAGGTTTATTATATAGGTAAACATGTGCCATGGTGGTTCGCTGCACAGATCATCCCATCACCTAGGTATTAAGCCCATCATCCATTAGCTATTCTTCCTGATGCTCTCCCTTTCCCCACACCCCTGCTGTCCCACAGGCCCCAGTGGGTATTGTTCCCCTCCCTGTGTCCATGTGTTCTCATTGTTCAGCTCCCACTTAGGAGTAAGAACATGTGGTATTTGGTTTTCTGTTCCTACGTTACTTTGCTGAGAATTATGGCTTCCAATTCCATCCATGTCCTTTCAAAGGACATAATCTCATTCCTTTTTATGGCTGCATAGTATTCCATGGTATATATGTACACTTTTTTTTAATCCATTCTATCATTGATGGCCATTTAGGTTAATTCCGTGTCTTTGCTGTTGTGAATAGTGTGGCAGTGAACATATGCATGCATGTATCTTTATAATAGAATGATCTGTATTTCACTGGGTATATACCCAGTAATGGGATTGCTGGGTCAAATGATATTTCTGTCTCTAGGTCTTTGAGGAATCGCCACACTGTCTTCCACAATGGTTGAACTAATTTACACTACCACCAACAGTGTAAATGCATTCATTTTTCTCCACAACCTCACCAACATCTGTTGGTTTTTGACTTTTTAATAATAACCATTCTGACTGGTGTGAGATGGTATCTCATTGTGGTTTTTGTTTGTTTGTTTATTTTACTTTAAGTTCTGGTATACATGTGCAGAATGTTCAGGTTTATTACATAGGTATATGTGTGCCATGGTGGTTTGCCGCACCTATTGACCCATCCTGTAAGTTCCCTCCCCTCACCTCCTCACCCCCCAACAGGCCCTGGTATGTGTTGTTCCCCTCCCTGTGTCCATGTGTTCTGATTGTTCACCTCCCACTTATGAGTGAGAACGTGGGATGTTTGGTTTTCTGTTCCTGTGTTAGTTTGCTGGGGATGATGGCTTGCAGCTTCATCCATGTCCCTGTAAAAGATATGAGCTCATTCCTTTTTATGGCTGCATAGTATTCCATGGTGTGTATGTACCACATTTTCTTTATCCAGTCTATCATTGATGGGCATTTGGGTTGGTTCTGTCTCTGCTATTTTAAATAGTGCTGCTGCAATAAACATACGTGTGTGTGTGTCTTTATAGTAGAATGATTTATGTTCCTTTGGATATAGACCCAGTAATGGGATTGCTGGGTCAAGTTGTATTTCTGGTTCTAGATCCTTGAGGAATTGCCATACTGTCTTCCACAATGGTTGAACTAATTTACATTCCCATCAACAGTGTAAAAGCATTCGTATTTCTCCACAGCCTCTCCAGCATCTATTTTTTCTTGACTTTTTAATAATCACCATTGTGATTGGCATGAGAGGTTATCTCATTGTGCTTTTGATTTGCATTTCTTTAACGATCAGTGGAGCTTTTTTTCATGTTTGTTGGCTACATAAATGTCTTTTTTTGAGATGTGTCTGTTCATATCCTTTGCCCACTTTTAGAAGGGTTTTTTTTTTCTTGTAAATTTGTTTTAGTTCCTTGAAAATTTTGGATATTAGACTTTTGTCACATGGGTAGATTGCAAAAATTTTCTCCCATTCTGTAGGTTGCCTGTTCACTCTGATGATAGTTTCTTTCACTGTGCAGAAGCTCTTTAGTTTAATTAGATCCCATGTGTCAATTTTGGCTTTTGTTGCAATTGTTTTTGGCATTTTCATCATGAAGTCTTTGCTCATGCCTATGTCCTGAATGATTTTGTCTAGGTTTTCTTCTAGAATTTTTATGGTTTTGGGTTTTAAATTTAAATCTTTAATCCATCTGAGTTAATTTTTTTGTAGGGTGTAAGGAAGTGGTCCAGTTTCAGTTTTCTGCATATGGCTAGCCAGTTTTCTCAGCACCATTTATTGACTAGGAGATCCTTTCCCCATTGCTTGTTTTTGTCAGGTTTGTCAAGGATCAGTTGGTTGTAGATGTGTGGTGTTATTTCTGAGGTCCCTGTTCTGTTCCATTTGTCTATATATCTGTTTTGGTACTAGTACCATGAATGAATTTTGAATGAATTAATTGTATCCTCATTACCTGTGAACTTGTCTAGTTATTTTTACTACACTGTAAATTGTTTGAAGGCAGTAATCTAGATTTTATTCATCTTTGTATCCCTTACGATTATCTGTCACATGATTCCCTAATAAATGCCTGTTGATTTATATCAATACCTTAAAGAAAACATTTTTGTTAATAATTCTGCTCTCCTTAAATAATTTTAAATATCAGTACTTCAAATGTAGTTTAAAAATAAAAATATAATAGTTGATTTAAAAGCAAACATGTTATTCATTTGTTTATAGACTTTCAAAGTTTTTATTAATTGTTTTCTCTCAGTGGGAGATCATCATGCGTTAATGTTGCTCCAATAGGCTGGCCAGTCAGGTGCTGTTTCACTTGCATGTAACTTTTATATTAAATTGAGTTAGAACCAACACTTTCAAATTAAGAAAGCATAGGAGGAGTTTTAAATATTATGTCCATAGGTAGTGAAGGTCAGCATATGTTAATTGGTAATGAATGATATTATTTTGGTAGCTAAGCTTTGGTGACTGTTCATTTCTGCGTTTAAGTGCTTCTGAAAAAAGACCTCGCTTTGTATTCATGTGAGGTTAGTTTTTTGGTTTGTACTTGCATGCTTAGTGGCTTTTTGTGACTTTGTTTCTATCTTGCTGTGGCAGCTTAATATTTTATTCAAACACAGTCACTCTATTTGTGACTTCTAACTGTCAGTATTGAAGCATGTAAAAGGTAGGAAATACCTTATGATAATTCATCTTGTACTTTATTTTATAGTCTTTATACAAACATATTCTGATAATATAACTTGAACCATAAACTAATTTTGATAGGTTTTTATTAGTCAAGGATTATAAATTCAAGCTGTATTGAATTTCCTTCTAGTTAATAAGAATATATGTTGGGGGAAGAATGAAGGATTTCTTATTTCTGTTACATAGTTTTTATTCACGTATTTCTGATTTTTATAAATTAGTGTACTTTCAGTAGTATAGTTGAATCTCTATATCAATGTTAAAATAAATAAATGAATATTTTCAACCATAAAACATAATCCTGTTAAAAAATAAATTGCCCCTACAATTTAGGCAATTTATTACTAATTACAAAAAAGCAAATATTTAAAACTAATTAAATTTCATGTTAGGTAAAAACAATATTTCCATCTTTGTACTTGGAGAATGTAAAAATTGCCAGTTGTGGAGGCAAAAGTTGAAAAACAGGAGACATTTTATACAGATACTTGCATATACCCTTATATTCACAAGAAATACTGTGGGAATCCGATTATCCTTCCAAGGAAACTAGTTATCTGTTTTACATTTTGCTTTTTAATAACTTCCATTTCTGTTTAAAAACTGTGTATTTATAGATTTATTTTATGTAAATTAAACTTCTGATTTTAGAAAACAGCAATTTTAATGGTTTTTTAAAAAAGTTTTAAATCAGTATTTATGGTGAATTGAAAACTCAACATGTAAGCACTCACTTAATCCTAAATACCAAATTAAATAACATTAAACAAGATAGATTTAAATAAATCTAAATGGTCAATACTTTGTAGGATTTTTACTAGTTTTGCTTTTTAAAAATATACTTTTTAAAAGTAGATACTGTTGCTAATAACATGCATACACTTTTGTGTAATATTCTGTTTCTGCCTGATTTATACTTACTATGCAGGAAATCATAGAAACTATTGTTTAAAAATCTCATTTTTTTAACCTCGTCATGCCAGGCATATTGGCCTATGCCTGTAATCCCAGCACGTTGGGAGGCCAGGGTGGGAGGATTGCTTGAGGCCAGAAGTTGGAGACCAGCCTGGGATTATTGTTGTTGTTTTTTAACTGGTGAATTTGGAAAGATCTTTATAGTTATAAATTGTACTTTGTCAGATATATGGCTTGCAGATATGGCTTGCAGATATTTGCTCCCAATCTGTAGCTGGTCTTATTCTTATTTTTATTTTTATGTAATAGAATTTTTTTAGAGCAGTTTTAAGTTAACAGCAAAATTTGGAGAAAGGTACAGAGATTTCCCACATACTTCCACCCACTACATATCCTCTGTTATCAATATTTCTCACCAGAGTGGTATATTTGTTTACAATTGATGAACCTACACTGATATGTCATTATCCCCCAAAGACTGTAGTTTACATTAGGGTTCACTCTTGGCATTGTACATATTATGGGTTTGGAAAAATATACAGTGACATGTATGCACCATTATAGCA
Source organism: Homo sapiens (assembly GCF_000001405.40). Taxonomy (NCBI): domain Eukaryota; kingdom Metazoa; phylum Chordata; class Mammalia; order Primates; family Hominidae; genus Homo; species Homo sapiens. The sequence continues at coordinate 108,777,534 of NC_000005.10, forward strand.
TCATAGAGGGTAGTTTCACTGTCCTAAAAATCCTCTGTACTCCAACTATTCATTCCTCTCTTCCCTCTAAACCCTGGCAACCACTGATCTTTTTACTGTTGTATGAGTCCATTTTCACACTGCTGATAAAGACATACCTGAGACTGGGAATTTTACAAAAGAAAGAGGTTTATTGGACTTACAGTTCCACATGACTGGGGAGGCCTCACAATCATGGTGGAAGGCAAGGAGGAGCAAGTCACATCTTACGTGGATGGCAGCAGGCAAAGAGAGAGCTTCTGTAGAGAAACTCCCATTTTTAAAACCATCAGATCTCGTGAGACCCATTCACGATCAAGAGAATAGCAAGGGAAAGACCCACCCCCATGATTCAGTCATCTCCCACAGGGTCCCTCCCACAACATGTGGGAATTATGGGAGCTACAAGATGAGATTTGGGTGGGGACACAGAACCAAATCATATCAACTGTCTTCATAGTATTGCTTTTTTCAGAATGTCATATAGGTATAATTGTGTCATATATAGCCTTTTCTGATAGACTTCTTTCATTTAGTAAGGTGCATTTAAATTTCTCCATGTCTTTTCATGGCTTGATAGTTCAGTTCTTTTTAGTGCTGAATAATATTCCATTGTTTGTATTTACCACAGTTCATCTATTCACCTACTGAAAGACATCTTGGTTGCTTCCAAGTTTTGGCAATTATGAATAAATCTGCTGTAAACATTGATGTTCAATGTTCAGGTTTTTGTGTGGATATAAAATTTCAACTCTTTCCATACCAAGGACTTACGGGGCATTTAATTTAATCATAGTTAATATGATTGCATTTTGTATGGTAAGAGTATGTTTAGTTTTGTAAGAAACTGCCAAACTGTCTTCCAAAGTGGCCATACCATTTTGCATTCTTACCAGCAATAAATGAAAGTTCCTGTTGTTCCACATCCTCACCAGCATTTAGTGTAAACAGCGTCCTGGATTTTGGCTGTTCTGATAAATGTGAGGTGGTGTCTCAATGTTGTTTTAATGTGCATTTCCTAGAAATCATGTGATGTGGAGCATCTTTTCATATGCTTATTTTCTGTCCGTGTATATTATTTGGTGAGTTGTCTGTTAAGGTCTGTGGCCCATTTTTAAATTGGGTTGTTTTCTTATTATTCTTTGTACATTTTGGATAACGGTCCTTTTTCAGAAATATCTGTTATAAATATATTTTCCCAGTTTGTGGTTTATCTTTTCATTCTCTTGACAGTGTGTTTCAAAGAGCAGAAAATATAATTTTAATGAAGTTCAGCTTATTCTTTCTTTCATGGATTGTGCCTTTGGTGTTAAATCTCAAAAGTCATATTCAAACTCAAGGGAATCTAAATTTTCTCCTATGTTGTCCTCTAGGAGTTTTACTTTTGCATTTTACATTTTGGCCTATGATTGATTTTGAGTTAATTTTTGTGAAGTGTGTAAGATCTGTGTCTAGGCTCTTTTTTTTTTTTGCAAGTGGATGTCCAATTGTTCTAGCACCATATAGTGAAAAGACTATCTTTTCTTGGTTGTATTGCTTTCTTTGTCAAAGATCAGTTGACTGTATTTTTGTTGATCTATTTGTATACTCTCTATTCTGTTCTATCGGTCTATTTGTCTGTTCTTTTGCTCATGCCACACTTGTCTTGATTACTGTAACTTTATTGTAAGTCTTGAAACTGGGCAGTATCAGTCTTCCAACTTTATTCTTTTCCTTTAATGCTGTGTTGGCTATTCTGGGTCTTTTGCCAGCATCTATTTACTGATCTACACAAAATAACTTGATAAGATTTTGATTGGGATTAAATTGAATCTATAAATGAAATTGGGAAGAATTGACATTTTGACAATATTGACTCTTCTTGTCCATGAACATGGAATATCTCTTCATTTATTTAGTTCTTTGATTTCTTTAATCAAAAGTGTGTAAGTTTTTCTCATATTCATCTTGAACATATTTTGTTAGATTTATATGTAAGTATGTCATTTTGGAGGCTACCAATATAAATGTTGTTGTGTTTTTACTTTCAAATTGTACTTGTTCATTGCTGGTATGTAGGAAAGCAATTGACTTTTGTGTATTAGCCTTGAAGCCTGCCATTGCTGTAATTGCATATTAGTTCAAGGAGTTCGTTGGGTCAATTCTTTCAGATTTTCTACACAGTCAATCTTGTCATCTGTGAACAAACACAGTTTTATTTTATTTTTTCCGATCAGTACACTTTAAAAATCTCCTTCTTATCTCACTGCATTAGCTAGGACTTCCAGTAAGATGTTGAGAAGGAGAGGTGACGGGACAACCTTGCCTTGTTCCGGATTTTAGTAGGATCAAAATAATAAAATACTAATTACCACCTCCATCCTTTGTACCATTGCTGTTATTTATTACACTTATAGATAAACATACATAAGCATATATCTGTATACACACACATAAGCATACATAATCGAATATATTGTTGCTGCTATTTTGAACAAATGCTTATGTGTTAGATCGACTGAGAGTGAGAAAAACACATAAGCATACATAATCAAATATATTGTTGCTGCTATTTTGAACAGATGCTTATGTGTTAGATCAATTGAGAGTAAGAAAAACAAATGTTCTTTAAATCTTACCTTCACTTATTCATCTCCAGTACTTTTCTTTATATAGATCTCAATTTCTGACCTCTATCATTTTTCTTCCCCCTGAAGAACTTTTCTTTTGGACATTTCTTGCAAGTTGGATCTACTGGCAACAAATTCCCTCAATATTTATGTTTGAGAAACTATTTCTCTTTCACTTTTGAAGGATAATTTTTCAAGGTACATAATTCTAGGTTAGTGGGTTTTTTTTTTTTAATTTTTTACTTTTTATCTTAAGATTTTAAATAATTCACTTCACTCCCTTCTTGCTTATATGGTTTTGGAGGTAATGTCAATGTAATTATTCTCTTTGCTCTTTGATAGGTAATGTCTTTTTTCCACTGTCTTCTTTCAGGATTTTTTCTTTATCTTTTATTTTCTGTAGTTTGAATTGTGATAAGCCTAGGTGTAGTTTTTTGTTGTTGTTGGTTGTTTGTTTTTTAATCATTATCCTGCTTGGAGTTTTCTGAGCTTTTTGGATTGGTGGTTTAGTGCTGACATTGATTTGGTGAAATTGTCATTTATTATTGTTTCAAATATTTTTTCTGTTCCTTTCTCTCATTCTTCTTTTGGTATTCCCATTACATGTATGTTACACCTTTTTTAGTTGTCCCACAGTTTTTGTATATTCTGCTCTGTATTTTTTCAGTCTATTTTCTGTTTGCTTTGTAGTTTTTTTTTTTAGGTATCTATTGGGATATCCCTTAGATATTCTTTCCTCAGCTGTGTCCAGTCTACTAGACTGAGCCTATCAACTTAATTGAACCCAACATAGGCATTCTTCATTTCTGTTACAGTGTTTTTGATCTCTGGTGTTTCTTTTTGGTTCTGTCTTAGAATTTTCATTTCTCTGCTTACATTGCCCATCTGTTCTTATATGCAGTCTATTTTATCCATTAGAACCCTTAGCATATTAATCATAGTTGTTTTTAGTAATTGAGCTGATGATTCTCACATCCTTTGCCATGTCTGAGTCTGGTTCTTATACTAGCTCTCTTTCTTCAGACTGTGTTTTTTTGTTTGTTTGTTTGAGATGGAGTCTCACTCTGTCACCCAGGCTGGAGTGCAGTGGTATGATCTTGGCATACTGCAACCTCTGCTTCCTGGGTTCAAGCGATTATCCTGCCTCAGCCTCCCAAGTAGCTAGGATTACAGGCGCCTGCTTACCACACCTGGCTAATTTTTGTGTTTTTAGTAGAGATGGCATTTCACCATGTTGGCCAGGCTGGTCTTGAACTCCTGACCTCAGGTGATCCACCTGCCTCGGCCTCCCAAAGTGCTGGGATTACAGGCGTGAGCCACCGTGCCCAGCCCAGCCTGTGTTTTTTGCCTTTTAGTGTGACATATAAATTTTTCTTGATAGCTGAAGCTGATGTCTTGGGTAAAAGGAGCTGCTGTATAGGTCTTTAGTAATGTGGCAGTAAGGTGTTGGGGGATAGGAAGCATTCTACAGTCCAATGATTATATCTCAGTCTTTTAATGAGTCTCTGTGTCTCTGGGTGTGACCTTCACAGATGTTTGTTAGCACTATCCCCGTCTCCCAAGGTAAGACAGCATGGCTAGTATGGGCTGCAATTGGTATTTCCTATTTCCCTTCCTATAAGTTAGTTAGACTCTGATAGAACCCCAGCAGGCTCTGACTAAATAGTTTCTCCTGAAGGAAAGACCTTATTAAGAACAGAATGTTCTAGCTTATTTAAAAATGATTTTGTTTTCCCTCCCTCTGTCAGAAGTAATAGGGTTTTTTTTTTTTCCCCCACCCTGTCATACATACTGTGAGAACCATATTGATTTACTGGAGGTGAAACTAATAAAAGTATGAAGGCTGTCTTATGACTGAGTCCCCCTGGCTTTTTAAGTTTCCCACTTGTTGGCACTGAGCCTTCAGCAGTTTGTCAATTACAGTTCAGTTTTTCCTACCCTGCACTGGTTCCTGCAGAGTTTTCTGCTTCAGTTTGATGGGATTCTTTGCAGTCACCTGTTCCTCCAGTTTGTGGGGCAGTGGTTTGCCGTGTGACTTCATTTCTCTTACTGATCCTAGAAGAGTTGTAGATTTTTCAGTTTGTTTAGCTTTTCTTGTTGGTAGGATGGCCTAGTGACTTCCAAGTATTTTTTTTTTTTTTAAGAGATGAAATTTTGCTATGTTGCCCAAGCTGGACTCAAACTCATGGCCTTAAATGATCCTCCCCCTTCAACCTCCTGCATAGACCACGTTTCTTACATGCCCAGTAGAAGCCAGAAGTTGCAACTTGTTTTATCTTGTTCACATGAGCAAAATATTTTACTTTTGATGAGGTCCATTTTATTCATTTTTTCTTTTTTGGATTGTGGTTTTGGTATCAAATCTAAGGACTCTGCCTAGCTTTAGATCTGAAAGATTTCCTCCTGTATTTTTTTTCTCTAAATGTTAGCAGCTTTATGTTTACATGTAAGTCCATAATCCTTTTGAGTTAAATTTTTGTTTTCTTTTTATTTTTTTGGTAGAGATGGGGTCGCGCTTTGTTGCCTAGGCTGATCTTGAACTCCTGGGCTCAAGCAATATGCCTGCTTTGGCCTCTCAGAGTGCTGGGATTACAGGTATGAGCCACTGTGCAAGGACTGAGTTAAATTTTGTAACAGTTGCCAGTCAAGTTTCTTTTTTCTTTTCTGCCAATAGATGCCTAATTGCCCCTGTACTGTTTGTTGAAAAGGCTATTCTTCTTCTATTGAATTACTGTTAGCCCTTTGTCAAAAATCAGTTAAACATATTTGTGTTGGTTATTCCTGGATTCTCTGTTCTGTTTCATTGATCTATTTTCTGTCTTCTACTAATAGTACACTGTCTTGATTTCTGTAGCTCTACAGCAGGCTGGACCATATTTCTTTGAATTATCTTTCAGTCTGGCTCTCTTTCTCTTCTCCTTGCACTCTGATGATACAAATGTTGGATCTTTTGTTGTTGTCCCACAGGTCCGTGAGGCTTTCTTAATTTTTTCTATTTTTTTCTGTGTTGTTTGGATTGGGTGAATTCTGTTGTTCTGTCCATAAGCTCATTGACTGTATCCTGTGTCATCTTCACTCTACTATTGAGCCTATCTAGCTTGTCTTTTGTTATTGCATTTCTTAGTTACATAATTTTCATCTGGTTATTTTTATAACTTTTATTTCCTTGCTTTGATCTTCTATTTTTACATTTGTTTTAAGAGAATTTACAATTGATTGTTGAAGCATTTTTACGATGGTTGTTTTAAAATTCTTGTCAGATAATTTCAACATCTGATTCATCTAGGTGTTTGCATTGGTTGATTGTCTTCTCTCATTCAAGTTATGATTTTTCTTGGTTCTTGGTGTGACAGGTGATTTCCATTTGAAACTTAAATATTTTGTCTAATATGTTAGGAGATTCTGAGGGCTAGTTCAACCTTTTATTTTCACAAGCAATCATCCTGTTTAGGTTTATCATGCAGGTCTTAGCCTATATTTTTGTGGGTTGTGCTTCCAATGATAGTTTAATTTTGAGTCTGCACTGTTGTTTTGGTTGGCTTCTTGTATCTAGTGGCACTAGGGCTCCCACTGGTCTCTGCTGATGCTGCCTGAGGGAGTAGGGATTCATTCTTAGGCTGAGTTAGTGTATATCTATTGCTGGGGAAGGGATGGGCTGGGATTTCCTTACCATGCTCCCTGCTACCCTGATGTCTCTGGACAGGGGAGGAGAGTCTTGGACATGTGGAGAACAAGAGGCTTCCTGAGATTGGATATCTAGCAAAACTGGGTTTGGCTTGCCAGTTCTGACTGCCTGTTCTGATGTCTGTGGGTAGAGAAGGAGATCCTCAGACCTGTGAAGGCTGAGGTTCTTGACTGGTTCCTGACTAGGCCCTCTGGTTTCATGCCTGTCTTTGTTTCTCTTGATGGAAAAGGGGAATCTCGATTTGCCATCATCATGACTGAGCAGATGACCCTTTGTGGCACCCTCAGGGCCCCAACGGCTGGGTAAACCAGACCACTGCTACTCCACAGTTCCTGGACAAGATCCTGTCCACCTCTCAAGACAAGAGCATCATTACGTAGAAATTGAGCAGGGAAGATTCCAACTATGGCATCCCACAACATGCTCTGTGGGGTCACTCCCACTTTTTTAGTGACTTGGTCACCTCCTCAGATGGTCACATTACCCTCTCAAGCTCCTTGGATGGAACCCCATGCCTCTAGGATTTCACAATGGGCATCACCGTGAGACAATTTGTGGGCCATACCAAGGACGTGCTGAATGTGGCCTCCCCTGACAACCAGCAGATTGTCTGTGGATCATGAGATAAAACCTCAAGTTATAGAAAACCCTGGGTGCCAAGACCAGCTTGTTCGTGGAGACCCTAACTCAGCGGCGCTAGAGGAATTAAAGACGCACACACAGAAATATAACATGTGGAGTGGGAAATCAGGGGTCTCACAGGCTTCAGAGCTGAGAGCCCCAAACAGAGATTTACCCACATATTTATTGACAGCAAGCCAGTGATAAGCATTGTTTCTGTAGATTATAGATTTACTAAAAGTATTCCTTACGGGAAACAAAGGGATGGGCTGAAACAAAGGGATGGGCTCTGGCTAATTATCTGCAGCAGGAACATGTCCCTCAGGCACAGATCGCTCCTGCTATAGTTTGTGGTTTAGGAATGCCTTAAGTGGTTTTCTCGCCCTGGGTGGGCCAGGTGTTTCTTGCCCTCATTCCGGTAAACTGACAGCCTTATAGCATGGGAGTCATGGCCATCATGAACATATCACAGTGCTGCAGAGATTTTATGGCCAGTTTTGGGGCCAGTTTATGGCCAGATTTGGGGGCCTGTTCCCAACACCTGGGTGTATGCAGATACACTGTCTAGTATGAGAGTCACAGAGTGGGTGTCTTGTGTTCGCTTCTTGCCTAACAGCAGCAACCCTATCACTGTCTCCTGTAGCTGGGACAAGCTGGTCAAGGTATGGAATCTGGCTAACTGCAAGCTGAAGACCAACCACATTGGCCACACAGGTTATCTGAACACTGTGACTATGTCTCCAAATGGATCCCTCTGTGCATCTGGAGGCAAGGATGGCCAGGCCATGCTGTGGGATCTCAACGAAGGCAAACACCTTTATATGCCAGATGGTGGGGGCATTATCAACACCCTGTGCTTCAGCCCCAACTGCTACTGGCTCTGTGCTGCCATGGGCCCCAGCATCAAGATCTGGGACTTAGGGGTAAATATCATCGTAGATGAACTGAAGCAAGAAGTTATTAGTACTGGCAGCAAGGCAGAACCACCCCAGTGTACCTCCCTGGCCTGGTCTGTTGGTGGTCATTTGTTTGCTGGCTACACAGACAACCTGGTGTGAGTGTGGCAGGTGACATGGGCACCTGCTAGAAGTTTATGGCAGAGCTTTAGAAATTAAGAAACGAACAAACTGGAAAAAAAAAAGTGGGGAGTCTCAGGCCTTATGGTGAAGGAGAGTGTTTCCCCTGGCTGTTTGTTTTTGTTGAGGTTCCTAGTTAATCTCTCTTGCTGGTGGTGTCTGGCTTCCTTGATATTTGTCAGAGGGACATCTATTCTATTCTGGGAGGAATTAGCCTGCATGGGCTGCCTTCTGCCCCTAGGCTGTGGCTGGGAAAAACCAGGTCTGTGTGGCCTTCTTCACTTGGGTGAGGTAGGCGTAAGTCATCCTGCCTCTGTGCTGTTCTTCTTGTTGTAGGGTTACAAAGGAGTTTGCCTTCTTCTTTCCACCTTCCAGAGTTCTTCGTTTGTCTCTTGCAGTATTTGTTTATATTTGTGCTTAGTGGGGATTAACTGGAAAAAATGGTCTGTGCCATCTTGTCTGGACCACAAGCTGGGTTTTCCTTCTAATTTCAGTTTCTGTGGCATGTGAGTGTGCAGGTAAACAAGTGGAGAGATACTCAGCAACACCCTGAGTTTGGCTTTGTTGGAGGCCCTGAGATTTACTCACTTTTAAAAGAGTTCATTAAACATCCTCTATGCCTGGACTTAAATTTCATTCACCAGTTCATCATAGAGTTCTGGAAAATTGTAAGCCAGTGCTGTCCTCCCTATGTTTTCTAAAGCCCTATGCTGGTACAGAGGGACTTTCTCTTTAGATATTTTCTTGACTTTCCCTAGTTTGGTCTATTCACTCTCTGCCTGCTTCTTTTCATATTGGAGTATCCAGTGTGAAGTCTCAGGATTTTGTTAACTTTTCTTTGCCAGAATATCTTCTGGCCTGGTTGGGGTAGTATTGGACTCACTGAAACCATGCTGTGAAACTTACGGAATAAGGTTGTACTCCTTTATTTGTTGGTGATATGTTTAAATTTTTGTTTTGTGTTTTTTCTTTTTTTGAGACGGAGTCTTGCTCCATCACACAGGCTGGAGTGCAGTGATGCGAGGGGGGCTCACTGCAAGCTCTGCCTCCCGGGTTCAAGTCATTCTCCTGTCTCAGCCTACCAAGCAGCTGGGGCTACAGGAGCCTGCTAGCACGCCCAGCTAATTTTTTGTATGTTTAGTGGAGACAGGGTTTCACTGTGTTAGCCAGAATGGTCTCGATCTCCTAACCTCGTGATCCGCCCACCTCAGCCTCCCAAAGTGCTGGGATTACAGGCATGAGCCACCGTGCCCGGCCAAATTTTTGTTTTTTCTTAAACCCTATTTTTTTTCACTATTGTCAGTAGGAGCTTTTGAAGTACTGCTTGATGATGAGATTTTTGCAGTTTTTACATCTTCCTCTAACTTTTGACATTGCTAATGATGGTGGTGGCAGCCTATCTGGAGCAGCTGCTGTGGAGACGCCAGCTGTGGCTGGGGAGGTGTGGCCAGGGCTGCACCCATCGGGGCTGTGCACTCTGCAGAGCCAGCAGGGGCTGGGAACAGGCGGGAGCTTTGTGCTCCTGGGTGCAGCTGCAGCTGCCCAGCTGCAGCTTGGGGCCCAGGAAGCCCCCTGCCCCTGTAGGCTTGAAAGTGCCTGCTCTCACCCCCTGGCCTCTCCCTGCTTCTGGCGCCTGCTCCAGGGTGGAGCAAAGCTGTGGCCAAGTCCAGGCACTGTTGCAACCCGGCCAGGTATGTGCATGCTCAGAGTGGTGCTGATATGCCAGCCCCTTGCCACCATCGTCCCCTCTGGACTTTGGGTATCGACAAGCGTAGGAGGGGGGCCGCAGGGGCTGAGGGCAGCTTGGCACCAGCCTGCAGGCGCCTCTTGGGACAGTCAGTTTGGGTGCCGTGGATGGCATGTTAAAGGCAGACAGGTTCCTAGGCAGAAAGGGGTGGGTCCCTGGTGAAACTTTACCTCAGGCCAGCGATGGCCTGAAGCCTGGGGGCTGGGCTGCCAGTTCTAGGTGAAGTCCGTGGCCCAGAGTGAGAACTTCATTGATGACTGTTTGGCAAATTTGATGGGGCTTTTTCTAGGCCCACCATGGCTGCCCATGGATGAATCAGTATGCAGTTCCCTGATTCTGAGCACATAAAAATCCCAGGCTCAGCCAGACACACATTAATCCAGATGACCTGCTTGCAGAAAGGAGCTACCCACTATGGGTCTCCTCCGCTGAGAGCTGGATGCTTGTTGGGACAACCTGCCTGTGGAAAGGAGCTGCCCACTACAGGTCTCCTCCCTTCTGAGTTGGGCACACATTGGGACAACCTGCCTGCAGAAAGGACCTACCCACTTTGAGTCTCCTGAGAGCCATTCTGTCGCTCAGTGAAGCTCCTCTCTGCCTTGCTCATCCTCCAGTTGTCTGCATACCTCATTCTTTCTGGATGTGGGACAAGTGCTTGGGACCTACTGAATGGTGGGACTAAAAAGAGCTGTAACACGAGCACAGTAGAAACATGCCCTCCAGTCACTACGCTGCGTGCAACGAGAAAGAGAGAAGATCTGTGGCCCTTCTGGGATTCCAGAGCTTGGGGCTACCTGAGCCAGGACTGTGACATGCTGTAACACCCTTTTTGGGACTCTGTGGTTCCTGGTATCTCTGAGCTTTCTGGTGCCATCGTTTTCCCCCTGTCCAGATGCTACTGAAGCTACGTGTTGTATGTCTGGTCCAACTGCAGCCTTGCACAGAGCCAGCGCCTGTGCTGGTGCCTGCCTGGAGCTGCCTGTCCTGCAGCAGCTGGTGTGCCTGGCTGTACACAGTGGACAGATCCCGCGCTTGCTCACTCACACACCCCTTGCTGCTCCACTCCTGGCTCACCCTTGGCATGTGTGGGATCCAGGCCAGTAGTGTGAGCTGAGTGCAGCCTGCCAGGCTGAGTGGATGGAATGAGTTCAGCGGGCACAAGTGAAACCCAAGCAGAGGCACCACTGGCTACAGAGGTTTCTGGCTGGCAAAGCAACACCCTAATGATCCTGCGACACTAATATCTTTTTTTTTTTTTCCCTCCTGATGCCTGTGACTCTGCCAGACCCCTGTTATCTTTTTGCTTACTTAATTTCTATCCTTTGGTTGGTTTCTCCTCCTTTCAGTCTTGGACTGCCAGGTTCTCATGGGTTTTATCCTTGACTCTCTGCTTTTCTGTCAACATTCAGTCTGTTGGTTTCATCTGTCACCTTTAAGTAATTGACTCTTGAATTTGGATTTTTAACCTTAATATTTTACCTAAAGGTAAAACTTGCAGCTGAAACGATTATAGTTTACTCAAAGTAGTTCCATATTCTTGTTCTTTCATTTCTATTGATACTGTCATGATTATTGATTTCTAAAGCCTTAAAAATTTTATTGAATTGTCTCTCTTTTGTTCACTAAATCCATTCACTAGGTCAAGAATCTTTCATTTTAATTCGCATTGACATTGTCAATTCTAGATCTTCATTTCTCAAGCTATGTTGGTATAATGGCTTCTTATGTCTTATTAGCTCCCAAATCAAAATCTATCTTTGTGTCTCTTTGTCCTTCTGTTTATTGAACGATAACATACACACAGAAAAGTGTACAAATCATAAGTGTTCAGCTTGATGAATTTTCACAAACTGACCATACTTGTGCAGCTAGTACCAACAAATTAATCTTTTTAAACTATTGTATTCATGATCTTGGTTTTCAAAAATTGTAACCTTGTGTTAACAAAAATTAATTTAAGGAGTTTGGGCTTTATTGGTTTCTTGAGCAGAGGACTAGCAGAAGATAAATTGGCATGCCATCTCCCACTACTTGTCACATAGAGTTTAATTTTGGAGATGTTTGCTATTTTAACTGTATCTCATACTCACTTTTTTTTTTTTGCCTTATACATCTCTATTTCCTGAAATACATTTCCCATTTGACTTTCTATATTCTAAATCATGATCATTATTTCAGTCCTAATTCATATCTTGCCATTTCTAAGAAATTTTCTGGGTTATTCCAGCTTTAATTAACTTGCAGTAATATTTGCAATAACAACAACAAAAACCCAGGAGATATCTGAAATATCTACCAACAGGAATTTTCTTTTTCTTCTTCTTCTTTTTTTTTTTTAAAAGACAGTGTCTCATTCTGTTGCCCTGGCTGGAGTGCAGTCTTGGCTCACTGCAACCTCCGCTTCCCAGGTTCAAGTGATTCTTGTGTCTCAGACTCCCAAGTAGCTAGGACTACAGGTGCACGCCACCATACCCAGCCAATTTTTGTATTTTTAGTAGAGATGGGGTTTTGCCATGTTGGACAGGCTGGTCTCGAACTCCTGACCTCAAGTGATCCACCTGCCTCAGCCTCCCAAAATGCTGGGATTACAGGTGTGAGCCACCACACCTGGCCCACCAGCAGGAATTTTTGATGAGAGAAAGGTAAACATTGTTATTACAATGCATTTAGAAACAGAAGTGATATTTTTCCAAGTTACAGAATAAAATGAACCACAATATCAGATACAGTTTTTTTTAAAAAATGTAAAATATTCGTTGGGTGCAATGGCTTGTGCCTGTAGTTTCAGCTACTTGGAAGGCCGAGGTGGGAGCATTGCTTGAGGCCAAGAGTTTGAGGTGGCAATGTGCTATTATTGTGCCTGTGAATAGCCACTGCACTCCAGCCTGGACAACATAGGGAGATCCCATCTTAAAAAACTGTATGTATACATATATGCATACACACCACACACACACACACACACACACACACACACACACACACTCTTACATACATATACATATGTGATTTTTTTTCTCTATTTGGAAAACTCTAATTTTTACCATGTCTTCAAATAAGATTATTGAAGTTAGAGAGCTAAAGCTCTTGCTTTTCTGTGTAGCTTAGAGGATATCAGCTGAATTAACAAGAAATTCACCTCTGGTATGGATGAACTAGAATGAAAGATAAAAGGTGTTTTTCTTCATTTCTTCTAACTGGCTCTGAAAGATTTTACTGCCTGAAATTCTAGGAAACTGGGGTACCAAATAAATTCTACCATCATTTTCAGGATTTATAATAAACAGGGTATTTTGGGGAAGCTTATGCTAACTGATCTTTAGATAATTATAAGTTATGCTGTAGTAATTTTTTTAAACAGCTTTTTTGAACTATTATTTATAACCAAAGAATTCAGCCGTTGAAATTGTACAATTTGTTTTTAGTACATTCACAGTTATGCAGGCACTACTACAATCAATGTTAGAACATTTTCATCACCACAAAAGGAAATCCAGCACCCACTAACAGTCATTCCTAATTTCACCCCACATTTGCCAGCCCTGATCAACTAGTAATCTAGTTTATAGATTTGCCCATTTTGAGCATTTCTTATTAATGAAATCATACCCTGTGATCTTTTGTGTCTGGTTTCTTTGACCTAGTAAAACATTTTCAAGGTTCATCCATGTTGTAGCCTGTATCAATACTTCCTTTTCATTGCCAAATTATATTCCATTGTATGGATGTTGTCCCATTTTATTTATCTGTTCACCTGTTGATGGATATTTGGGTTGGTTCTACTTTGCAGCTATTGTGAATAATGTTGCTTCAAACATTCATATGCAAGTTTTTGTATAGACATATGTTTTCATTTTGGTCGGGTATATACCTGGGAGGTGAATTTCTGGATCATATGCTAACTCTATGTTTTACGTTTCCAGGAACTGCCAAACTCTTTTCCGCAGTGGTTGCACCATTTAATGTTTCAGCTAGCAAGGGATGAAGATTCCATTCTCTTCAGTGCTAAACTACATGTCTGTCTTTTTTGATTAGAGACATTCTAATGGTGTGAAATAGTTATCTCATTATAGTTCTGATTTGAATTTTCCTGATATATTGAGCATCTTTTCATGAGCCTATTGGACATTTGTACATTTTTCTTAGAGAACTGTCCATTCAAATCCTTTGTCCATTTTTTTGTTCGTTTTTCTTATTATTGAGTTGTAAAAATTCTTTATGTCCTCCATCCAGAAGTTCCTTATCATATATATATACACACACATATGTGTATATACATATATATGATATATATATATACATATATATATGATTTGTAAATATTTTCTCCCATTCTGTAGGTTGTCTTTTCACTTTCTTGATGGTGTCCTTTGAAGCATGGAAGTTTTAAATTTTGATGAAATCCAACTAATGTGTTTTTATTTTGTCATTTGTGCTTTTGTTGTTGTATCTAAGAAACCATTGCCTAAGCCAAGGTTACAAAGATTACTTGTATGTTTTATTCTGAGAATTTTATAGTTTTAGCTCTGATACTTAGGTATGTCATCCATTCACAGTTAATGTTTTGTGTGCGGTCCAAGGAAGGCATCCTGCTTCATTGTTTTGCATGTGGAAATCCAGTTGTCCCAGAACCAGTTGTTGAAAAGACTTTTCTTTTCCAATGGAATGGACTTGGCACCCATGTAGAAAATCACTTTACCATAAATGTAAAGATTTGCATTTGGCCCCTCTAGTCTATTCCATTGATTTCTATGTTTATCCAGATGCCATTACCATAGTGTGTTGATCACTGTAGCTTTTTAGTAGGTTTTGAAATCAGAAAGTGTGAATCTTCCAACTTCGTGCCTCTTTTCAAGTTATTTCATGTTATTTTGGCTCCCTTACTTTTCTGTATAGATTTTAGGATAGCTTGTCAAGTTCTATAAAAAAGCTAGCCGAGATATTAATATGGATTGTGTTAAATTTGTAGATCAAATTGGAGAATCTTTCTTAACAATATTAAATCTTTTGATCTGTGAACATGAATATTTCAATTTACTTAGTTCTTTTAAAATTACTTTCTTTTTTGAGACGGAGTTTTGCTCTTGTTGCCCAGGCTGGAGTGCAGTGGGCGTGATTTTGACTCACTGCAACCTCCACTTCCTGGTTAAGTGATTCACCTGCCTCAGCCTCCGAGTAGCTGGGATTACAGGCATGCGCCACCACGCACGGCTAATTTTGTATTTTTAGTAGAGACGGAGTTTCTCCAGGTTGATCAGGCTGGTCCCAAACTCCTGACCTCAGGTGATCCACCTGCCTCAGCCTCCCAAAGTGCTGGGATTACAGGTGTGAGCCACTGCACCTGGCCCTAAAATTACTTTCAACAGTGTCTTAAGCTTACAAGTTTTGCTTTTTTTTTTTGTAAAATTTATTCCTAAGTATTTTATTCTTTTTTGGTGCTTTTGTAATAGAATTGTTTTCTAATTTCATTTTTGGATTGTTCAATGATGGTATCTAGAAATATAATTTATTTTTCTATATTGTATAAATATAATTTATTTTGTATATTGACCTTGTACCCTGTACTATTACTTATTTTTTGTTTATATTTTAAATTTTGTGGATACATAGTAGGTATATATATTTATAGGGTACATGAAATATTTTGATACAGACATGCAGTGTGTAATAATCACATCAGGGTAAATGGGGTATCCATCACCTCAAGCATTTATCCTTTGTGTCACAAACAATTCAATTATACAGCTTTAGTTATTTGATAATGTACAATTAAATTATTATTGACTATAGTCACCCTGTTGTGCTATCAGGTAC
The DNA here is from genome assembly GCF_000001405.40 of Homo sapiens. NCBI lineage: Eukaryota > Metazoa > Chordata > Mammalia > Primates > Hominidae > Homo > Homo sapiens. The sequence goes on from NC_000005.10 coordinate 108,793,104, forward strand.
TAGGTCTTATTCTGTATATATTTTTTGTTCCCATTAACCATCCCAACTTTCCCCCTGCTTCCCACTACCCTTTATAACCTGTTGTAACCATCCTTCTACTCTTTGTCTCCAGGAGCTCAAGATTGTCTTTCTGTGTCTGGCTTATTTCACTTAATATAATGACTGTGTCTGGCTTATTTCACTTAACATAACGACCACCAGTTCTATCCATGTTGTTGCAGATAACAAGATCTCACTCTTTTTAATGGCTGAATAGTACTCCATTGCGTATATGTACCACATCTCTTTATTCATTCATCTGTTGATGGACACTTAGGTTGCTTCCAAATATTGGCTATTGTAAACAATGCTGCAAAAAACATAGGAGTGCAGATATCTCTTTGGTATACTGATATCTATTTTTTTTTTGGCGGGGCGGGGGGGGTGGTTATATACCCAGCAGCGGGATTGCTGGATTATATGGTAGCTCAGTTTTTAGTTTTTTGAGGAAGCTCCAAACTGTTCTCCATAGTGGTTGTACACATTCCCACCAGCAGCAGTGTTTCAGGATTCTCTCTTTTCTACATCCTTACTATTTGTTTTCTGGTTGTTTTATGGTCTTTTTCCTTTCCTGTCTTCCTGTCTTTCTTTTAGGGAAGGTAATTTTCTTTGTTAGTATGACTTAATTTTACTTTTTTTGTATTCATTGTATGTTTTTTTGATTTGAGGTTACCATGAAGCTTGCAAATACTGTTTTATAACCCAGTATTTTAAACTAATGACAAGTTAACATGATTGTATAAACAAACAAGCAAAAAGAAAACTAATGAAAACTCTACACTTTAACTTTGACCCCTCTCCGCTTTTTAACTTATTGTTTCTATTCATAACTCATTGTACTATGTCTTGAAAAGTTGTAGTTATTATTTTTGATTGGTTCATCTTGTCTTTTTTCTGAAGACCAGAGTAGTTTACACACCACAATTACACATTATTATTATAATGTGATAATATTCTTTGTTTTTTTGGTGTACTTACTTCTACCAGTGAGTTTTGTACCTTCAGATGATTCGTTACTGCTCATTAATGTCCTTTTCTTTCTGATTGATTAATCCCCCTTAGCATTTCCTTTTTTTTTTCTTTTTTTTTTTTGAGACAGAGTTTCACTCTTGTTGCCCAGGCTGGAGTGCAGTGATGCAATCTTGGCTCACTGCAATCTCCGCCTCCCAGGTTCAAGTGATTCTCCTGCTGCGGCCTCCCTAGTAGCTGGGATTACATGTGCCCGCCTCCACGCCCAGCTAATTTTTTGTACTTTTAGTAGAGACAGGGTTTCACCATGTTGGCCAGGCTGGTCTCAAATTCCTGACCTCAGGTGATCCACCCACCTTGGCCTCCCAAAGTGCTGGGATTACAGATGTGAGTCACTGTGCTTGCCCCCTCCGCACCCCCCCCCCTCCCCGCACCTTAACATTTCTTATAGGACTAGTGTGGTGCTGATGAAATCCTTCAGCTTTTGTTTGTTTGGGAACATCTTTATTTCTCATTTATGCTTAAAGGATATTTTCACCAGATATGCTATTCTAGGGTAAACTTTTTTTTTCCTTCAGCACTTCAAATATTTCATGCCACTCTCTCCTGCCATGTAAGATTTCCACTGAAAAGGCTGCTGCCACACATGTGGGATCTCCATTGGATGTTATTTGTTTCTTTTCTCTTGTTGCTTTTAGGATCTTTTCTTTATTCTTGACCTTTGGGAGTTTGATTATTAAATGCCTTGAGGTAGTCTTTACATTAAATCTGCTTGTTGTTCAATAACCTTCTTGTACATGAATATTTACATCTTTCTACAGGTTTGGAAAGATCTCTGTTATTATCACTTTGAATAAACTTTCTACCCCTATCTCTTTCTGTACCTCCTTTTTAATTCTAATTACTCTTAGATTCCCTTTTTTGGCTGGACATGGTGGCTCATGCCTGTACTTTGGAAGGCCAGTACTTTGGAAGGCCAAGATGGGAAGATTGCTTGCACGTAGGAGTTTGACAGCAGCCTGGGCAACAAAGTGTGACCCCTTCTTTACAAAAAAATTTTAAAATTAGCTGGGCATGGTGACACATACTTGTAGTCCCAGCTACTCAGGAGGCTGAGACAGGAGGATCTCTTTAGCCCAGGAGGTTGAGGCTGCAGTAAACTGTGATTGTGCCACTGTACTCTAGCCAGAGGGAGACCCTGTCTGGAAAAAAAGAAAAACTTTCCCCTTTTGAGACTATTTTCTAGTTCTTGTAGGCATGGTTTATTCTCTTTTTTTGTTTTCTTTTTTTTTTTTTTATGTTCCCTCTGACTATTTTTTGTGCCACTGTACTCCAACCTGGGAGACAGAGGGAGACCCTGTCTGAAAAAAAAGAAAAAATTTCCCCTTTTGAGGCTATTTTCTAGTTCTCGTAGGCATGGTTTATTCTCTTTTATTCTTTTTTTTAATTGTTGTTGTTCCCTCTGACTATTTTTAAATAGTCTGTCTTCAAGCTCACTAATTCTTTCTTCTGCTTCATCGATTCTGATATTAAGAGACACTGATGCATTCTTCAGTGCGTCAGTTGCATTTTTCAACTCTAGAATTTGTGCTTCATTCTTTTTATTTATTTCAATCTCCTTGTTAAATTTATCTAGATAGAATTCTAAATTTGGTCTCTCTGTTATCTTGAATTTCTTTGAGTTAACTTTAAAACAGCTATTTTGAATTCTCTGTGTTAAAGATCCCATATCTTTCAGGCCAGGATTGGTTCCTGGTGCCTTAATTTAGTTTGTGTATGGAGATCCTGTTTTCCTGGATGGTCTTGAATCTTGTGGCTGTTCGACAGAGTCTGTACATTCGAGAGTTAGGTATTTATTAGATATTTATTGTAGTCTTCACTTCTGTGCTTTGTTTGTACCTGTCATCCTTGGGAAGGCTTTCCAGGTAATACAAGGTACTTGGGTGCTGTCATGTAAGCTGTATCTGTATTAGGGGCCACTTCAAGCCCAGTAACACTATGATTTAAGTGGACTTGTAGGGGCACTGCCTTTGTGGTCTTGGATAAGATCTGGGAGGATTCTCTACATTACCAGCAGAAACTCTTGTTCCCTTTCGTTACTTTCTCCCAAACAAATGGAGTCTCTCTCTCTTTTGAGTCACCTGGAGCAGGGGATGGGGTGACACAGTCACCCATGTTGCTACCAGTACTGGAATTGCACTGGGTCAGACCTAAAGCCAGCGCAGCACTGGGTCATGCCCAAGGCCCACTGTAATTGCTACCTGACTCCTGCCTATGTTTGCTCAAGGCACCTGAGCTTTATAATCAGCATGTGGTGAAGCCAGCGAAGCTTGTGTCCTTTCCTCAAGGGTGGTGAGTTTCTGTAGGCTCCAAGTGGGTCCAGAAATGCTGTCTGTTAGCCAAGGAGTAGAGTCAAAACCTTAGAAATCTACCTGATGCCCTATTCTACAGCTAAACTGGCACTCAAGCCATGAGACAAAGTCTTTCCCGCTCTTCCCTCTCCTTTCCTCAAGTAGAAGAGCCTCTCTCCCTGGCCACCACCACCGTAGGCCCACAGGAAGTACTGCCAGGCTACTGCTGATGTTGACGTGAGGCCCAAGTTTCCTTCAGTCAGATTGTGGTGAATGCTGGCAGTCCTGGGACTTACCCTGCAGGGCAGTGGGCTCCTCTCTGGCCAGAGCAGGTCTAGAAGTGCCACCTAAGAGGCAAGGCCTGGAATTGGGGGCCGTAAGAATGTGCTTGGTGCTCTACCCCACTGTGTTCGAGATGGTACCTAAGGTGTAAGACAAAGTCCCCTTAATTTTCTCTTTGTTTTTCTCAAGCAGAAGGAGTCTCTCACCATAGCCACCACAACTGGGAATGTGCTGGGTCTCACCTGAGGTTAGCATGTCTGAATCTGACCCAGAGCCCACAGCGTACTACCCGGGTATCACTGCTGGTTATTCAGGGACCAGAGGCTCTTAAGTCAGCAGGTGATGAAGCCTGCCGGGACTGGGTCCTCCCTTTCAAGGCAGCGGGGTTTTTTTTGGCCCAGGTTGTGTTTAGAAATGTCATTCAGGAGGTAGGGCCTATAATAGGCGCCTAATGACTGCCCAGTGCTCTATCCTTCTGTGGCTGAGCTGGTATCCAAGAGGCAGGACAACATTCTCTTTACTGTTTGTCTCCTCTCCTCAAGCAGAAGGATGGAGTCACTTTTGTTGCTGCAAGCTGTGCTGGCCGGGGTGCAGAAGGGGTGTTGCAAGCACTCCTGTAGCCTCCCTCTCTCATGTCTCTCTAGGTTGCTGAAACTCAAGTTCTGACTGCTGGAATGGGCAATTCCCCTCTGGCTATGGCTGGTCTAAATGCTCCCTTCCTGGGTGGGCATTGGCTGAGTTCATCCTGGTTTTGCTTTCTGCTGTGACATGGCAGCAGTGAGTTTATTGCAAAGTCCCACAATCACAGTGCTCTCTTTCTCCTCCAAGCATACTCTGTGCACCATGTGGCCACTGCTGGGTGATGGGAGAGGACTGGTCTTGATGATTCGAGACTGTGTTTTCTACCCTTTTCAGTACCTCTTTCAGCGATAGGAAGTTAAAACTGGGTACTGTGATTGCTCACCTGATTTTTGTGTGTGTAAATAGTTGTTAAATTTGGTTTTCCTGCTGGCAGGGGGCAGGGAGGCATAATTGGTGGAGGCTTCTAGTCATTTATTTTAATGGTTTTTGTTGCATTACATAGGATTTTCTTCATACAAGATGATGTAATTTGCAAATTAAGATAGTTTTACTTCTTCCTTTCCGATCTGAATGCCCCTTTTATTTCGTTTGTTTCACTGTAATGGCTAAGACCTCTGGAGTAATGTTGAAGCCAACAATAGGGTGGACTTCTTCATCTTGTTTCTGATCTTTGGAAGAAAGTATTCAGTTGTGTTTTTTTTTTTTAACCCCAAAGAAGAATCTATCATAACTTTTTTTTTTTTGAAGACTAATTTCCTTTTTATTTAAGAGTTTTTCTCTTTTGTTTACATACACAGATATGTGCTGATTAGAAGGCTCACTTGTGCAGTGTGGAGGATAACCAGTGCCTTACAAAATGGGGTTTGGGAGTGACCTGAAGAATTCACATGAAGCAGTGTTAAAATTGCAAGACTGGGAATTACGGTTACTGGAAACAGTAAAGAAATTTATGGCCCTGAGAATAAAAAGTGATAAAGAATATGCATCTACTTTACAGAACCTTTGTAATCAAGTTGATAAGGAAAGTACTGTCCAAATGAATTATGTCAGCAACGTATCCAAGGTAAGAAGAATAATTTCACTCTTTGTTATTTATAACATTATAATTGTCCTTAAAATGCAATAGCTCAAACTATTGAATGAGCATACTTAAGTCAGCATTCTAAAGCAGTGATTCCACAGTTTTACAGAGTATGAAAATCTCATGGAGAAGTTTTTAAAAATTATAAATTTTGGAGTGGCCGGGCATGGTGGCTCACACCTGTAATCCTAGCACTTTGGAAGGCTGAGGCAGCAACATCACTTTAGCCTAGGAGTTTGAGACCAGCCTGGGGAAAGTGGTGAAACCCTGTCTCTACAAAAAATATGAAAATTAGCTGGGCGTGGTAGCATGTGACTGTAGTCCTAGCTACTTGGGAGGTTGAGGTGGGAGGATTGCTTGAGCCTGTTAGATCAAGGCTGCAGTGAGCCGTGGGTGACAGAGTGAGACCCTGTCTCAAAAAACAAAACAAAAAATTCCCTAATTTTTTGTGCCTCTCTGATATTCTGTATTCTATAGCTGTACCTCTCTGATGCTCTGACTTAATGGGTCAGGTTTGAGAACCATTGTTACAAATTTTGGTTTCTTTTATTAACTCTTCTGGCTTTGGGTCATTTGAACCCTGCTATTTTTCCCTTTTGCACAAACTTTAGTTATAAACCACTCCCTGAATTCTTCTGTGAACCATTAGTGTTGTGAATCATATGGAATATTTTAGCATGTAGCTCTTATTTGCTATCATTTCAGTACAAAAATATTAGTATATTGTTGAGTTAGTCACTCTTAAAACATCCATTAGATGAATAATGTATTTTTTAAATCCAAGATTATTCTGTCATATAAAAATAAGGGCCAGAATTACACTGTTAATTGTTCTTTGAAAACATTGAAGAAGAAATATTAAACTCTAATAGTTCTTGGATTCTTGCTTTGTTACTTCCAGTGTCTTATTTAAATATCATATTTCACTATAGAATGTTAAAAAAATTAATCTTCTTTCACTTTTGGGTCTTAGGATTTGAGTAAATTTTAGAGGAAAACTCTGTTACCTGTGGAGACTGTGTATATAGTGTGTTTGATCAAGTAAGGAGTTGTGATTCTGTTAAGAACCCAGTAATGTTCATATCTTTAACTTCCTTTCTGGGCCAGTATCTAGTCTGAAGGTAGAGCTGCCAGAGATGGCCACAAAAAATACAGGACACCATTTGAATTTGCATGCAGTATTTAGGACAAACATACATTAAAAATGATTTGTTATTTATCTGAAATTCAAATTTAACTGGATATCCTTTATTTTATTTGGCAATTTCATCTGTGGGTATAAAGCCTTCTATTATGTTAATGGGAATAGATAGGGAAAGTATTTTTGGTATTTTAAAAGTCACATTTTATTTAATCTTCTTGTTTTTGGTAAGCTACCTGGTGTTTCTGAGTCCAAAGGCTTTCTGCTTCATTTATCCCTCTTGTTTTCTTTTCTTTTCTTTTTTTTTTTTTTGAGATGCAGTCTCACTTTCTCGCCCAGGCTGGAGTACGGTGGTGCAATCTTGGCTCACTAAAACCTCTGCCTCCCGGGTTCAGGTGATTCTTGTGTCTCCGCCTCATGAGTAGCTGGGATTACAGGTGTGTACCACTACACCTGGCTAATTTTTGTATTTTTAGTGCAGATGGGGTTTCATCATGTTGGCTAGGCTGGTCTTGAACTCCTGACCTCAAATGATCTACCTGCCTCGGTCTCCTGAGCTTTAACGGAGTCATCTGACCTCATAAATCTTGACCTCCCTTTTGCAGGACACTTAGGTTTTAACTTTTCCTCATATGCTAATTAGTTACCACTTATCTGCTTTTCATTTTCTTACATTCTGTTGACATATCTTATTTGCCATTGTCACATAGTTTCTGTTTTCTTTGTTATTGCTAATTTATACATTAAATTAACAGTTGAACAATGGTTGAGAACTCACAGAAAATCAAGGAGTATGTCAGCCTTTCCTCTTTTTTTTTTCTCTTTAGGATCTTGCTCTGGCATCCAGGCTGGAGTGCAGTGGTACAGTCATGGCTCATTGCAGCCTTGACCACCCAGGCTCAAGCAATCCTTCCACCTCAGCTTTCTAGGGAGCTGGGACTATAGGCATGCGCCACCATAACTGGCTAATTTTATTTTTTATTTTATAGAAACGGGGTCTCAGTATATTGCCCAGGCTGACCTTGACCTTCTGGGCTCAAGCAATCCTCCCACCTTGGCCTCCCAAAGATCTGGGATTATAGGCATGAGCCACTGTGACCAGCCATTCTTTCCTCTTAACACAGAAAAACTATGATTTATTCTACCTATAAGTAAAGTCTACCTTTTAAAAAGAGGATTGTGCTTTTCGTATTATATCTTAAAAAATCTTTGCCTGGGCCGGGCGTGGTGGCTCACGCCTGTAATCCCAGCACTTTGGGAGGCCGAGATGGGCGGATCACAAGGTCAGGAGATCGAGACCATCCTGGCTAACACGGTGAAACCTCGTCTCTACCAAAAATACAAAAAAATTAGCCGGGCGTGGTGGCGAGTGCCTGTAGTCCCAGCTACTTGGGAGGCTGAGACAGGAGAATGGCGTGAACCCGGGAGGCGGAGCTTGCAGTGAGCCGAGGTCATGCCATTGCACTCCAGCCTGGGCGACAGAGCAAGACTCTGTCTCACAAAAAAAAATCTTTGCCTGATGCAAAGTTAAAGAGTTTTGCCTGTGTTATCATCTGGAAATTTTTATAGTTTTAAGTTTTGTTTGTAGGTCTATGATTTATTTTTATTTAATTTTTGTACATGTGGCAAGCTATGGATTGAAGTTCATATTTTTATCTTTTTTTGCTTCTGGATACCCATTTGTTCTAACTTCATTTGTTGAAAACACTAAGCTTTCTCCATTGAATTGCCTTTGCATCTTTGTTTAAAATCAGTTAACCATAATGCGAGTCTATTTTTATACTCTTTATTCTGTTCCATTCATATTTTTGTCTATCATGACATCAGTAACACATTTAATTATTTGTTCCTTGATAATAATATCAAAGTCAGGTAGTGTACAGTAGTCATCCCTTATTCATGGGAGATATGTTCTAATATCCCCAGTAGATGCCTGAAGCTGTGGATAGTACTGAACGTCCATTGTTGTCCATCAGAATATGTTTCTTTTCATGCCTTCCACCCACACATTTAATTCCTTTTCCATCTTAACTAAGCACTTATCACGTACTATGCATATAACTTTTGCAGTTTGAAGTGCAACATCAAAAATTCAAAGGTGCAAATTTCCTTTTTCTTCTTTTTCACAGTTGCATGGATAGAAGATTCATTCTTACTGTAGCTCTTAGCAAACTCAGCATATGTTTTTTTTCTTTCCTTAAGTTGAGAACTTTCATCCCTTCACCCAAAGGAGACACTTTCTGTCTTCTTTTTGGCATATCCAAATTACCGGCATCACTATCCTTGCAGTTTGGGGCTATTATTAAGTTAAATAAAGGTTCCTTAAACACAAGCACTGCTATAGCAAGGATAACTGAGATGGCTACTAAGTGAGTAATATTCAAGTAGCATATACAGCATGGATACACTAGACAAAGGGATGATTCATATCCTGGGCAGGACAGAGTGGGGAGGCTAGGTATTTCATCATACTACTCAGAGCGGTGTCACCTTAAAACTTACGAATTGTTTATTTCTGGAATTTTCCATTTTTGGATTACGTGCAATCAAAACTGCAGGAAGCAAAACAACAGATTAAGGGGTACTACTGAACTTATTTTTTTTTTCAAAATTATTTTGTCTTTTCTAAATGTTGTGCATCTCCTTACAAATTTTAGGAGCACCTTACCAATCATTTTTTTTAAAAGGCTACTGGGATTTTGCTTGGAATTACATTGAATGTATAGATAAATTTGGGGAAAATCTATATCTTAACAGTATTGGGTCTTTCAATAAATAAAAATGATATACATTTTAAATTGTTAAAAAATAATTCAACTTTTATTTTAGATTCCGGGGGTACACATGCAGGTTTGTTACCTGGATATATTGTGTGATGCTGAGGTTTATGGTATGAATGACCCCATTACCAAAGTCGTAAGCATAATACCCAATAGTTTTTCAGCCTTTCCCCCCGTCCTTCCCTCTCCCCTCTAATATTCTGTAGTGCCCATTGTTTCCATCTTTATATCCTTGTGTACCCAATGTTTAGCTGCCACTTATAAGTGAGAACATGGAGTATTTGTTTTTTTTTGTTCCTGTGTTAATTTGCTTAGGATAATGGCCTCCAGCTGCATACATGTTGCTGCAAAGGGCATGATTTCTTTCTTTTTTATGACCATATAGTATTCTGTGGTGCATATGTGCTGCATTTTCTTCACTCAGAGCGGTATCACCTTAAAACTTACGAATTTTCTGTTTTCTGTTTCTACAAAACAGAAACAGGTGTCTGTTTGGTAGAACTATTTATTTTCTTTTGGCTGTATACCCACTAATGGGACTGCTAGGTCTAATGGTAGTTCTGTTTTAATTTCTTTGAGAAATCTCTAGAGTGCTTTCTCTAGTGGCTGAACTAATTTACATTTCCACCAACAGTGTATTAAGTGTTCCCGTCTCTCCACAACCTCACGAGCATGTGTTGTTTTTTTGACGTTTTAATTATAGCCATTCTTACTGGTGTGAGATGGTATCTCATTGTGGTCTTGATTTGCATTTATCTGATAATTAATGACGTTGAGCATTTTATCATGTGTTTGTTGGCCACTTGTATGTCTTCCTTTGAGAAGTATCTATTAATGTCCTATGCCCACTTTTTAATGTTTTTTTTTCTTGATGATTTGTTTAAGTTCTGTGTAGAACATTAGTCCTTTGTTGGATGCATGGTTTATGATTATTTTCTCCCATTCTGTAGGTTGTCTGTTTACTCTGTTGGTAGTTACTTTTGTTGTATAGAAGCTCTTTAGTTTGATTAAGTCCCACTTGTCAATTTTCATTTTTGTTGCAATTGCTTTTGAGAATTTAGTCATAAATTTCTTCCCACAGCTGATACCCAGAATGGTGTTTCCCAGGTTTTCTTCTAGGATTCTTATAGTTTGAGGTCTTACATTTAAATCTTTAATCCATTCTGAATTAATTTTTGTACATGGTGAAAGGTAGGGGACAAGTTTCATTCTTCTGCATATAAAGCTAGCCAGCTATCCCAGCAGCATTTATTAAATAGGGAGTTCTTTCCCTGTTGCTTATTTTTGATGAAAGATCAGATGGCTGTAGGTTTGCATTTTTTTTTTTTAATTTCTGTGTTTTCTAATCTGTTCCATTGGTCTATGTGTCTTTTTTTGTACCACTACCATGCTGTTTTGGTTATTGTAGCTTTATAGTATAGTTTGAACTTGCGTAACATCAAGCCACTGGCTTTGTTCTCTTTACTTAGGACTGCTTTGGCTATTTGGGCGACTTTTTGGTTGCATATGAATTTTATTATAGTTTTTTCCCAGTTCTGTGAGAAATGACAGTAGTTTGATAGGAATAGTGTTGAATCTGTAGATTGCTTTGGGCTGTATGGGCATTTAATGATATTGATTCTTTCAGACCGTCCGCACAGAATGTTTTTCCATTTGTTTGTGTCATCTGTGATTTCTTTCAGCAGTGTCTTGTAGTGCTTCTTATAGGGATCTTTTATTTTCTTGGTTAAATGTATCCCTAGGTGTTTTATTTTATTTTTTTGTTTCTCTTGTAAATGGCATTGCATTCTTGATTTGGCTATCAGCTTGAATGTTATTAGTATATAGAATTGGTGCTGATTTTTCTAATTTATTTTGTATCCTGATTGTTTACTGAAGTCGTTTATCAGTTTCAGGAGCCTTTTGGTGAAGTATTTAGGGCTTTGTAGGTATAGATGCATGTCATCCATTAAGAGAGATAGTTTGACTTCTTTTCCTATTTGGGTGCCTTTTATTTTTTTCTCTTGCCTGATTGTTCTGGCTAGGACTTCTAGTACTATACTGTATTGGAGTGGTGAGAGTGTGCATCCTTGTCTTGTTCCAGTTCTCAAGGGGAATAGCTCAAGCATTTGCCGTTCAGTATGATGTGGGCTGTGTGTTTGTCATAGATGGCTCTTACTGTTTTGAATTATATTCCTTCCATGCCTAGTTTATTGAGGATTTTTATCATGAAGCGATGATGGATTTTATCAAACGCTTCAATCTCAATCATCAATTGAGATTATTATATGGTTTTGTTTCTGATTGTGTTCGTGTGACAAATTACAGTTATTGATTTGTATATGTTGATCCAACCTTGCATCACAGGAATGAAGCCTATTGGATCATGATGAATTAATTTTTTGATGTGTTGCTTGATTCAGTTTGCTATTAATAGTATTTCATTGAGGATTTTTGTGTTTATGTTCATCATGGATATTGACCTGCAGTTTTCTGCTTTTGTTGTGTCTTTGCCAAGTTTTGGTATCAGTGTGATGCTGGCTTTTTAGAATGAATTAGGTAGAATTCCCTCCTACTTGATTTTTTGGAATAGTTTCTGTAGAATTGGTACTACCTCTTTGTACATCTAGTAGAATTTGGCTGTGAATCCATTTAGTCTGCTTTTTTTTTTTAATTGGATAGGTTTTTTATTACTGATTCAATTTGGAGCTGGATATTGGTCTTTTCAGGGTTTCAGTTTCTTCCTTGATATGGTTCGGCTGTGTCCCCACCCAAATCTCATCTTGAATTGTAACTCCCACAATTCCCACATGTTGTGGGAGGTGACTGAATTATGGGAGTGGGTCTTTCCTGGGCTGTTCTCGTGATAGTGAATGAGTCTCATGAGATCCGATGGTTTTAAAAATGGGAACTTTCCTGCACAAGCTCTCTTTTGCCTGCCGTCATCCACATAAGACGTGATTTGCTCCTCCTTGCCTTCCACCATGTTTGTGAGGCCTCCCCAGCCATGTGGAACTGTAAGTTCAGTTAAATCTCTTTCTTTTGTAAATTGGCCAGTCTCAGGTATCAGCAGCATGAAAACAGATTAATACAGTAAATTGGTACCAGTAGAGTGGGGCGTTGCTAAAAAGCTACCTGAAAATGTGGTAATGACTTTGGAACTGGGTAACAGGCAGAGGTTGGAACAGTTTGGAAGGTTCAGAAGAAGACAGGAAAATGTGGGAAAGTTTGGAACTTCCTAGAGACTTGTTGAATGGCTTTGACAGAAATACTGTTAGTGATATGAACGAAAAGGTCCAGGCTGAGGTAGTCTCAGATAGAGATGAGGAACTTGTTGTGAACCGGAGCACAGGTGACTCTTGTTTTGTTGCAGCAAAGAGACTGGTGGAATTTTGCCCCTGCCCTAGAGATTTATCGAAATTTGAACTTGAGAGAGATGATTTAGGGTATGTGCCAGAAGAAATTTCTAAGCAGCAAAGCACTCAAGAGGTGACTTGGGTGCTGTTAAAGGCATTCAGTTTCATAAAGGAAGCAGAGCATAAAAGTTTGGAAAATTTGCAGCCTGAAAATGTGATAGAAAAGAAAATCCCATTTTCTGAGAGAAATTCAAGAAATTTGCATAAGTAACAAGGAATTGAATGTTAATCACCAAGACAATGGCAAAAATGTCTCCAGGGCATGTCAGAGGTCTTCATGACAGCCCCTCCATCATAGGCCTGGAGGCCTAGGAGGAAAACATGGTATTGTGGGCCAAGCCCAGGGTCCCTGTGTTACGTGCAGTCTAAGGACTTGGTGCCCTGCATCCTAGCCGCTCCAGCCGTGACTAAAAGGGGCCAAGGTATAGCTTGGGCCATGGCTTCAGAGGGTGCAAGCTCCAAGCCTTGGCAGCTTCCACGTGGTGTTGAGCCTGCCAGTGCACAGAAGTCAAGGATTGAGGTTTGGGAACCTCCTCCTAGATTTCTGAGGATGTGTGGAAATGCCTGGATGTCCCAGCAGAAGTTTGCCACAGGGGTGGGGCTCTCCTGGAGAACCTCTGCTAGGGCAATGTGGAAGGGAAATGTGGGGTTGGAGCCCCCACACAGAGTCCCTACTGGGGCACCACCTAGTGGAGCTGTGAGAAGAGGGCTACCGTCCTCCAGACCCCAGAATGGTAGCTATACCGACAGCCTGCACTGTGTGCCTGGAAAAGCTGCAGACACTCACCAACAGTCTGTGAAAGCAGCTGGAAGGGAGGCTGTACCCTGCAAAGCCACAGGGGCAGAGCTGCCCAAGACTATGGGAACCCGCCTCTTGCATCTGCGTGACCTGGATGCAAGACATGGAGTCAAAGGAGATCATTTTGGAGCTTTGAGATTTGACTGCCCCACTGGATTTCAGACTTGCATGGGGTCTGTAGTCCCTTTGTTTTGGCCAGCGTCTCCCTTTTGGAATGGCTGTATTTACCTAATACCTGTACTCCCATTGTATCTAGGAAGTAACTAAGTTGCTTTTGATTTTACAAGTTCATAGGCGGAAGGGACTTGCCTTGTCTCAGATGAGACATTGGATTGTGGACTTTTGAGTTAATGCTGAAATAAGACTTTGGGGGACTGTTGGGAAGGCGTGATTGGTTTTGAAATGTGAGGACATGAGATTTGGGAGGGGTCCAGGGTGGAATGATATGGTTTAGCTGTGTCCCACCCAAAATCTCATATTGAATTTTAACTCCCACAATTCCCATGTGTTGTGGGAGGAACCCCGTGGGAGGTGACTGAATTATGGAGGCAGATCTTTCCTGTGCTGTTCTCATGTTAGTGAATGAGTCTCATGAGATCTGATGGCTTTAAAAACGGGAATTTTCCTGCACTAGCTCTCTTTTTGCTTGCCGCCATCCATGTAAGATGTGATTTGCTTCTCCTTGCCCTCCACTATGTTTGTGAGGCCTCCCCAGCCACGTGGAACTGTAAGTCCAGTTAAACCTCTGTCTTTTGTAAATTGCCCTGTCTCAGGTATGTCTTTATCAGCAGTGTGAAAACAGACTAATATATTCCTGATTCAATCTTGAGAAGTTGCGTGTTTCCAGGAATTTGTCCATTCCTGTAGATTTTCTAGTTTGTTTGCATAGAGGTATTCGTAATAGTCTCTGAGGATCTTTTGTTTTTCTGTGGATCAGTTTTGATGTCACCTTTGTGATTTCTTATTGTGCTTATTTTCATTTTCCGTCTTTTTCTTTGTTGGTCTAGCTAGTGGTCTATCAACCTTGTTTATCCTTTCAAAGATCAAAGTTTTTGTTTTGTTGTTTATTTGTATGGATGATTGGATATCAATTTCATTCAGTTTTTCTTTGGTTTTGGTTACTTCTTTTCTTTTGCTATCTTTAGGGTTAGTTCTTGTTTTTCTTGATCTTCTAGGTATAGTATTAGATCCTGAATTCGAGATCTTTCTACCTTTTTGAGGTGGTGTTTAGTGCTATATACTTTTCTCTGAACACTGCTCTTGTTGCGTCCCAGAGATTCTGGTATGCTGTTTCTCTATTTTCATTTATTTCAGATAATGTTTTGATTTCTGCCTTAATTTCATTGTTTACCCACAAGTCATTCTGGAGCAAGTTGTTTAATTTCATGTAATTGTGTAGTTTTGAGATATCTTCTTGGTGTTGACTTCTGCTTTTATTTCACTGTGGCCCAAGAGTGTTGTTGGTATGATTTAGTTTTTTTTTTTTTTAATTTACTGGGACTTGTTTTATGGCCAAGCATGTGGTTGATGTTAGATTATGTTCCATGTCAGATGAGAGTAATGTGTATTCTGTGTATGATACATGGAATATTTCCTAGATTTCTATTAGATCCAGTTGGTCAAGTGTTGAATTTCAGGTCAGAATTTCTTTCTTAGTTTTCTGTCTCAGTGATCTGTCTGATGCTATCAGTGGGGTGTTGTGTGGCTGTCTGTGTCTTTTTGTAGGTCTAGATGTATTTTTTTTGTGAATCTAGGTGCTTCAATGTTGGGTGCATATATTAAATATAAGTTAAGTCTTCTTGTTGAATTAAATTCTTTATCATTAGTATCATTATTACTTCTTGTCCATTTTTTTTTGTTGGTCCAACATTTGTTTTATCTGATATAAGAATAGCTTCACTATTCTTTTTTGTTTTCTGTTTGTGTGATCTTTCTCTAACCCTTTACTCTGTGCCTGTGGGTGTCAACATGTAAGAATGGGTTTCTTGAAGACAGCAGATGGTTGGGTTTGTTTTTTTAATCCAACTTGCAACTCTGTGCCTTTTAAGTGGAGTAGTTAGACAGTTTACATTCAATATTAATATTAATATTAATATGTAAGATTTTGATCCTATTGTGAAGTCATTAGATGATTACTTTGTAGTTTGTATTGTGTGGTTCCTTTATAGGGCCTGTGTGCATGTTTTTGTGGTAGCAGGTATTTTCGTTGTTGTTGTTTCCTTGTTTAGAACTCCCTTAAGGATCTCTTGTGAGGCGACCTGGTATAGAATTCTGTTAGCACTTGCTTGTCCGGAAAATGTTTTATTCCTCCTTCACTTACGATGCTTAGTTTGGTGAGATGTGAAATTCTTGATTGGAATTTCTTTTCTTAAAGATGGCTGAAAGTACACCCCTAATCTTCCCTGGCTTAGAAGATTTCTGCTGAGAAGTCCACTGTTGGCCTGACAGATTTCCCTTTGCACATGTGATCTGACCTTTTTCTCAGCTGCCTTTAAGATTTTTTTCTTTAGTTTTGATCTTGGACAGTCTTGTGACAATATGTCTTGTTGCTGTTCACTTTGTATAGCATCTCACAGGTGTTACCTGGATTTTTTTGTATGTGGATATCTACCTCTCCAGTAAGATTAGGGAAACTTTTTTTGTATTATTCCTTCAAATATGTTTTCCAGGTTGTTTACTTTTTCTCCTTCTTTCTCAGGAATGACGTAACTTGTAGGTTTCGTTGCTTTACCTAATCCCGTATTTCTCAGAGAGTTTGTTTATTTTAAAAAATTCTTTTTTATTTACTTTTGTCTGACTGCGTTAGTTCTGAAGACATGTATTTAGGCTCTGAAGTTTCCTCTGAAGCTTTCAGTTGTCTTTTGAAACTCCTTAAGTGAGTTTTTCAACTCCATAAGCTCTGACTGATTTCTCTTTAAGATGCTGATGTATTCCTTCATTGCCTGGATTGCTTTTGAAGTTTCTTTGTATTGAATTTCATCCTTGTCTTGGATCTTGTTAATCATTCTTGTAATACATGCTTTTCCATACTTTGAATTTTTTGTTTTGTTTTGTTTTTTAGACAGGTTCTTGCTCTGTTGCCCAGGCTGGTGTGCAGTGGCATGATCACAGCTCTCTTCAGCCTTGATCTTCTGGGCTTAAGTAATCCTCCTATCTTAGCCTCCTGAGTAGCTGGGACTACAAGTGTGGACCACCATGCCTGGCTAATTTTTGTATATTTTGTAGAGATGGGATATTACCATATTGCCCAGGCTGTTCTCAAACTTCTGGGCTCAAGTGATCCTCCTGCCTTGGCATCCCAAAATGCTATGATTGCAGATGTGAGCCACCATGCCAAGCCTGTGCTTTAAATTCTTTATCTGTCATTTCTGAGTTTCCAGTTTGGTTACAGACCATTGCTGGAGAGCTGGTATGATCCTTTGGTGATGTCACTACATTCACATTTTTCATAGTGCCAGAATTCTTGTGCTGGTTCCTTCTCATCTAGAGGTGCTGGCACTTCTAATTTTTGTAATTATTTTTGTGCAGGTAGGAATTTTTCTTTTTTCTTTCTTTTCTTGTGATATTATTGTTATTTTTTAATTTCTCTTTTCCTTTCCCCTCCTTCCTAGGTAGTATGTCTATAGAGAATGTTCAGTAATGTCTTTTTGGCTCTGCCGTATGGACTTCCGTTGGCAGGTTTTATACTGGGCTTTTGTATTGGGCTTTCTTTATATATAAGCCAGTACATAGCGCTTATAGGTAAGACGTGGCTGTGGCTAACACAGCTGGGTGTGTATACTTGATCCTCGCTTACTGAGAGAAGCTCTCTGTTGCCTCAGGCAATTGATTGATCCGTGTAGTGCACAGTGGTCTGATTTCCCTGCTCACCTCTCCAGGCTGGGGAGCAACATGTGTGGGGCCGGACTGGGCAGGCCTGCCTACCTGTCGCCCAGTGGCAGGCAGAAGCACCAGCACTGAGGGAGAATCCAATGGGTGTCCACCAAGTGCTCAGAGGTGTGCCTAGGAAACCTCCTCAGCCCCAAGTTCTTTGCCCGGGGAGGGAGAGTTGGCCAAACTCCTAATCCAGGAGAGTGGGTACTCCAGATGCCTAGACATGGAGAGTACTGCAGCACCACAGTCTCTGCACAGGAATGGTGGGGCAGGTCAGGTTGCTGATTCAGAAGAGTAGGTGCTCCCAGTGGAGATCTGCTTTGGTGTTGAGCAGAGAGGGCCCAGCTGCAATACGGTGTCTTCATAGGAAGGGTTGGATACTTAGTCTGCTGACCTAGGTGAGCAGGTGTTTCAGCTGTCTGGAGATCTGCCTGGGGGTGAGGAAGAGAAGGCCCTCCTTTACCTGTATCTTTGCACAGAAAGGGTAGGGTGGCTCATGCTTCCAGTCCGGGCATGCAGGTTCTTTGAATGCCTGGAGACCTGCCCTGGTGAGGAGCAGAGAGGGCCCTATTGCCCCATGATCTATGCACAGGAAGGGTGGGTGTGTCAGCCTGCTTCTCCAGGTGAGCAAGTGCTCCAAGTACCTGGAGATCTGCCTGGCCGTGGAATGGAGAGGGCCCTTCTGCCCCACAATCTATGTCCAGGAAGGGTAGGGCATCCCAGGCTGCTGAACCAGGCAAGTGGGTGCTCTGAATGCCTGGAGATCTGCCTAGGTGTGAAGTGGAGAGGGCCTCCCTGCACCAAGATCTGTGAATGGGAAGGGTGGGGCAGGTCATGCTGCTGATCCAAGTGAGTGGATGCTCCAGATGCCTAGAGATCTGCCTGGGTATGGAGTGGAGTGGGCCCCAAAATACCATGTTATATTACTTAATTTTCAAATGTATATATATTTTGCCATGGATCTCTTCGTTACTGATTTTAAATTTAATTTCATTGTTTTTCAAGAATCTATTTTGTATCAGTTGAATGTTTAAAAATTCATGAATACTTGTTTCATGGCCCAGAAAATAGTTTGTCTTGGTAAATATTGCATGTGCAGTTGCTAAGAAGTATGTATTCTGCTGTTGTTGGTTAGAGTGTTCTATAGATGACAGTAAAGTGAAGATGGTTGATAGTGGTGTTTAAGTCTTCTATTTCTGTATTAGGGTTTTCCAGAGAAACAGAACCAATAGGAGATATATATATATGATTTATCATGGAAGTCTAAAAGACACACGATATGCTGTCTGCAAGCTGGAGAACTAGGAAAGACAGTGCTGTAATTCAGTCTGAGTCTAAAGGCCCGAGAACCAGAGGTACCTCCTGTGTAAATCCCAGAGTAAGAAGGCCCAAAAACCTAGAGTTCTGATGCTCGAGGGCAGGAGGAGATGAATATCTGTTCTAGAAGAGAGAGAGTGAATTTGCCCTTCCTCCTCCTTTTTGTTCCATTAGGCTGTCAATAGATTCGATAATGCTTGTCATCGAATCTTCTGGTGGATCTTCTTTACTCAGTTGTCTCATTCAAATGCTAATCTCTTCTGGAAACACCCTCAAAGACACACAGAGATGGGTTTCACCAGCTATCTGCAGTTCCTTTGAGTCAGTCAAGTTGACACATAAAATTAAACATCACAGTTTCTTTACTCATGTTTGTCTACCTGTCCCATCAGTTGAGAGAGGGATGCTGAAATCTCCCACTATAACTGTGAACTTGCCTGTTTCTCTTTGGCATTTATTAGTCCATTTTTCTTATATTTCAATTCCCTATTATTAGATGCATAAATGTTTAGAAATGTTATATCTTCTTGACAAATAAATTAACTTGTTTATTGGGTGGGAAATGTTTAGGATTTTTATTTTCTCCTCATTAATTAGGCCCTTTATCACTGAGAAATTAACTTAACTCTGGTAACATTCTTTGTTGTGAAATGTAAGCTGTCTGATATTAATATAACCACGCTGGGTTTCATTTGGCTAATGTTAGCGTGGTATGTCGTTTTTCATCATATATTTGGTATATTTGAAGTGGGTTTTTGTAAGTAACATATAGTTGAGTCTTGCTTGGTTTCCTAATATGACAATCTCTGCTATTTAGTTTGTGTGTTTAGACTATTTCATTTAGTGTGATTATTGATATGATTAGGTTTAAATTTATCATCTTACCATTTGTTTTCTCCTTATCCTGTCTGCTCTTTTTATGTTCTTATATTCCTTTCTCCTGTTTCTTTTGGATTGAGCATTTTTAAAATGTGACTATTTTTATCTCCTTTATTGAATTATTGCCTATAAATGTTTATTGTGTTATTTTAATGGTTGCATTAAGGTCTATAGTATACATCTATAACTTACTATAAGTCTGTATTTCAGTGATATGTAGAACCTCATCTATAATAATATTCTTGCAAGAGTATACTTCAGTTTCTCCCACCTGTTCTTTGTGTTATTATTGTTACAGCTTTTAATTATATGTGAGTTATAAATCCACAATACATTATTATTTTTGCTGATTATCTTTTGAATAATTTAAATAATAAGTACATAATTCTTTATATTTGCTCATTGAGTTACAGTGTATGGTAGTCTTCTTTATGTAGATTCAGGTTTCTAGCTTGTATCATTTTCTTTCTGTTTGAAGAACTTCCTTTCACATTTCTTATAGTGCAAGTCTATTGAAAAAAATTTTTTTTTAGGTTTGAAAGCGTAAAAATATCTTTATGGTGTCCTTTGTTTTTGAAAACAATTTTTACATGTATAAGATTCCTGTTTGGCAATTTCTTTACATATTTTAAAGATGTTGCTGTATTATCATCTTACTTGTGTTGTTTCTCATGAAAAATTTGTGCCTAATGTTTTTTTCCTCTGGCTGCACTTAAGGTTTTCCCTTTGTTACTGATGTTAAGCAATTCATTATGTGCCTTTATGTAGTTTTCTCTGCATTTTTTGTGCTAGGGTCTTGTTGACCTTTTTAAACCCATGGGCTACTACAGTTTTCATCAACTTTGGAAAGTTTTCAGGCATTATTTTAAATAATTGTTTTTTAGTTCTCCCTCTTCCTTTTATCTTCTTTCAGGACCCTGATTACGTATGGATTTGGCTGTTTAAAGTTGTCTTACAGTTTACTATGCTGTATTTTTCTTTCTTCTCTGTGTTTCATTGTGGTTAGTTTTTATTGTTGTCTTCTACTTCACTAATCTTACTTTTATTCAATGTCTAATCTGTTGTTAATTTTATCCACTGTATTTTTCAGCTCAGATATTTTTACTTCCAACTTCCTTTCGTAACCCTATTAATGAGGTTAACTTTAATTCTTTCCCTGATCACTTATTTCCAGCAGTGTCTCTTCTTCCCTCACTCCTCCTTTTCTGGCAACAATACTTCCTTTCTTGCCAATATTTAAATTTAAATTATGCCTGTGTACCATTCCTTCGTCTTCTTGTACCTGCCAAAACTCAACTTTTCCTTTTGCTCCACACCCATACTTTAGGGTGGAACAAATGGAGAGAATAAACAGAAATCAAGTAGTTGGGCCATTTCCATGTTAAAAATGAACAAGTCGTAAATATCTCTAGTAGATTTGAATTCCTTTTATATCTTGTATCTTTTGACTTAATATATTTATTCTTTCCTCTAGTTTTGTGAATATATGGAATATAGTCCTTTTTTGGCAATTACTTTTTCATTCTGATCCAGAATTCAATACACAGTCACTTATTTCATTTATTTAATAGTTGTTGTATCTCTTCTGTGACTTTTTATCTAGAATACGAACATGAGAAATCACATGAACCTGTGATTTGGTAATTTTTCATTTTTTAATTTATTTTACAGGAAAGGGGTCCCAGTTCAGACCCCAAGGGAGGGTTATTGGATCTCGCGCAAGAAATAATTCAGAACAGGTCCACAGTGCAAAGCAAAAGCAGGTTTATTAAGAAAGTAAAGTGGTGAAAGTACAGCTACTCCATACACAGGGGAGGGCGTTCCTGAAAGTAAGAGGAGAAATGTGTCCACCCTAGGTACAATACGTGTTTGTATACAGGATAAAAAAAGATCATTGGGAGATGTGCTCTGTTACAAGGGTTTGTGATAAAGGATTACTTTTCTTAATTACTATATTTTGCAAGAATTGATGTTATTATCTTTAAAGCAAAATTAGGAATGCTTCTGTTCTCAAGATATCATCGGGGTATTAGGACACTCCTAAGTCTGGATCTGTTTAGTAAACATTATCAATCTGTTCCCTTAACCATAAACATCTAGAGGCTAGCAATACCTAACTTTCTGGGCATGCAGCTCAGCAAGTCGCAGCCTCATTTTTCCTAGCCCTCACTCAAGATGGAATCACTCTAGTTCGAATGCCTCTGTTATTTATAGTTATTTTGAAGTGTGTACATTCTGTCTTTAATCCTGAGGGCATGTTTCTTGTGTGGTTTTCTTTTCTTTTTTTGTTCGTTTGTATTCCTATTGGAGGAAATAGTAGGAGATGGAGACCTAGGTAGCTATCTTTTTCCCCCAACTACCTGGTTTCTATTTTTTCTTCATTCTCTGAGCACTTGTTTACTTTTTGGCATAAGAAGATATTCCAATCTCATCTTGAATGTTGCTTTCTACATTCCTGGAATAAACCCTTTTCCCTAGGAGTCCTGGTTTCTTTTAGTGGGGAAAATATCTGAACATTCAACCAATTTACTATATATGGAATTTTAGGTTTCACAGTATTTGCAATTACAAATAATGCTGCAATGGATAACTTTGAATAGGTGTATTTTTGTAACATGGGTGTCTTCACGCTGAATTTTTGGAAATGAGATTTCCAGGCCAAAATGTAAATGTACCTGTTATATTATATATTTTTGTTATATATTGCCAATATAAATATAAATTTATATTTCTAGAAATTTCCTCTGTGGATCTTGTATCATTTTGCATATCCAGCAGAAACATAGGAGGATGTCAGCTTCTACTTAATCTGGGTAACAGAGTTTGTTCTCAGACTTTTGTATTTTTATTATTCTGATAGGTAAGAAATGATATCTAGGGTGCTTTTATATTTCTCTAAAAAGAGTTAAATTAAACATCTTTCATATGTTTAACAGCTATTGTATTGTTAGGACCTGTTTTCTGTGCTGAAGATGAATTTTACTTTGCTTCTTCTTCTTTATGTAAAATTATATCTGTCTGCATACAGTCAACTTCTGAAATAGTACAGTGATAAATACTATCTTCAAATGATGCAAGGTACTTAAAAGGAAGTATTGCCTTACCTTTTAAACATGAAGTGAATTGAAATATTGGTGATGTTACATATACCACATAGGAATAAAAAGTAATGAAAAATGCTTTTTGATGAATCAGTCTGATTATTTAGTAGTCACATAATACATATATAATGTAACTTGAGCCTGTACAACTAGGGTTTCAACTATATATATTTTTAAAGCAGTAATTTTTAAGCCTGGCTATAGAGCCACTTCTGCTATACCACCGGATTTGAAAACATTGAAATCTTGGTTGAAATCATTTCAACATTTAAAAACTTGGTTAATGAGAGGATCACCTGAGGCCACAAATTGAAGACGAGTCTGGGTAACATAGCAAGACCCTGTCTTAACTAAGTAACTAACTAACTACACCACCGCCCCCCCAAACACACACACACCACACATATATACACACATGCTTTAATCTATCAAAAAAAAAACCATGAGTTTGTTCCCACACAATTGACATATTAGGAACGATTTGAGCTTAACGTTAATTTTGCATTTGTTTATGTCTGAAACCTGAAGAAGCACTAGGTGAATGCAGAAAACTATAACTAGCTTAACCATGCTGCGTAGGAATACATAGTAGACACACACTTCAGTCCTTTACTGGCTACCTTCATTTACCTTTTTGTTGTGAGCCACACTCATCCACATGTGGCATTTCAACTTTCTGTCAAATTTTGAATAACTCTCCCCTTTACAGAATTCGCAAGTTGCAACCTTTCTGAAGTCGACTTTGACAAGCAAGCTTCAGGTCTTTTCAAAATGAAGTGCCATGTTAATATAGTAGTCATGTGCTTCTTAACGTTTAATATGTGTAAAACTATGCAAAGTTTTTTCTGTTAGGTTTCTGTTTTTAAAAAAATGTGTCCCTGATTAGTTTCTTGAGTATTATGCCTTTAACCCCATTTGTCCATAAGCCCTGTGGTTTTTATTCTGTAATTTTTGTACAATCTCATGGTTATTAGGCACAAAAATATTTTGTTACAGTAGAGCTTATACATTAGAATTAGTTGTGGAGCTTTAAAGTACTGATGTATAGACCCCATCCAAAGCCTGTTAAATAAGAATCTATGGCCTTAGAGCCAATAATTGGTATTTTTAAAAAGTTTGCAGTTGTTTGACTGGGCATGGTGGCTCATGCCTGTAATCCAGCACTCTGGGAGGCTGAGGTGGGCAGATCACTTGAGCGCAGGAGTTCAAGATCAGCCTGGGCAACGTGGCAAAATCCCATCTCTACCAAAAATAAAAGAAAATTAGCTGAGCATGGTGGCCTGGTCCTGTAGTCCCAGCTACTTGGGAAGCTGAGGTGGGAGGATCACTTTAGCCCAGGAGGCAGAGGTTGCAGTTAGCAGAGATCATGCCACTGCACTCCATCCTGGGCAACAGAGCAAGACACTGTCTCAAAAAAAAAAAAAAAAAAAAAAAAAAAAAAAAAAGCTTGCAGTTGCTTCTTATTGCAGCCAGAGTTGTGAACCACTAGTCCAGGGAAACCGTGAAGCTTTGAAGAAAATGAAGAGAGGCTCTTATGAATGGGAAGTATCTAAAATTTCCTTTGAACTTGCGATTGAATCTTTGAAAACTTCAGCTTTAGGGGAATTTAAGGAGTTGTCTTCTGGATTTCTATATTCCATAAAGACACAGAGACTCCAAAAACATTCTTCTTATGTAATGGGCAAACTCACAATAAAAACTGTTGTTTCACAGAACCATTTATTTTGAGTTATTGTGTAGTGCACAGACTATGCATTCTTCATGGAATTTTTATGTTGTATTTAAAAAAATTCAAGCAAAAAGAAAGCAAACAAGTAGTTGGAGGTGTAGTCTGCAGTGAAAAGCTATTTATAACAACTATTATTTAGGTATTTTTCAAGCTTGAGTCATCTTCGTGATTTATTTTCAATGTTTTAGTATAATTATAGCTCCAGTAGTAGTTTGTTCTTTAATCCAGTGTTGTAGAATAAATACTTTTGGTATAATAAACTCAGAGCACTTAAATTAATACCTGTTTATGGAATACTGATTTACCTCACTACACAGCTGTTAGTTCAAATTTAGAGGGCAAGAAAGGACTAATATGCATTTCTAAAAGTTATGTATTTTCCCCTTATGTGTAGTTTTCTCTTTTTCAAAAGTTGCATGCAGAGTTTACTTTCTTTATATCATGTATTAATCTTAGTATAACTGGTACTATTTACCTCTATAGTCTTCCTAAGCATAAAATAGGCATT
The DNA here is from genome assembly GCF_000001405.40 of Homo sapiens. NCBI lineage: Eukaryota > Metazoa > Chordata > Mammalia > Primates > Hominidae > Homo > Homo sapiens. Next base: position 108,817,930 of record NC_000005.10, read on the forward strand.
GTAGGGTTTATGTTAATTATTTTAGAAGCCTGAGATGCTATTTAATGTATGCAATGATCTCGTTTTTGGGGTAGATGAGAATAAAATTTCTGTAAATTGAATTATTATTCCTCCTTTTTATTATGAAATAGGTGATGTGTTTATTTCTAGGAACCATTTTATTTTTGGTCACAAAACAACACTGCCAAAGAATCGCATTTAAGAATTTAGAAAATTGGCCATATGCGGTAGCTGACGCCTGTAATATTAGCACTTTGGGAGGCCAAGGAGGGTGGATTGCTTGAGCTCAGGAGTTCTAGACCAGCCTGGACATCATGGTGAAATCCCATCTCTACAAAAAATACAAAAAGAAAATTAGTTGGGCATGGTGGTGTGCGGTGTATTCCTGTGGTCCCAGCTGCTCAGGATGCTGAGGTGGGAGAATCACCTAAGCCCGGGAAGTCAAGGCTTCTGTGAGCCGTGATTGTGCCACTGCACTCTAACCTGGGTGACAGAGCAAGACTTTCTCCAAAAAAAAGATAAAAAGAATAAATCTTTTGAAATCACATTTTACATTTCAGGTAAAAGCAATATTTTTAATAATATTAATATTAATATACAACTCAGAATTCTGAAAAATGTTCTAAAATTTTAAAATCTCAAATTAGTAATTTGTTTTCCTGGGGCATTGGGAAATGTGTGCTGTCTTTTTCACTGTGTTAAAGTAGTCCTATTTCTAATTATCCAGTGAGATATTGGGGCGGTTAGATAAGATGATAATTTTATTTAATTGTTCTGTTCAGGGAGATTTGAGAGATGGGTCATTACTTTAGTTAGAAAGGCAGTTACAGTGAGAGGCCTCTTTCATTTTCATATCCATAGCTTCTCACAGAGCATGTCATATCAAGAGTGACTCACCAATCTTGCCCTACAAGGACTTCTTTTTAGATGTGCTCATACTACAAAGTAGGTAGCCTAAAGGAGTAGATAGCTTTTCCTATGGCTCTTCACTTCTAATTTAATGATTAAGTACTAAATAGAAATTAAAGATTACTATGTAATTTGTAACCAGTTTAATAATATTCTCCTTAGTTTAACCTAGATAGTTATTCTTTTTTATTTTTAGAAACAGGGTCTAGCTCTGTCGCTTAGGCTGGAGTGCAGTGGTGTGCTCATAGCTCACTGTAGCCTTTAACTCCTGGGCTTAAGTGATCCTCTCACCTCAGCCTCCCGAGTAGCAGGGACTGCAGGTGTGCACCACCATGCTCAGCTTTTTTTTTTTTTTTTTTTAATTTTTAGAGCTGGGATCTGACTCTTTTGCCCACGCTCGTCTTGAACTTTTGGGCTCAAGTGATCCTCCTGCCTCAGCCTGTAATTCCAAAGTGCTGGGATTATAGGCATGTCCCACTGCACCTGGCTAGGTAGTTATTCTTAAAGTAGTTTGTAGATATTAAGACCTTTAGGTTCCCACACTGCTCCCTCCAAGCATCAGGTTATGTCAGGTGTAACACATTAAGAATTAGTTTTGTATTTGAATGTGAGCTCTTCCATTATTTAGGTGTGTGACTTTAGGCAGATTAATTTATCTGACATTCAAACTCCACATTTATAAGATGAAGGTATTTTCTTCATAGTGTTGATAAAAGGAGTAAATAAGAGAAGGCCTGCTGCGAGTGTGCAAGAGGTTGGTAATATTAATAAGTGAAGCCCCAGTATGTAAAAGAGGCAGAGAGCGTCTCTCTCATTTAGATAAGCAAAGTTAGCTTTAATAGGAGTCAGGTTGGAAAGAACTAATGGAGACCATCAATTCCACCTGTTCATTCTATGTGAGAGAGAAAAAAAGCATTTTTTTAAAATAGAGATTCAGAAGAAGGAAGTGTCTTGAGTATATAGATTAGTTTATACCTTCTGGGAGTAAGAACTGAGTTTTAATTTTTTTCCCCCAGAAGTCTATTTGAGGAGTTTGAAAAAAGATAGATAAGGCAGTAGATGAAAAGGTTGATTGGGTTGGAGGAGGAAAGAGAGGACTTTGTTTTTTAAAAAAATATTGAGCTGATGGGGCCAATGAAGGATAATCTGGAACTACAGGAAATAGAAAATAACAGAACGGCTTGTCTAGGACATGGAAAGGGAATGGGAAAGAGTGGAGAGCAGGAATATAAAAAAAAGAAGCTAAAGAAGAGATAAAAATCTCCCAGAATCCTAACTATAGTTCATTCTTCTCTTTAAAATTTCCAAATAGGCCATTATTGTTTTAACAGTCCTCTACTAGAGCTGGATCAACAAAGGAATCTTCTCTGGACGTGAGCTATAAAAGTCAAGGAGTTTGTGAGGATGGCACTAAATAAGGAAGTAGCTATTAATAAATAGGAAAAGATCACAGGATGCTGGAACTGAAAGGGACTGTGAAGGTATTTTATTCAATGCTTAATTTTTGGTAGGAGAAAACTGCTGAGGTTAGGCGATTTACTTCTGAAGAATAAAGGTGACTATGGCTGGTTATTTTTCTGGTTACTGTTCTTCAAAAGAAGAACAAGAAAGGTGGCCCTTAAGTCCAAGAGGAATAAAAGCAATTGAGGAGCACCAAGAAGCTGGAAAAGTATTGGGAAAGAAAAGGTAATATAATTTCTTAATTTCTTTTCTGGCCTGTTCTGTGTTTAGATACTTAGATTTACCTTTTTAATACCAGTAGTAATATCCCGGTAGTCATGTGGTTCTCTAACTTTTGAGACTGGACCGTAACTGAGCTAATGCAGCTCAGCATCTTTGGTACCAGTCATTAGAAACCAATTATTTAATTTGATTATATTGGTTTTATTTAAAAAATTTAGTCTTTGTCCACATATTATTTTTGCTTTCATTTGGATTCATTTTGGTTATTATATTAGTGTTTGATGATCTGAGAATCTGAAATACTTGAAATAACAGAGTCTTAGGCCAGGTGCAGTGGCTCACGCCTGTAATCCCAGCACTTTGGGAGGCCAAGGTGGGCGAATCACTTGGGACCAGCCTGGCCAACATGGTGAAACCCTGTCTTTACTAAAAATACAAAAATTAGCCGAGCATGGTGGCACATGCCTGTAATCCCAGCTACTCGGGAGGTTGAGGCAAGAGAATCACTTGAACCCAGGAGGTGGAAAGTATAGTGAGCCAGGATTGCTCCACTGTACTCCAGCCTGGGTGATAGAGTGAGACTACGTCTCAAAAAAAATAACATGGTCTTAAAAGTTTCAACCTTTCTATTGTTAGAAAGGCTTTAACCAAGAGAAAGTGAAATTCTGCTGACATTGAAGGTCATACTTAACTCAGATGATTCACCTTCCTCTGATTTATCAAGTAACCTTAGTCCTTTGGTTCTTTAAAAACCTTCACCAGATAGGAACATGCTTATAAATCTGGACACCAAGACATAAATGATCCGGGGAAAGAGACTAGTCAATTCCTGCTGTATTTATAGGGGAAAATTTTTAAATGTTATAAGAAAAATGAAGATATCCAAGAACTCATTACAATGAGTTATACCGTTGAAGGAGTTTCATATATGTAAACAGTTTTTGAAAATTATTATATTATCACTATGAAAATTTTAATATCCCAAGGCTGACACAAATATGGTAGTGGTAGTCTTGCCTTTTTCATGCTTCTTGTGCTTGGGTTCATTGAGCTTCTTTGATCTGTATTTATTTTTCATCCAATTTTGAAAAATTTTAGCCATTATTCTTTGAATACTTTCCTTGTCTCTCCCTCTGTCTCCTTAGAGGTTTCCAAGTACACACATATTATTTTTGTTATTAAATTCTATAATATAATTATTTTATTTTTTAAGAAAAATTATATGTATTTATGGTATACCTTGTAATATTTTGATATATGTTGTATAATGATTACCACAATCAAGTTAATTAACTTATCTGTCACCTCACATAGTTATTATTTCTTTTCATGAGGAGAACACTTAAGATACGTACTCTCTTAGCAAATTCAAAGTGTATAATAAATTATTATTAACTCTAGTTATCATGGTGTACATTAGATCTTCAGGACTTTTTAATCCTGCATAACTGAAACTTTGTTCCCTTTGACCAAAATGTCCCCATTTTCTTCACCCCTATCCCCTGGCAATCATCATTCTATTCTCTTTTTCTGAATTTGACTTTTTAAAATTCCACATATGGGTGAGATCATGCAATATTTGTCTTTTTATGCCTGGCTTTTTCACTTAGCATAATGCCCTCTAGATTAATCCCTGTTCTCAAAAATGGCAGGATTTCCTTCTTTTTTATGATTGAATAATATTCCATTATATATGTGTATACACACACACACACATTTTATTTACTATAATTTCTTTATCTATTCATTTGTTGAGGGTTGTTCCTATATCTTGCCTATTATGAATAATGCCTGTCCTAGTCCAAGTTCTGTTGGTATAATAGAATTCCTGATATTGGGCATTTTATAAAGAAAGAGGTTTATTTAGCTTATAGTTCTGTAGGCTGGGAAGTTCAAGGTCATCACCCTGGCTTCCGGTGAGAACTATTGTGCTGTGTCATAACACAGGGAGAAAAATAAAGGGAAGTGGACATATGCAAAGAGAGAAAATCCAGGGACTTTATAGCAATCCACTTTTGTGGGAACTAATCCATTGCTACAAGAGCTAATCTAGTCTTGCCAGAGTGAGAACTCACTATTCTGAGAATGGCACCAAGCCACCCACATAGTAGCAGCCCTCATGACCCAAACACCTTCCATTAGGCCCTACCTACCAATACCACCACATTGGGGATCAAATTTTATTTTATTTATTTTATTTTATTTTATTTTATTTTATTTTATTTTATTTTATTTTATTTTATTTATTTTATTTTATGTTATTTTATGTTATTTTATGTTATTTTTGAGACAGAGTCTCGTTCTGTCGCCTAGGCTGGAATACAGTGGCGCCATCTCGGCTCACTGCAGCCTCTGCCTCTTGGGTTCAAGTGATTCTCCTGCCTCAGCCTCCTGGCTGGAATGCAGTGGCGCCATCTCGGCTCACTGCAGCCTCTGCCTCTTGGGTTCAAGTGATTCTCCTGCCTCAGCCTCCTGAGTAGCTGGGATCACAGGTGGCCTGCCACCATGGCCAGCTAATTTTTGTATTTTTAGTAGAGACAGGATTTCACTATGTTGGCCAGGCTTGGACTTCTGACCTTAAGTGATCTGCCCCCCTTGGCCTCCCAAAGTCCTGGGATTACAGGCATGAACCACTGTGCCTGGCCTGGGGATCAAACTTTAACGTGAGTTTTGGTGGGGACAAACAAATAATATGCAAGCTGTAGCAATATGACAATGAACATGAGATTACAGGTATCTTTTTGTTGTATTGATTTTGTTTTCTTTGGCTATGTAACCAGAAGAGGGCTTGTTAGATCATATAACAGTTCTATTTTTAATTTTTTGAGGAACCTCGATATGTTTTACATAATGGGTGTCCTAATTTACATTTCCATCAACAGTGTATAGTGCTCCTTTTCTTCACATCTTTGTCAACACTTATCTTTTGTCTTTTTTATAATAGCCATCTTAATAGGTGTGAGGTGATAGGTCATTGTGGTTTTGATTTGTAGTTACCTGATGATTAGTGATACTGAGCACCTTTTCATATATCCTTTGGTCATTTGTGTATCTTCTTTGGAAGAATATCTGCTCAGGTCCTTTGCAGATTTTGAAAACTGAGCTATTTTTTTCTGTGTGCTGTTGAGTTGTGTTAGTTCCTTACATATTTATATCAGTTCCCTTATTAGATATATAATTTGCAAATATTTTTTCCCATTCTTTAGATTGCCTTTTTATTTGGTTATTTCCTTTGCTGTGTAGAAGCTTTTTAGTTTGGTGCAGTCTCACTTGTTTAATTTTGCTTTTGTTGTCTGTGCTTTTGGTGTCATCTTCAAAAAATCATTGCCAACAGCAGTGTCAGGGAACTTTTCCTTTATTTTTTCTTCTAGGAGTTTTATGGATTCAGGTCTTATATTTAAGTCTTTAGTTCTTTTTGAGTTGATTTTTGTGTATGGTCTAAGATAGGGATCCAGTTTCATTCTCTTACATGTGGATATCCAGTTTTCCCAACACTGTTTATTGAAGAGACTATCTTTTCCCTATTGTGTATTCTTGGTGCCCTTGTCAAAGATGAGTTGATTGTATATGTGTGGGTTTATTTTTCTGTGCTCCCTCTATTCTTCCATTGGCCCATGTATCTGTTTTTATGCTAGTATTATATTATTTTGATTAATATACCTTTGGAAATATAGTTTGGAAAAAGGAAGTATGATGCCTCCAGCTTTATTCTTTGTAAAGATTGTTTTAGCATTCAGGGTATTTTATGGCTCCATAAGAAGTTTAGGATTTTTTTTTTCTATTTCAAAATTCTAATGTCGTTTTTTATCATTGAAATTTTAATTAGGAATTCTGATAGAATTGCTTTCAATCTGTAGATTGTTTTGGGTGGTATGGATATTTTAATGATCATTCTTTCAATTCATGAACGTAAACATATTTTCCATTTATCTGTGCCTTCTTCAACTTCTTTCATCAATATCTTATAGTTTTCAGTGCAAAGACCTTTCACTTCCTTGGTTAAATTTATTCCTATGTATCGTATTATTTTTGATGCTAATTTGGGAGTGTTTTCCTAATTTCTTTTTTGGATAGTTTGTTGTTACTGTATAGAAATGTTACTGATTGTTTTTATACTCCTGGCAGGAAAAGAAATAAATTTTAAAAAAGAAAAAAGAAAAACAAATGTTATTGATCTTTATATGTTGATTTTTTAATCCTACAATTTTACAGAATTCACTTATTAATTCAGTTTTTTAAAATTGGAGAGTCACAGGTTTCTACATACGAGATTATCGGGGGACCTGCCCCGATAATCACGTAGGTTCTTTTCTATTTTCCTAAGCGTCGGCTGGCTTGAGAAATAAAAGGACAGAGTACAAAAGAGATAAATTTTAAAGTTGGGCATCCGGGGGAGACATCACACATTGGTAGGATCTGTGATGCCCACAAGCCACAAAAACCAGCAAGTTTTTATTAGGGAGTTTCAAAAGGGGAGGGAGTGTGCGAATAGGTGTGGGTGACAGACAAAAAGTACTTAACAGGGTAATAGAATATCACAAGGCAAGTGGAGGCAGGGCGAGATCACAGGACCACAGGACGGAGGCGAAATTAAAATTGCTAATGAAGTTTTGGGCACCACCGTCATTGATAACATCTTATCAGGAGACAGAGTTTTGAGATCAACCGGTCTGACCAAAATTTATTAGGTGGGAATTTCCTCTTCCTAATAAGCCTGGGAGCGCTATGGGAGACTGGAGTTTATTTCACCCCTGCAGTCTCAACCATAAGAGACAGGTACGCCCCGGGGGGCCCAGTTCAGAGACGTACCCCTAGGTGCGCATTCTCTTTCTGGGGGACGTTCCATGCTGAAAGAAAGAATTCAGCAATATTTCTCCCATTTGGGCTTTTGAAAGAAGAGAAATATGGCTCTGTTCTGCCCAGCTCACCGGCGGTCAGAGTTTAAGGTTATCTCTCTTATTCCCTGAACAATTGCTGTTATCCTGTTCTTTTTTCAGGGTGCCCACATTTCATATTGCTCAAACACACATGCTGTGCAATTTGTGTAGTTAACGCAATTATTACAGGGTCCTGGAAGGATATACATCCTCCTCAGCTGACAGGATTAAGAGATTAAAGTAAAGACAGGCATAGGAAATCACAAGGGTATTGATTGGGGAAGTGATAAGTGTCCATGAAATCTTTACAATTTATGCTTAGAGATTACAGTAAAGACAGGCATAAGAAATTACCAAAGTATTAATTTGGGGGAACCAATAAATGTCCATAAAATCTTCATAATCCACGTTCTTCTGTCATGGCTTCAGCCGGTTCCTCCATTTGGGGTCCCTGACTTCCCGCAACACAAGATCCTGTCTATTGTAGACAGTCATACTTTTCTTTCTGATTTGGATTTTTAAAATTTCTTTTTATTGCCTAATTGCTCTGGCTAGGACTTTTAGTATGCCATTAAATGGAAGTGAGAGTGAGCATCCTTTTCTTTTTTCCGATTTTAGAGGAAAAGCTATCAGTTTTTTACCATTGACTATGTTAGCTGTGAGCTTGCCATATCTAGCCTTTATTATGTTGAGATACATTGATTCTATACTTGATTCCTTGAGAATTTTTATCATGAAAGGATGTTGAATTTTGCCCAATACTCTTTGTGCATATATTGACACGATCACATGAAGTTATTCATTATTCTGTTAATATAATGTGTCAAATACAAAATTATTGATTCGTGTATGTTGAACCATGCTTGCATCCCAGGGATAAATCCCACTTGCCCACTTGGTCATGGTATATGATCCTTTTAATATGTATACAATTTTGTTCTCTAGAATTATATTGAGGATTTTTACATCTGTGTTCATTAGGGATATTGGCTTGTAATTTTTCTTTCCTTTTTTTCCAATTTATTTTTATTTTTTGTAGACATGGTGCCTTCCTGTGTTACCCAGGCTGATCTTGAACTCCTGGGCTGAAACGGTCCTCTCGCCTCAACCTCCCAAAGTGCTGGGATTACAGGCATGGGCCTCTGCACCTGGACAGTTCTTGTTTCTTATAGTGTCTTTGTCTGGCTTTGCTGTCAGGGTAATACTGGCTTCATAGAATGAATTTGGAAGTGTTCCCTCCTTTTCAGTTTTCTAGAGTAGTTTGAAAAGGACTGATGTCAATTCTTCTATAAATGTTTTGTAGAATTCACTAATGAATCAAACAAAGGTCTGGGCTTTTTGATGGGAAGTGCTTGATTACTGATTCAGTCTCCCTACCTGTTTTAGTCTAGTCAGAATTTCTGTTTCTTCATGATTCAGTCTTGGTAGGTTGTATTTGTTTTTATTCCATAGCACCTTGTTCTTTGCAGACTCCCAGCTCTGTCTCCTCAATTCAGGGATTCCACAGGGTTCTGCCTCAGTTTCTCAATGTTATGGTGGTTTTAGAAACTTTTTTTTTATTCTCAATTCTTAGAGACAATTTAAGTAGCACCAAAGTTTACTGATTCAAACAATTTAGATATTATTCAATAGCAAAACATTTGAGCTTTGCACTTTATTAGAGGTATGTTATTCATAATTGGTTTATGACAACCATGGACTCCATGGTTATTGGTCTCTTTGAATTTCGTACTTGTAAAAGTTGGGATTCCAACAGGAAAGTGGAACTTACATGATGTAGTTCAATAGACAGGTTTTAATTTTGGGAAAATCTTCAACACTTTTGGAAAAGCTAAAAGGAAACAGGAGAGGGAGAGAGAGTGCAAGAGTGAGAGCCTGCCAGCCTTCCTCCTATTCCTCAACCCTATCAGAAGGTAATTAGCAAGGGACAGCACAGATAAAGGGCTGGGTTTCTAACTGTGAGCAATCAAATGATCCGTACCCTATATCTTGAAGTGTCAGTCTTGGCACTTTATGTTTCTCTTCAAAAGAAGAAAAAAATAGTACCCATTTCTTCCATTCTTTAGTATTTTCCTGTCAAAGTTCTCATAAGTTATTATTAATCTATGGTTATTTCTCTTTTCTTAGACTTAATTTTAGCGACTTTATTTCCTTTTTTCTGTAATTAAGTAAGCTCTTCTTTGTTTTATATTTTGTCCTAGAATTTGACTTTATATTATTTGAATATAGTGACTACAGGGTCTTGTTGTTCATATTTTTCTGGGGTGTTTTCACTTGTCTTTTTGTTGTTGTGCTGTATTTTATTTCTGTTTCATACGTATTGCATATAGTGAAGTTTTGTCCCCTCTCTGATTTGATAATGTTTTCCTTTTTATAAGTGTTTATCCCATTTTCGTATAATATTTAACAGATGGAGTTAGTATCTTTTTTTTTTTTTTTTTTTCCCCCAAGACAGGCTCTTGCTCTGTCACCCAGGCTGGAGTGTAGTGGCAAAGTCATAGCTCACTGTAACCTCAAACTCCTGGGCTTAAGGGAATCTTCCAACCTCAGCCTCCTGAGTAGCTAGGACTATAGAAACAAGCCACCATATCCAGCTAATGTTTAAATTTAAAAACAAAGCTTTTCAAATTTTTGATTAAAAATTTTTTTTTTGTAGAGACACTGTCTTGCTACATTGCCCAGGCTACTCTCGAGCTCCTGGCCTCAAATAATCCTCCCACCTTGGCCTCCCCAAACACTGGGATTACAGATATGAGCCACTGCTCCTGGCCTCATTTGTATTTTGTACTTATTTTCAATTATTATTTACTTTTTGTACTTTGTTAAAATGGATAGTGTTAACTTTCCTTAAAAAGCACTTTTGATAATTCAGGAGGTATAAATAGGCTGCTTATTTAAAAACCTTCACTTGGTTAACTTTAGAAACTCAAGAATTATAAACTCAAATTTATACTTCTTGATACACAAACTTAAGAACTAAAGCTATCTTCTGACTCTTCTATTTGAAAAGGTACTAACACTTCTTTCCGTCAGTCTCTCATTCTTCATTTTTGTTGGTATCCTGTGGAATTTTTGTCTAGTCTAGTAAAATTAAATTATTATCACTTTAATGTTTTGTAGCTCTTTTTTCAATAATGATGATATTTATATTCCGTTTTGCAAATTTTAACAGTGTTTTTTCCTGATTGTATTATTGTTATTTGCCTATGATTAAACTTTTCTAAAATTAAAATTCAGGTATTTTTACTTTTTAATATTTTTTAACCTGTCTATAACTTTCAGCATCAGTGACTTCCTACTGGTAAAATTCAATTGTAAGGAATACTATTAGCAATCAGGTTTCTGTATAATGAAGCAATTTTAAGGTCTTCAAGTGGCCGACAATATTTTGTTTATTAAGTTACAAAGAATTAGCTTGCAGCTGGGTGCAGTAGCTTACGCCTGTAATCTTAGCACTTTGGGAGACCGGCAGGATGATTGATTGAGGCCAGGAGTTTGAGACCAGCCTGTGCAACATGGTGAGACCCTGTCTCTATTTTTTTAAAAAAAGAAAAAGAATTATCTTCCACAAATTATCCTAATAACAATTTATCTATGTCCTAATCATTGCTATGCTGTAACCAAAGAGCTATATCTGCAACGTGCTATATTCCAGTTTTACTGTAAATATAGAAATGTAGCTTTACTTTTGTTTGTTTCTTTGTTAAGCACCTATTAACATTTTACTCTCCTCTCTTTTAACAAATATCCCACCCACCCAGCTAATTCAAGGAATTATATCATCCAAAGATCTTTTTGTTTGTGACTTTCAACCATTCCTTTTAGGTCAGTGTTTCATTTGCATTACATGCTGCTCTGCTATTTCTGTTATTTTTTCAGTTGAAGATAGACCTGTTTACTTTTTCTTCACTATCACATTATAATATTACCTAATTCTGTGTTAAAAAAAATATTTATGGCTGTGCATGGTGGCTCACACCTGTAATCCCAGCACTTTGGGAGGCTGAGGTGGGAAGATCACTCAAACTCAGGAGTTTAAGACCACCCTGAACAACATAGTGAGACCTTGTCTCTACTAAAAATCAAAATAATTAGCTGGACATAGTGGTGCATGCCTGTAGTCACAGCTCCTTGGAAAGCCGAAGTGGGAGAATCACTTGAGCCTGGGAGGTTGAGTCTGCAGTGAGCCATGATCGTGCCATTGCACTCCAGCCTGGGTGACAGGGTGAGACCCTGTCTCAAAAAAAACTTTTTTAAGTCACTTTTATGGCATGTATTTAATTCATGGTTTTATTCTACATTCCTCCTTCCTTTTTTTCTTTCTTTTTTCCTACTTCTTCCCTCTTTCCCTCCCTCTTGTCTCAAACATCACAATAAATACTCAAAATATTAAACATGGTACCGCCTTCATGGAGCTTCCATTTCAATTGAGGAGACATTATAAAAAACCAAACCACCAATTATACATATAGATAAATAATTGTTTTAAATGCTGAGAAAGAGTAAGACAGAATAGCAAGGATTAGACCTATAGGATATTTAGCTGATTACTAAAGGAAGGTATGGAGCTTGCCAGGTGAAGGTGAGGAAGAGCTTCCAGGTAGAGGTAGAAACTTTCAGGAAGAGATTGGAGCTTGCTATGTTCAGCAAAGTGAAGAAAGAACAATATTTCTAGCATTTATTTAGCTTGGTAGAGAACAGCAATACATGAAGTTGGAAGGATAGATTAGCAGATAGATAATGGGAGACATTATAAGTCTTAGAAGGAGTTTGGGCTGGGTGTGGTGGCTCATGCCTGCAATCCCAGAACTTTGGGAGGCCAAAGTGGGTGGATCACTTGAGGCCAGGAATTCCAGACCAGCCTGGGCAAAATGACAAAACCCCGCCTCTACTAAAAATACAAAAATTAGCTGGGCGTAGTGGTTCACACATGTAGTCTCAGCTACTTGGGAGGCTGAGGCACAAGAATCACTTGGACCCAGGAGGTGGAGGTTGTAGTGAGTGGAGATTGCGTGACTGCACTCCAGCCTAGGTGATGGAGCAAGACTCCATCTCAACACAAAAGAAAGGAGTTTGGATTTTTCTTTAAATGAAAAGGAAAGCCAATGTAGTGTTTTAAGGGAGACAGTTATATTAATTTTTAAATTATTATTGTATTATTATTATTATTGCTACTTTAAAGAGAATGGATTGGAAAGGAGCATGAGAGTGTACCATTTGGGAGGTGTTGTAATAGTCTAAGCCAGAGGTAATCATAACCTTCAAAGGAGTGGCACTGGAGATGGAGAGAAGAAGATGGATTTGTGATTGACTTTGGAGACAGAATCTGAAAGACTTGCTGATGCATTGTTCATGGAGAAGGGTGTCCTCAGATTCAAAGGAGCTGGGACTTCTGCAGAAACACAGAGAATGTTTATTAGCAGCGTTGGGGTGTTGGGAGTGAGATAGAGCCAGGCTTTTGTTAAAACTAGAAGATGAATGGAAAGTTCTGATAAGAGGTATGAAGAGTTTTCTAATTATAGAGCGAGAGTTCTTGACAATACAGGATTCTATAGATAGTGGCTTGGGTTGGATTAGGAGATACTGAGGACAATATGGGGTTGACAGAGTGGCAATATATGCTTTGAGACCTTGGACTTCCTGTAGTGACTACACTGAACAGGGCTTTTAGGCAGGTTGGGATGTACCATTCTGGGAGAGGAGGGCAATCTGACCCAATTGTGTGGTTTTTTGGCTTGCAAGAAATCTTCTCGCCTAGGCTGCAAGGACTGCTACATAGAATTACAAAAAGTTATTGCTACAAAGCACTTAAAGAATATTTATTTTTTGAAGATACAGCAAGAAGACTGTCTCCTCTCACTTTTTATTTTTTTGTAGCATTAACATTCTACACATGCCATAGAATATTTCTCCAACACTGCATAGTTTGAAGTGAAAATACTAGATGAAAAAGGCAAAGCTACATATATTATAGCCATTTAGTTTATGTTTTTAATCCATGTTTATATAGTTTTATACTGTTTGCATCTTTGTTACATTTTAGATTTTAAAGTAAGGACTACATTAGTTTTAAATTGCTTTGTGGTGTTAAGAGCAAATTAGTGATTATATTTTCATATTTAAAAGTAAATATGATGGGTTTATAGGCCGCACATATGTTCCATGTTCATCATATCATTTCACAACTAAAAATAGTCCCCTCCCTAAAAAACTGTTCTCAAAGGTTATTATTTTTTAAAAAACATACAATGCAGTGTATCAAAAACAAGATTGGCAAGTCAGATCCTGGCAACTTTGTATTATGACTAAGAATTTGCTTTCTTTAGGCTATAATTTTGCTTTAGATGCTTATGAAATTTTGATTTTTGATTACATTGGAATATTAACAGAAGGAAAATAATTCTGTTCATTCACAGATCAAAAATAATAGAGTAGAAAATTATTCTTGTCAGTATCTGAAACCAAACTTTGCTCATTTAAAAAATATCTTTTGGATCCACTGTGTCATAGGTCTTCAATATTGTTTCTGAATAGAATATTGAATACTATAGCGAAGAGGATTCCTCTGTTCCTTTTTTTTTTAAAAGTATGTGTATGTCAGGAAGTCTAACTAATAAATGATTTGTTCTTCTAGCAGTTTCCATATGCCCACTGATCCCAAACCTACAATTATGTGCCTCTTGCTATTGAGGCAGTGTGTTGTGCCCTTTGGTGTATTGTGCTGGAAGAACTATTGAGATGTAAAGGTATTTGTTAGGAAAAGAATAGAGCTATAGATAGAAATCCATACAATACCAGTATTCTCACAGGCAACAAAAGAACAGGTACCAAAGATTGAAAAGGAAATTTTAGAAAGGGAGGAAAACAAGCCAGGAATTTTGGAAATAGGAAGCTAAGCGAGCCTCCACAAAAGACAGTTTCAGAGTGAAGTTGAGTCAGCAGGATCAGATGCCACAGAGAGATGCAGGTTAAGATGTGGATGGGACAATGTCTGTTGCATTTGACCATTAGGAACTGAAGACCATAGTGGGACATTAGAATCATGTGGCAGAGCAGTATTTCAGTGTGCTGGAAAACAAATGAGAAGTGAACAAATGAAGACTGCAAGTGTGGACTCTTAAAGAGTCCCGTAATCTTTTTCTTAGTTTTCTGTGTTGTCTGTGATTATAGAATTTTGAAGCATGTGTAGTTGAAGTTGAAGACGTTAAATATGAACCATTCATAGATCTTTGAACAGTTGCCAGAAACCTATTTTTTATATTAATGTAATAATTTACATAAAACTAAATATTTAAAGTTTTGAACTCTTAAAGCACAGCTAAATGGAAACCTTTAATGCAAATGTTTGTTTCTTTTTTTTTTTTTTTTAAGTCTTGGCTACTTATGATTCAGCAGACAGAACAACTTAGTAGGATAATGAAGACACATGCAGAGGACTTGAACTCTGGACCTTTACACAGGCTCACCATGATGATTAAGGACAAGCAGCAGGTGAAGAAAAGTTACATAGGTGTTCATCAGCAGATAGAGGCAGAGATGATCAAGGTTCGTTTTTCCATATTGAAGTTCTTTCTTGAAATTGTTTTCCAAATTCACAGAAATATTTTACCTTATTTGGCTTTAAAAATTGTTTATTCATCATTTCCCAACAAGAAATAGGTTTATGGTCTCTAATAAGTAATATCTTATTGAACATAAAACATTGATTATAGGATATACTGTGACTGTATATACTCCTATGAAAGAAAAAAGAGGCTCCCAATTAAACTATGACACAAAGCTTTCTTATCACTTAGGATTTTTAGTTTTTATTTACTGAAATAGTTCTTTGAGACTTTTAAAAATAAATTTGTCTTATCTAATACTTTGCATAAATAAAAAAGAAAATACAGGCAGAATTACTTTTGGTATTCTTAAATTTACGTATCCCTCATTTTCCCTACATTCGGAGTCTGTCTCTTCTGAATGACTTTTTTCAAATTATTTTTATTATAGAAATTTGTAAATGTATAAAACAAGAGAGGATAGTAAAATCAACTTCCACCTACCCATCACCTGAATAGTCACCGTTTTTTCTATACTCCTACCCACTTTTTTTTTTTTTACATTGGATCATTTTAAAGGTATCATTTTATCCATAAATATTTTAGAATGTATAGCTAAAATAAGTGATCTTGTTAGAAATGTAACTACAGGCCAGATGCGGTACCTCACACCTGTAATCCCAGCACTTTGGGAGGCCGAGGAAGGCGGATCACGAGGTCAGGAGATCAAGACCATCCTGGCTAACAGGGTGAAACCCCGTCTCTACTAAAAATACAAAAAATTAGCTGGGCGTACTGGCGGGCGCCTGTAGTCCCAGCTACTCAGGAGGCTGAGGCAGGAGAATGGCGTGAACCTGGAAGGTGGAGGTTGCAGTGAGCGGAGATCGCACCACTGCACTCCAGCCTGGGCATCAGAGCAAGACTCCGTCTCAAAAAAAAAAAAAAAATGTAACTACAATACCGTTAATTTGCCTAAAAATAATAATTCCTTCATGTTATCGAATACTTTTTGTTGAAATGCTTGTTGTTTAAATGTTTTTTTATAGTTGGTTGGTTTCAATCAGGATCCAAATACCATCTATACCTTGCATTTGAATGATACTTTTAAAAAATATGTAGGTTCTCTTTCCTGCACAGTGTTTAATAAAATGCCATTTATTTATGGAAGAAACTAGGTAATTTGCTCTATATAATTGAATTTTCTTCATATTGGGTTTTTCTGTTAGCATCTTATGATGTGATTTCACATATTCCTTCATCTTTAATTTTTTCTGTAAATTGGAATTTAAATCTAGAGACTTGATAAGATTCTGGCTGCATATTTTGGGCAAGAGTACATCATAGGTGGTGGTATACACTTCTTGCAGTTTTATATCAGGAGGTATATAATGTTGATTTATCTTTTTATTATGTGAAACTTGACTAATTGGTTCCAGTGTTGTCAACCTGATCAATCTATTAAAAAAGTTTTCTGGCTGGGTGCGGTGGCTCATGCCTGTAATCCCAGCACTTTGGGAGGCCAAGATGGGCAGATCGCCTGAGGTCAGGAGTTCAAGACCAGCCTGGGCAACACGGTGAAACCCCGTCTCTACTAAAAATACAAAAATTAGCCAGGTGCGGTGGTGCACGTCTGTAACCCCAGCCACTTGGGAGGCTGAGGCATGAGAATTGCTTGAACACTGGAGGCAGAGGCTGCAGTAAGCCTAGATCATGCCACTGCCCTAACAGCCTGGGCAACAGAGGGAGATTCTGTCTCAAAAAAAAAAAAAAAAAAAAGTTTGGTATCAGACTTTTACCAAATAGTTTTACAAAGTTAACCAGTGAGTTTTTTCTTGAATGGAGAATGATTTGAACTCATTTATATTTATATTTTTTGTTTATTCACACAGTGTCATCGTCTGTGTCATCAAGAACATTGGTGATACAGAATTTCTTTAAAAGGGGTTTGAGATTATCTTCCAAGTTGCTGATAACCACTTTTGCAAGGTTTTGATGCTTTCTCTTTCTTAATCTTCTCAAATGGCAAATTTGAAGATCTGTAGACAATATCTGGGACACATATTTTTTCCTTAAATTGCATTCAAATGACTTTTTGACTACAGTCAAGGACTTGCATTTGTTTCATTGTTCCACAGAAATAATATTTTAATGGTTTGTTTAATTACAGAAAATATTTCTGCACATACTAAGTTAATTTTTTTAAATTTTAGATAATGGCAGTGTTATTTCTTCGTTTGCGCCACCCCCCCCCCCCCACTTTTTTTTTGAGTCAAGTTTCAGCCAGGCTGGAGTGCAGTGGTGTGATCTTGGCTCATTGCAACCTCTGCCTCCCAGGTTCAAGCGATTCTTGTGCCTCATCCTCCCGAGTAGCTGGGATTATAGGCATGCGCCACCATAGCCTGGCTCCTTTTTTGGTATTTTTGGTAGAGACAGGGTTTTGCTGTGTTGGCCAGGCTGGTCATGAATTACTGACCCCAAGTGATCTGCTTGTTTTAGCCTCCCAAAGTGCTGGTTACAGGCGTGAGCCACCGTGCCTGGCCTGATTTGCTATTCTCTTAAAAAAGTTTATTTGTTTTCACATGCTATTGAATTTAGTACTGATTTTTAAAACATACTTGTAGTTTATTTTCTATAGTTGTATATTAAAGGACAACTCTGACCTGTAAGTAGTGAAATACACATCAGTTAATACTTTGGAATTTAAGTTCTTGAGCAATTTAAATTTAAACAATTTAATACATTTATGCATTTTGTTTCTTTGACAGGTTACCAAAACAGAATTGGAGAAGTTAAAATGCAGCTATAGACAATTAATAAAAGAAATGAATTCTGCCAAAGAGAAATATAAAGAAGCTTTAGCTAAAGGTAAGGCAAAATTTTAAAAATTGTTTACTTAGGTGATTTTTATTCTTACTGTTTGAAAGTTATCTTTGTAAGTAGTGGAATGATTCCATTTAGAGCATTTCACATATAAAAAACTCAAAATAAACCCACATTGGCTAATTGTCAAACAGTGTAGTAAGTCTTACTAATTTTCCATTGCTTTAAATGACTCAAAGTATTTTCGAATAGTTCATACTAAATGGAATTATGTAGCATGTGTAATAGAATTGAAGGGATGTTTAAAATTTTCTCTCTTGCATCATATTTACTTATTTAATTACAGAGTGCTTAAGTAAGAAAAATAGGAGTATATTTATTTAGAAACTTTTAAAATCTTCTTTTTTACCTGTATTATTTAAGTCATTAAAACCACATCATTTTATAGCATTATGTTCTCTTTATAGCTTAATTTTATGTGTCTATATTGCCCTAAAATTTTCATAAGAAGTCTTAAAAATAAATGGAAAGAGAAGCATATTATTTATGTTTCAAACAGAGATTTATGGTTATAATTTCTTATTAAGTACTTAGGTGATCTTGTATCTAAATTTTGAAATGTTAGATTTCAGTAAAGACTAAGCATAGTTTATGAACAGAAACTTCTTTGGCTGTTGCTATAATTGGGCAATATTTTCCTTATGTTTAAATGTGCCTAAACCACTCATATTTATACATTTTTTCTTTATGAAAGTTGGAGGATTTTTCTTTTTGTTTTGTTAATTTTCTTTCTAGCTAAATAAAGCGTTTATTAGAATCTCTATTTTATTTTGGTTCTTAAATTCATCTTTCTCTACATTTTCTCTTTATCTTTCATTTGTTAAACATTCTCGTTATTTTGTCATAGTAAATGAAGTAAACAGCTCCTCCATTTGGCTGTATCTTGCACAATGAAAATATTGTTGTTATTCCCAGTACACTAGAAGTGATACTGATTTAAATGCAGTTCTTTCTCTTCTCCTTCCTTTCTCTCTCCTTTTCCCCTCTTCTTTATCTTCTTCCTTCCTCTCCCTTGGACTCCCTGTTTGTCCCCCTTCTCTCTCTTCCTCCTCCACTTCTTACCCCAACATTTACTTTGTGTCTCCTTCTCTCCCCGCTTCCCCCAATTTACTAGGGAAGTTGTATGCATATTCACAGTTTCCTTACTTATTTGTCATGTAACTCAGCCAAGACTTTGAGATTATGGTCTCTATTAATGTAGATATATCTTTTGAAATGCTTTTATCTTTAAATTATCTAAATTATTTTAGTGAAGCAAAGAAAGAAATGACAGTGGAAAGAGCACAGGCTTTGGAGTCAGAGAGTCCTGGATTTAAGTTCCAACATTGTGTGATTATTTCATAGATTTTCAAACTTCCTATACCTAATTATTATTCCTTTGTTATTTTAGGAGTGCTTTAGATAACCAAGAAATATTTACTGGGCACTTGCTATGTTTAAGTTACTGAGATTCAAAACAATATTTGCCAGGCATTCAAGGAGCTTACAGTCTGGTTCACTAACTTGAGAACTCCAAGTCTCACTCTCTTGCAAAATTTAGCTTTTTCACAAGGTATCCCTTGCTAAATCATCAAGAATAGTTTAAAAATAACTTTATACATTAAACATTACTTCTTAATCTGTCAAAATAGTTAATTTTATAAAGTTCATTGCTTCATGCCTGGCTAGCATTCTCAAGTTAATTAAATTACATTGCAAATATCCATATCTAACTTCACCCACAGCAACCATATTGTAATCCAGCTATGTTGTGTATTTCGCACTAGGTTTGTATATGTTGGAGAATTATTAGTTAGAAAAAGAAATACATAAGTACTTTCAAGTCTTTGATATCTGTTTTTAGTGATACAGTTTATTTTTTTAAAAGCAAAATCTAATTCTGATGTCAAAGTTTTAATTGTTGTACCTAATGCTTATATTAGAAAAGATTATGGAAAATCATTATTCTTTACTCTTGATTCAGATGAAACACCATTTAGTATTGTATTAATAGTTGGAAGGCAACGAGAGAATCTGAAGATCATACTTGTAATAAATTGTAAGAAGTGAATTATTTGAATCTTTTTTTAAAAATTATACAAGCTTAGTTGTCTTTCTAAAGGTATTCATGATAGTATTTTTCTGTTTTCAAGAATTTGATTTCTCACATTAAATCCTACAGAATATATAGTTACTTTTAAAATAAGTACTTTTATATATCCACTTCACACATGAGAGATAGGTAAACTTTTCTTTTATAATCAAAACTGTGTTTATACTCATATTTAAATGAAAAAGTATAAAATTTTATTTTTGAAAAATTTATGTTTCAAACTGCTTCTGTTTTTATGGAAATAGGAGTTTTGTGGAGTTATTTACTCTTTACAAGGATGATGAGCTGTAATGGCAAATTTTTCCAACATATATAGGCTTTATGTCAGAACCTTAGTTCACCTACATGGGCCAGATTAGGACACTTTTGGAATGGGCCCTAGAGACTGCGGGGTGCTTACAATAGCTACTCAGATATTTGTCTGGCATCCAGAGTCATTACTTTAGACATTGGAAGGTCTTAGAAAAGTTATTTACAATCCCAATCTAACATAGAGCATCCAATTAGAGAAGACAGGCCTTGGGGAAACAAGGCCTGGAAATAATTCCTATAGTAAGATAAATTCTATATTTGATCAAGAAATGGGTTTGGACTCAAGGGTTCAGTTCCTATAACTGGGAGTTCAGCAGTAGTAGTAGTAGTAAACCAGCAGGAAGGCTGAGTTAATGCTGAAACTACAAACCCCTGACCCCTGCTGTATAAATTAAACTGATATTTTAAATTTTGAATGTTAAAATTTATATACAAAGGAACACTCGTTTATGTTTAGTATAATGTAAAATGTAACATTCATTTACAATATGAATTTAGCATCATTTTAATTTTCTAAAAATTAAATGCACCTTAAAATAATACACCTTAAACATTCTAAAATAATACACCTTAAACATTCTAAAAATAATACACCTTAAACATTAAATGTGCATTGCTGTGTGGTATGTTGAGGGAGCACATGTATATTGCATTTTATCTTAAATTGACTTGGACTAATTTGAACATTAGTTGATTGATTATTACTTATAATGGATGCTGAGGACAACCAAAATAATTTTAACCTATTGAGCTGAAGTTAATAACTTGGAGGTGTTTCTTTTTTTTTCCTTCATTGCCTTAACAAACATTTAGATACAAATACCCTTTGATACAAAGAAGTACAAAAGGTAGTAAAGGATTCCCCCACTGTTACCATCACTACTAAACACATACATATCCACAGCTGTTCATGGCCCATGTCAGTGCCTCTTATAGACGGGAAATCACCTTTACTAGATTTAATAAAAATGCAAATGCCTCTAAATGTTCCTTCAGAATAAGTAAGAAGAGCTGACCAAGAAGAAAGAACAATGGGTGAAGGATTGTGGCTCCCACAAATCAGGTGAAGGTAATAGTTTGGGGCTAGCCAAAAATGAAAGGAATCCTAGGTGATTGTCAAATCAAAAGTTAAAAGGAACCAAGTTAGTCCAGGTAGGAAGAGAAGATTTTGGGGAGTTAGGCTAGTCAAGTGCCTGTAGGCTGCTTAAGGAAGTCTGCTCTGAGTGAGGAGAAGGGAATGGAAAGTATCTGTAAATATCCAATGGGTTTTTAAAAAGAATAAGTAGAGCAGGAAGCAGAAAGTAGCCACAGAGAAATTCTTCCTACCCCAACCCCATGCCATTTTCTTTTTTTTTTTTTTTTTTTTTTTGAGACGGAGCCTCGCTCTGCCTCCCAGGCTGGAGTGCAGTGGCGCTGTCTCGGCTCACTGCAAGCTCCGCCTCCCAGATTCACGCCATTCTCCTGCCTCAGCCTCTGGAGTAGCTGGGACTACAGGCGCCCGCCATCACGCCTGGCTAATTTTTTGTATTTTTAGTAGAGATGGGGTTTCACTGTGTTAGCCAGGATGGTCGCGATCTCCTGACTTCGTGATCCGCCTGCCTTCGCCTCCCAAACTGCTGGGATTACAGGCGTGAGCCACCGCGTCCGGCCATCCCATGCCATTTTCTAAAAGTAGTTAATCAGATTCTTTATCGGGACTGACTTTAATTTACACAGGTTGAAAAAAATATCTACTCGTCCAGCCCCAACAAGCAGCCTCTCATTTTATTTTTTCCAACCTTTAAAAAAAAATTAAAACAAACGTAGAAATTAGAAGGATGGGACAGTGAATATGCATACTGGATTCAACAAGTATTAACCTTCTGCCACATTGGCAGAATCATTTGAATGTATGTTTCAGGCGTCATATACTCTTGATCGGTAAATGCTTTAGCTTGCATCTGCTGAGAATAAAGACATTCTTCTAAAAAGCCACAATGCAATTATCATTTCTAATAAAATTAACAATAAATAATTCTCTATTATCATCTAATATCCGGTCCATATTCTGGTCTCCCCAGAATGTCTCTTATACAGGTTGGTGTAAAAGTAATAGCTATTTTCACCATTGAAAATAATGTCAAAAACCACAATTACTTTTGCACCAATCTAATAGTTTTTATTTTTTTCTGTCCATCATTTCCTTCGTTGTTGTTGCTTTGAACCAGGATCTGATCAAAGTAAACATACCACATTTGATTGTTGTGTCTGTAGACTCTTAGTCTTTTCATCTAGAACAGTCCTCCTACTTTTTACTCATGACTTTTTTTTTTTCTGGAGTCCAGTTTTCTTGTAAAATTTCTCATATGCTGGATTGTCTGATTGCATTCTCATGACTACTGTTTAACTTGTCCCTGATCTATCCCCTATATTTCCTGTAAATTTAAGGATAGTTCTAGAGGCTTGATTAGATTCAGGTCAAACATTTTTGACAGGACTGCTTCATAGATGACGATGTATACTTTATGTTGCATCCTACCAGGAGGCACATAAAGTTGGCTTGTCTTACTCTTAGTGCTCAGTCAAGTTTGATTTCTTTAGTCAAGTAGTGACTGCCAGATCTCTCCATTGTGAAGGTACCTTTACCCCATGTAATTGGTAAGTAACTGCAGAGAGATACATTGGCATGTGTGAATAACCTATCCCCCAACAACCTTCTATCCAATGGCTTGGCATCCATTGATCATCCTTGCCAGTAGCAATATTACGTTAACAGCCCATCATTTGTAAAATGCCTAGCAGATGACTGGGAAGAGAAAGGAGGGTTGAGGGAAGAAACAGAGAACAATGTAAAGAGGGAATAAAAAGCTGGAAATGGGAAAACAATTCCAAAAGCTTTGCTGATACCCTTCTCTTTTTACGTTTAACTCTTTCCAAAGTCATGAACCCTTTAAGGTAATGCTGGCTTGAAGCAGTGAGCAAAGAAAGCCTCTTGCTCAGGGCTGTCACTTTACTAGGTAGTGAACGCATTTCAGTTAGAAGTGTTTCTTGACATCAGCATAAAATAACAGGTACTTAAATGCAAAATACACAGATTTTACCTTCCTATTGAAGGTTAAATTCCGAACACCTTTAGTGGGTTAAACACTTGGTTAGGTTTAGCCATAAAACAGTTTTGTGAATCCATAAAGCTTGTATCTGCACTAAGTAGTATAAAGGAAATAATATATTTTTAAAAACTTTTAACTTGTATATATTAGGAAATAAATAATACTCTGAGATTTATCTCTTAGGAGACATCGAGAGGTTTGTTGGGGGCTCTGGCAAATATGGGGAATTCAGGTACTGTTTGCCATGATGTGCCTTAACAACTCCCTTTGACTATCATCAATGCTGTTGTTGTTCATGGGAAATAATTCTAATGTGGGTTTTAGTCTGTTAATTAATTTTAAAAACATGAATAGTGAAGGTTTGTGTCAGGAGTAACAAAGTAGTATTTAAGCTGCTGAACCTGCAGTCTGTTTTGTACCATCAGGTGAGAGTGAGAGCCAAGTGGGAGGTCTTTCTGGACCAATGGTGTGCAAAATACTCAGTCTTCCTTTCTTTTTTTCCTATGTCTTATCAGTGAAGAAGTGATGGATGGTTGTGGGAATAAATTATGTTGTAAGTACCTGGGATTTGTAAGGATTAGTATTTTTGTATGTATTTATATAGATGCTGTTTAGGTCCTTTTTTGAAAATCAACTATTAAAATTATGAGATAACCTGAGAAATTTTACCCAGACAGGATATTTGATATTAAGGAAATCTTGTTATATTATAGCTTTGATAATGAAATTGTGATTTTTTTGATGTTCTCTTTATTTTTGCATTAAATGCAGAAATATTCACAGCTGAAGTGATGTGATATCTGAGGTTTGCTTCAAAATTATCTAAAGAATAGGGAGTAGATAGATAGAAGTATAGATGAAACATGATTGATCATGAATTGATGATCATTCAAACCAGTTGATAGGTACATGGAGATATTGAACAATTCTTTCTACTTTTGTATAGGTTGGATTTTTTCCACAAAAATTATATAAAAATAAAGAATGTCACCATAAGAAATGAAAGAAAACTAGACATTGGCATAGGCAAGTATTTCATGACCAAAAACTCAAAAGCAAATACAATAAAAACAAAGATAAATAGCTGGGACCTAATTAAACTAAAGAGCTTTTGCACAGCAAAAGGAACAGTCAGCAGAGTAAACAGAGTGGGAGGAAATCTTCACAATCTATACACCTAACAAAGGACTAAAATCCAGAATCTACAACGAATCAGTAAGAAAAAAAACTAACAATCTCATCAAAAAGTGGGCTAAGCACATGAATAGACATGAATAGACAATTCTCAAAAGAAGATATACAAATAGGTAACAAACCTATGAAAAAATGCTCAACATCACTAATTTTCAGGGAAATGCAAATCAAAACCACAATGTGATACCTCCTTACTCCTGCAAGAATGGCCATAATACAAAAACAAAACAAAACAAAACAGTAGATGTTGGCGTGGATATGGAAATCAGGGAACACTTCTACACGGCTGGTGGGAATGTAAAATAGTACAGCCACTATGGAAAACAGAGTGGAGATTCCTTTAAGAGCTAAAAGTAGAACTACCATTTGATCCAGCAATCCCACTACTGGGTATCCACCCAGAGGAAAAGAAGTCATATGAAAAAGATACATGCACATGCATGTTTATAGCAGCACAATTCACAATTGCAAAATCGTGGAACCAACCCAAATGTCCATCAATAAACAAGTGGATAAAGAAACTGTGGTGTATATAAGAGTGTATACAGAGTGCTCCTGCCTCACACTCTTCCCCTCAAATCCCAAAGTCCACTGTATTATTCTTATGCCTTTGCATCCTCAGAGCTTAGCTCCCACACATCAGTGAGAACATAACTCAGGTTTTCCGTTCCTGGATTACTTCACTTAGAATAATAGTCTCCAATCTCATCCAGGTCACTGCAAATGCTGTTAATTCATTCCTTTTTTATGGCTGAGTAGTATTCCATCATCTATCTATCTATGGAAAACAAAAAAAGAAATGAAAGAAAGGTCTCAGATGATCCTTATTGGGGCAACTATTTCAATATCAAATTATTCTGAATCTATTCCTTATCATTTTATATTTATATATGAGTACATTTATGTATTAATCCTTCATTTAATCACTCATTTAATAAGAATTTCTTTTGTTTGGTAAATGCCAGAGATATAAAAATGAAAAAGATGTGGACCCTACCTTCAAGCCATTGAAAGTTGAATTTTTTTTTTTTTTTTTCCCAAGATGGAGTCTCGCTCTGTCGCCAGGCTGGAGTGCAGTGGTGTGATCTCGGGTCGCTGTAGCCTCCACCTCCCAGGTTCAAGTAATTCTCCTCCTCAGCCTCCTGAGTAGCTGGGGCTACAGGTGTGCGCCACCAAACCCAGCTAATTTTTGTATTTTTAGTAGAGATGGGGTTTCACCATGTTGGCCAGGATGGTCTCTGTCTCTTGACCTCGTAATCCACCCACCTCAGCCTCCCAAAGTGCTAGGATTACAGGTGTGAGCCACCATGCCTGGCTGAAAGTTGAAATTTTTATAAAATCAAATTTTTACCTAATTAAAAAAAATTTCAAGCCCGTAGAAAAGTTGAAATGATAACATAATGAACTCCTGCATACTTTTTACCTGGATTCAAAAATTGCCAAAATTTTGTCACGGCTAGGCTTCTGCTGTCTCTGTTTCGCCTCTTTCTATGTATATATATATGTGTGTGAACATATATATGTGTGTGAACATATATATGTGTGTGAACATATATATGTGTGTGAACATATATGCGTGTGAACATATGTGTGTGAACATGTGTGTGAACACATATATGTGTGTGAACATATATGTGTGTGTGAACATATATATGTGTGAACATATATATATAGTTTTCTTTTGATGAAGCACTTGAAAGTATATTGTAACATCATAACATTTCCTTTTAAATACCTAAGCATATATTTTCTAAGAACTGTATTTTCCAACACAACCCTAATTTAATATGCCCAAGAAATTAAACTTTGATACACTAAAAAAATTAAATATATAATCTGTTTTCAAATTCATTACAAAAATGTCCTTTATAACCTTGTTTGTTTTGGATCCAGGGTCCAAATAAAGGTTTATATATTGTGTTTAATTGCCATGTAGAAGAATTGCCCTTACCCTCTTTATTTTTTAACAGGTTCATTTTGATACAGTTAACATACAACAGACAGCACCTATTTAAAATATTTATTTTGATAAATTTTGACATATGTACACACCTGTGAAATTATTACTACAATCAAGATAATGAACATGTCTTTCACCCCTGAAAAATTCCTAGTGCCCTTTTGTAATCCCTGTCTTCCACCTCTCTGTGATCTTCCGTCTTCTATCTCGAGGCAACTACTGAACTGCCTTCTGTCACTGTATAGTTTGGTTTTCATTTCTTAGAATATTTTAAAAAGGAACCATATAGTACACACTCTATTTTGTCTGCCTTAATTTGTTCAGAATAGTTATTTTGAAATCCATCCATGTTGTTGCATGTATGAGTAATTCACTTTTTAAAATTGCTCATTAGGACTCTATTGTATGGATCTACTACAGTTTGTTTATCCATTTTCCTGTTAATAGGCATTTGGGTTGTTTCCAGTATTGGGCCATTACAAATAAAATGACATTTTTGGATTGTTCATTGCTGGTGTGTGTGTGTGTATATATATATATATATATATATATATATATATATATATATATACATATATATATATATATATATATATATACACACACACACACACACACACACACACAATTGATTTTTGAATATTAACTTTTATCCTATGGACTTACTGAACTTGTTTATTAATTCTAGTAGACTTTTGTTTTGTTTTGTTTTGTTTTTTTTACATGGTGTCTTGCTCTGTCGCCCAGGCTGGAGTACAGTGGCACCATCTTGGGTCACTGTAACCTCTGTCTCTCAGGTTCAGGCGATTCTCCTGGCTCAGCCTCCTGAGTAGCTGGGACTACAGGTGCCTGCCACCACTCCCAGCTTATTTTTTGTGTATATATATTTTTCCAGTAGAGATGGGGTTTCACCATGTTGGTCAGGCTGGTCTTGAACTCCTGACCTCAAGTGATATGCCTGCTCGGCCTCCCAAAGTGCTGGGGTTACAGGCATGAGCCACCGTGCCTGGCCTCTAGTTGGTTTTTTAAAAATGAATTTCTTAGGATTTTTTACTTATAGGATCATGTTATCTATGTATAAAGACAGTTTTACTTTTACCTTTTCAATCTAGGTGACTTTTTTTTCTCCTTCTTTTTCTTTTTCTTTTTCTTGCCTAATTGCCCTGGCTAGATCCTCCAGTATGATATTGAATAGAAGTGAGAGGAGCAAACAATGTTGGCTTGCCTTGTTCCTGAACTTAGGTGTAAAGCATTTATTTAGTCTCTCACCTTCAAGTATGATGTTTGCTGTAGTTTTTTAAAGACTTAAAATCCTACTGAAGTAATTTTTCTCTATTCCTGTGTTAGAATGGATGTTGGATCTTGTCAAATGCTCTTTCTGCATCTATTGAGATAAATAGATACCTATTTTGTTTGTTAATATGGTTATTTTGATTGATTTTCACATTTCAAATATTACACCAACCTTGCATAAAATCTCGCTAGTCATGACTAAGGATACAATTTTCTTAGTCATGATGTATTACTACTTTTTAAATTGTTGGATGTGATTTGCTAAGTTTTTGTTTATAATTTATCACCTATGTCTATGTTTCTTGTAATGTCTTTGTCTCATTTTCATATGAGGATAATGCTGGCCTCAGACTGATTACCTTCTCACCAATTTTCTAGGAAGATTTGTGTTGAGTTAGTATTATTTCTTTCTTAAATATTGGTAGACTTTGCTTGTGAAACCATCTGGATCTGCTTGTTTTTATTTTTCCTTTTTGGTTAAGCTTTTAAAGTATAAATTCACTTTCTGTAATCAATATAGGCTATTTTAGCCCAGTATGGTGGCATGTGTTGGTTGTCCCAGCTACTTGGGAGGCTGAGAAGGGGGAGGATCGCTTGAGCCTAGGAGTACGAAGTTATATGCCATTGTACTCCAGACTGGGTGACAAAGTGAGACCTTGTCTCTGGAAAAAAAAAGAAAAATGAGGCTACTTAGTTTGTTTCTT
This sequence comes from Homo sapiens, assembly GCF_000001405.40. Taxonomy (NCBI): domain Eukaryota; kingdom Metazoa; phylum Chordata; class Mammalia; order Primates; family Hominidae; genus Homo; species Homo sapiens. The sequence goes on from NC_000005.10 coordinate 108,846,467, forward strand.
TTTATTTTAGGTTTGGTAGGTTGTCTTTTCAGGAATTTGTCCATTTCATATAAGTTATAGAATGTATTGATAGTAATTTGTTCATAATAGTCCTTTATTCACCTTTTTATTTATATATTTTTTATTTATTTATTTTGAGACAGTCTTGCTCTGTCACCCAGGCTGGAGTGCAGTGGCGCGATCACGGCCCACTGCGAGCTCTGCCTCCCGGGTTCACGCCATTCTCCTGTCTCAGCCTCCCAAGTAGCTGGGACTGCAGGCACCTGCCACCACGCCCGGCTAATTTTTTTGTATTTTTAGTAGAGACGAGGTTTCACCATGTTAGCCATGATGGTCTCGATCTCCTGACTTTGTGATCTTCCCGCCTCGGCCTCCCCACCTTTTTATATTTATAGAATGTGTAGTGACATTTCCTTTATTAGTAGTTTTTCTCTTGTTTCCTGATCATTGTGACTAGAGGTTTATCAGTCTTATTAATCTTCTCAAAGACCAGCTTTTGGTCTTTTTTCTTCTGTTTTTGTGATTTCTACTTTAACACTTTCTGCTTTGTCCTTATTTCCTTCCTTCTGCTTGCTTTAGGCTTAGTTTGCACTTTTTCTGTTTTTCTTAATGTGGAAGCTGAGGTCATTGATTTGAGAACCATCTTCTTTTCAAATGCAAGCATTTGGTACTCTAAAGTTCCTTAAATACTTTTTTTTTTTGCAGTTTGCCCTCAATTTTATATATTATGTTTTCATTTTTATTCCGGTCAAAATGCTTTCTAATTTCCTTTTTGATTATTTTTTTGTGTGTGTTTTTCTTTGATTCATAGGTTATTTAGAAGAATGTTGTCTAGTTTCCTAATGTTTTATCGTTTTTCTAGAGTTTTTTAATTTTTTAAAATTTAATTTCGTTGTGGTCTGAGAATGTTTTTATGACTTTATTTCTTTTACATTTATGTAATAGTTTATTATGGCCAGTAAATGTCTGTTTTGGTAAATGCTTTATGTGCACTTGATAAGAATGTGTATTATGCTATTGTTCTTTGGAGTGATCTACATTGTCAACTTGGTCCAGTTGTTTAATAGTATTATTCAAATTTGTTATGTTCTTAACAATTTTTTTGTCTACCTGTTGTATCAGTTATTGATGGAAGGATATTGAAATCGCCAACCATAATTGTGGATTTGTGTATTTCTTCTTGTAGTTCTATCAGTTTTTACTTTATGTCTTTTGAAACTATTATTGGTATGTAAGCATTTATGAGTATTATATTCTTTTGATGACCTGACTACTTTATTATTATGAAATGACCTTTATTATGCCTGGTAATAATATTGTTTGCTCTGTTATTCATTCCGTTTGATATTAACGTAGCCATTCCAGCTTTCTTTTGATTAGTGTTTATGTAGTATATTTTTTCTTTTTCCTTTTTTACTTTATATTTTATTTTTTTTACAACAGGGTCTCACTCTGTTGCTCAGGTTGGAGTGCAGTGGTGGTGCGATCATAGCTCGCTGCAGCCTCGAACTCCTGGGCTCAAGTAATCCTCCTGTCTCAGCCAACTGTGTAGCTGGGAATACGAGCATGTGTTGCCATGCCCAGCTAACTTTTTATAGAGATGGGGTTTCGCCATCTTCCCTAGGCTAATCTCAAACCCCTGAGCTCAAGTTATCTGCCTCCCTGGGCCTCCCAAAGTGTTGAGAGTACAGGTATGAGCCACCACATCTGACCTATCTATATTCTTTTTTCATACTTTAACCAGTTTCAGTCTTTATTTCTGAAATGCATCTCTTGTAAACAGCATATAGTTATCTCTTTTGTTTCTTGATAATCCTTACCTTTTAATTAGTGGCATTTAGACCAATATTTAAATGTAACTGTTTATAATGTTAGGTTTAATCTGTCATTTTGCAGTTTATTTTCTTTTTGTTCCACGTATTCTGTATTTCACTTTGCCTTTATTCTACCTTTCTCTGGATTAATTGAACATTTTTCTGAAGATTCTTATCTCTTCTGCTAATTTGTTAGCTCTAATGTTTTATTTTATTTTGTATGTAATTTACTATAATATACCTTTAACTGGTATTATGCCACTTTGTATATATACCATGTATATAGTATGGGAATCTTACAATAGGATAGTTCTGTTTCTCCCTTTCCTGTCTTTGTGCTATTATTGTGATATATTTTATATATTTTACTTTTGCTTATGTTACAAACTACACACTACATTGTTTTTGTTTTGTTTAAATAGTAAATTATCTTCAATAATAAAATATTTCATATATTTATCCAAGTACTTATCTTTTCCAGCATTCTTTATTTATTTATCTATGTCTCTATTTCTATTTGGTATCATTTTACTTTTGCCTGAATGGCTTACTTTTAACATTTCTTGTAATGTAGGTCTGCAAGTAATGAATTATGTATGTCCGAAAAAATATTTATTTCACTTTCATTTTAAAATATATTTTTTGGGAGTATAGAATTTTTTTTTAAACAGATTTTTACCTCTTTATGTATTTAAAGATGTTTCTCCAGTGCCTTGTCACGGAGAAATCTGCTCTAATCCTTATCTTAGTTGCTCTGAACATTTCATTTTCCTTTGGTAGCTTTTAAGATTTTCCTTTTATCATTAGTTTTAAGCAATTCTATCATGATTTACTTTGTTGTAAGTTTTTTATTAAAGTTTTAATTTATGTTTGTGTTTTTTGAGCTTCTTGTATTTGAGTTTTTAGTTTTCATCAAATTTGGAAAACTTTCAGCCATTATTTCTTCACATATATTTTCTGTCTCCCCTTCTCTTTTTGCTTTCTTTCAGAGACTCCAGTTACACATATATTAGGCTGCTTGTAGTTCTCTTACAGACTCCTAATGCTCTGATAATTTTTTTCCCCTTGTCTTTTTTTTGTTTCATTTTGGTTAGTTTCTATGACTATGTCTAACAGTTTAGTAATCTTTTCTTCTGCAATGCCTAATTGCCTTTAATCCCATCTGGTGGTGGTTTTGTTGTTGTTGTTGTTGTTGTTGTTTTGTTTTGTTGTTGTTGTTGTTATCTCAGGCAGTATAGGTTTTGCCTCCTCAAGTATGATTTGGGTCTCTTCTTAAACCTTTTATATATCTACTTAACTTTTTGAACATACTGAATACCACTATAATAACTGTTTTGAAATCCTTGTCACCCAGTTCTAACATCTGTGTCAGTCACTTTCAGTTGATTGATTTGTTCCTTCATTTTGGTTAGATATTTTTGCTTCTTTGAATGCCTGATAACTTTTGATGAGATGCCATACATTGTGCATTTTAAACTCATTAGACTGGGTCTCATTAACATTTCTAATAAAGCTATAAGACTTCTAGTCCAAGGAGAAAATGTAGAACATTGCCTTGATTCATGACAGAGAGAATAATAATAAAATTTTGTTTGTGAAATGATGGAAGTTTAAAAATCACATTATTAGGGCCAGGCGCGGTGGCTCACGCCTGTAATCCCAGCACTTTGGGAGGCCAAGGCGGGTGGATCATGAGGTCAAGAGATCAAGACCAGCCTGGCCAACATTGTGAAACCCCGTCTCTACTAAAAAATGCAAAAAAAAATTAGCTGGGCATGGTGGTGCGCGCCTGTAGTCCTAGCCACTTGGGAGGCTGAGGCAGGAGAATTGCTTGAACCTGGGAGGTGGAGGTTGCAGTGAGCCTAGATCGTGCCACTGTACTCTAGCCTGGTGACAGAGCAAGACTCCGTCTCAAAAAAAAAAAAAATCATATTATTAGTGCCTTTTTTGAGCTTGTTTTTTTTTCCTCTTGAAATTTATAATGATCCTCTACTGTTTTTCTGTATGATATCTATAATATACTTTTCCATGTGTTTATTTTGTTTCATAAATTAATCTGAGGATTCCAGTTAAGGTGTTTCTGATTTTTCTTCTGCATAAGTTAAATAATTGAAGTTTTTGTATACTATACTTAGATAATCCTTTTGTAGTACTTGATTTTTCAAGGGATTCCATAAGTTTAGGTTTATCACTGTACACCTTTAAGTAATTTGTCGTTGTGCTTGATTTGTCTTTTGATCTCATGTGAAATGAGAAAAAATTTTATATAAAACTTGAAGGAAAATGTGTTATCTCTTTTTTTAAGTTGGAATACTATTTGTTTTTCTATTAGAAAACATTAAACTTTTAAGATTTACTTTTTATTTTTTTTCTTGTCAAGGGATTTCTGAAGAAATGCTGCAAAGAATATCTGTGTATTCTGTTTATTACAGTAATTTTGTTTATTTAGGGCAGATCATAATTGATTTTACTACACCGTTATTTTACAGTATTCACAAAAATTAATAATGGTCACTTACAATGTTAGATAGTTTCTCTGGAAATTTCTCATAGACAAACAGTTTTCAAGTACATGATTGGGAGAATAAAGAAATAGTTGAAACCAAATCTGTCTGATTTCAGTGTCCATGGCCTTTGTTGGTTTTGCTTCTTCCTATGAAGAACATGAATTAAATTAAACTCTGTTAATGATAATGAAAGACCAAAACACATTAACCTAAGTTTTAGAGTCTTAGTGGAGTTTATCATCCTTCCTAATTTGTTCTGAGAGTTATATGAGTTTATTTATTCCCAGATATTTTGGGCTCACCATTTCCTCAACTTGTTCATGTTGTAGATAATATACATCATTGTATTAATCTGTTTTCATGCTGCTGATAAAGACTGGGCAATTTACAAAAGAAAGAGGTTTAATGGACTTACATTTCCATATGACTAGGGAGGCCTCACAATCGTGGCAGAAGGCAAGGAGGAGAAAGTCATGTCTTACATGGATGGCAGCAGGCAAAGAGAGAGATTGGGCAGGGAAACTCTGCCTTATAAAGCCATCAGTCTCATGAGACTTATTCACGTGAGATTTATTCACTATCATGAGAACGCCATGGGAAAGACCTGCCGCCATGATTCAGTTACCTCCCACTGGGTCCCTCCCACAACATGTGGGAATTCAACATGAGATTTGGGTGGGGACAAAGCCAAACCATATCAGTCATCTTCACCTATATATATACACATGCAGGTTCTTGTGCGGATGCCATGTAGTACTTTGTTCAAAGTAAAAAAAACAAAAACAAAAATTAAGAGTAAATATAATGCATGCCAATTTTATAATATGTAAGCAAAACCATATTTAATTGTATGGTATTGAATTTAATAATTTCAAATGTGATTTTTCTTTGAAATTTTATAGTTTACTTAAAGATATTCTGAAGTATCAGAAAAGATGTTAAAAATAACTACCTTGTAATTATATATTCAGATATAGCCTACTTAATTGATTCTGTATGTTTAGAATTATGCTAGGGTTTTATGTTTACCAAGCCTCAAAATACCCATCATAGTATTTATAAAGGCTTTCTCTTACATGAGTAGGAGTCTGAATGCTTCTGCTTTATCATACATCATGTTCAGGAAAAAGAAAGAAAACAGGATAGCTACTCCACATTACACATGCCCATGTCAGTCAGTCTAGAGGCACTTGAAAGGAGTTCTCTTCACCCTCTTTTATCACACAAGTGGGGAAACAAACTATCTTCCTAATTATCCTTTCTCTATGATAAATAAAAGAATGCTAAGGGATGGGTAAACCCAATGATAATTTATAAGCCGTCATTTACCCTAAGCAGACAGAGTAAGAGGATTACCTACTGCTAGAACTGTGGGGAGTAGCTGCAAGTCTCATTCAAAAGTAAATTTTTCTGTAATTGGGAAGTAGATTTTCTTAAATTGCCTCTTCATGCATTATGAATAGTTTGTGATATTTTATAGCCAATTAAAATTGATTAGATCTGTTGAGTTGTCTCTGTAGAGTACTTTAATTATGAAAACCAGTTTGAAATGAGTCCAGCCTTGAGACAGATGGTTAAATTTATGTTTAAATAAGTCCACATTTTAAAAAATGGATACGACTTTTTAAAAGCTCTTTTAGTTGATTTCCTCAATTTGAGGTCACCAAGAATGGCAACTAGCCTTCTTATTCAATATCTGTATATTTTGGCGATATTTAAATATCAAATTTATGTTCAGGTGATATATGGAGGTCCTTATATTCTGGAATTCAAATTTCTCTCTCAGTTTAACATATGGAAAAATTCATATTGGACATGGTAGTGGCCAAAGTAGAGTTCAAGCTACAGTTGTTGGTCATGAATTCTACTGAAGTTACCTGAAAATGAGAGGTTTCCACTTATTTTTGGATTTAGTGATTAATATATATCAGCAGCTAACTTATGGAATGAATGCTTTTTGCTGCATAAAGTATGAAGTGAAATTTCATTAATATGATAGGAATTTTACAAGGTAATTAAAAGTAATGGCACTCTTAGCTTTAATTTGCATTGGTTTAAAGCTGTGCAGAAATTGGAATGACAGCTATAATAATCTCATTAAACACTGAAATATATGGGATGGAATATGCTATATGATTCATTTATATTCTTTGTATTACTTCCTAAATTTGTCCATATTTTGCTTAGTTTTGATAAGTAAACAAAGCTAAGTTCTACACATGAAAAACTTAAGAGAAGTTCTGTCTTTTTGCTAATTATCTTCTATATTTTATCGGTAAGCTTCTTTGCAATATTAGTTTTGGACTTAATTACTAAAAAGATGATATAAATATCAGAGGGTAGAATTGATAATATAAACAGCGTGATCTGAACAGCACAAGGTAAAATTATAATCTTTCAATAACTTTTTAAAAATTGATTTGTTTAAATTTCTTTTTTTCAAATAAGAACTATATCAATTTATGCATTTAAGAACTATTTGTTGAGTTCTTGCTATATGTTAGTCACTGCTCTCTTAATTTGGGATATTGTAGATAACAATACATACAAAAATCCCAGCCTCCTTGAGGCTTACATTTTAGAGCAGAAGATAGCTGATTCATAAAATAAATAAGTGAAACATAGCATATGAAATGGTGATAAATACCATGGAGAAAAATGAAACAAGGTAGGAAGATTGGGTATTGAGAAGATGATCATGTATTCCTCATGGAGAAAGAAACATTTAAATAAAGAATGAAGGAAGTCAGGGAGTGAACCATGTGATCATCTGTAGCAAAGAGTACTCTAGGTAGAGGGAATAACCAAACAAAGTCATTGAGATTTTATCATTTCCGGCATATTTGAAGATCAGTACAGATACCTTTTTGTCTATAACTGAGTTGATTGATAAGAGAGAGGCATGGAGGTATGAGATGAGGTCAGAGAGGGAGAATGATGGTGGTTGACAGGCGATGCATAGATTATGTAGGATCTTGGTAGTTCCTTTAAAACACTGACTTTTACTCAAGTAAGATGGGAAGCCATTGGAGTGTTTTGAGCAGAGGAGTGACGTGAATGAACTTACATTTTAACAGGATAATTGTTGTAACCTTTTTGAGAATAGTCTGAAATGAGAGAGGAAGGGCAGAAGTAAGGAGACAGTTACTTCCAGGCTATTGCAGTAGTTTAGGCAAGGGGTCATGCTGGTTTGGACCTGGTTGGTAGCAAAAGAAGTGCTGAGAAGTGCTCAAATTCTGTATAAACAATTAATTCTTGTTATTCATGGTAGTTTGATAAAGTCACTGTGTACATTAAATTAGTTAGTGCTGACTTGTTTCACCTAGGGGACATAAAGGTTTGTTTCCTGCAAGCAGTGACACAACATTTTCAGCAACTGATCAATACATAACTTTATTTTATGTATGTTTTCATTTAAAGACACCTAATTTAACATTGAACTCACAACCAATGGTGCTATAACTGATGGCTAAATGAAACTTATCTAGTACAGGTATCTTCTCTTAAAGGGTCATCACAGCCTTTTTGAGTGTACGACCATTATACTTCGGCACTAGAGCCGTTTCAAACAGTGAAATCACCAACAAAATTCACAAAAATGTGAAAATTGCACCACATAGACTGCAAATTGTTTACAGTTGTGAAAGCTGAAACAAAAAGTGGAGCCTAACTTTGTTCAACCTCAGCTAAGAACCTGTGCCTTTACTCAAATTTTTTGCTGCTCTGCACATGGCATGCCTGTAACTGACCTGGAATGCAATGCATGTATTGTTTTGGGGGTTTTAAAGAAATTTTACCCAGTAGGTAAATTCAGGAATGCAGCTTTCACAAATAATGAAAATCTACCATATATTGAAAGTAGAGCGGGCTGGACGTGGTGGCTCATGCCTGTAATCCCAGCATTTTGGGAGGCCGAGGCAGATGGATCACTTGAGGCCAGGAGTTCAAGACCAACCTGGCCACTGGCCATCATGGTGAAACCGTGTCTCTACTAAAAATACAAAAAATTAACCAGGCCTGGTGGCACACGCCTATAGTCCCAGCTACTAGGGAGGCTGAGGCACCAGAATTGCCTGACCCAGGAGGCGGAGGTTGCAGTGAGCCAAGATTGCCCCCACTGCACTCCAGCTGGGCTGACAGAGCAGCAAGACCCTGTCTCAAAAAAAAAAAAAAAAAAAAAAAAAAGCGTAGAGGATTTGCCATTGAATTGGATGTAGTTTGTGAGAGAAAGAAGAAAAGACTGATTCCAAGATTTTTGGCCTGAGCAACTGGAAGAATGGCATTATTATTAACTGAAATGGGAAAAATGTGGGAAGACTGGTTTTTAGAGTCTTATTAGATACTCAAGTGGAACTGTTGAATTAAATCTCTAGTTCAGCAGTTCCAGGGAGAGGTCTGGAGTAGAACTATAAATATGAAATGTTAATTGTCATTTAAAGCCATGAGATTTTATGACATTACCAGTAATATAAATGAAGATAAAAAAGAGAAGAGTCTTAACAAAGACTGAGCCCAACATTAAGAAGTCAGCGAAATAAAGAGTTAAAAAGAATACAAAAGACCGGCCGGGCGCGGTGGCTCACGCCTGTAATCCCAGCACTTTGGGAGGCCGAGGCGGGCAGATGACAAGGTCAGGAGATCGAGACCACGGTGAAATCCCGTCTCTGCTAAAAAATACAAAAAATTAGCCGGGCGCGGTGGTGGGCGCCTGTAGTCCCAGCTACTCGGGAGGCTGAGGCAGGAGAATGGCGTGAACCCGGGAGGCGGAACTTGCAGTGAGCCAAGATCGCGCCACTGCACTCCAGCGAAAAAAAAAAAAAAAAGAATACAAAAGACCAATGTAAAAGGAAAACTAAGTGAATGTACTATTCTGGAAGACAGATGTGGGAAGATAGGTTTCAAGGAAGAGCAAGTGATCAACTAGGTTGAATACTGCTAAAACATAAGGTGAGGATTAAGATTTGGAGTTAGCAAAGTGTAGGTTATTGGTGATTTTGACAAGAGAAGTTTCAGTGGAGTAGTACAGGGAAAACCCTAAATGGGCTGGGTTTAAGAAAGAAGGAGAAAAAAGAAACTGGAGATAACTAGTATCAGTTTTGCGGTAAAGGGGAGGAATGAAATACGGAATTAACTGGAAGAAGTGTAGTAAAGGGAGGATTTTTTTTTTTTTTCAAGATTGGGAGCTATTACAGCTTGTTTACTGATGGAAGTGCACTTCTAGGGAAGGAAAAACAGTTGAGGCAGCAGGAATGAAGGAAGAATTGCTGGAGAAATGTCCCTGAGTAGGTGAGAGAGGATACATCTAGTACCCCAATAAATAGATTAGTCTTCACTTTGAACAAGGACAGTTTATTCATAGTAATAGCTTAGGAGAGATGGAGAGATATAAATTCAGATAAAAAGGTTAGATATGCTGGTGAAAGCTTATGGAAGTTCTCTTCAGAGTAATTTTTAAAAATGGGGTTCACAGACTCCCTCTTCACACTAATATGGTTCAGATTTCAAAATCATAAGGTACAAACCATTAAGTATACAATGAAAAAGTTTTTTTTCCCACTCATTATTCATTTTTTTCCTCCAGAGGCAACAGATATTATCTGCTTTTTCTAGAGATATTTTATGCATAACATGTAGCTTTTAAGCCAGTTTGTTAAGTGTGTTCATCAACTTATTAGATACCTTTCGTATCATAGTACATATTAGGAGTTGGAGGTTAGTATGTGTTTGTTTATGCTAAATTAATGATGATCTCTACATTTTTGATACAGTCATATCCTAACATGATGACTATTTGGTCAGCTTTCATTTTAATTTTCGTATCCAGTATCTTTTAGGAAGAGACTATAACTGTGCATCCCTCACATAACCTAGGACACCATGGATTGTAGATAAACATTTAAAGGATGAATGCCCTAAATTTTCTGTAAATGTTGTTCTTCCACACACTCGACTAGTCTTCTAAAGTAGAGTTAAATCTTTTTTTTTTCAGTGTGACTTCTTTGTGTGTTAATATTACGTGTAGTGGAAACATACCTGCTAGGAGACATACAAATTAAAACTAAATTTTCTTTTCTGAACTAGGAAATCAGTGTTTTGATATTTAAAGAACAAATTGTTGAGGTTTCTTATCTGTAGGCTAAATAATACCAGTTCTTTAGATACAATGAATATTCTGATACTTTAAAATTTTGATCCAATTTTCACAGCTTTCTTTTAACTATATTTTAACGTCATTTCAGTCCTAGAGAAATGTTGAAAGAATAGTAGAAAGAATTCCCATATACCGTTCACTCATGTTTCCCAAATGTTCACATTTTACCACATTTGCTTTATGCTTTTCTGTCTCTGTATGTGGTGCATACATATATATGCATGTGTGTGTATGTGTAAATATAAAAACGTAAATGTATATTTATTCAGTTGTCATATCTTTTTAGTTGCCTTTACACTGGAACAGTTAATAGTCTTTATGGTTCACAAAACATTGACATTTTTGAGCAGTATAGAACAGTTATTTTATGGAGTATTCCTTGATTTGTTTTTCTGCATAATATTTATTTATTTTTCATAGGAATACCATAGAAATGATGTTCTGTTGTTGGTGCTTTATATCAGGTCCATGATGTCAGTTCATCCCATTATTGGATATTAATTTGATCATTGGAGTAAGGTGGTATACGCTTGATTTCTCCACACTTAAGTTACATTTTCATTTTTCTTTTTGTTAATAAGTATTGTAGGGAAAACGTTGACGCTATGTAAATACGGTGTTACTCTTCAGATTTTCACCCACTAGTTTTTATGTCTATCAATGGTTCCTGCCTAAATCATTTATTATTATGGCAATTGTGAAATGGTAATTTTCTAATTCAATTATTCCTTTTACATTTATTAATTTGTTTTTAATATAAGGAAGGGCTTTCCCCTCCTGTTTATTTTTTAAATTTATGTATTAATTTAATGTATTAGAATGAACTCACAGATTCTGATTTTTATTCATGGATTATAATTTTATACTATCATAATGATATACTATCATGCTCGGATTTGGCCAGTGGGAGCCACTTCAAACTGGCTCCTCTGTCCTTTTGACACATTCCTATCATTCATTGAATACGTATTTTCTGGCTCATCTTATACTTTTCCTACTTCAGGTTCCATTTCTCTATGAAACCCTAGTTCCTTTTAGTGGAGAATTATATTTGGAAAACAGTATCTGGCCATTGGTGTGCTCATTGCTAGTGGAGTATCTTATTCTAGGTCCTGTTAATTGACAGACACAGGAAATAAGCAACACGTACACATTCATGTACACCTGTGCTTTCTTCTGTTATCTATTGGTCTGTCTAGGGATACACTGAGGGGTTCACATTGATACTTCAAATTCTAGTCCAATACCATACAGTTTATTCCTCCTCTTCCTATTTATATATTTGCAACTGCTTTCTCTGGCAGTGAGAAACCTAGCTTCTGTTGTTCACAATATTTTACTTACTTGCTCAAATGCTAGAATACACAGAAAGTAATTTCAGTATTGCTAACTCATGCCTCTGAAAAATGAAACTTAAAGACTACAGTTTGGTATTTGTTTAAAGCTTTTTTTGTCTTTAGCTTTCTATTGTAATCAAATACTGTTTTCCAAAGTTACTTAGTTTTTTACAAAGTTACTTCCCTACTCCTTTTAGTGTGGTTAGTGTTATTCACTGGAAATACAGTTTGGTTCATTTGTTTCTGTTGTATCTCATTTTATTTTCCCCCCTCCCTCTTATCCTTGTTAATTTTGTTTATTTATTTCTATGTGAAACTTTAGTGATTCCAAAAGTTAATACTGTTCAAAACCATATAGGGAACTCAATCATTTTTATTTTCCTTTCTTTCTTACACAAAACTACGATTATATAATATTCTTTTTCCTTTGCTTCTCCATTGATAATGCATCTTGAAAATGACAACATTTGAGTTGGTAGACAGTTTTTTCATTTTTTTTTTTTTTTTTTTCTGTCCTCACAGTCTCTTGCTCGTTTTTTCATTCGTTTCAACAGCTGCATGCCACTTTATTTTAAGATTATTTAAGCCCTTTCCTACATATGGACATATAGCTTATTTCTGATTTTTCTAATTATATGTACTCCTACTATAAATAACCTTATGTATGTGTTTTGTATGTGTGTGTGTTTGTGTGTGTGATTGGAGATATGAATTCCCAAAAGTGTGATATAAATTCCAAGAAGTGTGATGGCTGGGTTAAAAGGTATACTTACATGTGATTTTGTTAGATATTGCCAAATTTCCTTCTATAAGGATTATACCAATTTGCATTTCTACTAGAAATGTATGAATGTTTTTTCTCCACATCCTCGCCAACAGAGTGTTTCTCAATTTGGTAGATGAGACATAGTATCTCACTTCCTCTTTTCTTTAACTCTTACATTGCTGTCACTGCTGTGATCTACCACTACAGTTTTTCAGTATTTTCACAAGTAGAGCAGACCTTCTTTTTCTGATGGTTGTTTTTAGATCAGTCTTAAGCATTCTGCTGTTTCTTCTCTTCACCCCGACCCCTGCCTCACCCCCCAACACCCACCTCCAACCAACCCACCCAACAGCATTTGGTCTTCGTAAAGGCTTGCTTTGGGAGGGGGAGAGATCATTTGTAGAGATTTGGTGTTTACTTTTCTACTCATAGCCAATTTAAAATTTGGACTTTCTGTGCCTGTTATGCTGAGGGTATGAGTTATGTTTTTCATTTTGTTCTTTATTATATTTTTGGGTAATATGTGGGAGATTCAGAATTATGCTGCTGCCATATCCCAGCTACCCAGAACTCCCTCATTCACAGTATTAGGAAATTATGGAATGTAGATTTGGACATGGTACATCATTCACTTTACAGGTTGTTAGAAGACTGTGGATCAATTGAATGTAGCAATCACTATATGCAAGGAAATTATATTACACAGAGTTTGAGAACTTGCTCTTTAAAGGTGTTTTATATTGAATTTTTAAATAAAGTATCACTA